>NC_000018.10:24036206-24661206 GCF_000001405.40 Homo sapiens
GGGGTCCCTTGAGATTCCATATGAATTTTAACATGGAGTTTTCTATTTCTGCATAGAAGACGTTGGTATTTTGATAGGGATTACACTGAATCTAGAGGTAACTTGAGTAGTATTAGCTAATATTAAGTCTCCTAATCCATGAACATGGAACATCTTTCCATTTATTGATCTCATCTTTAATTTCTTTCAGCACTGCTTTATAGTTTTCAGTGTATAAGTCTTTCACCTCGCTGGTTAAGTTTATTCCTAAGTATTTTATTCTTTTTGGTGCTATTGTAAATGGAACTTTCTTAATGTTTTGAATTATTCATTGTTAGTGTGTAGAAATACAACTGATTTTTATGTGTTGATTTCGTATCTTGCAACTTTGCTGAATTTGTTTCTTTTAACCATTCCTTGTAGAATTTTTAGGGGATATTTTTGTTTCTGTTTTTGTTTTCTTGAGACAGGATCTCACTTTGTTGCCCAGGCTGGAGTGCAGTGGCATGATCACAGTCTACTGCAGTCTTGATCTCCCCAGGCTCAGGTGATTGTCCCACCTCAGCCTCCTGAGTAGCTGGAGCTACAGGTGTGTGCCACTACACCTGGCTAATTTTTGTATATTTTTGTAGAGTTGGGGTCTTGCCATGTTACCCAGGCTGGTTTCAAACTCCTGGGCTCAAGCCATCTGTCCGCCTTGGCCTCCCAAAGTGCTGGGATTACAGACGTGAGCCACCGTGCCTGGCCATTTTTAGGGTTTCTTACATCTAAGATCATGTCATCTGTAAACAGAGATAATTTTATTGTTTTTCTTTCCAATTGGGATGCTTTTTATTTCTTTTCCTTTACTACTTGCTCTGGCTAGGACTTCTAGTGCTATGGTGAATAGCAATGGCAAAAGTGGGCGTTTTTGTCTTTTTCCTGATCTTAGAGGAAAAGCTTTTGGTCTTTTACTATTGAATATGATGTTAGCTGTGGGTTTAATGTTTTGATGAAGTTTTTAAAAAGATCATAGGGCACTTGTGATTGTTCCCATTTATTATTAAGATCAGTTTGTATGGTTTCAGCTTGCATGGTCCTTTTTAGGCTCTTACTGTATTGTGTAAAGTGAGTACTGCCTGTATTCCCTGACATAATATTTCCCCCAGTTGGACTATGCTCCTTGAGATTAAGAATTTTGTCTGTTTTGCTCACTGCTATATCCCTAATGTCTGGCATGTAGTAGGTACTCAGTCAATGATGTATGAATGATTCTTACTTTAAACATGAGTTATTCTGGGTTCCCACCATTTGTGCTATTTATCCCCCATTCTCCAAATGTGTGGATTCCTTGTGATAGGACATTTGTCTGGCGTATTGGAGAGTAGCGTTGCAGAGTCTCAGATAGACCATCTCACCAGGAGGGTTGGGTGAGACTCCAAATTGATATCTCTCACTTATTTTAAGGCTTGCATATATTAGACATTCTGTGTTGCATTAACTGGTTACTACAACACTTTGGTATTATCAATTTAGCATTTAGACATGGAATATGGTTCCTTTGGAAATGCAAAATTCAGTACAAATGGAAGGTAGTAGTAAAGGGTAGTTGGTGGCAGGGTTGCTGTTGTGAACTCGGGTTCTTCAAGGAGATCACAAGGAGACTGTGGCATTTTATGTTGGTGTATGACTGTGAACGGCAGGTACCATGGATCAGGTCAGGAGAAAAGATCTTTTAGCTCTTTTCATTTTTCAGGCGACATGTTTCTTCAGAGACTTCCCTGCAGGTGAGGCCTCAGCCTGGGGTCAGTGGAAATTCAACCCCAAATCAGCACTTGCTATGCTATGCTACGCATCCTTATGCCCTGAGTTGTCAGATGTGTATCTAGTGGCACCATTTACCTCTTATAATTCAAAACCAAATTCTGCAGAGGGTGATGTTTGTTTAAAGTCGAGTCCTCTTTATTTTCATATATAAACTGTACATTAATTAAGTGCCGACTGTGTTTAAATTATCATGGTAGGTCCCGAAAGGAGACAAAGATGAATAAGATCCACTCCCTGCCCTCAAAGAAGTGCCCGTCTGATGAGGACAATCTACACAGCATGTAATTTATTTTTATTTTTATTATTCTTGAGACAGAGTCTCACTCAGTCGCCCAGGCTGGAGTGCAGTGGTGCAATCACAGTTCACTGCAGCCTCGACCTCCCAGGCTCAGGTGATCCTCCTACCTCAGCCTCCCGAGTAGCTGGAACCACAGGCATGCACCACCATGCCCGGCTAATTTTTGTAGTTTTTGTAGAGACGGGGACTCACCACATTGTCCTGGCTAGTCTTGAACTCCTGGGCTCAAGCAATCCGTCCGCCTTGGCCTCCCAAAGTGCTGGGATTACAGGCATGAACCACCATGCCTGGCCCACACAGCATATAATTTAAATGGAATCACATCATGAGAACAGTAATAAAAACAGTCATATTGGTCCACTTAGGCTGCCATAACAAGACACCAAAGGCTGGGTGGCTTAAACAGCAGAAATGTGTTTTCTCACAGTTCTAGAGTCTGGGAGTTTGAGACCAGGGAGCCAGCATGGTTGAGATCTGGTGAGGGCTGTCTCTCTTCCTAGCTTGTGGACAGCTACTTTCTGGCCATGTTCTCACATGGCCTTTTCTCTGAGTGTGAGGGGCACATATGAGAGAGTGAGATGTCTTCCTTCCCCTTCTTATAAAGCCACCAACCCTCCTGGATTAGGACCCCATCCTTATGACCTCATTTAAACTCAGTTACCTCCTAAAAGCCCTGTGTCCAGATATAGTCAAATTAGGGGTTAGGGCTTCAACATAGGACTTTTTGGTGGACGCAGTTCAGACCATAGAAACAGAGATACATAGCACTTACTTGGGACCCCCAGTTTGCCAGGAACTGTGCTGGCATCCTCATTCAGTCCCCCCATGCACCTGTAAGGTGGGTACTGTCATTTCCCCCTACTTTACAGATGATGAAACTGCAACTCGAAATAATTATTTTCCAAGGACACTTCACTTAGCAGAGCCAGGACTTGAAACCAGGGCCATGGGAATTGAGGGAGTGTCAGAGGAGGTGCCTTGAGAATGAGCAGGGAAGTCTCCCAGGGTACTGGGGCAGAGCCAGCATCCTCAGACTAGGCATGTGTTATAGTCAGGGTCAGACTGTTCTGTGGCCGCACAAAGAGAAGTGTATTCAAGGGAATGATGGAAGTGGACACACATGATAGGTGGGTCTGTGTTCTATGTAGAACCATGGATTTTACCCTTTTCCACTTGGGTGGTAAGGAGCCATTGGCAGGTTTTTGTTTTGTCTTGTTTTGTTTGTAGAGACGGAGTCTCAGTGTGTTGCCCACGTTGGTCTCAAACTCCTGGCCTCAAGCGATCCTCTTGCCTCGGCCTCCCAAAGTGCTAGGATTACAGGTGTGAGCTGCCATGCCTGGCACCATTGGTGGTTTTTAAGCAGAGGAGTGACATGGGTTTGTGTTTTAGAAAACTAATTCTGGGGACACTGTACACAGTAAGCCTGGAGGAAAGAAAACAAGTTAGAGAGCGACTGTCATAGCCCACATGGGGTCTGGGGAGAGCAGGGGAAATATGTGTGAAATGTTATAGGAGGTAGATTCAGCAGGACTCCTGTTTGGTTTCAGTTTGATTTTTGGTTGTGGTTGGGAGGAAGGAGGAGGAATTGAGGATGTTCGGGGTCACTAGTTAGATGGTGCGGCCATTCAGAGCAAGAGAGGGAATACAGGAAGAGGAACAAATTTGAAGGATTAAGCAATGTTATAATTTCTTCACCAATTTGTCATCAACTGGGAAATGTTACACCAATTATTTTAACTCTCTTGGGAAAGAAATGTATGTAGTACTGAATATTGAAAAAAGACTTGAAGTAGCTGGAGGAGTAATCGGAGGCCTCTTGATTGGGACCGTGATTGGGACCACTAGTGATGATTTATTATAATTTAAGAAGTCAGTTAAAGCAGGGGATTCTAAAAATGATTAACGTCAAATAAACATTTTATTACTTTTGATGTGGGGCTGAGGCTTTCGCTTTGTGAGTTTGGTGATGGATTTTTAATTTGACTTTCTTGCGTAAGCCGCATCTATAATATATTTCTGTGTCTTTCAGTATTGGGGTCACTGAAGTGGAGTAAGAGGTTAAAATCATTTGTGAAGCAATATTGGGTAAATGCCCCTCAGCTTTACAAGCCTTTTCCACTTATCTCGCTTTCACCTAACCCTAACGTAACTTTTAAAGTCATCTGCCATTTTGGAATCTTTTCAAAGCATTTATTTATTTTTCATACATGTCATGTTTTTCCTCACCCTTATTTCATGTAGTTACATAATAAACAATGAATTATGTAGTTGCCATTTAACAAGGCTATATATA
This sequence comes from Homo sapiens, assembly GCF_000001405.40. Taxonomy (NCBI): domain Eukaryota; kingdom Metazoa; phylum Chordata; class Mammalia; order Primates; family Hominidae; genus Homo; species Homo sapiens. Next base: position 24,040,583 of record NC_000018.10, read on the forward strand.
TTTATATATAACAATTTTTATATAACAAGGGCAATAGGAATAATCACATTTGGAAATAATCACTAGAGACTCTCGGTAAGCATACAGCTTAACTAGTAAAGAGAAAAGCCCACTAGCTTGAGTATCCAATAGGTGAAGGGCATCTAGCGCGCTCTCTCTCTGACATTAGTTAATCCAGAGATTTAGGTGAGTGAAGATTGGTTAAGTGAGTTTCCACTGTGTGTTACTTTTTGTGTGCATGTGTGTAGATAACACAAGGGCCAGTGTAGACATCAGTGTGAAGTGGTGGTACTGTATTTTTGGGGGGGCTATATTATAAATTACTGATTATTTCTAAAACAGTTACAAAGAGAAAATATAGATTGTAGGAGGGATTATGCAATGATAGTTTAAAATGAAAGTGGCGTTAGTGGAATTTTGCATTAGCTACAGTAGTGAAACGAAGTGGATTGAGTTCAGGGAAAAAAGTAGGGGATCTGAGGGTCTGTTGGATTACTAGAAAGAGATGAATGGAAGTATTTCCTTCTGAAAATCAGATTTACATGTCATTTCATAATTCATGCCTGCATAGACCCCTAATGCCATCAGTTAAAATTATCGTTGCTTCAAAGTGAGCCCACCTACTTTCTGGCCATGCTAAAAGCACAGCTAATGATAGCATCTAAAACAGCTTGCACATACAGTCCATTATAGTAGGAACTCAGTTATTTTCCCTTGATAATTGGCATTGATTCGCTAGCACAGGAAGAGAAAGCTGGAGGCTTTTGAGAACTCTGGGCTCCACCTTGCAGCAAGCTTGTGTCTGATGGAGCTCTAGTGGGTGGGTGGGTAGCAGAGAAAGCACAAGCCAATAGTCCAGCAGCGTGTTAACCGTGTAAGAGAAGGGCCAAGAGTGTCATTTGCCACCTTAAGAGACCAAGCAAATTATAAAATGCAACAAGTTTCCTGGTTCATGGTCTTTCAGGAATATTGGCCTCTGTCATTAGGTTAGGAATAGCTAGTAATCATGAAATATTTTAGGGACCGCTTTCCTCTTATCTGTTGCCCTGATTTGCTTTAGCTATTTTAATAATGGAGAGAAATTGGGCCTCTTAATACTTTTAATAGGTGCATTATGTTATTTTTCTTTTAACAATTTAAAATAGTTTAAATATACAAAAGTGCAGCATATTATAAACAAATATAGATGTCCTTCATACTCAGAATTATGTTTTGAAAAATGTTAACATTTGTAAACATTTGCCATATTCACTTCTGATATCTTTAGAGAAGTAAGACATTACAGATACAGTTAAACTTCCCTTTCAGCCCGGCGTGATTACATTTTTCTCTTTCCCTCTCTATAGGCCACCAGTGTCATCAAGCTGGTATATGTCTTTTCCATCCATATGTTATGCTTTCATTGCATATTTTTAACCGTTAACAACATATAGGTTTCTGTTTTCAAATTAGCATGATAAATATCCTTTGCAGTTTGTATTTTTCACCCGATTTTTAAGTTTTGAAGTCGACCCATGTTGATCTATGTTATAAAACAACTATAATCATTGTAATGTCTAAATCGAGTGTTTTGTTATATAAATATATGATATACTTAGGCATTATGGGTAACCATTTAGGTGGGTTCTATTTTCTTAGGACCTTAACAGTGCTATAGTGTAAGCAGTCCCCAACCTTTTTGGCACCAGGGACTGGTTTCATGGGTGACAGTTTTTCTAAGGGTGTGGGAGATTGCGGGGGATGGTTTTGGGATGAAACTGTTCCACCTCAGATCATCAGGCATTAGATTCTCATAAGAAGTATACACAACCTAGACCCCCCACGTGCACAGTTCACAGTAGGGTTCGCGTTCTTAGGAGAATCTAATACTGCTGCTGATCTGACAGGAGGTGGAGCGCAGGTGGTAATGCTCGCTCGCCTGCTGCTCACCTCCTGCTGTGTGGCCCAGTTCCTAACAGGCCATGGACCCTGCGACCCAGGGGTTGGGAACCCCTGCTTTAGTGAACATCTTTATACACGTTTTTACGCACATGTGCAAAACATTGCTGGGGTGTATGTCTAGTTGTGGAATTGTTTTGTCTAGGGGTCAATGATACTATACGTAGGCAAATCTCTCTCCAAGAGTTTTTACAGGGGCTTATAGTTTTCTGTCCTGTGTATGATATGATACAATTTAAGATGTAAAAAGACTCCAGAAGAAGAAATGAATATACCCTGTATATTTACGCAGTGTAAATAACGGGTGTGCCTAATGACATTTAGGGTCCCGGGGTTTTTTCAATTAGCTAGTCCTTTATTGAGCATTTCCTGTGTACTGAAGCATTGTGGAAGTTTCTGGAGCAATTTGAGAGCAGATACCATGACTCTCATAAAAATGTCTGTGTTCAGTGCCTGCAGAGCAGTACATTTTGGGGATAAAATCAATGAAACTATGTGGGGGAAATAAGATCTGGTCCCTACTCACAAGAAATTTAGAGTCTAGCTAGGATTATATAATATACATATATGAAAGATACACATTAATGAATCAGACTAAGTAGTTGAAAATAATGTAATTCGTAGAAGTAGCTTGAAAATTAAGTTGAAGCAGTATATGTTGAAAGAAGAATGAAATAAAAAAACTACCCAGTGAGCTGGGTGTGGTGGGTATGTGTCTGTAGTCCCAGCTATTTGGGAGGCTGAGGTGGGAGGATTGCTTAAGTTGGAGACTTCAAGGCTGCAGTGAGCCATGATTGTGCCACTGCACTCCAGCCTTGGTGACAGAGCAAGACCCCATCTCTAAAAACAAAAAAGCTAATCAGTGACACCATTCTTTTTTCCCTACCCCTCCTTTCCCCATCTTGGAATTAAACATTGAGAGAATCAAGTTATTAGAGCATTCGGCAACAGAAAAATACAATTAAAGGGATAGGAACAACTCAGGGTTTTCTGGTCATGAACCAGGTTGGAGACACTGAGGCCAGATGCCCCATGGGAGGCAGGGCGCCCTACATGTGTCTTGAAGCCCTTCTCGTCTGCCGCCTGGGCTGTAGTTGCTCAACACGAGGCTGCAAGTGTGTGTTTCCTGCTATCCCACATTCAGAGCTTTCACACATTTCATGAAGCATCTCATATTCAGAGCTCACTGAAGTCTCTTACTGCACCATTAACTATTAAATCCATAAAGTCCCTGAGCAAAGGCACATGGGAAGACGAAGGTTTGCCACCAGGGCAGTTCTTGGGATGGAGAAAATCTCAGGGATATGGTATTAAGCTCATTCACAGCAGGCTCAAGAGTGAACAAGTAGTTTTGCATCTGCAAAGGGTTTCTCTAATTCCTACCAGCTCAAACATTTAGCATTGCACAGGCAGGACAGCATTTTAACTTCTTGCCAAAAGTCTCTTTACTACCGCGGATTGGATTTTTCACCTATGGGAATTAAACTTCTCTTCTATAATGGCAGTTGGCTGAAAGAGCATTTGTGTATGTTTGTGTGTGTGTGTGTGTGTGTGTGTGTGTGTGTGTGTGTTTAATAACCAGTTTTGTTAGAGCCGTAGTGCAAACCCAGGAACATTGGTTTCTTTCTCTGTACACAGCACGGGGGCAGGTTACAGAGAGGACATCATGGAAAAAGTCAGACTCTTTCTAGGATTTGAATCGGGAGTCTGAAGAGGAGAGGGGTGGATGTGCAGAGGCTGCGAGGCAAAGATCAGTGATGTGGGGTGGTTAAGGGCTTGCACATTTGCTGACCTGGACCAGAGAACCTGCTTGGAAGAAGTGAGAAGCCATGCTAGCGAAGGCCAGGAGCTTGCAGGGGCTCAGAGCCTGGCAGTTGCATTAGTTTGCTGTGATGCACAGTGCAAAGAGGTGGCTGGTCAAGGACCAGTGGCATGGTGAAGTGTCTCCAGGGTGCACCGCTTTTGCGGCAGTTTAGTATGGACAGAGTCTGGGCAGGCTCAGTGTAGCAAGCCTGTCATGAGAGGTGAGGACCAAGGTGGAGGTTGGTGTGACAGGAACAAGGAAAGGGAAGAACATAGAGCAGGAACACAGGAGAACAAAGAAAGGTCAGGACCGTCAGCCTCCAAAGGCCACTGAGGAAGAGGGGCCATCCACTGGAATGGAAAACGAAGACGTACCTGTGGGGAAAGGATCTTAAATTCAGTTTAACAGAGCAGGCCTTCAGCAAATACAAGAATTCTTAATTTCAGGTAGGAAGATATTAGCAGTGTCTTCTAATATTTGTTTTCGGAAAGATTTATGTCATTTTAGTTCACACAACTCTGTCTGCCAGCATCATTAACTTACCTAACTTGTTTAGAAACAAAAATGCTAACAGCACCACTGAGACCTTGCTAGTCTAAGTGTGCTTTGGAGACCATTGGCATCAGCACCATTTAGGCACTTGTTAGAATGTAGAGTCTCCGGGCCAGGTGCGGTGGCTCACACCTGTAATCCCAGCACTTTGGGAGGCCAAGGCAGGCAGATCACATGAGGTTGGAAGTTTGAGACCAGCCTGGCCAACATGGCTAAACCCTGTCTCTACTAAAAATACAAAAATTAGCCAGACACGGTGGCACACGCCTGTAGTCTCAGCTATTTGGGAGGCTGAGGCAGGAGAATTACCTGAACCCGGGAGGTGGAGGTAGCAGTGAGTCAAGATCATGCCACTGCACTCCAGCCTGGGTGACAGAGTAAGACTCTGTCTCCAAAAAAAAAAAAAAGCATGTAGCGTGTCCAACCCCAGCCCACCTGAGTGAGAATCTGCATTGTAACAAGGGGGCCAGGGGGGATTTGTGTGCACAGCAAAGTATAAGGCGCTCTGCTTTGACACACTGCCTTCCTATGGCTTAAAAATAAAATTATAACTTAAAATATTATGGCATATTCAGTTTTGTTTTGTGAAAGGCTGTAATAAATACCCAAAATACCATTTTAAAAGTGCTTATATGATTAGTTATAGAATTGATGATTTAGCAAGAAATACATAGTTTTCACTGTCTGTATTTCTACTCTGGAACGTAAACTCCGTGGGAAGGGCCTCATTCCACTGCCTGCAATGGAGTTGGCATACACAGGTGCTCAAAAAATGTTTGTGAAATTTTGTACAAGTAAATAGATGAAATTTAATTATATATTGGTGTTTTAAATTACTTCTTCTGTGTGCACATTTTAAAACTATGCCTTATGTTGATCAAATAAAAACTTTAAATTATAAAGATAAATGCTTATTCATTGATAAAGTAGAAGGAAAGAAAAATACATATATAGAAAAATCACCCTTTACTCCCACTACTTACAGATAACATTTTAGGGTACTTCCTTCTGTGAAAATATATATATATATATATATATATATATATATATATTTTTTTTTTTTTTTTTTTTTTTTTTTTTGAGACGGAGACTTGCTCTGTCACCCAGGCTGGAGTGCGACGGCACAATCTCTGCTCACTGCAAGCTCCGCCTCCTGGGTTCACGCCATTCTCCTGTCTCAGCCTCCCGAGTAGCTGGGACTACAGGCGCCCGCCACCACACCCAGCTAATTTTTTGTATTTTTAGTAGAGATGGGGTTTCACTGTGTTAGCCAGGAAGGTCTTGATCTCCTGACCTCGTGATCCACCTGCCTTGGCCTCCCAAAGTGCTGGGATTACAGGCATGAGCCACCGTGCCCAGCCTGTGAATATTTTTACATAGTTTGTCCTACTACACTTCTTACTTGTATCCTGCCTTTTCCATTTATCATCATGATACAGTAACTAGTTTATTGTATGTGCCGAGCTTCAGACTAGACATTTGGGATACTTTTCTTGTTTACTGATTATATCCACATAAGGCAGTATAATTACATCACATTTTCACATGAGGAAATGCAAGTTGAGAGTTTGTCTATCTTGCTAATAGTCATAGATTTAGTCCAGGATCAACTTGAGATTTTAACTTGGTAGCGTTTTCTAGAGCCTGTGCTTTTTCCAGCACACCAGAGTAAGCATTACCTTAGTTATGACTTTTTGTTACAAAATAATATTTTGCTAGGTGAATATGTTTAATTTGGCTAACAGTCTGTATTCCTCAATATTCTAGTTATTCTTGTTTCTCAATACTGCATATCATACTACTATGAATGTTTTTGCATAGAAATTTTTTCTATATTCTTCTTAGGATAGATTCTTAGAAACATTTTTAAGTCTCTTGAAATGTAGAGAACTTTCCAAAAGATTTGCACCAATTTTCATTCCCACCACTCACTGTAAATATTATATTGTATATTTGAATGCATATAGGCAAAGCAATATGCTTTTTTCATGCTTCCACAGAAAAAATACATTTAAACGTATTTTATTTTTGCTTCAAATAATGACTTTTGTTTCACTTAATTTAATTGACTTTTGTTACTGAAATACTTAACTTTCCCTAAATATCAGCTCTGTAGTACATAGAATGTTAGCATGACATTCATATTCTGCCCTGCTCAGAACTTTAGTACAGTTTGCAGTTTCTTAAGAAGATATACATTTACATTGATATATATTTCTTTTTTTTTCTTTTTTTGAGATGGAGTCTCACTCGGTCACACAGGCTGGAGTGCAGTGGCGCGATCTCCGCTTACTGCAACCTCTGCCTCATGGGGTCAAGCGATTCTCCTGCCTCAGCCTCCCAAGTAGCTGGGATTATAGGTGCCTGCCACCACATCTGGCTAATTTTTGTATTTTTGGTAGAAACGGGTTTCACCATGTTGGCCAGGCTGATCTCGAACTCCTGGCCTCAAGTGATCCACCCGCCTCAGCCTCCCAAGGTGCTGGGATTACAGACATGAGCCACCGTGCATGGCCAACATTGATATATATTTCTTAATATCAGAATTCTTCATAAACTGTGGGGGTTTTATGGTTATACAACCCAGTTATTCAACTTTAATGTGTATTTAATAGCACTTCTTCTCAAAAATCATAAGATGTCATTCTTAGACTATTGTATAGTGTTTCTTTCTTTCCTTTTCTCCCTCCCTTTCTTTTTTCCTCCTTCCTTCCCTTTCTGTCTGCCTTCCTCCCTCCCTTTATTTCTTTTTGGTAGCAGGAAAGCAGATGACATACAGAGAGGAAAACCTATGCTTGTAACAACAGCAAAACCAACCAAACTGACCTTTACTTATATATAGCTTACTTTGATACTTTAATAAAACTTTTGAAGAAGGAAGTATCTCTTACTGCTAATATTTGAAGTCATAACAGATCATTATAAAATATAACAGCTCTGTATTGAAGACAGTTCCGTAGAGGAGATAACAAAAATATATGAACCTGATGTGAGTATTACACATTGTATGCCTGTATCGAAACATTTTGTGTGCCCCATAAATATATACACCTATGTACTCATAAAAATTAAAAATTAAACATTAAAAAAGTATATGAAAGAAGGAACACTGTCTTATTCATTTAGCCATGTTTATTTTATACATGGCATGTTTATTTGTAGTATAGCTTTCTCAAATATAATCACAGTTGCTTTAATATGGCAAAAATGCATTCTGTTATTAAAACAGAGCCTGTTATACGTAGGTTTTATCTATTATATGTATGATTTTTGTGGTCTAATAGTGCCTCTACTAGAATGGAAATTTAAAAATAGCATTTATAGTTTAATAATTTGCGTGAGACTAATAAACCAGCGAATTTGGAAAACGCATACACGTGTGTGCCTTCCAAAATGTGCTATGAAGTTTTGCCATTTTGAAATACTTGATAAACTATAGGACACTAATATATAATTGCATAAGCAGTTAAGGACTCGTGAGAATGAACTGATTTTGTTAAAATTTAAATTTTAAATACCCTATTTCTGACTTCTTTAAATAAATGAGGTGTTTTTATGCCCTGCCTTTTTTTGCATTTATGCAAGGCTGCCCATAGCCTGAAGGCAGGGGCCAGTTATGCCTGTATGAGTAGGAAATTAAAGGCCTTTACTATTCTGATTTGAAATTTTGAAAGAAGGACATGGTAAGTATTTGAGATAAATGTATATTTTTGGTTAAAACATGTAACTTTTTTTTTCCTATCTCTATTCTTCTGAAATAGAATTAGTTTTATATAGCTTTGAGAAAATATTGCTTTCTTTTTGTGCACTCTGCTCCTGTTCATTAAAAAATTATAAGTGCTATATTTACCTTTTAAGGTAACGTTTTCATAGGAAGTAGCAGCGATTGCTGTTTTGAGGTTGTTTTTCTTAAGTGGGCTTTTCAAAGACTAGAAGTTATTTTTAGGCTGAGGTTGGCAATCAGTGTGTAGGTAGAAAAATAGATTTGTTATTTTCCATTGTAGAAATATATTCTTTGAAACACTGTATTTACTTTTTAAATTGGTAAAATTTAACAATACAGTTATGGAATGAATATGTCAATACATGATTATGTGGTTCTTAAGACGCGTTGGCCAACTCAAGAGAAAATTTTATAATTATGATAGGACTCCTAGCTCTTATAAGAAGTGGCCTTTATAATGCCACCTTTAGTACTTTTCAGCATTCTACAGGTGGACAATTCAAGAACTATATTTGTAAAATAATGTTTTAAAGAGAGCCAACGGTAAAGGCAGGAAATCACTCAAAACATTTTGTATGTTCCAGAGACTACTCAAATATTAATCCTGTTTTCAGGAGTAACTTCGTAGGCGTGGAAAAGATTTTTGTTTATTTAGACCAATTCATTATTTATTAACTTCATTCAATAAATAGTTACATTGTACCTACTACATGCCAGGCACTATGTTAGTGAGTTTGTTCACTCAGTCAGCCAGCTCTGTAACATGGAAAGAAATGGGAACAATTTCACCTATCTCATAGCCACCTGAAATAGCTCAGCATAGATAGTTTTCTGTTCATTTGCTTCTCAGGCTGTTCCCTCACTCACTCATTCACTCATTCATTTGCTTATTCATCAAGTACCCATTGAGGGCATTCTGGGTGCTGAACCCTGTGCTGGGTAGGCACTGTGCGGGTGTGAGTTGTGTTCTGAAGGGTGAAGGCTGAGGATCTTGAGAGCCCAGAGGAGGGATCCAGCCCGACCCGAGGGACCAGGAAGAGTGGTCTGGAACCAGCACCCTTTGGACCTAGGCTAGAGGCCGAGCAGGAACCATTGAGGAGAGAGGCAGGAGGTCAGTGGCCCAGGCGGGAACCCTCACACCCAAGCCCCAACATTTTTATTTTGTTTTGGGAAATGTATAGGATTAAAGTAATAACTGGAAAGGAAATAAATGGAAACACGGAATGGAAACATTTCCTATTTTCCCTATTGTTATCTGAAGACAAACTTAATTTTTATGTTGCTACTTTCTCTCTTAAATATCCTCTTACTAAATAGTCTGTCGTATTAATTAGACTGGGTAGTCCTAACTCAAGAAAGCATTTGGCAATTAAAAGATGGAGGACTCAGGGTCTGACCGTTTTCCTTGGCCTTCATTTGGCTTTCTCTCTCTTTTCTCCCCTCCTTCTTCCCAGGCCTGGCTGGCTGGTGCCTGGACACCATTTGGGGCTCTGAGAGGGTTGTGGCTGCCAGCCCCCAGTCGCCAATGCCTGGTCAGGCACTCGTATCCCCTGTCCTGTTCACCATTTCTCCTTTCTCATTGTTCTCATAATTTGTCCTGCTTAAAACTCCTAGGTTCTAAGGGACACCCCTGCATTGCTTGCCTTTCCTTTGCTAGACACCAGAGAGAGGCTAAAAAGTGAAATGTGGCCTGGTGCAGTGGCTCATGCCTGTAATCCCAACACTTTGGGAGGCCAAGGCAGGCAGATCACTTGAGGTCAGGAGTTCAAGGCCAGCTTGGACAACACGACGGAATCCTGTCTCTACTAAAAATACAGAAATTAGCCAGGCATGATGACCCATGCCTGTAGTCCCAACTACTTGGGAGGTAGGAGGATGGCTTGAGCCCGGGAGGTCAAGGCTGCAGTGAGCTGAGATTGTACCACTGTACTCCAGTCTGGGTGACAAAGCAAGACCCTGTCTCAAAAAAAAAAAAAAAAAAAAAAAGTGGGCCAGGCACAGTGGCTCATGCCTGTAATCCCAGCCCTTTGGGAGGCTGAGGAGGGTGGATCACCTGAGGTCAGGAGTTCGAGACCAGCCTGACCTACATAGTGAAATCCTGTCTCTACTGAAAATACACAGTTAGCTGGGTGTGGTGGCGGGTGCCTTGTAATCCCAGCTATTCAGGAGGTTGAGGCAGGAGAATTGCTTGAACCCGGGATGCGAAAGTTGCAGTGAGCTGAGATCATGCCATTGCACTCTAGCCTGGGCAACAAGAGCAAAACTCCATCTCAGGAAAAAAAAAAAAAAATGCAATTCTGTTTTTGTCATCTTGTTGTTGAACTTGTCTGTATTTTAAATTACTTTCATGACTGAGTATATTTTGCCATACTCAGGAGATGCATTCTTCATGTACGTGTGTGCTAGAAACGCATCAGTCAGAGCAATAGTCCGTAGGAAGTAAGGGTCAAGGGCCTGGTTATTATTGTTTTTAGGGTACCTCTTAGAGAGCGGCTCATTAATGATCTACCTGTAGATAATTACTACCTCAGGCTGTAGGAATGGACTGTCCAGCCTCCTGCTTATTCTTCCCTTCCGTGGGGAGGAAACCCAGAGTCGACTGGCCCCAAAAGTCTTCCCATCCCCTGCCTGTTACAGGCTAACAGCTTCACTGATCTTGGTGAATTTCATGGCTTCTCAGCACCAGCCAGCGTATTACGAAGTCTTTTTGCTGATAAGATGCAAGGCCATATCACAAGCAGTTAACAAAAATAAACAGAAACTGCAGTGGCTGTAAATGCAAACATCGCTGTACACACAGGGGCCATGCTGTCTGGGGACAGGTACCCCTCCAGGCCTGAGGTGCCCCTGACCTGCAGGGACATCTGGGGTGAGCTGGTGGTGGCTACAGACTCCCATACTCCCCAAAAGGGTGGGCACATGATAAAAACGAGTCTGAACAGAAGACTGGACCTATTCCAAACATTTGTGAATCAAACACTCATAAACTAAAGGCTGGGGTGGTCAGTGGTTTTAGAGGCATGCCGTCCTTTAGATTAAAAGGTCCCTAAAGGTCATGGTTTGAGTCATGTCTGAAAAGCAAATAAAGTCTTTCCGTGAATTTCCCCACAGCTATCTTCTGGTAAAGGAAATAAGCACGTGTGCTTTTGTTGGTGAAAGCAGTTTTACAGGTTCAGGTGATGAAGGTCTTCTATCTAGTCATTTTTTGACCCTGTGAGGACAGTTCGTCAGATGAAATGGGAAGTATGAATTTTGTAGGACGTGGTTGGTTGGTTCACTAAACAGGCATGTACTGGGGACCTGTTAAACTCCAGATTCTGTCCTAGGTGGTCAGGACAGCAGCATGTAACAGAGATGGGGTCCCCACTCTTGGGGACTTCCATTTATTCAAACAAACAAATAATGACACAAATATCAAATAGTAATAAATGCTCTGCAGAGAATTAAAATATAGAGAGTGATTGGAGACATATTCATGTATCTTTAAAAAGAATACTAGAGAAGAGAAGATCAAAGATGGCAAGTAGCCTTTTTCAGATTTCATCAAATATGGTGTTAGGGGGCCCTCATTTGTCCACAAAAAATATGGTGACAAGGGATGATGACGTGAGTCAGAGTAAACACCATTTACTCACTTTGCGTCACTGTTTATTAGAAGGGCTGTTCGGACTTTCTAGTTGCCAAACTGGACCGTGTATGCTCTCTGAAGAGCGGGCGTATTCTTGGTCATCTTTGTGTCCCCAGCACATAGCACTGGGCCGGCTGTGTACTTGGTGTTCAGCAAACATGTCTTGAATGAGTGAGTGGAACAAAACTAAATTCATTAGAATTTTTCCTAAAGCCCTAAGTATAGAAAAGGTCACTTTTTATTCATTTTAAACTGAGGAATATTATCCAGTCATGACTTAGATGGGTGATTTTAAAATTAAATATCTTGCTTTAAAAAAAAAATTATTGCTTTTTTTAAAGAAAATTTACAGTTTTCTCTTAGATAACTTTGGTGGAGCCAAGGAACAAACTGGAAAACTATAAATTATTTATTAGACGATGATCCCGAATTTTATTGTTTTTGTTTGGTGTGATTTCTTACTCACCCTCCTAGTTATTTGGCTTGGAAGGAGTTGATGTTTTAATCCTTCCAGGAGCAGGCTCAGTGTCAGCTACGTACTATGGGAAAACATTGAGAATTGGAAATTTATCATGGATCCTTAGAAGATGTGGCGCAGTGGAGTGTGCAGGGCATGGAATTGGACCTGGGTGACTGTACCTGTCTCTCAGGCCTGTTGGGAGGAGGAGACCTCATGAATGAGATAGAGCCACTGGGATTACTGTGAAGTGATTTAACTTTTTAGGAGAATCACAGGTAATGAATTTTATTTTATAATCTGATTTGTAGCAGGATTCAAAAAGGGACATTCCACAGATGCTGTCGAATCATATATGAGATCTCTAAGGATGCTATCTGTAATATATAAAGGAAGCATTGAGAGGACTTTTAAAGTAAGATGCTTTCAGAATAAATCAGACATTTTCCTTTGGAAAAATATTCTTAATAACAATATGAATCATGTCAAGAAAAACCCTTCGAATAAACCATTTCCCATTTTATTTTCCTTGGCCACCGTCTGAGGGAATAGGTTGCTTTTCTTAGACCTTTGATGTAGAGTTTCCCATTTATCACTTCCAAGACACCTTTCCCTTTTCTGCATATAGAAGATGCTCTGTTTAATAAACCATTGAATGAATGCCACGTGAACAAGGTGCTGAAGACATCACTGTTCTTCCTTCCTGTCGTAATATGAGTAGAGACAAGTCTTTCTCTTTAGTTGGTGAGTGATATAAAAGCTTTTATGTTCTGTGGCACTGGCTGAACAGATATTCCTTTCTCTGTGATTGCTGCAACATCTTTGAATTAAGGTTGAGGCCTCCAAGTTGCTCCCATAATAGTTTCCCGTGTCTGAATGGTGTTACAAAGTAAGTTCAACAAATTTGGAAAACATAGCTCATTGCAGAAGCAATAAATTAATCTTATCCATTGATTGTTGCCACAGTGTATTCAAGTTAGAGAACTTGAGATATAGAACAGTAAAAATGAGCCGATAGCCCAGGAACCACAAGTACAGACTATGTGGGGGCTACATTCAGACCATCAGGTCTCCTGTGAAATTGGGACATTTCAAGCCTTTATTTAGTGCTGACTTTTACGTGTTCAAAGCACATATTTTTAGTTTTTAAGTCAGCCCTCATCAGATTATCAGACTCCTTATTATAAAACCCTTTTTGATTTTTCTTGGCACAGTGGGGGAGGAGTTAGCTAAGTAGAGAGATTTCACAATTAAAAAGGAAAAAACAACTTTTTAAATAAGAGAATGAGCAAAAGTGGCCTTTTCCTCCCCTTTTTTAAATTTTGAAAGGGATGCATTAAAAATCTTATTTATACTGCTTATATGGATAATATAAAAAGTGATCCTCAAATCACTCGCATTTGTTTTTGGAAAAAAATGCAGAAGACTGTCTTGGGGAGTAACCTCATATAAGTGAGGACTGTTCTCTACTTCTTGTGGGTTCAGTTCACTGCCAGCCTTGTGCTAAGGGTGCTCTGGGTCACAGCTGGGCTCTGAGAGGCCTCAGCTTGCCACTCAGTGAATCACTCATTCCCACATAAGCAGGATTTGGCTGTCTTGTATTGAATCGCCCCATTATTCTGTTTGGTTGGCTGGATGATATATTCCGTTGAGAAAATTGTATCAAAGCCACAACCGAACCACAGGGATGTAGAACAAGTAAATCAACTTAAATGATGCATTTTTCTCTCTAAAAGGAGTGTAAATGTAGGAAGTATCTGTGGTGACAGCTTGAAAACAGAGATGATGATTAGAGCAGTTTCAGTCGTGACTGTTCAACTCCCCCCTGTACACACACTTGGCACTGAAGAAGACCCCCTTGATCTTCTTGCCCTTCACAACAATTTTTTTCATTTTTTGTTGTCTGCATGTGTTGAAAAGTGTAGGCAGAACTTTTGTTTTCACATTAAATTCTATCAAAAAACATTTTTAGGTCATGATGATATTCCATCTGGTTATTTATGAGTCATTTATTCTATTATAGAAAGTTTTTTCAATTAATTTGTTAAATTTGTGGTAAAATATACATAACAAAATGTGTCATCTTATCCATTTTTCAAGTTTACAGTTCAGTCATGTTAAGTACATATGCATTGTTTTGCAGCCAATCTGCAGAACTCTTTTTCATCTTGCAAAACTCCAACTCTGTGTCCATTAAAGAATGGCTCCCCATTCCTTTCCCTACCTCCAACCCCTGACAACCACTGTTGTGCTTTCTGTCTCTATGAATTTGACTATGATAGGTACTTCATAGAAGTGGAATCATACAGTATTAATCTTTTTGTGACTGGCTTGTTTCACTTAGGATTATGTCCACAAGGTTCATCCATTTTGCCACATGTATCAGAATTTTCTTTTTTTTAAGGCTGAATGGTATTCCACTGTATGTATATCACATTTTGTTTATCCATTCATCTGTCTATGGGCACTTGAGTTGCTTCCATCTTTTAGCTGTTGTGAATAATGCTGGTATGAACGTGGGTGTACAGATACCTGTTTGAGTCCCTGCTTTCAATTCTTTTGTGTATATGCCTAGAAGTGGAATTGCTAGATCATATGGTAATTCTATTTTTTCAGAAACTGCCTATAGTTTTCCATAGTGGCTGCACCACCTTATACTCCCACCAACGGTATGCAAAGGTTCCAGTTTCTCCACATCCTTTCTAACACTTATTTTGTTTTATTTTTGATAGTAGCTATCCTAGTGGGTGTGAGGTGGTGTCTCATTGTGGCTTTGATTTGCATTTCCCTAGTGATTAGTGATGTTGAGCTTCTGTTCATGTGCTTATATAGCCATTTGTATATCTTCTTTGGAGAAATGTCTATTCAAGTTCTTTCCCCAGTTTTTAATTAGATTGTTCGTTTTTTGTTGTTGCTGAGTTGTAGGAGCTCTATGTATTCTGGATATTAACCCCTTATCAGATATATGATTTGCAAATATTTTCTCCAGTTCCATAGGTTGGTTGCCTTTTCACTCTGCTGATTATGTTCTGTGAGGCACAGAAGTTTTAAATTTTGATGTAGTTCCATTTATATACTTTCATTACCTGTGCTTTTGGTGTCATATCCAAGAAATTGTTGCTAAATGCACTGTCATAAAGCTTTTTTCCAATGGTCTATTAAAACCCAGTTTTTCTCTGTTCTGGATAATGTTGCAACAAACAGCTTCATGCATGTAGTTTTCTTTTCTTGGCATTGTTTTACTTTTCTTTCGGAAGGAAAGATGAAATACCAAACCAGTTTGTCTCCTTAAAACCCATTTTTGATGATAACAAGCAGAGCAGAGGATATCACTTATCCTTTTGGCAAAAATTGTGTTTCTGAAGGCGAGGTCTGAGGCATTAGAGAAGCATTCAGTGTTGTCCTTTTTGCTAATTGTACACAGTTAACTCCAGTGGCCCCCTGGGTCTGTGATTTTTAAACAGCATGAGTCCCAGAAAAGCAGAGCTTCCATTAAGAGCAGCAGGGGTGAGTACATGCAGTTTTTTCTTCAACCCTCAGATCTCAGGTCTCAGGGCTGCAGTGAAAGATGTGGATGACAGCTGTGGGCTGATTAGATTCAGGTGGCCCCGTGCTTCGTTTATAATCCCCAGGAGTCGAAACCCCCCACACATTTGAAGGGGAGAAAAGTATTTTGGAAAATTCTAGGAACTAAACATTAAATAAGTTTAGAACATTTTCAGAAAAATGAAAGACAAAAAAATTCCAGCTATTCACTACTTTGGGCAGTAAAATTGCATTTAAAGAAACATACTCAGTGAGGGACTGTTTTACAGTAGTGATGCCTGCTTACCTGAGTGAGAAATGTTCCTTTGAGAATCAAATATATACATTCTCTTCCACTGTGTTTCAGGAAATCATCATCAGTCCAATTTTTAATATATTGGAGAGACCTTAAAAAAATTTCCAAGGCAATGTTGGCGAATATCAGAATGAGGATCAGTTGCTTCCTTTCATTCACAACAGGTTTCTACCTGTTGTGACTCATACAGAGAGAAAATTTTAGAGCCGTTTTATTACTGATGGTTCATTTTAAAAAAGCAAATGCAGTGAACATAAGAGGCCCTCTCATGAAAGGATTCCAAAAGACACCTTATCTTTTGTAGAACATATGTATGTTTGTTCTGTAATTTTTTTTTTTAGAGACAGGGTCTCACTATGTTGCCCAGGCTGGTTTGGAACTCCTAGTCTCAAGCAATCCTCCTGCCTCAGCCTCCGGAAGTGCTAGGATTATAGGTGTGAGCCATCATGCCTGGCCTTGTTTTTTAACTTTTTATTTTGGAAAATTTTATACATCTTGAAAAGTACATAGAATCATTTAATGAATTCTGATGTTCTTGTCACTCAGCTTCAATAATTATCAAGTCAGGGCCAGTCTTGCTTTATCTATCTTCTGTTCCCTTTTAATCTCTTTGCCCCAAATTATTTTGAAACAAATCCCAGTCAATGTCTCATTTTATCTGTAATTACTTTCGTACATCCCTCTAAAAAGTAGAAAATCCTTTAAAATATAGCCACAGTACCATTACACACCGAAAAAAAGAATACTAATTTATTAATATAATCAAATAGTCATCAGTGATCATTTATCTGATTGTTTTTCTTTTTAATATTTTTCTCTTTGTCATAAGGAAAAACTTACATACAGTAAAGAACTTTCACAGTGTAAACATCAATGTAACTACTATCCAGGTAAAGTTATCAGGCATTTTCAACACTGCAGTGCCCTCCTTTGGGCTCCTTCTTAAATTGATATTCCCCCAGAGGTAGCCACTGTTCAGACTAGAACATTAGAAGTGAATAGTGGTTTTGGATTTCATATACATGGACTCATCTAGGATATACTCTTTTGTGTCTAGCTTCTTTCACTCAATGTTATTGCTTATGAGATTAATTCATGTTATTGCGTTGAGTGAATATGCTGTAATACTAGATCTGTTCTACCGTGATGGATGCTTGAATTATTTCCACTTTGTGGCTAGTATGAATAACACTGCTATTAACATGGTGTATGTGTCTTTTGGGGGAACATAATCATTCATTTCTGTTGTGAAAATTACTGGTTTACCCAGTAATCCCATGATTGGGTATATACCCTAATGAATATGAATTGTTCTGCCATAAAGGCACATGCATGTGTGTGTTCATTGCAGCACTATTCACAATAGCAAAGACATAGAGTCAACCTAAATATCCATCAGTTGGAGACTGGATAAAGAAAATGTGGTACATATACTGTGGAATACTATGCAGCCATAAAAAAGAATGAGATCATGTCCTTTGCAGGAACATGGATGGGGCTGGAGGCCATTAGTGTAAGCAAACCAATGCAGGAACAGAAAACCAAATACTCCATGTCCTCACTTATAAGTGGGAGCTAAACACTGAGTGCACTTGAACACAAAGAAGGGACCAACAGACAGCAGGGTCTACTTGAGGGTGGAGGGTAGGAAGAGGGTGAGGATCGAAAAACTACCTATTGTGTACTATGCTTATTACCTGGGTGATGAAATCATTTGTACACCAAACATCTGTGACACACAATTTACCTATATAGCAAACCTTTACATGTACCACTGAACCTAAAATTAAAAAAATTAATGACAACTATATGTGCATAAAATTAAACCACTGTTAAATTCATTAGAGGCTGGACGCAATAGCTCACGCCTGTAATCCCAGCATTTTGGGAGGCAGAGGCAGGTGGATCACTTGAAGTCTGGCGTTTGAGACCAGCATGGTCGACATGGTGAAACCCCATCTCTACTAAAAATACAAAAATTAGCCGGGTGTGGTGGCATGAACCTGAGGTGCCAGCTACTTGGGAGGCTGAGACACAAGAATCACTTGAACCCAGGAGGCGGAGGCTGCAGTGAGCCGACCACTGCACTGCAGCCTGGGTGTCAGAGTGAGACTCTGTCTCAAAAAAAAAATCATTAGAATAAATAATAAAATTATCAAGTTCATAATAAAAAAAGTTACTAGAGTAGGCATACGTTTAGATTTAATAGACACTGATAAACGAAGTAGGAGAAAACTAGTTGCTCCACATCTCACTAACGCTTGATATTGTCAGTCCTTCCTGACAACCTGATGAGTATGGTGGTATCTCATTTTGGTTTTAATTTGGATTTCCCTGATAACTAATGATTTTCAGCACTTTTTAATATGTTTACTGACTTTTGGATACCCTCATTTGTGAAGTGCCTATTTAAGATTTTGGCCATCTTTTTAGGAAGTTTTCAGTCTTTTACTGATTCCTGGAAGTTTTTAATGTATCCTGAAGATGAGCTCTTAGTTGGATATGTGTATTGCAAATATCTTCTCCCAGTCTGTGGTTTGCTTTTTCCAATCTCTTATGACTGAAAAGAAATTCTTAATTTTAATTGTCTTGATGTCTGTTCAAGTAAGCATCTAGCTTTGTTGCTGTTCTTCAGATTTGATTTGGCTATTCTAAATTATTTACTTTTCCATATAAATTTGTTTAATTTTTTAAAAAACTTTTAAGTTCAGAGGTACATGTGCAGTTTTGTTACATAGAAAAACTTGTGTCATGGAGATTTGTTGTACAGATTATTTCATCACCCAGGTATTAAGCCTAGTACTAATTTTTTATTTTTTCCAGTCCCCTCCCTCCTCCCACCCTCCATCGTCAAGTAGGCCTCCGTGTCTGTTGTTCCCCTCTATGTGTCCATATGTTCTCAACACTTAGCTCCCACTTATAGGTCAGAACATTCGGTGTTTGGTTTTCTGTTCCTGCATGAGTTTGCTAAGGATAATGGCCTCCAGCTCTATCTGTGTCCTTGCAAAGGACATGATCTTGTTCCTTTTTATGGTTGCATAGTATTCAATGGTATACATATACCACATTTTCTTTATTCAGTCTATCATTGATGGGCATTTCGGTTGATTCCATGTCTTTGCTATTGTGAATAGTGCTGCAGTGAACATACATGTGCATGTGTCTTTAGAACAATTTATAGTTTTTTGGGTATATACCCAGTAACAGGATTCCTGGGTTGAATGGTATATTAGTTTGTTTTCACGCTGCTGATAAAGATATACCTGAGACTGAGACTGGGTAATTTATAAAGGAAAGAGTTTTAATTAACTCATAGTTCCACATGGCTGGGGAGGCCTCACAATCACGGCAGAAGGCAGAGGAGGAGCAAAGTCATGTCCTGCATGGCAGCAGGCAAAGAGAGAATGAGAGCCAGGTGAAAGGGGAAATGCCTTATAAAACAATCAGATCTCATGAGGCTTATTCATTACCATCCCCCCATGATTCAATTATCTCCCACCAGCTCCCTCCCACAACACTTGGGAATTATGGGAGCTACAATTCAAGGTGAGATTTGGGTGGGGACACAGCCAAACCATATCAAATAGTATTTCTGCCTCTAGGTCTTTGAGGAATTGCCACACTGTCTTCCACAATGGTTGAACTAATTCATACTCCCACCAACAGTGTAAGAGTGTTCCTTTTTCTCCACAACCTTGCCAGCATCTGTTGTTTTTTGACTTTTTAATAATAACCATTCTGACTGGTGTGAGACGGTACCTTATTGTGGTTTTGATTTGCGTTTCTGTTTTTTTTTTTTTTTTTTTTTTGAGACGTAGTCTCTCTCTGTCGCCCAGGCTGAAGTGCAGTGGCGCGATCTCGGCTCACTGCAGCTTCTGCCACTCAGGTTCCAGTGATTCTCCTGCCTCAGCCTCCCAGGTAGCTGGGATTATAGGCATGCCCAGCTAATTTTTGTATTTTTAGTAGAGATGGGGTTTCACCATGTTAGCCAGGCTGGTCTCGAACTCCTGACCTCAGGTGATCTGCCCGCCTCAGCCTCCCAAAGTGCTAGGATTACAGGCGTGAGCCACTGCGCCTGGCCGTATTCTTTTAAAGATAAAAAATTCAGTGAGTTTGCTTTTATTCTTCCAGTTTGTATTCTGGACTATAAGATTTAAAAGTTTATTTCATCCTTTTTCCTATGCACAAAGTCCTGGGTCCCAACAAACACTGACATACTTAACTGATTGCTTTCTCACGTACTATGACCCAGCAGCCTTAGCATAACAGTACCCATTTGTCCAATAAGAATATGATTACGAAAATAGTTAAGATTTTTCTTTTGGCCACATTTTGGGGTCAGTTTTTAAGGGTATTTCACAATAGGGATGTACTGTCAGATTACTGTGTTGTAAAGTCTCTTGGACTAGTTCTGCTCTGGTATTATATTACCAACTGGATTTGCTTTTAGGGACATTTAAGTCACTTTCTTTTGACTTTAGGGGTTGCATTATTAACATTTAACTCAGTATTACTGTGAATAATTTTTACATGGTTCCAAAATGAAATCTATAAAACAAGATGTATAAAAGGGAGCTTCATTTCCATCCTTTTTTCTTCTTCCCTATTCCCCTCCCTCACCTTATAGGTATCAATTTTGAAAAAAATGTTATAGATTATCCTACCATTGTTTTTTCAATATCAGCAAATATTTAGTCTTCTTTTTTTTTTTTTAAAAAAATAGGTTTTTCACTATGGTTTATTTCACTCACTCCATTTTTTGTGTATCTTTTGGTAGTTAGAAAGGTTTGTATTTGGGTTCTAATGCTTATACTCAGCCTTCACATAGCATTCCCACTCCCCTCTTGTTTGGTCTTTGTTGGTTCCAAATATGAGGAGTAATTGAAATGAGCTAGGAGCCTCTTCCTCCCCGTCCATAGCACTGGTTTTGAACCAATGACCTTCGTACTCTTTGGGAACATTTCCAGATCTCTGGAATGAATGCATTTTGTGTAGAGACACATGCATGGTCCACAACTGATTAGGATGCAGATGCAGTAAGTTAACTTAGGATCACTTGAAATAAGTAAAAAAAAAAAAAAAAAAAAAAAGCGTGGGCTGGGTGTGGTGGCTCACACCAGTAATCCCAGCACTTTGGGAGGCCAAGGAGGGCAGATCACTTGAGGAAGGAGCTCGAGACCAGCCTGCTCAATATAGTGAAACCCCGTCTGTATTAAAAATACAATTAATTAGCTGGGCATGGTGGTGCCTGCCTGTAATCCCAGCTACTCGGGAGGCTGAGGCAGGAGAATGGCTGGAACCTGGGAGGCGGATGTTGCAGTGAGCCAAGATTGCACAATTGCACTCCAGCCTGGGTGACAGAGTGAGACTCTGTTTAAAAAGAAAACAAACCAAGGACCAAGTGAACCATGTTAGGTCGAGCTCTTCTAACAGCAAGTGATGTGCAGCCTGAGAGGACGATCGCCCGTCCTGCAGTGCATTGTCACGTGCCCGATGCACCCGGGTGCTGTGGGGGATGCAGACAGTTCTTCAAGGAGGGAAAATGGTTTCCTTGCGTTGTTGCTATGGTTTCTTTTCCCCCCTCTTAAATGATAAGATGGTAGGTGAAGTCGAAAGGGCCAGGTTAGGTACCATGAATAATTAATTGCCGCAGCTCTCAGAAACCTAATTTTAGCCAAGAATAAGAAGCAGATGTGGCAACAGTAGGCCCTAGTTTCAGCTTCCTTCATTTTTCAAATGGCAAAGTGGCTAATATTTGAGCAGGGAAAGGGAAAAGGAGGGAAAAGCTGCAGTACTCAGCACTTGATTGAGATGTGTCTGTTCCTGAAAGGCAGAATTCTGTGTCATCCCTTCCTTCACTGACTCGGATTTGTGAAACACCTGCTATGTGTGTAAGGTGGATATGATATATAGTAGGGTAGGGTAGGAGCCCATACTGTTATTCCCATATAGTGCTGTGGAATGAGAAAAACTAATGTGTATTTTGAGGCAGATTGTGGGGATGACAGATGCTACAGGAGTGTGCCGTTTGATCTAGGTTCATGGGTGTGAGCACTGGTTAGGGATTCCTCACAAGGGAATTGACCCCCTCACTTTTTTTCATGTAGGTTTAAGTAACCTATTAAATGGGAAAAGCAGACTATTATTAACTGTAGAATTTAGGTAGGTACTAAGTAGATGAAAAAGAAAATGGCAACAGAAGGTTAATGTAAAATAGAGTCCTGGATCTCACACACACTGTCTTTCTCTGACACACACACAGTGTACCAGGAGAAAAATGAATGTGTGTACCCTTCAATTCAGTAACACTACCTCTAGCATTTTATCCCAAAAATATATTTGGCCTTGCCTGCAAAAACATATGTACAAGATGTCCATTAGGCATATGTGTGTGTATACACACAGAGTCACACACATGTAAGTGTGCACCTTCTCTTTCCCGTAGACCCACACATACTCTCACTTTGCATATATTCTGTATTTATAGTCAGAGATTGAATAAATTGTTTCATCCCTTTTTATAGTGACCATATAGTATTTGCATAATAAAAAATCAGTAAAACGATTTTCATTTAAGAAGGTAATTACAACTAGCTTTTCCTTTTAGTGCAATTTATAGAAATCTGGATTTTGTACTATTTTGGATTTTGAAGCAGAACATTTATATTCTTTTATTCTTTAAATTGGTATTGATTTGGTTTCATTTTTGCCTTACAACAAAATCAGATGATTACAAGGGGGGAATGGCTGACTCTTAGCGAGGCATTCCTAAGGTTCTGGGATTGATGAGTAAGTGTGTGAAGTCTGACTCAGTGAAGAGACCCTTTGATCTACTCTAGAAACTATACTGATTTTCTGTGTTGAACATTTGTAACAAGTTTTGCATTTTAAAAATGATCTAACTGGTAACTGTAGAAGATTATTTTAAAAATGAATAATAACTGTCTTTCTTTGGCCATGTTTTTGTAGTTGTCAGATTGTTTCTACCTTTTTTTTTTTTTTTTGAGACAGAGTCTCACTCTCTCGCCCAGGCTGGAGTGCAGTGGTGTGGTCTTGGCTCAGTGCAACCTCCACCTCTTGGATTCACGCAATTGTCCCTGCCTCAGGCTCCCCAGTAGCTGGGATTACAGACACCCGCCACCACTTGCTGCTAACTTTTGTATTTTTAGTAGAGATGGGGTTTTGTCATGTTGGCTAGGCTGGTCTCCAACTGCTAATCTCAGGTAATCTGCCTGCCTCAGCCTCCCAAAGTGCTGGGATTACAGACGTGAGCCACCGCGCCTGGCCTGTTTCTACTATCTTTATATTTACTGTGTCAACTCTTTAACAGCCACAGTTACAAAGTTTACTAAGGCAGTGTCTGTTATAATTTGACTTTTTGTTTGCCTTGCTTTGAAGAATCAGAGGCAAATTCTATCCTGGCAGATAGAGCCATAAACCACCTTGCCTCTTTAACTTCTTTATTAGGGTAATTTAATCTGCTTGATGACCTTAACTTCTTTTATTCAATTAGAAGGATTATATGGTAATCATGATATGTCAAATGCTTTTAAAATAAAATTTTACAGTGAAAATAATTGTATTTTGTGTGTGTGTGTGTGTTTTTTTAACAGAAATCATAGCCCACTAATGAGTTTTGGAGCCAGCTTTGTCAGTTTTTTGGTAAGTTGATATCTTAAGACCTATTGGCATGAAGGAAACAATTATATAAAGTAATGTCTGTTAGTGGCTACCAGTTGTATAGATACACTATTGTAGAAAGTCTTTTAGAGTTTAAAACTGAAATAAAGTTTTTGCCTATTACCCAATGCCTATGAAATAATCTGCCTTCCCTAATTTTAAAAATAAAATGCTTACATCTTATTTATAGGGTATTATATTTTAACCAAAGTCCTTTTTAGAATAAAAATGTAATGGAAAGACCTTCAATAATTAAAACTGCATTCGAGGTAGAAAAAAAGTCTGGGTTTGGGTAATAAAGGTTTGCTCTGAAATTATTGAGTAAATGTGGACTAGAAGTCAAGTTAAATGAGCAGAGCTAAAATTCGTCAGTTTGTATTACATTTCCAAATATGAGTATTTGGGAATTGAGGAAGTAGGTTGCAGTTAGTTTTAAAGTACATTGGGCAATGTGGAAAATGGGATACTTCGATTTTTCGGAAATAGTAATAACCACACAAATTACTTTCAAACACATAATTTTTTTAAAAGACTATTAATGAATTGTGTAACAGCAAGAAAAAAAAAGACATGATAGGGACTGAAAAAGAGAAAGCATTTAGATCCAAGATTGGGAAAGATGTCAGCAAATGGGCATGCCACAGCCTGGCAGTGCTCAACCACAGGTACCACGCCAGCTTCCAGTGAGAAGTTTTTATTCAAGGTATTTATTTCCTCTTATTGCCAGTTAATGCAACAAAAATGTTAACGGCTATTGTTTGAAAGAATACATTATTCCCAA
Source organism: Homo sapiens (assembly GCF_000001405.40). Lineage (NCBI taxonomy): Eukaryota > Metazoa > Chordata > Mammalia > Primates > Hominidae > Homo > Homo sapiens. The sequence goes on from NC_000018.10 coordinate 24,064,988, forward strand.
CCCTAAGGAAAATGGTACTGGGTGGCGGTTGTAACATTAGTACCCAAGTGATAACAAGGGCTGCGAATGAGATCTAACCAAAGGGTCTTGGCTGAGTCTGGTGGTGGAGGAGGAGGAGAAGCAAGGCCACAGCAGGGTTGAGATTTCAGCAGCTTGAGAGGAGGGTTGGGAAGAAAAGTGTGGCAGGGAGGCCTGGGCCGAGGTTTGGCTAGAATGGAAAAGTAGGTTAGAGCCATACTGAGGAAGCCTGAAAGGCCAAGATGGAGCTGGTGGAATTTGATAGGAAATGAGGAGTTAGAGACAGTAGGTTCATCAGGTCCTTCCAAGAACCAGGTATCCCGCAGCAAGTCTGTCTCTGCCCCTGTAAGCCCATTCATCTCAGAAACCTCAGTTCTACTGTGTAAAAGTCACAGGTGCTCAGCAGAGATTCAGTAGATTTCCCCTACTTCGTTAAATGTGGCTTGAAAAAGTCCACCAGGATCAGGTGCCTGGAAACAAGCTGTCATGGAATTTTTAAACATAGACAATATAAAATGAATTCCTTATAAGTGAACCTACTGGAATTGCAGTCCCTGGAAAGACTGAAGATTTTCCAGGTGTACCTACAAGCTGTTGTTTCATTAGCATTTCTGTGCAGTAGTTGGTGGAGCCAGGGATCCATATGTGGGTAGAATGAACTTCTGCATCAGACGCCACTGTAAAAACTGAATTGAGCAGACCAGTCAGAAATCATAGAGAATTTTTGTTACTGTGTTTAATAACAGCAACAACAAAATTTGTAGAACAGTAATGGCAAGGACATTTATTACCGTATTTCTTTCATGATGATGTGATAGAGGTATAGTCTTATTTCATGTTGAGATTACAGTTTCTTTGAATGAATAGATTATGCTGTAACATTGTGATTCTTTTGCTTGCAATAAATAATTTAAGTGTTTTTTTAATTTGGAGTTTTCTTGTAATAAGTTGGCTTAAATTTTCAGATACTAATTCATTCATTCATTCATTCTTTCTTTCTTGGAAGAATGCCATGATGACATTTGAGGAAGAAAAAATGCAGTTGGCATGTGATGACTTAAAAACCACAGAAAAACTGTGTGAAAGTGAAGAGGCTGGAGTAATTGAAACAATCAAGAATAAAATTAAGAAGAACGTAAGTATTGCGGCTTTAGGTTGTGGACTGTGTGCCACTTATTTAGAATATCACTTTTGTTCATTTAGAACAAAAGCCATTTGCTTGGTTTTAGTATTTAGAATATGACTGAAAAACCACAATGTTTCTTATGGTTTTTGGTTATATAAAATGTTATCTCTTATAAAAACAGAAGCTGCTTTCAGTCATCCAGAGCCATTCAGTGCATGTCCTTTTGATATCTTAGAATCATCTTCTTCCATAATGGGCCGTGTGGGAAGGGCTGTTTTAATGAGGTTTTCCTATATGTAATTCAAATAGGATACGATGGCAGTTGATGAATAATAGAATTGCATTTTGGTGTAATTCTGGAATTCAGCTGTTTACCTAATTTTCCCCAGGCCTCACCAGCCTTTGGTTATAAATAGTCATAATACCATCAGAATCCAGTTTTCCTGATTTTGCCCTCACCATTTCAGTGCAAAAGTGCTAGGCTATGGAGAGGCACCCTCCTAGCCCTGATGTTACTTGGAGTGCCCAAGGGTCTCACATACGTCACTGACAAATCAGTCTGTTGGATATAGTCATCAGAAGCCACCTGTCTTCTGCTCCTGCATGCCCGTGCCCTGCCTATGAAGCATCACAGGAGAGTGTTTCACCTCTGCTCTTGTTTATGGTGTCCACCATGAGAAAGCCACTGATGGGCCAAGTGTCCCGCCTCCTGATGCTCCAGAGGGCCAGAGTTTTCCTAGCTTCCTCTCTCTCCAGCCTGACACATCCTGCACAGTAGATGTTATTACAAACGAGGAAACAGAAGCATCTTGACATTTTCTCAAGTGAATAGAATAGTGAGTGCTGGGGCTAGATTTGGAACAACAGTGACCACGATGGATTATGCTAAAATCTAGAAAAAAGGGAAACAGATCATTCTGGTGTGTCTGCTGTGTATACTGTTGACATATTGGCAAAAATCCTGTTATTTCTTCTGTCATTGTGATAGCATATGAAAGCTATTTAACTTATTCAAGTTTGTTTTGTACTAAGAATGCAGAATGTTCTATTCTGGAGTGTTCTATTCTTCATTTTAGAAACATTATGATAAAGACCAACGTTTTATAACGTCTAATCAATGACCAAGTGCTGTTGACTCTTTTTCTTAATACCTCTTGAATTCATCAACTACTCTCCATCCTCACTGCCATCTCTGTAGGTCAGACACTATCCCACTTGTCTAAGACACATGGGTATTTCTGCCTCCAGTCTCACGGTTCTTTAATGTAGGGGTCCCCAGCCTCTGGGCCATGGACCCGTACTGGTCTATGGGCTGTTAGGAACCAAGCCACAGGGCAGGAGGTGATCTGCAGGGCAGGTGAGCATTACCACCTGAGCTTCGCCTCCTGTCAGATCAAGAGTGTCATGAGATTGTCATAGGAGCATGAACTGTCTATGCAAGGGATCTAGGGTGCACCCTCCTTATGAGAATCTAACTAACGCCTGATGACGTGAGGTGGAACAGTTTCATCCTGAAACCATTAACCCATCTCCTCCCACCCCCTCAACCCAGTCCATGGAAAAATTGTCTTCCGTGAAGCTGGTCCCTGGTGCCAAAAAGGTTGGAGAATGCTGCTCTAATTCATTGACCATAATATAGTCACTAAAATGCAAATTTGTTGCTTGCTTGGTTTTCGGTGGCCCCTCTCACCAGCCATTGCCATTATAATAAAGTACAGACTTCTTAATGTGGCTGACTTGGCGTTTACGTTTCCTCTGCCTGGAACATTCTCCTCCCTCGTTTCCTGGTTCCTACTCTTCTTTAGTTCTTTCTACGTGTCCTTTTCCTCAAAGACTGTTGCTTGAGGCTCCATGCCCTGTTGAGTGTGTCTCCTACAGCTTCCCATAGTTCCCTGTCCTTACCCTTCAGAGAGCTTTCTACAGTGCATAGTAATATGGTCTATATTTTGTCATTAGAATGAAAGCTTATTTACATGTCTGTCATCAGTATCCAGTACCATGTCTAGCACCTGTGTTAATAATTAAGATTTGTAATGAGTCCTTGCAATTTAAAAAGCATTTTCACATTCAGTATCTCATTAGCCCTCCCAACAATCCTGCACAGTAGATTTTATGACAAACGAGGAAACAGAAGCATCTTGACATTTTCCCAAGTGAATAGAATAGTGAGTGCTGGGGCTAGGTTTGAAACAACAGTGACCACGATGGATTATGCTAAAATCTAGAAAAAAGGGAAACACATCATTCTGGCTTGTCTACTGTGTATACTGTTGACATATTTGCAAAAATTCTATTATTTCATCTGTCATTGTGATAGCATATTAAAGCTATTTAACTTATTTTATTCAAGTTTACTTTGTACTAAGAATGCAGAGTGTTCTATTCTGAAGTGTTCTATTTTTCATTTTAGAAACATTATGATAAAGACCAACATTTTATAAAAAGTGATTTGACTTTTTGCATATTTGTATTTATATGACTTATATTTCAAGTAGTTTGTGATTTATTCAAAGCTAATTTTTAATTCCAGAATATTTTCTCCTTAATGGAAATGTAATCAGTTTCTGATCCTTACATCTCAGTTGCATGCACGAAAAGAATGCCCCTAATGTTATCCTACCTGAAGACAGGTGGCTGCAAAGTTGACTTTTCAGGTTATCTACTTTGAGGAATATATTGTACCTTTAATGATTTTTATTCTGGATAAGAAAGACTTCATATTGTTTGTTTTTAAAAAAGGTGAAACTCCGAGGTTTTTTGTTGCTTTTCGTATTTCCCATGAATTCAGCTTGTATCACTTAGAATATTTTTGTCTTTGAGTTACAGTGCTCAAACAAACAAAACAAAGTCAGACTAATGGGAATTTGGAGCTGCCAGGCTCATAGGATAAATTTGGGCTTGGCTTTGAGTGCCAGGTTTCACAATTCGTATGTGAAATTATCTTGTACAATAACCTGATACTGTTTGGGGGAACTGTCGTTGTTATGTGTGATTTATCAGTGTGGACATTCTTTCTGCCAAACAGGTTGATGTCCGAAAATCCGCCCCCTCTATGGTTGATCGGCTTCAGAGGCAGATAATCATAGCTGACTGCCAGGTTTACCTGGCTGTGCTTTCATTTGTAAAACAAGAATTGTCAGGTATGCTGAAGCATTATTTTTAATGGTTTTCAGTATTCAGTGCACACAATTAGTAATATGCTTTTTTAAGAATGCCTTATATTTCAGTCTTTGAACACATGTGGCACCTCTTTGGGGCATGATACTGATTTATTACTGGGGAAATTGAAACCACAAGTGTTTAATGTGTGTTTAGTGGAGCAGTTTTTGTGCCAGAGTCTGTTTCATCCTCTTGTCTCAAGAGAATTCTGTCATACTGACAGAAATTGCTACTGCCTCTTATATGTATGTAGATGTATAATAGTTTTTCTTTGTGGGAATCAGGTTGTGATAATAACCTTTAAAGTGAAATGTAACTGGCTTAAATTTAAGGTTTTCAGGAAGTTGTTATTAAGGCCTGAGTGGCTTCAATGGTTTCACGTATATTAGGAGATCGTTAAAGATCATTAAAGATTTGCTAATATACTGGAATGACCTGCATTTTAACAAACTTTAGTGAGGGATATAAACTAATTTCTTAATTAGTCTGTCCAAGACAAATGTTTTCTAGGCTTAGCTTTAATTTCTTGAGTGAAATAGACTCAAGTGAGCCTCTAAAACTTGTCCTATGACTGAGTCTAAAATTGACCTAATTCTTTTAATTATGTGGTTATGGGTGTCTCTGATATTGACAGCAGAAACTTCCCATTTTGGTAGATAGAATTTACTTGAAAAAACCGAAAATTCTAAAAGGAAATCAATTAAAATTCACTGTCAGAAAGATATTTTCTCCTAAACCCTAAATGAAGAAGGATAAATTTCTTTTAAATTATAACATACTCTTTTCTTTCTAGCCTATCAGAAGCCGGTTTTTCCCCCTTTTTCTTGTTTCTCTTGCTCTTTCTTTGTCTCTGTCTCGTACGAACGATGCTTGGCTTCTGTTTGGCTGAAGTCAAAAGTGGAATATAACTTCTATTTTGATCTCTGAAATTTGGACTTCTAAGAATTGATCTTTCTTTTAAAATATGTTCTATGATGTACATTCACTGTTTGTTTTGGTTCAATAATTCTTTTTCTCCTTAACCCTCTTCTCAGGACTCTTCTAACAATACCTTACTTATATGGTCAAGAACTCATAGCTCATGTGAATTTTTTATAATGCAGTAATGTCATATCCCGCATTTGGAGCGCACTGCTGACTCAGATATAAAAGAGTACCAGAGCTTATCTGGACCTTGTTGGTCAAGACAAGAGCTCTGTGATTTTGTACTTCCTTTTCCTGACACTCAGGGACTCTCATAAGGAGCTAATTTTAACCATTAAGAAAATATCTGGCCAGGTGCCTTGGCTCACACTTGTAATCCCAGCACATTAGGAGGCTTAAGCAGGCGGATCACTTGAATCAGGAGTTCGAGACCAGCCTGGCCAACATGGTGAAACCCCGTCTCTACTAAAAATACAAAAATTAGCTGGGTGTGGTGGTGGTCGCTGTAATCCCAGCTACTTGGGAGGCTGAGGCAGGAGAATCGCTTGAACATGGGAGGTGGGGGTTGCAGTGAGCTGAGATCACTCCACCGCACTCCAGCCTGGGTGACAGAGTGAGACTTAAAAAGAAAAGAAAAGAAAAGAAAATACCTGTTGAGAGAGGAGGATAAAGCAAATGTAATAAAAGTTAAAGTGTGAGAATATATCAGAACTTTTTTGTTTTTTGTTTTTTGAAATGGAGTCTCGCAGTGTTTCCTTGGTTGGAGTGCAGTGGTGCGATCTTGGTTCACTGCAACCTCTGCCTCCCAGGTTCAAGTGATTCTCCTGCCTCAGCCTCCAGAGTAGCTGGGATTACAGGCGCCCACCACCACGCCCAACTAATTTTTTGTACTTTTAGTAGAGGCGGGGTTTCACTATGTTGGTCGGCCTGGTTTTGAACTCTGACCTTGTGATCTGCCTGCCTCGGCCTCCCAAAGTGCTGGCATTACAGGTGTGAGCTGCCGTGCCCAGCCAGAACTTTCTAAATGAGTACGTCTGTCTTTCGTTTGTTCAATCATTGATCCATTCAACAAATAATTATAGAGCACATGCTGTGTGCTAAGCACTTAGTTAGATAAGCAAACACAGGCCTAGTCCCTGCCCTCGTGAAGCTGAGAATTATCAGATAATAGTATTTATAGTTAAGATTATTCTGATTGTAAAATTACTAAATATTAGTATGGAATATTTTGGAAAGATAGAAAGCAAGTCATCATCTCCAATTTCACCACTTAGAGAAAATCTCTTTTTATTAATGATCTACTTTATATTTCTCTAATTTTTTGCAAAATTGAATCTAAAGTATTTTGTATCTTGTTTTTTCTTTTCAATTATACTTTGGGTATTTTCCCTATGACTTACTTTCAGAACATAATTTTAAATAATAGTGTGTTAGTTTATCATATGGGTATGCCCTAATGTATTTAGTCAATTCCTCATGAACGTTTAGACTGGTGTGCATTTTTGGGGGGTATTAGTGAGATTGAATATGCTTTTGTATTTTATCCATAAACTATATTTCTTTCACAAATTATCTTTACAGCCTTTGCCTATTCTTCTAATAGTTTGATATTATTGTTACTTAATCCTGTTCATCATAGTATTTGACAGCATTCTTGCTTCTTCCTGAAGTCCTATGATTTATTGAATGTGATATTGACATTGAAGTGAAATTCTCATAGGCATGAAAGCCTCAGCTTGTCATAAACTTATGTAGTGGTTATTTGCTTTGTGAATAGCTCAGTATTTGTTTCAAACAAACACAACCAACAATGTGCTCTATTTGCCTTTGAGACACCCAGTGGGTTATTAAGCTACAAATAATTTGTTTACTTCATTGTTGGGATCCATGTTTCTTAGAAAACATTTTACATGGATAATTTTCTTGGGGAAAAAAAAAAAACAAAGCTCCTTGTTGGAGATGTTTGTTATGGGTGGCCCTCCCCACCCTTGGAGCGGGGCAGCACTGAGGGGCCAGGGGCACACACACAGGCCAGAGCTCTGGTAGGGATGAGCCAATGTGAACTTTTTAATGATTCATGCTTTTTTTTTTTTTTTAAAGACAGTTTCTCACTCTGTCATGCAGGCTGGAGTGCAGTGGCACAATCTCGGCTCACAGCACAACCACTGCCTCCCGGGTTCAAGTGATTCTCGTACGTTAGCCTCCCAAGTAGCTAGGATTACAGGTGCATGCCACCACTCCTGGCTAATTTTTGGTATTTTTAGTAGAGACAGGGTTTCACCATGTTGGCCAGGCTGGTCTCGAACTCCTGCCCTTAAGTGATCCATCCGCCTTGGTCTCCCAAAGTGCTGGGATTGCAGGCATGGGCCACCGTGCCCGGTCAATGCTTCTTACTTTTAAAAAAGCTTGTGTTTATCTCATTTAAACTTCCTTATAATGAATTACTCCATCATCTCTTTAATTTCCCATACTACTTTATATCTTTTTAACTCTATTATCCAAGTGTCTTTTATTGCAGCAAGAATATATTACTTTTGTGATAAATTATTTTTAAAACATATTTTATGGCACTTGCCACCTTGTTTGATTATAAATTTCCTTTATTTCCTTTTGGATTTGAAGAGAGGGCCCATGTCTTTCTCACCTTTGTATTCTTGGCAACATATATACTCTAGTTTTCCTCAGATGAGATTGTTTTCCTTACTTGACAGGTGAGACAGTTGCAGTTGAATGATTTATGCAGCTTGTTGGTGATGACAGAACCAGGGCCTGAGCCATGGTTTTCTCATTTTCTAACTGAAATCCTGGTGCTGTCCACGTGCTCCCACCTTAGTTTGGTTACTTGTGCTATCACCTTCCAAGTGGCCCAGAAACCCAGGTTCCTTGGGACCTTCTCCCTCAGGTGCTCCCTGTACCCTGGGGAACTAGCCCTGGGCTAGAATAGTAGCCACACTGCCTCTTGCTTCCCTCTGGGCCACACTCTCCATTGCTGCTAGAGTATCTTTCCAGAACTGCTTAAACCCATGCTTTAAACACTTAGCTGGTGGGCCTCACCTGCAAGGGAAGGTCTGAATTCCTTTTGTGCGGGGCATGTAAGACCCTGCCTCTTTCCCAGCCACCTGCCCTTCCACTACCTCATCTAGCTGAGCTGAGATTCTCACACTCCCTGAATACCCGCTGCTGCCTCGAGCTTTTATTCACCTTGCCCTCTCAGTGTGGAACACCCCTACCCCCTTTATCTTTCTCTTATGCTTAATCAAGTGCAACCCAGGCCTTCCTCCTTTGTACAGCATTCCCTCCTCATATCAATCCTGGTTCTTTTTTTTTTTAAGAGGCAAGGTCTCACTCTGTCATCCAGGCTGGAGATCATAGCTCACTTCAGCCTTGAGGTCCCAGGTTCAAGTGATCCTCTTGCCTCAGCCTCCTGAGTAGCTGGGACTACAGGCATGTACCACCACACCTGGCTAATTTTTTAAAAATTTTTTGTAGAGATAGGGGTCTCACTATGCTGCCCAGGCAGGTCTTGAACTCCTGGGCTCAAGCAATCCTTCCGCCTTGTCCTCCCAAAGTGTGGGGATTACAGGTGTGAGCCACCATGCCCAGCCAATCTGGCCTTTGTTGTGCTATTACTTATACCCTGTACATCACCATTTACTGCAGGTATCACATAGCAATACTCATATTTATTTACATGTCTGCCTAAAGTATTAGGCTACATACCCCTTGAGGGCAGGGACTGTGCAATCTACCTGCTGTTTTACCTCTTCCCCACATATGTTGAGCATTTCCTATGTGCCCACATGCTGTGAGATGATAGGTGCTGGTAGTCTTGAGATGAATGAGATGCACTTCATGCCCTGGGAGAACTCATGGTTTGGCAGTAGGAACAAATAAGTAAGTAAATAAATTCTAATTCAGCAGGATACTTCAGCCATAGACATATAAGTTAGTTATAGAGGTTGAATAGGGAACAAGTGTTTCTGAATCTTTGGGAAGATCAAGGATCCCTTATCCCTGAGGAGGTTTATAAAGCATGAAGGTCCGTTTCCTTCTCTGTGTCCTTAGAACCTGGTAGGACGTTTTTGCCTAGAACATGGTGGGTGGATACTAAAATCCATTCATGCCTAGTGTTCCATTATTGGAACGCTAAGCATGTGGGAGTTATTTATATCCTACGGTTCAAGGTCATTGCCAAGATCTGATTGCAAAAATTCACAAATTTGCAACCTCAGGCATAATTAAAGGGAGGAAATGGAGGAAAGGTAATGCCATTCAGGAAGATATTGGGATTGGAGAAGTGAGCCTATTAGAAGTCTGTTGGTGACACATGAAAAAATGCTCATCATCACCGGCCATCAGAGAAATGCAGATCAAAATCACAATGAGATACCATCTCACATAAGTTAGAATGGTGATCGTTAAAAAGTCAGGAAACAACAGGTGCTGGAGAGGATGTGGAGAAATAGGAACACTTTTACACTGTTGGTGGGACGGTAAACTAGTTCAACCATTGTGGAAGACAGTGTGGCGACTCCTCAGGGATCTAGAACTAGAAATACCATTTGACCTAGCCATCTCATTACTGGGTATATACCCAGAGGATTATAAATCATGCTGCTATAAAGACACATGCACATGTATGTTTATTGCGGCACTATTCACAATAGCAAAGACTTGGAACCAACCCAAATATCCATCAATGATAGACTGGATAAAGAAAATGTGGCACATATACACCATGGAATACTATGCAGCCATAAAAAAGGATGAGTTCATGTCCTTTGTAGGGACATGGATGAAGCTGGAAACCATCATTCTGAGCAAACTATTGTAAGGACAGAAAACTAAACACGCATGTTCTCACTTATAGGTTAGAATTGAACAATGAGAACACTTGGACACAGGGTGGGGAACATCACACACCGGGGCCTGTCGTGGGGTGGGGGGAGTGGGGAGGGTTGGCATTAAGAGAAATACCTAATGTAAATGACAAGTTAATGGGTGCAGCACACCAACATGGCACATGTATACATACGTAACAAACCTGCACATTGTGCACATGTACGCTAGAACTTAAAGTATAATTAAAAAAAAAAAAGTCTGTTGGTGAAGGTTGAAGATAACGAGGCAGTGGGCTGACTGGTGAAAACTAAATCATCTTTTGTCCTTCAAAGTCTTGGGCCAGGAACAGTGGCTCACACCTGTGCACGGTGGCTCCTAGCACTTTGGGAGGCCGAAGTGGGTGGATTGCTTGAGTCTAGGAGTTTGAGACCAGCCTGGGCAACATGGCAAAACCCATCTCTACTAAAAATACAAAAAATCAGCCAGGCTTGGTGGCGTGTGCCTGTAGTCCCAGCTACTCAGGAGGCTGAGGTGGAAGAATCACCTGAGCTTGGGAGGTCGGGGCTGCAGTAAGGTGAGATAGTGCCACTGCACTGCAGCCTGAGCAATCCAAGTGAGACCTTGTCTCAAAAAAAAAAAAAAAAAAACAAAAAAAAAACCTCTATTATTTGAGACACAAGAAAGGCAAGCCTGAATTGCCATGGGTTAACCAGCCTCCTTCCGGGACAGTTGGACAGACAGGCTTTAATAGATGCTTGCACCAGATACAGTCCCCCTGAAAAATTACAAAATTTATCCAAGATCAATTTCATGTAACTTGATATTCCCATTTTGCAAGCAGCTCTTGCCCTTTCCCAGGGAAGACTTCTGTCCCCGTATGGGGCAGGGTTTCCTCTCGCCCCCTCCATCTCTCAGCTAGTTGTTGCCTGGTCCTCATAAGGTGGGACAGATTGTCTGTTGCCCAGGCTGGAGTGCAGTGGCACAATCTTGGGTCACTACAACCTCCACCTCCTGGTTTCATGCTATTCTCCTGCCTCAGCCTCCTGAGTAGCTGGAACTACAGGCACCTGCCACCAAGCCCGGCTAATTTTTTTGTATTTTTTAGTAGAGACAGGGTTTCACCATGTTGGCCAGGCTGGTTTTGAACTCCTGACCTCAAGTGATCTGCCTGCCTCAGCCTCCAAAAGTGCTGGGATTACAGGCATGAGCCACCGCGCCCGGCCTGCTCTGTGGTTTTTCTGCTGTCTCCACCTCCCTCCACAGACACAGCGATAACGACAGCTGAATGATTCATACTTGACCTTTCAGAGCAGCCAGATGAAAGGCTGTGCAGGGTGTATGGCTCTTAAATAGCGTGTTCTCTGCTTGTTGGGAAGACATGCACTCAGCTGCTGTGTCCTCTCATGGAGCTGCTGGAGCGGCCCCTGTAGGAGCCACAGTGCAGAGCGTCCTGTTCTCGGTGCTGCATTCTCCCCCAGCCTCTGCCTCCTCCTGCTTGGCCTGGCTGTGGCTGGAATTTTTGCTTTACAGAGTGTGGGATGGAGAGTAGGGCAAGTCCCGAGAACCTGTTTCAGTGCCAAGTTGGACGCAGAATGTAGTAAAAGCAACATGGCCTCTCTCGACATGAGCATTAAGTTTGTTTTGACATACATCAGTTTATCATCTTTGACTCAGTCAAAAACGTTGGGTTCTGTTTCCTTGGCTCAAATTAAGGACCTTACAGCTTGTTACCATAGACTTTAACATGTGCCTTCAGACATTGGCACCCATCTTAGGCACAAAATTAAAGACGGATTGAATTCATTGTATTCTTATTCTAGAAGAGTGGGGTTTTCACCGTGGAGGTTTCTGTTGTGTTTTATTGATTTAGTTCCACGTACTCAGGATTGGATGGATTCTTAACGTTTGTTTCCAGTTCTACCATCCATTTCTGTAGCTCCTCACCTGAGGTCAGAATTGTTAGCATTCATGTCTATAATCCTGGTCCCTTCGACGTCACGTTGAGAGATGCCGTTTCTCCGGGAGCAGGTGTTCACTCCTCTGTTGGGCTTGCACCCTTTTGTCCCGGTGTGTCCCCTGCTTCACTCTGCCTCCAAGCCGCTCGCCCATCTGCTCCTTCCTACTGGCATTCCTGCTGCTCTCTCCTGGGGTGTTCCCTTTCCCTTAGTGCAAGCTTCACTTCCTTTAATAAAGCTGAGGTAGCCTGGAAAATACAGGATAAAATGGAGTTAAATTTATCCCTCCAAATTTCCAGTTAAGAATGGGTAGGAGTAAAGTGTTCTTCCGAAATCCTGCAGTAACTATTTTGCACTCTCTAATTTATTTATGTGTTTACTACATGGAAAACTATTTAGTGACAGAAAAAGGAGATAAAAAAGAACAATTCACTCATCATCTCAGCGTTGTTTGTTTTCACTCTTTCTGTATGTGACCCAATAGAGCATTTAAATATGTATGTTAAGTTGCATGCTTATTTTTTCCTTTGTTTATTTTCTTTTCTAATTTTATTGTGGGCATTAGGCGGGATTGGACAATGTTTTATAGTTCTTTGGCGTTCCTCAGGTGGCAAGCACAGTGCCAGGCACATAATAGAAACAGTCAATAGCCAATCGATATTTTTAGGGTTTTACAGATTTGTTTAAAATCTGCAGCCAGTGATTATTTGTTTTCAATTAGATTCCAATTGCCTCTGTGCTCTCAAGAATATATATTCTAGTTTCTATTTTTTTCTGCTTTTCTGTTAAACCTTTGGCTTTTTGGATTGTAACTGAGCATCATCTTTCTTGTTTGTGGACATGCTGGATCAATCCAGACACTTAAAAATCCACTTTGTTAGTATAAAAGAAGCTTCAAGGTTTTCTCCAGGCTTTCTTTTCCTACAGTGCTTCCCTTTAGGAGGGGAAAAAGTCATTGAGCCTCTTAAAGGAAGGATCTCTGTCTTATTTCACTTCGATTCACCCAGAACAGTGCTTGAAATGTGGTGTTTGTACAGTAAATATTCTTGTTAAGTAGAACGAATGAAAAGAAATTGTTTCAAATGTATTACTTTTATTATTTTAAAGTTACTAAAAAAACTTTGTAGATTAATTTGTTTTACTTGTTCATTCTACCCTATAGCATTCTTTTTAGTGGAGGTAGACTATAGGACATTAATCACCCAGAAGTTGTAGGATAGTTGTTTTTAAATGTGATCCCCTGGGTGATATGTTCATCATTTGTCAGAAAATTGATGCATTTAAGTAAAATAATAGCTTGATACCATAGATTGGGGGTCCCCAAGACCACCTCCAGGTTTGATGACTTACATTCAAGACTCATCTTACAGTCATATTTTTAGCTATGACTTCTTACAGCTAAATTACGTTGCAGTCTTATTTTTTCATTTGTATTGGTTTTCTTTCCTAATTTTATTGTGGATATTTGGAGGGCTTAGATTATGTTTTGTAGTTCGTTTGTGTTCCTTAGATACAAAGGAAAATCAGCAAAGGGAAAAAGCACATGGGGTGGCGGAGTCCAGGGGAGACCAGGCACAAGCTTCCAAGGCTTTGCTCTGCAGGGAGTCACACAGGATGTGCTAATTTGCTCCAGCAACGAGTTACGACAGCACAAATGAAATGTCACTAACCAGGAAATCTCATTAGAGACTTAATGCCAGAGTTTTTATTGGGGGCCGATCATGTAGGCACATAGACAAATTCCGGACTCCCAGAAGAAAAATCAGTGTTCAATGTACATCATATTATTTGTGCAGACAGTTTAGGTGCACACAGTGAGCCACTCTTATCAGTCCTGGAAATGGTAAGAACTTTCCCAGAATCCAAGCTTCCATTCCAGCCAAGGGCCAACCTTTTTAGCAGTTCTATTGAAGGATAGCAGTCAGGCCTGCTGCATCAACTCTTTTCTACACATCTATTCTTAGATCACTCTCAATTCCGGGATTGGGTTTTTGTAAATCAGATTTTATTTTATTTCATATATTTTCTGAAATTTTAAAAATGCCGTTCTGAAAACCTCTTTTCCTACTGTTCTAAAGGGCCTGGAAGTCTGACAGTTCATGTTGTCCATTTGTACATGAGGGTCAGAGTTGGTATCATATTAATAACATTGCCAAGTGGATAAGCTCTCTTATAGTTATGAGAGAACTTTATTTTACAGAAAATTCCCTACAGAAAATCCTTTCTTCAAAAATGAGATGATGATGCACTCAGATAGTCCTATGTAAGTTGACCTCCCCTAGCCCTTCCTACTCATCTGAAGGTAAAAATATTCCTAGGAGGAGTGGTCAACAGTAGGGTCCTGACAGGGGCCAGTGGTGGAGGGAGGTGGTAAATCCCATGTCTTACCTCTTATACTTCAAGTCGTCTTTGTGGTATGTGTTCCTAAGAGGGCTCTGTTAAGAAAAATTGGCCTAACAGAAAATAGTGGAGGTGGCTTTAAAGATAAGAGATTTGTACCTTCTGCTGTGCTGTAACTTTTTTACTGCTACTTCACTGTGGTTGGGGCAGTGGATAAACCCCAGTTTCATAAACCAAATAAAGCAATTCTGATAAGGTGTGCTTAAGCCACACAGTACTCCTCAGATATACATGAATTGGGAGGTCTTTACATTTTGCATTTAACATGAATGACTTTTTTGATAATAAACTGGCTATTTGTTTACCCAGTAAATATTAGTCTTTTTTGCCTGCTTATTTTATTTTTTTTTGGCAAGACGCAATGCTTGGTGCTTGGGTATACATTTTTTTCTTTCTTTTTTTTTTTTTGAGACAGGATCTCACTCTGTTGCCCAGGCTGGCATGCCGTGGCACAGTTGTGGCTCACTGCAGCCTTGACCTCTCAGGCTCAGGGAATCCTCCCACCTCAGCCTCCCAGGTAGCTGGGACTACAGGTGTGCACTACCACACCTGGCTAAATTTTGTATTTTTTATAGAGATGAGATTTCTCCATGTTGCTCAGCCTGGTCTCAAACTCCTGGACTTAAGTAATCTGCCCACCACGGCCTCCCAAAGTGCTGAGATTACAGGCATGAGCCACCGCACCCAACCTTGGCTAGAAATTTAATGGTCACCTAGACCTAGGCCAAGAACTTGCTTTTGAGGAGGAATGTAACACAGGGTAGACAAATGCAAGGATTATAAAAAAGTTTATCAGGAAAGCAGTATAGTAATTCAGAAATGCAGCGGAGGGTTTCACAGAACTCGTGAAAAGATGTTGGATTCAGGTGATTCATTCATTCATTCGATGTATATTACATACCGTACTCTAGGTACTGCATGAAGGGCTTTATAGAACAATGAGCAGAAACACACATGCTTACCAGTCATCATCCAGTGTAGTGAAGGGAGACTGATGAGAAATAAGACATTTAAGTAAGCACTATAAGAACACTGGGTACAACAATAGATACTAATTTTTATGTTTTTTACATTTTTGGCTTGATTTTCAGGTTACTGTTCAGTATCCTTTACTATAGAAATAGAAAAATTATTTTGAATGTTTTTGAATCTTTTCTCCCCTTCTCTTTTTAGCTTATATCAAAGGTGGGTGGATCCTTAGGAAAGCCTGGAAGATTTACAATAAATGCTATCTGGACATCAATGCCCTTCAGGAGCTGTATCAGAAGAAGCTAACTGAAGAGTCCTTGACTTCTGATGCTGCAAATGATAATCACATTGTGGCTGAAGGGGTGTCTGAGGAGTCTCTGAACAGACTGAAAGGTGCTGTTAGCTTTGGATATGGCCTTTTTCACCTTTGCATATCCATGGTGCCCCCAAACCTGCTCAAAATCATCAACCTGCTGGGTTTTCCTGGAGACCGCCTACAGGGGCTTTCTTCACTGATGTATGCAAGCGAAAGTAAGGACATGAAGGCCCCTTTAGCTACGTGAGTAGCTGTATTGCAATGCTTTGGTAGATAATATAGTGTTGAAAGTAAGTAAACGACAATCAAAGACTTTAAAGGAAACTTCAGGTAAAATGTTTGGTTGGTTGACAGGGTGCTGTGTCTTATGTCTTTCAATGCAACACCAAGGACTGTGTTCTGTGGTCGTGGTGGTGGTTCTAAGCTGACTTTAGTTAGAGAACAAGGCGTTGTTCACTAGTCTCACAAGTCATGTATTTTAAAACCTCAAATGATTTTATAAGCAGTTTTTGTGACTTTGACCACATTCTCTGAGATTCACGATTCTGATTTTTGGACTTAGGAGGTACAAATTTGCTAAGCTTTTTCTGTGTTTCTGAAATTTTTATTCTTATAAAGAATTCTCACATTGGGTAATTTTCCTTGATGATTCAAGGTGGTTTCCTATATGTGACATGGATATTTTGTGCTCTTTCGCTAAACTGAGTCATGTTATGTTCCTTGGTTTAAACTTAAATAATAATTATTTAAGCAGGAGAGCATGAGGAAGCTGATATAACTATCTAGAACAAGAATTCACCAATTTCTACATCAGTTAAAAGTGATGTGTTTTTTGTTTGTTTGTTTTAGTCTGGCAAATATCTACCATTTGTAACTTGAGTAATTTAACACGATTCCGGATATTCTTTGTCTAACATTACAGCACTTGTCAAAATTTTCCCCAAAAATGTTGATATCATAGAGGACCTTACCTCTATTTCTACTTGTATCAGTATTGAGAAATTTGGATGTTAACTCTTAATCAACTGATAGCTATTTAAAATACCATTAATTTTTCATTTAAAAAAATTATGCCTCCCTAAACTCATTGAAGTACACAGTTGTCCTTTATTAATGTGAATTAATAGGTTTGTTAACTTGTGATCATTTGTCTGTTTATATCTTAATATTTTATGCTTATCTCTGATAAAGAAATGAATAGAATTAATAGTGTCATTAGTATGAGCTCCATAAGAGAACCAAATTTATAAGCACACCAGAAGTATGCATTTACATAAAAATATTTGACATGTTGGTTAAACATTTTTGTCTGGCTGTTGTTTTTTTTTTTTTTTTTTTTGAGACAGAGTCTTGCTCTGTAGCCCAGGGTGGAGTGCAGTGGCGCGATCTCGGCTCACTGCAACCTCTGCCTCCCGGGTCCCGGTTCAAGCAATTCTGCCTCAGTCTCCCAAGTAGCTAGGATTACAAATCCCAGTGACTCTGTTTTGTTTACCTAGTTTAACATGGCCATTTTTTTTTTTAAATAATGAGTTTGGAGCAAGGGAGTCTGAAGTAATTTATTTATTTGCTTGTTTTTTAAATTGAACATCTTCAAAGGCCAGAGAAAGAGCCCTTTGTCTTATCCCCTCACTTATTTTAACCCAACTTAGTATAATTTGTGTCTGTGGTTTCCATATTTAAATTTATTCTTTTTTATAAATTTTCTTTTTCCTTTTGACCTATTTATTTGTGCATGATATTTAAACTTAGATTCTAGGTTTATACCCTAAGTTTTGTGAACGCAAGAGAAAACAACATTTTCCTTTTGCCAAAAATAAATAAATAAAGCTTTTATTACAAGGGAACGGTAAACTCATGGTGACTAGTTACCATTTCTAATTGGTGCATTAATGAGTAAAGTGTAGAATTCAGAGATTTATGTCAGCCATCTCTTCAGCGATCCATCTAGAAGGCTCAGAAAAGCTAAATGCTCCTGTTACTTTATTCTCTTCTCCCCTGAGGGAAGGGTGTCTTCTGATTTATATATTGTGCTAAAGTTGCAGTTTTCCAAATATTAACATTAAAATGGGGAAAGTCTCTGATTTTACTTCTTCAGAGACTGCATAGTAAGCTTTTTGGATAGAGTAGTATTGGAAGAACACATACTGGAGTTTTGAAAAATGGAAATGGTGTAAGGAAAGTTAATGTGCTCAATGTTTCTCTCCCTCTTCCTCTAGATTAGCTCTGCTCTGGTATCATACTGTAGTCCGCCCGTTTTTTGCCTTGGATGGCAGTGATAACAAGGCAGGCCTGGATGAAGCTAAGGAAATTCTCCTTAAAAAAGAAGCTGCTTATCCAAATTCTTCCCTCTTTATGTTTTTCAAGGGACGGATACAACGACTAGAGGTACTGTACCTTCCTCATCTTTTTAAAATAAAGCCTCCGATGATCAAATCTCTGATTCTCACTTGAGGACTGGTATTAAAACGAGCCAGAATGTCCCAGGGCCCCGGAGCATTTTGTTCTTTTGCCTTTCCTTGTGTCTTTGCTAGGGAAGACTCTTCCAGGAACCCAGGATGTTAGTCAGTTACCTTCTGTTCGGAAGATGTGGGCGAAGTAGGGGTAAGATTCCTCATTGCTAATGACACAAGATTGGTGCACTTCCAGCCTAAGGCACGTGAGCATTATTTAGTTGCTGAGTTGAAAAATACAAAATACAATTTTTTTCCCTCTCTGAATTACTAATAATCTCTTTCTAAACTTTGATCTTGGCTAACAATTGACTTATACAAAAGTTACTGCCTTAAATATCAGGGCAACATGAGCTTTGAAATACTAGGAGCTTTTATCACATTTTCATGTGCTTAATTTGGCTCAGTACTGCGTTAAGAACTTTATACACGCTTTTCCATTTCATCCTCAGAACAACCCTGTGACATAGGTGTAAAATTGTCATCTGCATGTTATAGAAAAAATAAACAGGGATCTAAGAGGGCTTCAAGCAACTTCCTGTGCTTGCCCAGTGAGTGAGCCTGGGTTGTCTCACTCCAGAACCAGAAATGCGCTGGCCTTTGGAGTCTACTTCTCCTTTGCATATCTTTTTATCTGCTTGTTTGAGGTTATGAGGATTTGTAGAAAAATGAAACTATAAGAAATTAATCATACCTATGAAATAAGATAGCTGTTATAGTAGCTGCTCCATCTACATTGTTACCAAGAGTTATCAGGGAATCAGTTTGAGATTTTAACAACATCTGTCCTCCAGTTAACCAGGCACTCTGAGAAATCAGCCCCCATGAGTCCTTTTGAAGATTTTTGCCTAGAAATGCTTTCATGGGCACAGGAATAATTTGTTTTTTTGGGGGTGGGGATGCAGGCAGTGGAGTGTATATTACTTTCCCAGTCATTTTTCTCCTTCATAAAGTGACTCCTTAAATCTGAAGACCATGCAGAGCAGTTTTCTAAGTGCTTTGTATATGGAAGATGTGTTTTAGAGATTATACTAGCAGTTGAAAATTGAGATATAAGCTGGGCATGGTGGCTCATGCCTGCAGTCCCAGCACTTTGGGAGGCTGAGGCAGGTGTATCACCTGAGGTCAGGAGTTCGAGACCAGCCTGGCCAACATGGTGAAACCCTGTTTCCACGAAAAATACAATAAACTAGCTGGGCATGGTGGTACGTGCCTGTAATCCCAGCTACTTGGGAGGCTGAGACACGAGAATCGCTTGAACCTGGGAGGCAGAGGTTGTAGTGAGCCGAGATTGCGCCACTGCACTCCAGCCTGGGTGACAGAGTGAGACTCCATCTCAAAAATAAATATATAAAATAAAATTGAGATATAGTTCAGAAAGCCCACCAAGATCTGAATTATTTAAACCTGTGTCCAAATTGTTTTTGTTCTCATTATCTTGCAATTGTTTTTCTTTGCATACAGGCTCGTGAGCCCTTGGTTGTGTTTCTCCCTTTTTTCTCTCACTGTTTTTTTTCTTTTCCTTTTTGAGACGGGTCTCACCCTGTTGCCCAGGCTGGCATGCAGTGACACAGTCATAGCTCACTGCAGCCTCAGCCTCAACCTTCCAGGCTCAAGCGATCCTCCGACCTCAGCCTCCAAAGTAGCTGGGACTACTGCTGTGCGACACCATGCCTGGCTAATTTTTGAATTTTTATTTTTAGAGATGGGGTCTCCCTATTTTGGCCAGTCTGGTCTCAAACTCCTGGGCTCAAGAGATCCTCCAGCCTCGGCCTCCCAAAGTGCTGAGATTACAGGTGTGAGCCACTGTGCCTGGCCTCAGGATGAGTGCTTTCTTAGATTTAGATTTCTTCAAGGGCAGATTTAGATTTCTTCAAGTTCTGAGTAGCTTTGAACACGATGCTACAGGGTTTAGTGTTTAACAGAGATTTGCTGGGTTTAGTGTTTAACAGATATTTATTACAAGGGGAAAGTAAATTCATGGTGACAGGTTACTGTTTCTAATTGGTGCATTGACGAATAAAGTGTAGAATTGAGAGATTTACCTCGGTCATCTCTTCAGCGATCCATCTAGAAGCCTAAAGTTTAAAATTGTGTGCAGCAGGGCAGTGAGGCCCCTTAGCTTTGGACATTTGTTAGAATTCTCTCTCTTTATTCTGCTGATGAATGAATGCTCTAAATTGGGTTTTGAAGTTGTTAAACAGAAATGTGAAAATCAGAATTTATATTTTGTTATACTTGCCATTTGAGTAATTTTTCATTTTAAAACAAAATTGCTTAACTTTTGGTTAAGCTAATAAGTTTTTTTCCCAAAAATCTTACTTTGACATGGTTTTAGTTTGTGCCACGACTAATTCCTATAGAGGATTGAGTGAATACTAAACATAAGCAGTCATTCCTTGTTGTCAAGATGGTTCTAGAAATAAGGAAGCCACAGCTTCATCAAAGGATTCCTGTAAATATGGTTTTTGGAGGTACATAGTCCACATTATAGCTCTTAGTAGATATGTAGTCTATTTGGGGGTAGATAATTGTGATCAGAGTGCAGAGGGTAGGTGCTAGAACTCCTTCACAGTTAAGCGGCACTTAACACAGTTAAGTTTTAAGAAAAAACACACAAGATCTGTGACTACGGTTATTTAGTGAGCTGTAGCTTTAGGGCCAGACAAAATATGATGAGTGTTTCTGTTTGGCTCTTCCCAAAGGCCCAGAGGATGAAAAGATTTTAAGGCTAACTTGAAATATGGTTGTTATTATCCCCAAGGTGCCCAGACAGCAGCGTTTCATTGCTCTTCCCAGGTATGTGTAGGACGGTATCAGAAATGACCATGTCATCCTTCATTTGCAGATGAGGAACTCTGCCCAGGGAGGCTGTGATATAGCCCTTGCCAAAGGCTGTTTGTAAGGCCTTGAAGGCCCTGACTCAGTTTATGAAACTTACATGACTCCTTCCAATGAATTTGCTTACAAAGAATTTTTTTTCTTTTCAGTGAACATTTAGGTTAGAAATAGGGCCCCTTGAGCTCTTTTTATCAACACGTACTCACAGAACATGGTCTAGGGGCTTTAATTTAGGGCAGGTGCATTATATGACACCATCTTTGTTTCTTCAGTGACTCAGAATCTGTGAAATTATTTGAACAGCTGCTTTTGTGTAAGCTTGCTAACATGCAGGGTGACTGTCTCAATCTGTGCCCGTCAGTGTTCATTCTTCTGTACTCGTTATTTTCAAATCCTGTTGAGTGCCCACTTTTTCTTTTAGTTTTGTTAACTTTTTACGTACTTTGCCTTTCGTTGTTTGGGACTCTGTAGAGTGAATATAGGAGGATTTCTTCCACAGATCTGCTCCTGTCGTGCCACTTGCATAAACCTCATTGTGGTGACTTGGCTGTTTTCTGTTATGGCCTCAGTTGATGTTGCAGTGAGTGCTACACCATGATGGTGAGGTCCGTTTGCACCCCAGCTGGTGAGCACAGGATCCTCTTTGCCAAACTGCAGAAAGAATTCCCTTGTCTCGCTGCCTCCGCTTCTCCCCACTGCGTGTCTATAGTACTGTGCCTCGAACCTTCTCTGCCCACTTGTGTTGTCCTTACAGCTGATCCTATTTTCCTTGACTCCTCCCATGTGACTTACTACATTGCTGGGGGGAATGAATGTGTGAATACAGTACCTAGCATGTGGCAAACGCTGTCTAAGTAAGGGTGTGATGGTGTTTATTATTCCTACTGAGTGCTTAAGCATGGGAAGTCAGGTATCACATTTTCGTGTTTTGTTTTTTTTTTTCTTTTGGGGAAAAAGAACTTGTTTGGTGTTGAGAGCTGTCAATAAAGCAAGGCCTGTGATTGGCAAAATTGGTTATGGGTGTAGCTATAGGAGATGTATGTACTATACAGCTGTTTACTTATCCCTGAATTTCCACAATGCAAACAATGTTTGGGAGGCTGACCAATGGGTTATATAGGAATCTCAATTTTCAAATGTGAATTGGTAGTTATAATTTTGAATTTCTGTATTTTCCATTAATGTTCACTTAATTTTCATTCAGTTAGACCTATGGTAGTGTTATGTCCATTAAGATACAAGCAATTAATGAGTATTTTTCTTGATTATTTTTACAATATTAGGGACAAGTCTATATTTTCATAAACTGTTTTCAGTTGTCTCTGCTCTTTCTTCTTTAAGCAATACAGATTTACACAACTTTTTTCTCTTTCAGCTTTAACAATCTGCTTTGTATGTGACATGTAAGGATTTGGTTTTCTGTAAATACATACTTTCACACACATACCTTATATGGTGTGACTAGTAATGTAACTAATTTTTAATATTATTTACCTCTAAAAAAGTGTTCAGATATTCAAATAAATGAAAGTCGTTTTCTATAAAGTTAATGAACATATTCTAACAAAGTTCCTATGCAAGCATTTTGAGAACTGTTTTTTTTTTGTTTTTTTTTGAGACAGAGTCTTGCTCTGTCACCCAGGCTGGAGTACAGTGGTGCAATCTTGGCTCACTGCAACCTCCGCCTCCCGGGTTCAAGTGATTCTCCTGTCTCAGCCTCCCGAGTAGCTGGGATTACAGGTGTGCACCACCATGCCTGGCTGATTTTTGTATTATTAGTAGAGATGGGGTTTCACCATGTTGGCTAGGCTGGTCTCAAGCTCCTGACCTTTATTTTGAAACAGTCTCCTGAGCTTGAGCCCATACGTTGTGAATATCCTGCATGCTGACATTTTAAAGCCTTAGGTTTGGTTTTTGGAAATCGAAATCTGGGCCTAGCACAGGACTGGCCCTCAATGTATGTTGGCTGAATGAATAGATGAAGCTACTGGTAGAAAAATCTATTGCTGTATGTCATTTCTTTTTTCAGAAATGATGTTGGTTATCAAGGACTATTTACTTTTCTTGTGGCACCTAAATGTGTTTCTGAAGTCAGTTCCAAAGAAGAAGTTGTAAAAATGTCTTGATAATTGAAATAAGAAGATGATCTCCTAAGAAGGGGACCAAATCAGCTATTTAAATTCCAGTATGCTGGCTAAACAATCAGTTTCATTTCTTGAGAGTCACATTTTTATTTCAAAGATGGGATTATAAAGAACTGAATTAAATTTAATTGAAGTAAAAAAGTAAATACATTAAATGAACTTTATCTGTTATATTTGTATTGGTGTATATTTGTCACATACACATACATGCAAATAGATGTTAACATACACACAGACATAGGTAAAAATCATGTTGGTGTCTTCACCTCATCTGCAGCTCTTGGCTCTGAGTGAGCTCCAGATATATGGGCAGTATCGTCTGTAGGGAGTCAAGAATGGAACAGTTCGGATTGCAGTAAAGGCTAGGGAGTCCTGCAACGTTGAAGTCATCAAGTAGCTATGGTCCTGCCCTTGGAGCCTCATTATATAATCTTTCTCCTATTTGAAGCTGCCTTGTTTGTTTTTTCAGAAGAGACACAGCCCTCTCTGCCCGTCCACCACTCTGTTGTGTCCTCCCCTTCCCTCACTCCGTTCCTGCTGAGAAAGGGACAGTGATAGGATGTGCTTCCCCCAAACCCTCTCAGTGTCTGTGGGGATGGCTTTGATGCTTGACCTTTACGTCGCCATATTCATGTCACCCAGGTTTGCTGGTTCCTTTCAAGAGGGTGGAGGTTCTTCCCCCTCATTTTCAATTCCCTACGAAGCTCTGTGTGAAAGACTTTCTTTACACTTCTATCCCCGGCGTGCCTGTGTTCTGTCTCTGGACCTTACTTCCATCCATGACTTCGGGTGCCATCAACTGTGAGAGGTGCCTTTTAAAAGTGGGCTTTAGTGTTTTCTTTCTGTATGTTTATTAAGATAAAGTTCCAGTTTCCATCAGTGACCCCCAGAATTAGTGGGAGGTCTCTGTGATTCTTCAGCCCATCAGTTCATCATTGTGACAGGGACAGGAGAGCAGACGTTGACCCCTTTGGTGATTTATTTATCAGATAGAAGAAAGAACAGGGAGACCCCGGGGGATCATGGAGAATATGGCCAGTGCAGAAGGGCCTGTGCTGTCCCCCATCTCTAGGGTACGTTGACATTATCAGAGCTGTTTGGTGGCTGTGTTTCTTTGCATCTGTTGAAGGGCAAGCCTGCCTCTTGTATTTGGAACAGCATGCCTTGTCAGCATGATGTAATGTTTTTATTTATAGGATCAGGAAAAAGGCAATGCAGGAAGAGAAATAATTCCCTAAAGTTCTGTTCATTGTAGTCTTCTCTTCCTGCATCCTACGTGGTTCTGTTAATGCTCAGGCACCAAAAAAGGAGGTTTCTGTTTATTTTTAGAACTATACAAAATGAGAGATTGATCTAATTTGGTGTAGAGGATATGAAGGATGTATTTGTATCTCACTTTCCAGTGAGATAAATCCATATTGTGTGGCTTAATGACCGTTTACCGAAATGAGAAGATGTTAGTAACCCCACTACACTTGCTGTCCTTTTAACCCTACCTATCTGTTGGGTTGAAAAGCAAGTAGAAGGTTAATATTGATTTATATCCCTAAGCTTATTATGTGTGCCTAAGAGGATGAGCTTTCCCTTGCCTACATGGTCCTAAGGGTAGGGGGCAAAAGCATAATCTATTGCTAGGTGACCTTTCTAGCAATATTGCTAAAGCGATTCTGCCACTCAGCAGCATTAGTGCTGAATTGCCTGTAAGTAAGTGGGTTGTTGCAGTGTGTCCTTCTGCTTGCTACAGGTGACAAGGAGATCCTCTCATTTCAAAACACATACATAATTATTTTAAGATGTTAAGCAATGTCATAAAAGTAACCTAGTGATAATTACATTCTAAGCTGTTTTACTTAAAATTATTTTGTAATCTTTATACATACGAGACTTTCTGCATTTTGTTTACAAATCTGATGTTTACAAGTATTAACATAATTTTTTAAGTAAATAATTGACATGCAGGCAGACTACTTAGATTTCCCTTGTGTTAATAATCTACTATTTTCCTGTTGTTGGGAAATTGTGGCTGGGATATTTGACTGTTGTTTCCCAATATTTCAATGTGATAGCAAGTACTGCAATAAATATTTCAGTATATATATTTTTAGCTCCTTATTAGATTATAGCTCCAGTGGTAGCATTGCTAAAATCAAGGTCTATAAACAGCTCTGTGTAGCTCTTAAATGATGAGAAATTCTCAAGAAATAGGGGGCCAGAATATAATTATTCATTATTTTATGCATGGTATCTACTCTACCCCATAGTTTTGTTTGCCTATTTTTATTTCCATAATGATACAAATTAAAGCAGTTTAACATTTTTAAAAATACTGCTGAAAAGATATCCATGTTTTGTATCAGAACTCTCAGTATTGTTAAGATGGCAGTACTTTCCTAATTGAGCTACAGATTGAATGCAGTGTCTGTCACAATCACAGCATTTTATTTTTTTTTGCAGAGATTAACAAACTGATCCTAAACTCAAGGGCCCCAAAATAGCCAAAATAATATTGAGAAAGAAGGAAAAAATGGAAAGTGGAAAAAGAAAACTCCACTTCCTACTCTCAAAACTTACTACAAAGTAATCAAGACAGTGTGGTACGAGCATAAGAATAGACATATGGATCAGTGAGAATTGTGAAATAAATCTTACATTTATGATTAATTTACTTTTTTTTTTTTTTTTTTTTT
The DNA here is from genome assembly GCF_000001405.40 of Homo sapiens. Lineage (NCBI taxonomy): Eukaryota > Metazoa > Chordata > Mammalia > Primates > Hominidae > Homo > Homo sapiens. The sequence goes on from NC_000018.10 coordinate 24,090,819, forward strand.
TTTTTGGAGACAGAGTCTTGCTCTGTCACCCAGGCTGGAGTGCAGTGGCATGATCTCAGCTCACTGCAACCTCCACCTCCCAGGTTCAAGCGATTCTCATGCCTCAGCCTACCAAGTAGCTGAGACTACAGGTGTGCGCCACCATGCCTGGCTAATTTTTGTATTTTTAGCGGAGATGGGGTTTCACCACGTTGGCCAGGCTGTTTTCGAACTCCTGACCTCAGGTTCTCTGTCCGCCTCGGCCTCCCGAAGTGCTGGGATTACAGGCGTAAGCCGCCACGCCCGGCCTTATGATCAATTTGCTTTGACATGGACATCAAGACACGTCAGTGGGCAAAGAATAGTCTTTTCAGCCAGGCACAGTAGCTCAATGCCTATAATCCCAGCACTCTGGGAGGCCAGGGCAGGCAGATTGCTTGAGCTCACAAGTTTGAGACCATCATGGGCTGTGTTGAAACCCCATCTCTACAAAAATTAGCCAGGTGTGGTAGTGCACATCTGTAGGCCCAGCTATTCAGGAGGCTGAGGTGGTAGGATGGCTTGAGCCCGGGGGATGGAGGTTGCAGTAATCAGAGATCATGCCACTGCACTCCAGCCTGGGTGACAAAGCCAGACCATGTGCTGGGACAACTGAGTATTCACAGATGCAAAAGAATGAAGTTGGACCCTTATACTATACAAGAAAATTAACTCAAAGCGGATCATAGACCTAAATGTAAGATCTAAAACTGTAGAACCCTTGGGTTAGGCCTTGGTTTCCTAGACATGACACTAAAAGCACAATGACAAAAGAATAAATAAATTGAACTACATCAAAATGAAACATTTGCGCTATAAACAATACAATCAAGAAAGTGAAAAGACAACCCATAGAATGGGAGAAAATATTTGCAAGTTATATATCTGATACGGGACTTGTATTCTGAATATGTAAAGAACTGTTACAACTCAATAATAAAAAGACAAGCCAATTTAAAAATGGACAATGGGGGCAGGCGCGGTGGCTCACGCCTGTAATCCCAGCACTTTGGGAAGCCAAGGCGGACAGATCACGAGGTCAGGAGATCGAGACCATCCTGGCTAACATGATGAAACCCTGTCTCTACTAAAAAAAAATGCAAAAAATTAGCCAGGTGTGGTAGCGGGCGCCTGTAGTCCCAGCTACTCGGGAGGCTGAGGCAGGAGAATGGTGTGAACCTTGAAGGCGGAGCTTGCAGTGAACCAAGATCGCATCACTGCACTCCAGCCTGGGTGACAGAGTGAGACTCAGTCTCAAAAAAAAAAAAAAAAAAAAAAAAAAAAAAAAATAATAATAATAGACAACGGATCTGAAGAAACATTTCTCCAAGGAAGATAGGCAGTATCATAAATCACTAAGGAAACAAATCAAAACCAAGTAAGCTACTGTTTCACACCCACCAAGCTAACTACAGTAGGCAAGACAGCCAATAGCAAGTGTGGGCAGGATGCAGAGTGATTGGAACCCTCATTCATTGCCAGTGAGAATGTGAAATGGTGTGGCTGCTCTGGACCCAGTTCAACAGTTCCTCAAAATGTCAAACTATATGAAACAGCAATTTCACTCCTAGGAATATGCACAAGAGAAATAAAAACACCACTCCATATTATTATCCATAATAGCCAAAAAGTGGCAACAGCTCAGATGTCTATCAACTGATGAATGGATAAACAACATGTGATACATTCATACAATGGAATATTATTCAGCAATAGAAAGGAATGAAGTACAGATACATACTATAGCATGGAGGAACCTTGAAAACATGTTATGTGTAAAAAGTCAGTCACAAAGACCATATACTATATGATTCCATTTATATGACATCTTTAGGACGGGTACATCTACAGAGGCAGAAAATAGATTATTGCTTGCTTCAGTGTGGAGGTAGGTGAGGGAACAGTGTGGAGTGACTGCTAATGGATACATGGTACATAGTTTCTTTGGGGGAATGAAAATATTTCAGGCAGAGCACAATGGCTCACACCTGTAATCTCAGCACTTTGGGAAGCTGAGGTGAGTGGACCAGTTGAGCCCAGAAGTTTGATACAAGCCTGGCAATGTGGCGAAACCCCATTTCTACAAAAAATTAGCTGGGCGCACAGCTGTAGTCCCAGCTCTTTGGAAGGCTGAGGTGGGAGGATCATCTGAGCCCAGGATGTTGAGCCTGTAGTGAGCCGTGAAGGCACGAGACCCTGTTTCAAAAATATGTATATTTTAAACTTAGATTGTAGTAGTAGTTGCATAGCTATAATATTACTCTATGAGTATTCTAAAGACTTATTAAATTGTACACTTTAAGTGGGTGAATTTTGTGATTTTTGAATTTTATCTCAATAAAGATGTTTTATAAAAGTATTGGCCGGGTGCAGTGGCTCACGCCTATAATCCCAGCACTTTGGGAGGCCGAGGCGGGCAGATCACGAGGTCAGGAGATCGAGACCATCCTGGCTAACATGGTGAAACCCCGTCTCTACTACAAATACAAAAAACTAGCTGGGCGTGGTGGCGGGCGCCTGTAGTCCCAGCTACTTGGGAGGCTGAGGCAGGAGAATGGCGTGAACCCAGGAGGCAGAGGTTGCAGTGAGCCTAGATCGTGCCACTGCACTCCAGCCTGGGTGACAGAGTGAGACTCTGTCTCAAAAAAAAAAAAAAAAGTATTGAGAGTGTGCATTTTCTGTATGATTTTATACAATCTCTTTTTCTTCGGATATAAGCTACTGATTAAACCAAGTTTGATGACTTTCAACTAAGATATACAGGCATACATCAGAGACATTGCGGGTTTGGTTCTAGACCACTGCACTAAAGCAAATATCACAATATAGTGAGTCACATGAATTTTTTGGTTTCCCAGTGCATATAAAAGTTAAGTTTACATTGCACTGTAGTCTGTTAAGTGTGCAGTAGCATTATGTCTAAAAATACAATGTGTATACCTTAATTAAAAAACTTTATTGCTAAAACTATCAATCATCTGAGCCTTCAGCAAGTCGTAATCTTTTGGCTGGTGGAGGGTGTTGCCTAGATGTCGATGGCTACTGGCTGATCAGGATGGTGGTTGCTGAAGGTGGGGGTGGCTGTGGCAATTTCTTGAAGTAAGGCAACAGTGAAGTTTACCCCGCCGATTGACTCTTCCTTTCACGAATGATTTCTCTGTAGAATGTGATGCTGTTTGATAGCATTTTACCTACAGTAGGACTTCTTTCAAAATTAAGTCAATTCTCTCAAACCTTACCACTGCCTTATCAACTAAGTCTATGTGTTATTTTAAGTCTTTTGTTGTCATTTCAGCAGGGTTCACAGCATCTTCACCAGGAGATGCCATCTCAAGAAACCATTTTCTTTTCTCACTCATCTTAAGCCCCTCCCATCTCTTCATGTTTTGTCCTGCGATTGCAACAAGTCAGTCCCATCTTCAGGCTCCACTTCTGATTCTAGTTTTCTTGCTATTTCTACCACATTGGCTGTTTCTTCCTCCACTGAAGTCTTGAACCTCTCAAAGACATCTAGGAGGGTTGGAAGTAACTTCTTGCAAACTCCCATTAATGTTATTTTGACCTCCTTCTATGAATCCATGTTCTTAATGGTGTTTACAATGGTAAATCCTTTCCAGAGGGTTTTCAATTTACTTTGCTCAGATCCATCAGAGGAAGCCATGTCTATGGCAGCTATAGCCTTATCAAATGTATTTCTTAAATAATAAGACTTGAAAGTCAAAACTACTCCTTGTTCCATGAGCTGCAGAATGGATGTTGTGTTAACAGACATGAAAACAACATTATATCTCATTGTACATCTCCATCAGAGCTCTTGGGTGGCCACATACATTATCAGTAAGCAGCAATGCTTTGAAAGGAATCTTTTTTATTCTGAGAAGTATGTCCCAACAGTGTGCTTAAAATACTGAGTAAACCATATTATAAACAGATGTGCTGTCATTCAGGCTTTCTTTTTCCATTTATAGAACACAGGAAGAGGAAGAGTAGATATAGCCTAATTCTGAAGGGCCCTATGATTTTCAAAATGTTAAGTGAGCATTGTCTTCAACTTAATGTCACCAGCTGAATTAGCCTCTTAGAAGAGAGTCACCCTATCCTTTGAAGCTTTGAAGCCAAACATGGACTTCTCAAGCTATGAAAATTCTAGATGGCATCTTCTTCCAATAGAAGGCTGCTTTGTCTCCACTGAAAGTCTGTTGTTTAGTATAGCCTCCTTCATCAATGATCTTAGCTAGATCTTCTGGTTTTCTTGCTATGGCTTCTCCATCAGCACTTGCTGCTTCACCTTGCACTTTTCTGTTATGGAGACGGCTTCTTTCCTTAAACCTCATGAACCAACCTCTGCCAACCTTGGGCTTTTCTTCTACAGCTTCCTCACCTCTGTCAGCCTTCAAAGAATTGAAGAGAGTTAGGATCTTGCTCTGGATGAGGCTTTGGTTTAAAGGAATGTTGTGGCTGGTTTGATCTTCTATCCAGACCACTAAAACTTTATTCGTATCAGCAGTAATGCTGATTTGCTTTCTTATCATTCATGTGTTCACTGGAATAGCACTTGTAATTTCTTTCAAGAACTTTTCAGCTGGGCGCAGTGGTTCATGCCTGTAATCCCTGCTCTTTGGGAGGCTGAGGCCAGCAGATCACCTGAGATCAGGAGTTCGAGACCAACCTGGCTAACATGGTGAAACCCCATCTCTACTAAAAATACAAAAATTAGCGGGACATGGTAGCACATACCTGTAATCCCAGCTACTTGGGAGGCTGAGGCAGGAGAATTGATAGAACCTGGGAGGCAGAGGTTGCAGTGAGCCGAGATTGCATCATTGCACTCCAGCCTGGGCGACAAGAGTGAAACTCCGCCTCAAAAAACAAACAAACAAAAAAAAACTTTTCCTTTGCATTCACAGCTTGGCTAACTGGCATAAGGCACCTAACTTCCAGCCTTTCTCAGCTTTCAACATGCCTTCCTCATTAAGCTTAATCATTTTTAGCTTTTGATTTAAAGTGAGAGACTTACAGTTCTTCCTTTCACTTGAACACTCAGAGGCCATTGTAGGGTTATTAATCAACCTCAATTAATGCGTCTTAGGGAATGGGGGGCCCAAGGAGAGGGAGAAAGAAGGGGGAATGGCTGGTTAGTGGAGCAGCCAGATCACACACAACATTTATCAACTAAGTTTGTTGTCTTATGTGGGCATGGTTTGTGGTGCTCCAAAACAATTAAAATAGTAACATCAAAGATCACTGATCATAGATCACCATAACAAATATAGCAGTCATGAAAAATTTGAAGTATTGGGAGAATTACCAAAATGTGACACAGAGACACGAAGTGAGCTCATACTGTTGGAAAAATGATGCCAATGGACTTATTCATGGCAGGGTTGCCACACACCTTCAATTTGTTAAAGAAAAAAAGTGGTATCTGTGAAGTGCAATAAAATGAGGCATGCCTGTATTTCTTATATATTTGTCCAAATTCTAAATGTATAATATAAATATTAGTGAAGTTAATTATATTTTCTGTCTATTACTTTCATTGTGAGAATTAACATTGCCTTTAATCGTAGGAACTTTGAACATTCAGACATATTCACATTGTTGTTATAATGATAGACTCATTTCTCCAGAAATGAAATTTATCTTCCATCCCAAACTAAGATTTATAGACTATTCTGTTTTTAAATTGTAAACGGATGTTTAAAAACTATCTTACTGTATTTTCATGCCTCTTTGCATGTATGAGATGTACATATGGTTTTATTCTGATCCCTTCTGTAAATCAGGGATGTGCGTTTGTTTCGAGGGTATTTTCTCTTCCTGTCATTGAATCAAATTCTTAAAATAGATAAAATCTTTCTTTTTACTTTTTATATTTTATCTGTATACTTTTTAAGTGAATATTATATAGCTTTGATAATTGTGATAAGGGGACTTCAAAAACTTCATTGACAAATGGAATTAAAAGATAAAATTATAAAACATAAACTTTATCAACATAAGCTCTACCAAGTTCCAGACTCTTTTGTAAGCGATGATACCAGCCATTTAGTCCATCCTTAAAGAACTGTGGGTCCTGGGAATTTAACCATGTCAGTGCAGTCTTTTTTACATAATTAACTGAAGAAAAATTGGTGCCCTTTAAAATTAGGAAACAAGAAGTCAAAGGGAGCCAAATCAGGACTGTAAGGTGAATGCCTAATGATTCCCAAGGAAATTCTCACAAAATTGGCCTTTTTCGATGAGAGGAATGGACAGGAGCATTGTCACAGTGGAGGACTCTCTGGTGAAGCTGTCCGGGGTGTTTTGCTGCTAAACCTTTGGCTAACTTTCTTAAAACAATCTCATAAGTAGCAGATGTTATCATTCTTTGTCCCCACGCCCAGAAAATCAACAAGCAAAATGCCTTGAGCATCCCAAAAAAACTGTTGCCATCACCTTTGCTCTTGCTGTCTTTGCTGTGACTAGGCCACTCCCACCTCTTTGTAGCCATTGCTTAGATTGTGCTTTGTCTTCAGGATTGTAGTGGTAAATCCACATTTCATCTCCTATTACAGTTCCTTGAAGAAACACTTCAGGATCTTGATCCCACTTATTTACAATTTCCATTGAAAGCTGTGCCCATGTCTGCAGCTGATCTGGGTGCAGTGGTTTTGGCACCCATCAAGTGAAACTTTGCTCATCTTTTTTGGTCAGAATGGTGTAAGCTGAACCAATTGAGATGTCTATGGTGTTGGCTATTATTTATAGTCCTCTTCAATTAGGGCATGAACAAGATTAATATTTTCTTTGCAAATCTGTGTAGATGGTCTGCCACCATGGGCTTCATCTTCAACATCGTCTTGGCCCTTCGTAAACTTATACATTTGCAAACTGCTGATTTCTTTGGGGAATTATTCCTATAAACTTTTTGTAAAGTGTCAGTGATTTCACCATTCTTTCACCCAAGCTTCACCATAGGTTTTATGTTTGTTCTTGCTTCCATTTAAATGCAGAATTTATGTTGCTCTGATAGGGGCTCTTTTCAAGTTGATGTCTTATGCTTCTTAGTGCCTCAAACTAGATCCTGCTCAGACATGTTATAGCAAGTTAGTATGGGCTTATTTTGGTGTAAAAAAATTTGAAATTCATGCATAGTTTTATTATAATGCACATTTTCTATGACCATTTTGAAGACCCTGCCTATGTCTTAAATAAAACAAGAATATCATGATTGCCTTTTAAATATATATTATATTATTTTTTATCCACTTGTTCTCTCACATATATACATAACTATCAGTTTCTCAGGTTCTCTGTTAATGGGAAATTTAAATTGATACTATGTTTATAATATTTCTTATCAGTCACTGAGGATATGTCTTCATTTAGTCATGTCACCTTTTATTTCTCCCATTTTGACTATAAAATTTTTGCATATGTCTGTCCTGTCGTATATAGCAAGCAGGGGTCCAGATGAGATAAGTACTTTGTGAAAGTGTACATAGTTATTTTAGGATTAAGGAAGACCTAGAATTCAGGCTTTCTTTCTTTCCTTTCTTTTCCTTCCCTCCCTCCCTCCCTCCCTCCCTCCCTCCCTCCTTCCTTCCTTCCTCCTTTCCTTTCTTTCCTTTCTCCTTTCCTTTCCTTTCTTTTCTCCTCTCCCTTCCCTCTCCTCTCCTATCCTCTCCTCTCCCCTCCCCTCCCGTCCCCTCCCCTCCCCTCCCCTCCCCTCTCCTCTCCTCTCCTCTCCCTTTCTTGCTTTCTTTTCCTCTCTCCCTCCCTTTCTTTCTTCTTTTCTCTTCTCTTCTGTTTGTCTCTTTTTCATCTCTTTTTAGATGGAGTCTCGCTCTATCACCCAGGCTGGAGTGCAGTGGTGCGTTCTTGGTTCATTGCAACCTCTGCCTCCCGGTTCAAGCAATTCTCCTGCCTCAGCCTCCTGAGTAGCTGGGAGTACAGGTGCCCAACACCACACCTGGCTAATTTTTGTATTCTTAGTAGAGACGGGGTTTTGCCATGTTGGCCAGGCTGGTATCGAACTCCTGACCTCAAGTGATCCTCCTGCCTTGGCCTCCCAAAGTGCTGGGATTACAGGCATGAGTCACTGCGCCCAGCCCAGGCTTTCTTTTTTTAATCGAGTGTTTTTTCTAGTATATCCCACTGCTTTTATTTGCTAATAAGTTAGAGGAATGTGTGTGTGTGTGTGTGTGTGTGTGTGTGTATATATATATCTATACACGTATATACATATAACATATATACATATATATAACATATATACATATATATATATAAAACGTGTGTGTGTGTGTGTGTGTGTGTGTGTGTATGTGTGTGTCTTAGTTTGGGCTGCTATAAAAGAATACTATAGATTGGGTGACTAAAACAACACACTTTTATTTCTCACAGTTCTGGAGGCATGAGATCCAGGTGCCAGAAGATTGGGTGTCTAGTGAGGACCATGTCCTGGTTCATAGATGATGGCTTCTCACTGTGTCCTCAGATGGTGGAAAGGGGGCTAGAGAGCACTCAGGGGTCTCTTTTATGAGGGCACAAATTGCATTCATGAGGGCTCCACCCTCATGATCTGATTACCTCACAAAACTCCCACCTCCTAATACAGTTCCAGTGAGGGTTAGGATTTCATGTATCAATTTTGTGAGGCAGGAGCATTCCATAACAATGTTATATATAATATATAACTGATATATGTAACTTAGCAATTAATATATATATGTATGTATTTAAATGTGAATATAAATATTTCTGGGACTTGTGTTTACTAGGCTTTAGGAATAGACCTGATTTGTTTTTAATGATTTGGCTAAAAGCGTATCTTTTTTATATGCTTTCTTATATCTCCATATTTTGGAGAAACAGATCACTTAAAGTAATTAAACTGCCATTAAACATTGGAAGGAGTTCTTATGTAACTTACTGCTGTGAAATTCCCTTTTGAAATCAGTTTTTTAATAACTTCCCTTATTTCTTCTGTAATGTTAATATATATTTACTTATATCCATTTTAGTTTTATATTATAGTTTTCCATTTCTAGTTATTACTTTCCAAACATATAACTTAATACTAGTTTCAGATCTGTAAAAATGTGATATTATTTTATTAGACTAATTTGTGTTTTCTTAATTTTATGATTAAGCTTTTGGATTATCATATTGGTTTTGAGAGAGAGAGATTGATTTTTTTAATCAACTCATTTTAAAATTTCCATCGTTTCTAGTTTCCCTTAACTTAGCTTGTTTTACAGTTTTTCTTAATAGTTTATCATAACACATTTGTTGTATTAGAATAGTTGGATATTTGTGTTCTGGGATTAGGGATTTGATCACATTCAGGGTGTTTAGGGAGCCTGAAGGTTTTATTAAATGTTCATTGTGATGTGTCTTAATTATCTGATTATGATTATGATTCATCTTACATCCTTTAATAACCTGTGTGGAAGGCCTACTCTGAGTCTGTGGCCCTTGTCCTCCGCCTGGCAGAAGCTCAGGGTTTAGGGCTCACCCCTGGAGGCCACTGTTGGGATGAATCCTGGCCCCTCCACTCTGGCCGAGTGACCTTGGCCCTTCACCTCTTTAAGCCTTGCTTCCCTCCTCAGTGAGATGGGGATCCCAGTGGTATCTTGGCCCAGTTTAGCTGTTAGGATTCAGTGAGGCAACCCAGGAGGCGTGTGCAGCACAAGGCTTGGAGTGAGTGCCCAGTCGTTGGCTGTAATGACAGTGGCACTGCAGTGTGACTCTTCTTAGGGTTGTGGCCAGAGTGGAGGGCATTTATTGACATAGGGCTTCCGAGCTTCAGTTTTTAGTGTGTGGCATTGTAGAGAGAACATTGGACTAGAAGTCTGTGGATCTGGTTTCTAGCTTTGGCTCTGCCATAAACAGTAAAAATTATTTCCTAATGGTTGCTTTCACGTCAGGCAGTTTGAAAGAGGTGGGAGACCTCAAGCCAGTGGACCTTCTCTGGTGTTCTTTTTATTCACCAGGAATGTTAGAGGGTTGGAATAAGTCAGGGTTTTCTGAAGCACCAGCCCAGTCTCACTGATTTGATGGCCTGTTAGTACATGTCCCATGAAAAGAGGTTCTGTGTTGGGTTAATTGGGATATCCTGGGACTTCTCCCAGGCTTTAGTTTTGCACTGTGATTCTCCAAGGGGAAGATAAGAATATGCAGGTATGCTATGTTTAACCAGCTTATTTGACCAGGAAAATTCCTATTTATACTGTAGCCTGTGAGACTGGAAGCGTTCGGTAGAACATACTTTGGGAAGCAGTAGGCTAGATAATTTGTGAGATCTCTTCCAACTTTCAAATGTTATGATTCTGTGAATATACTAAAAACCACTTAATTTTATACTTGAAAAGGATGAATTTTCTGGTTTGTGAATTAGATCTCAATAAAGCTGGTAATAAAATCTTCAAAACTAACTACCTGGGATTATTTCTGCTTTTTACAACTTGGCTTTAATTTTTCATAAAAAAAAAAAAAAAAAACTGGCTGGGCACTGTGGCTCACGCCTGTAATCCCAGCACTTTGGGAGGCCAAGGCGGGCGTTATCACCAGGTCAAGAGATCGAGACCATCCTGGCCAACACAGGGAAACCCCGTCTCTACTAAAACTCAGAAAGCTGAGGCAGGAGAATCGCTTGAACCCAGGAGGTGGAGGTCGCAGTGAGTCGATATTGTGCCACTGCACTCCAGCCTGGCGACAGAGCGAGACTCCGTCTCAAAAAAAAAAAAAACATCCACATAGCAGCTTGCCCGTTGAACACCTTTTACAGAGAGTGTCATTCAGGTCTAGCAAACATTCAGTGTCACTTTGCTGATTATAACTTTGGTTTGTTTCTCTTATGCCAGTCTTGACACATATTAGGTCTTCTCGGCTTTCTAGGTTTATCTGTTTGTCTTGAAATGCTGTCTTCATTGGAGTTGTATGGCTGTTTGTAGACTAGTGTATTCTGTATTTCTATGATTTTTGTTTTTCTGAGTTAATTCTTTGTGTTATCTTCTTCGCTGTTATTTTTAATTCTTTGATAACATCTTAACATAAGCACATTTCTTTTAAACTTACTGCTGTGTTTCACATACATTTTCCCCATCATTTTAAAAGGCATTTTGGTGTAGTGGAGAGAGCACTAGGCTCATCTCAAAATGGGGTCTTCAACTTACTGGCCCAGCCCAGCTTTCTGAGCCTGTACCCTCATCTGTAAAAAAGAAGGCAGTACCTCCCACTAGGAGAAGACGTCAGCCTTCAGTAATGCAGCCTGGGAAGGGTAAAGCACTAAGCACAGGGTTAGTTTATCAAGTGCTCTTTTCCTATCTAGACAGAATCGTGTCTGAATTGTAAATCCCACTACGAAGCACTTTCCGTCACAAATGTCAGAATCCTGCCATGACTGTTGAGAGACCAAGGAAGTTTTGTAATTGGTGCATTATTCATTTCCTCTACCATTAGTGGTGGATTCAGTTGCATAACTCACTTTTCAAGGTGATTGCTATTCATTCACGTGGAGATGCTGAAAACATAACTACTCTATCCATTATGTGTACATAATCAAGTATTTATTGGCTATGATGTGAAAGGTCTTCTGAGGATGAAACTTCCCTGCCCACAAGAAACATGGAATTCGGTTATGAAGAAAGCAGTGTGCATACACAAAAAAGCAAGAAAAAGAAAGCGCCAAGTGAATGGGTGGTTGCTGTGGGTGGAGACGACTGGAGAGGTGGGGACCGTCTTTAGGATGAGGAGGCTGTGGGGCGGGGAGGTCCACATTGCTGGCTCTGGAGTCAGACTGAGCAGGTTCCCGTTTTGGGCTCCACCTCAAAGGCTATGTGGCCTTCAGTGAGGCCTGGAGATTGTACACCTGGCCCACGAGGAAGGTTTGCCATCTTACCAGGCACAGGGTTAAGAGCACCCCACATGTTGGCCCCTCTGATGATGATGATGAGACCGGGATAAGCTTATTAAAGCAGCTTTGCTTAAACGCTCTTTACCTAGGCCGGTGTGCTGGCTCACGCCTGTACACTCCCACTTTGGGAGGCCAAGGTGGGAGGACTGCTTGAACCCAGGAGTTTGAGACCAGCCTGGACAACATGGCGAAACCCTGTCTCTACAAAAAATACAAAAATTAGCCAGGTGTGGTGTGCACATAGTCCCACCTATTTGGGAGGCTGAGGTGGGAGGATCCCTGGAGCCTAGGAGGCGGAGGTTGCAGTGAGCCGTGATCACGCCACTGCATTCCAACCTGGGCAACAGAGTGAGACCGTGTCTGGAAAAAAAAGAAAAAAGGGCTCTTTATTTAGCCTCTCCTTGCTCCACATCAGAATGTTAATTTCCAACTGCCTCATTCTGTCTAAGTCATATTCATTTGAGAATGTGGCGAAGTACAAAAGTATGTCAAGGTACAGATAAACGTCTTGCATTCCAGAAATATATACTATTTACATTTGCTCAATACCTGAGTATTATTGACTATAATTATCAGTTGGAGATCTGTGTCTTCTAAATAGTCATTCACAGTAGGCACTGGAGGTGGTCTTATGTCAGAAATTTATACAGATCCTGAAAGGACAAATGGAGATGTGCAGAACATCCTTGTGGTTTGAAAATCTGTGTGTAATTCACTAATCTGCAATTGGTCTGCATAGCCAGCAGTAACAAACAGCACACGTGTGGTCTGGTTCTTGGGAACTCACTGAACTCCCCTACCTTGTCTCTTATAGGGCATATATTTCAAGGTCAGCGTCAGCTTTTATCTGCTATATGTATCTCTTTCACATGTGATGTTGTTCACATTGGAGAGTCACTTTCTTATACTATATGGAGTTTTATTAATGAATTAGGAATTTCAGAGGCCACTTCTTTCTGCCCTTCCCACCCACCCCTCCTCCTGCCCCAGTCCCAGCCAACACTGTTTTTCTCCTGGATGGTCACATCATCCTGACTCCCTGCTTTTGCTCTTCTTGCCCTGCAGTCTGCTCTAACATATCTGTCAAAGTAACTTCGTTAGTAAAATTTAGGTTACATTATGTCATGTCTCTGTACAAAACCCATAAATAACTCCTCTTCCCATTCAGTGCGAAATCCCACATTCTCTCTCTGTTTTTTTTTTTTTTGTTTGAGACGGAGTCTTGTTCTGTCACCCAGGCTGGAGTGCAGTGGTGCCATCTCGGCTCATTGCAACCTCCACCTTCTGGGTTCAAGCAATTCTCCTACCTCAACCTCTTGAGTAGCTGGGATTACAGGCACTTGCCACCACGCCCGGCTAATTTTTGTATTTTTAGTAGAGACTGGGTTTCACCATGTTGGCTGGGCTGGTCTTGAGCTCCTGACCTCAAGTGATCCACCCACCTTGGCCTCCCAAAGTGCTGGGTTTATAGGCATGAGCTACCGCACCTAGCCCCAAATCCCAAATTCTTATAATGGTCATCAGGGCTTGCATGAACTGACCTCCTGTTGCCTCTGCAGTCTCCTTGCCCACCAGCTATGGCCATCCCCACTCCACCCCTGCCCCACTGGCCTCCTTCCTTCCTTAAATGCACAGGGCACAGGGCTGCCTCGGGGCCTTTGTGCTTTCTGGGCCCTGCCTAGGACATTTTTACCTTTGATATCTGCTTTCACCAGTTCCTCACTTCCTTGAGTTTGTTCAGAGTCACCTCCCAGGGAGACCACCCACCTCATCCCTGCCCAGAGACTTCTCTCAGGACACTCTACGTGAAGGGGTTTCCTTATTTGTTTATTGTCTGCCCCTCCCCATTAGAATGAGAACTTAAGCTCCACGAGGACAGAGACTTCGTTTGGGCCACTGCTTTATCTCAAATGCCTAGACCAGTGCCCAGCGCTTAGGGAGCAGGGTGTTTGTGTGTGTGTGTGTGTGTGTGTGTGTGTGTGTGACTGTGCATGTGTGTGTGTGTGATGAATGAATACAAAGTACAGTCTCTTGTTCTTTTCCTCTCAGTTGTGCTGTGATGTAGCTCCTGGACTTTTGTCAGAATGGGAGCAGCCATATTTATGGCATGTGGAAACAGTTCCCTAATTATGCAAAATTTATGAATTCCACATCCCCAGTAGTATTAAAAGCTCCATCTCCCCCATCAAGGACTTTCTAAACGTAACTCTAAAACCAAAACATATTAAGAAAAAGATTGATAAAATTGATCAAAAGATTGATAGAATTTACATAAAAATAAACTTCTGTATTGTAAAAATATCATAAGCAAAGTTCAAAAAAAGAAAAAAAAAACCCTGGATGTTAACCTACTAAATGTTAGCATCTTTAGTATAGAAAGAGTTCTTTCAAAATTAGGACATAATGGAAGGATAAATAAATAAAAGCACAGAAAAAGAAAAATGCCAAAACACCTAAGCTGGGAAGTCAGGAAATAAGATATACACATGGCCAATAACATGTGAACCTTGCAAAAATCCAGGAAATGCAAATTAAAACAACATGGAAGAATGATTGGCTAATACTGAAAACATTCAGTGTGAATAAAAGATACAGGGAAATTGACCCTTTACAAACTGTTGGTACATATGGATAGTTGATAAAATCTTTATGGCTGATCATCGGGTATTTATACAAATTACTGTTATAATTTGCCAACCTAAGAGGGAAATAAATGTATTATATAGGCATGCATATATGAAATACATATGTGCACACACACACACATGCCTGCACATACACATACATGCACACACACACTTGCAGGCAGGCACCACACTGGCCCACCTTCGTCACCTGTGAGAACTCCAGTGGTGGCTTCTGAGTGGGGTGTGGGGAGCACTGTGACTTGCCTCACTTGAGTCAGGTGCTCACCCTTGCCCTTACACCAGAGAAAGACACTTCCATGCCACCACATGGGTGATGGTGGACAGAGGTGAATGGATCCCCAAAGAAGGGACACCCCTGACCGTTGGTGTCTTCGTTTCCCACGGCTGCCATAACAAAGTATCACAAACTGGGGACTTAAACAACAAAAATGTATTGTCCCCCAGCTCTGGGCTAGATGTCCAAAATTAGAGTCAGCAGAATTGGTTCCTCTGAGGGCCGTGAGGGAGAGCCTGTTCCATTCCTCTCTCCTGGCTTCTGCGGCTTGCTGGCAAGCTTTGCCATGTCTTGGCCTATGGAAGTGTCACCCCCATCTCTGTCTCCGCCTCCGCATGGTGTTCTCTCTTTGAGCTGGCCTCCGCATCTGCATTCTCCCTCTTTATGAGGGAGTCAGGACCCACCCTACTCCAGTGTGACCTGGTCTAAACCTAGCTCATCACATCTTCAACAACCCTTATTTCCAAATAAGGTCACATTCTGATGTAGGGGTTAGGACTTTAACATGAATTTGGAGGGACACAATTCAATCCATAATGGTTGACATCCAGTGCCAATTAGTGTCTCCCCACAGGCAACTGGGCGTTTCTCTCCCTTTTTATGCAGATGCCATTGGTGCCCTAGCTGCCTCCAAGTGCACCACCTACACGTTCTTCCAGAGGTCTCAGAACAAAGATTCTCACACCAAATTAAAATGGGCTGGAATCACAGAGTTTAGTGAATTGATGTAAATCGCTCAGTGGAAAGAGAAAGAATCAGTTAGCACTCTCAGGGGAGGCTGCAGGCGGGGTGGGTGGGAGGACTGTGCGACCTGGGTGCTGGGGTGTGTGATGTGCAGTGTCCTCCCTTCCTCTGCACATCCCTCTTCCTCACTGACGTGGTTAGGAGGACTGGCGTTGTGTTGGAGAGAGGGGGCCTGCAGGTGGAGGGTATCCTGGGCTGGGGCACATAATTTATCAGAGACCCATGGGGATGAGGGGATGAGTACACCTGGCCATAGTGCAGCAGACTGATGGACAGCCATGGGTTGTTTTGTTTTGTTGTGTTTTGAGACGGAGTCTGGCTCTGTCACCCAGTGCAGTGGCACTATCTTGGCTCACTGCAACCTCCACCTCCTGGGTTCAAGCAAGTCTCCTGCCTCAGCCTCCTAAGAAGCTGTCATTACAGGTGCATGCCACCATGCCTGGCTAATTTTTGTATTTTTAGTAGAGACGGGGTTTCACCATGTTGGCCAGGCTGGTCTCAAACTCCTGACCTCAAGTGATCAGCCTGCCTTGGCGTCCCAAAGTGCTGGGATTACAGGTGTGAGCCACCGTGCCCGACAGGCAGAGGATACCTGGCAATATAGTCTGGGCCAAATCCCCAAAAGAACTCGGCCTTGTTTCCGTTTCTATTCTTTTCGCAACTCTAGACGTGGAATCTTTTGCTGGGTTTTATTGGTGTTTTACTGGGCAGAGGATACCTGGTGCCTGAATGGGTGTCACCAGTGGATGGTCAAATTAAGACCTCATGAATATTAAGTACTCATGTATATTTAGTGTTGTTTGTATGTTTAATCTCATGTCTAGTTAGCTCCCAAATACCTCATGAATATTAGATATCTCTTAGGCCTTTCATCCTTCTCTAACACACACACACACACACACACACGCACGCATGTGCACTCTACTTTCTGAGTGCTGCTTTTATTCTAAATACAGCTCATGAATTTTGCCTATTCTAACTGATATGTTCTGGCTGTGTCCCCACCCAAATTTCCTCTTGAATTTTGGTTCCCATAGTCCCCATGTGTCATGGGAGGGGCCAGGTGGAGATAATTGAATCACGGGGGCAGTTTCCCTCATCCTGTTCTCGTGATAGTGAGTGAGTTCTCACGAGATCTGATGGTTTTATAAGGGGCTTCTCCCCTCCTTTGCTCTGCACTTCTCTTGCCTGCCACCGTGTTAAGATGTTCCTTTGCTCCTCCTTCGCCTTCTGCCATGATTGCAAGGCCTCCCCAGCCATGTGGAACTGTGAGTCCATTAAACTTCTCTTTTTCGATAAATTATCCAGTCTCAGATATTTATTTATAAGCAGTATGAAAATAGACTAATACACTAACAAACTTTTGTTTTTGAGACAGGGTCTCCCTCTGCCACCCAGGCGGGAGTGCAGTGGTACAAAATCACAGCTCATTGCAGCCTCGACCTCCCGGCTCAAGCAATCCTCCCACCACAGCCTCCCAAGTAGGGGGGGGGGTACAGGCATGTGCCACCAAGCCCACCTAATTTTTTGTGTTTTTGTAGAGATGGGGTTTCACCATGTTGCTCAGACTCTAACAGGCTTTTTACTTACTAGTTGCTTAAAACATCTTAAAATAGAATGTGCTTATGTTTTACAAACTGCGAACTTAGTTATCTAACAGATTTGAACATTCTCAAAGGCAAATGCACATCAAAGCTATAGAATTAGGGAACAAGGGACTATTGTGTTCTGTGATTTGTCCCTGCAGCAGTCACCTCTTGTCCGATGTTTAACCCAACAGATTGAAGTGACACCAACATTATTTTCACGCCAGCAGACAGGGCTCTGAACTGAAACCTTTGTGCATGTGAGCTTTTTGTCACTTAATGTTAAATATGATTTGGAGGTGGCACAAAAGGAAACTGCTCACTTGGGAAGCAGAATCTTATGTTACAGATTCGGGGAGGGCTGGAACTTGACATCCCTTTGGCAATATAGTCTGGGCCAAATCCCCAAAAGAACTCGGCCTTGTTTCCATTTCTACTCTTTTCGCAACTCTAGACATGGAAACTTTTGCTGGGTAGCTGAGTTCAGCAAGTCCTCTCAGTTAGGTATTGCTGGTGAGCATTTTTCAATAGAACAATAAGGAATATTAGTAGACCCCAGGCTTCATGTGTTGACTGCGACAATCATTCAGACTTTTTTGTATCTTCATATTTATATGTTGAGATCTTTATATAGGGCTTTAAAAGTACATTAGTATGGAAATATCAAGAATAGCTTGAATTTTTTAATTGTGTGGAAAATGTCACCTGTAGTTAGTTGCTCCATCCCTTTATAGTACATGGTTTATTTCTTTTTGTCCCTTCTCTTGCCACAGAACACGCATGAGTTTGTTTGGATATTAGGCAAGAGTACATTCTTGTGTATTTATGATAGAATCTTAAACAGATCTTAATTATGCCTGTTAGATAAAATCTGGAATTTCTCCTGGTGAGTCTGAAACAATTGGTAGGAAACTTAATTGCCATTTACTGTGAGTATATGTTCAGAATGTTGGAAAACAATATTGTGGATTATTTCCCACCACTATTAACAGGTGACACTTATTTTTAAAGACAAGGTACCTTTCCTAAGAGTATTATACTTAAATGAAATTTATTTCAACATCCCAGCTGGGTGCTGTGGCTCATGCCTGTAATCCCCGTACTTTGGGAGGCCAACACAGGAGGACTGCCTGAGGCCAGGAGTTTGAGAACAGCCTGAGAAACATAGCAAGACTCCCGTCTCTACAAAAAAAAAAAAAAAAAAAAAAGTTAAAAAATTAGCCAGATTGGTGGTGTGCACCTATAGTCCCAACTACTCAGGAGGCTGAGGTGGGAGGATTGCTTGAGCCCAGAAGTTCAAGGCATTCCAGCCTGGGTGACAGAGCAAGACCCTGTTTCAAATAATAATAATAACAATAATTAAACTTAAACATTAAAAAAAAATTCAACATCCCCTGAGAATATAAACAAAGCAAATTATTTCCTAGGTTCAAACTTGTGTTGATTATAAAGTTGGCCTAGAATTGGGTAGTATTGTCTAAAGTCTAATATTCTTTGTTACACTGTGTGGCCATTAAGAAAAAAATTTAAATTATGGCGATTTAAACATTTAATTATTCAGTTGAAACGCATGGCTTTAAAAAGTGAACTAGTTATTTATATAGTTCAGAGCACAGGAAATATGAAAATATTTGCAGCTGGTTCTGCAAGTCTGGCATTATCCTGATAACCAGAGTAAAGCACTAAATGAAAAATGATTGATCATGCATTCCCAATATAGAAATTCTAAATAAGCTGGATGCAGTGGCTCATGTCTGTAATCCCAGCACTTTGGGAGGCTGAGGGAGGCGGATCACTTGAGGTCGGGAGCTCGAGACCAGCCTGGCCAACATGGTGAAACCCTGTCTCTAGTAAAAATCCAAAAAATTAGCAGGGTCTGGTGGTGCACACCTGTAATCCCAGCTAATCGGGAGGCTGAGGCATGAAAATCACTTGAACCCGGGAGGCAGAGATTGCAGTGAGCCGAGCCGAGATCACGCCACTGCACTCAAGCCTGCACAACAGAGTAAGACTCTGTCTCAAAAAAAACCACGAAATTTTAAATAAATATTAGCAAATTAAATCCAACATTATAATTTTAAAATGCTATATTATGACCTAGTAGGACTTATTCCAAAAAGGCAGCCACAGTTCAGCCTCAGGTAATATGTTCCTGTTATTCCCTGCATTAAGGAAATCATTGATAAAACCATACAGTCCTGTCAATGGTATTTAATAAAATGTACTACTCAATCCAGATTAAAAAGAAAACTGTTAGTAAGCTATACATGGGAAGGACATTTCTTATTTAGTAAAAAACGGCATCTACTTGTAGCAAGCCCTGTTTAATGGTGAAACCATATTTAATGGTGGCCTCATTAAAGACAGCAATGCAGTGTGCTGTTATAAGTATTTTAACTGGTGCTCCTAGCCAATTAACAAACAAATTTGTTGTAAAAGAAGAGACAGTACTGTCACTTGCAAATTATTTTAATGCCTCCATGGAAAATCCAAGGAAATTAAATATATATATATGAGAGAGAACTCCTAAGAGGATGATATTGTGACATACACAAAATCAACTTGCCAAAATCCAGAGTTTTCCCACATACCGGCAACACTCACTTAGAGAATAAAATGGAGCAACCTCTTACAGTTGCTAGAAGAACTAAAAAATACCTAGGAATATACCTACAAGAGGGCAGGCTGGAATAACTGGAAAAATATGCTCCATCTTTCATAACAATGCCATGGCTGCCGATTATGCTGGTGTGAATTTGTCAATAAACATGCCCTACTTAATTTGGCAAAGGTTTGCGCTTTGTGTTCTTCATGGCTTTTGCTGGAAGCAGATAAAGCTAGCCAATATTGTTTCTCATTTTACTAGTGAAGAAACTGAGGCTTGGTTTTTGTGACACAGTGTGTCCAGGTATAGTTAATGAGACAAAAGCCTAGATGGCACTAAGTCAGTCCTGGCCTAGTGGCTTTTTTATTTTAATGCCTCCATGGTGGACCAGAGAAAGACTTTTTTTTTTTTTTGAGATGGAGTCTCACTCTGTCACCCAGGCTAGAGTGCAGTGGCACGATCTTGGCTCACTGCAACCTCCACCTCTCGGGTTCAAGTGATTCTCCTGCCTCAGCCTCCTGAGTAGCTGGGACTACAGACATGTGCCACCACGCCCAGCTAATTTTTTGTATTTTTAGTAGAGACGGGGTTTCACCGTGTTAGCCAGGCTGGTGTCGATCTCCTGACCTCATGAGCCACTGCGCCCGGCCTCTGTGAGAGTTTTTATGATGACAAATTAAGATATCCATCATGGGCTGGGCACAGTGGCTCACACCTGTAATCCCAGCACTTTGTGAGGCTGAGGTGGGTGGCTCACGAGGTCAGGAGTTCGAGACCAGCCTGGTCAATATGGTGAAACCTCATCTGTACTAAAAATATAAAAATTAGCCAGGCGCAGTGGCACATGCCTGTAGTCCCAGCTACTTAGGAGGCTGAGGCAGGAGAATCGCTTGAACCCAGGAGGCAGAGGTTGCATTGAGCCAAGATCACGCCACTGACTCCAGCCTGGGTGACAGAGCGAGACTCTGTCTAAAAAAAAAAAAAAAGATCATTTTTTCTTTTAAATTTTTTTGGTGAGACTGGGCATGGTGGCTTATGCTTATAATCCCGGGACTTTGGGAAGCCGAGGTGGAAGGATCACCTGAGCCCAGGAGTTTGGGACCAGCATGGGCAGTGTAGTGAGACCCCTGTCTACAAAATATTAATTAAAAAAAAACTTAGCCAGACACAGCAGTGCATGCCCATAATCCCAGCTACTTAGGAGGTTGAGATGGGAGTATCTCTTGAGCCTGGGAGATTGAGGCAGCAGTGAGCTACGAATGCGCCATTGCACTCCAGCATGGGAGACAGAGCAAGACCCTATCTTTAAAAATATATATATATATATATTTTTTTTGGTGAAAAATATGGGAAAATTTATTTCAACTGTGTTAATGGCTGTTCATCATAATTCCTCACTCAATGATCAGGATAGAACTAGAATGAATTCTGTAGTTCTACTTGCTCTCGGCATAATGCCATTGAGCTCCATAACCTGGTCTCAGTGCTTTCAAGCCCTCTGGAGGCTGTGGGGAGAACCCTTCCTTGCCTCTTCCAGCCTCTGGTGGCTGCTGGCCTTCCTTGACTTGTGGCAGCATCACTCCAGGCTCTGCCTCCATGGTTGACAGTGTCCTCTTCTCTCCTATGTGTGTCACTTTGAAGGATACATGTGATTGTATTTAGGGCCAACCTGGCTAATCCAGGATAATCTGTCTCATCTCAGGATCCTTGACTTAATCACATCTGCATACACACTCCCCGAAGAAAGCACACTTTTTAGAGGCAGTTGGGCAGAATTTTGACTATTAGTCAATTGTTACCTTGTTGACCTTGACCAAGCTCCTTAACTTCTTTGAACTTTACTTTCTTCATCCGCAAATGGAATTAATACATACCTACCTCAGAGAGTTTGAAAGGGTTAAGAGAAATGATTTGATTGAAATACTACCTGGATTTCTTTTTCCTTTCCTTAGATTCAAAGCTTTATTTGGACTCATCTTTTTATCTCCAGAGCCTGTCCCTGGCACATAGCGGTTGCCCAGTAAATGTTTCCTGATTAATTTTCTGTCCTCTGAAGGACAGCGTGCTATTGCACTGTCATGTACCATGGGGGACACGGGGGGGAACAGCTCGGTGGTGATGGCCCATCTAGAAACATTCTGTATGTGAGAACTATGTCATTAATTTAGCAAAGTGAGAGAGATGTTTGCAAAGCTGAACCCCTAATGCTGTGATTTCTGTATAAATATGCTAAATGGAGTGCATATCTGATTCAAGAAAAGAACTGTTGATCCCAAAAGGGAAAAATTAGACATAGGGTGTGACGTGTCTAGATACCTCCACCTGCGCTCATGCACACATTCCTGCGCCATAAAGGATTGATTTTTTTTTTTTAACCTTGGTGTTTTGTGTTTGAGCTGTGTGCTAACAGTCAGTGTCAATGTCTGCCTTCTGAGCTGTGGGCGATTCCCATTGTTGTGAGGTTTCCTCCAACTGGACGTTAAGTTACTGAGAACAGGAATCAGGGATGCGATTGGTGCGTGTCTTCTGTGGCTACCTGGTCAGCATTCATAAACGGTGATAATGGATTGAATGCTGCAGTTTCAACCTTCCTGACAACAGAGGAGAGTGTTACTTTGGGGCATGAACAGTTATTGATCCAGCTGGGCCTTGGTTAATGAGTCATTTGGCTTACAGTGTTCCCGAGTCACAGGCTGTCCTGAAGATCACCTGCTGACTCATTGGTGCCCTTGTTTCCCCGAGGCCTCCTGCAGTGACGTGCTGAGGAGAGGAGCCCAGGTCTGCGGGTGGGGGACCCGTCCTCTGAGAAGCCTGCAGCTTCTCCTCCAGGACCCTTCCAGCCCACCTGGCTGGCTGTGGGGATAATGGGCACTTGGGAGCATTGGAGGGGGAGGAAGCATAGAGAAAGCAGCAGGAGACGCACCTGGAAGCCCAGGGGAGGGAAGTCCACCTCCCTGCAAGTGTAGGGCAGTGAGAGGAGCCCTGGCACCAGCAGAGCAAGAAAGAAATGCATGCACCGTTCAGAATAAGCTGTCAGGTCGTCTGGCTGTTTAAGATTTATTTATTAATGGTATGTGACATTTAGCATTTCTCAATGCCTAAGATTAAACTGATGCTTTGAATCCTGATCATGCTTTTGAGCTGCTCCTCTTGGGTACTTGTGGCATCGTGTTGGCAGACCCTGAGTGACATCTTCAGCGGCGGGAAAACGAAATGTATTTCACTGGGAGTAAGTAGAGCGGACATTTGAGAGTTTGCTGGGTCCCAGACAGTGTTATGTGAATGAAAGTGTTGGAAATGTAATCTGGATCCTCAGGGAATTTCTGAAGTGTCGGGAGAGGAGATTTGATGAGCAGAAGCAATTGGAGAACAGCATTCTAGGGTATAGAAGCAAACTATCAACTGTATGGTGAAGAGCTCACTGAGAACTGGGCTAATGGAGCGGCTTCGTGCATTCACTCAGTAGCGATTGAGAGACTTCTGGGCCAGGGCTGGGCGCACACGGGGATGAAATATGGTCCCTTCCCTTTCCACACCTGTGTGGTAACAAGGGGCTAGATTAGCAAACAATTAAAATCCAACACGTCCTACTGTACAAGTGTGAGAGAACGCTGGAGGAGAAGGCGGCGCGAGCTGAGCCCTTACCACCTGAGTGAAGGAGAAGGTGGGTGTGAGCTGAGCCCTTAACACCTGAGCAAAGGAGAGAACGCTGGAGGAGAAGGCGGCGCGAGCTGAGCCCTTACCACCTGAGCAAGGAGAGGTTCTCTGTGCTTAGGTTAATTTCACAGCTGTTTGGGGGCAAATTGGAGTATTTTCCTAGCAATCTTTAAACCACTGTCTTCTATATTGCTTAACCTGTTTAAAATAACTATGAAGGAAAAAGATGCTTTTGAATTATGATGATTGTAATGTTATCGACAGATCTTAGCTGGTAATTCTGTTTTCCTTTTCTCCTTAGTGTCAAATCAACAGTGCCTTGACATCTTTCCACACTGCTTTGGAACTTGCAGTAGACCAGAGAGAAATTCAACATGTCTGTCTGTATGAAATTGGTAAATATGAAATGTCTGTCCAGCCTCTTGTTAAGAAGTAGTATTAATGCAGTATTTTAGCTTTCATGCCATTCAGTGTGTGTCTACAAAATGCTTGGTGCCTTCTGTAGTAAGAAGGACTTCAGTTATTCCCGTAGCACATGCAATGATACTTCTCTCTGATTCTCATTACGTTTTTATAACATTTTTTCTTTACAGCATTTTGATTTTTTAGGATAATAGGTGATGTTAAATGAATTGATTAAATGACCAGAAATACCTTATTGGACTGCATTAGAATTCAAAGCTCTTTGTTCCTCCTTCCCACTAATGTTTACTTGAGAAGAAAAATAGGAGACAGGAGATAGTTGGACTGAAGTCCCAGTGTTTTTCACCAACTAGCTCTGAGACCTTGGACAAGTTGCCCAAACCTTCCTAGCCACATAGTTGCCATTGGAGTTAAGGTGCCTCCCCTTGTAGCAGCTGTGAGGTTTAGATGACATGACGTGTGAAACCTCATGCAGGGGGCCTGGCACGGAAGGCCCTCCATACATGTTAGCTGCCACCTTCTGCTTCTCCCTTACTGGAGAGACAGTCACCAACAAACCTGGAAGGATTTATCTGCCCGAGATTTTCCCCATTCTCCTCCAGAATTGTTGCTATGGGTCTTTGCTGACTGCACTAAAACTCTGATCCTATTACATTAGTAATTGCAAAATCTTTCTGTGTAACAGTTTCTCCATTGTGCTGGGAAGAGTAAACACAACTTTGAACTTGAAACAAAAAAAAATTTTAAATAAGGGACTCAGACTTTTCAGAGTTTCAGCGTAGCTAATGCTACAAGGTCACACCATGTAGCACATAAAAAGGAATGACAGAGGCAAAGAGAAAGGAGAAATGATGAGATAGTGATGAGACTCCAAAGGGAAATTGAGACTTAAAAAGCTTTCTGCAGAGGGACAGGGAAGTGGAGACAGAATGCTCAGGGAAGCAGTTGACACCTGTCAGTTTGGGGGGTCAGGCCCTGTGCTGCCTGCCACTTGCTTTGCCTGCTGTGGACACAATTGTCTTCCTGAATCCTTTTAAGGAAAACTGAAAACCAAAAGATTGCGAACTGCCCAATAAACAATATTACGTTTTAAATGCCTGTTGTGGTTTAAAAAGAGGAAATGATGTATAATCCAGTGGAAAATGTGTTTTTGTGTCTTCTACACTCTGCTGGAGCTCTGCTTAGTAGCCACAATATAGAATGAAATGTGCTTCAAAGAACTTGAATGAAAAACTCTAGCTTTGGTGGCCTTTTGTTGGTGCATCATTTCAAGTCCTATGACAGGATAGGATGTTAGAGCAGAAGGAAGCTTAGAAATCACCCAACCCAGGCCTTAGGAAGGTTAACTCAGGAGTTGGTAGTAACTCGGGCTTCCGATTCAGGCTCGGAAGCTTGAGTTGGTACTTTTTCCTGAGTTATTCCTGACTTATTCCTGAGTTATTCCTGACTTATTTCTGAGTTATTCCTTATTTATTCCTGAATTATTCCTGACTTATTCCTGAGTCAGTGCTTCCTTCCATCTCTATTTTGTATTTAATTCCAATCTTTCTCCGCTATCTATGCTAGGATAAAAATAATCAGCCCAGGCCGGGCACGGTGGCCCACGCCTGTAATCCTAGTCCTTTGGGAGGCTGAGAGGGGCAGATCGCCTAAAGCCAGGACTTCGAGACCAGCCAGGTCAGCATGGTGAAACCCCGTCTTTACCAAAAATACAAAAATTAGCCAGGCGTGGTAGTGGGCGCCTATAATCTCAGCTACTCAGCAGGCTGAGGCGGGCGGGAGAGTGGCTTGAACTCAGGAGGCAGAGGTTGCAGTGACCTGAGATCCCACCACTGCACTCCAGCCTGGGTGACAGAGTGAGAGTGTGTTTCCAAAAAAAGCCCAAATTTTTACTCTAAACTATGTCAATATCACATCCCATAGAATTTGACAGTGAATTTTCTGAAGTGTATATCTCACACACTCTTCCTCCCACGGTTTAAATGGCAAGTCTCAGTTTACACAATTACTTAGTGATGCACCTGATAACAGAATATTTTTTATGGAGGCAGTATCATGTAAAGGAAAGTGTGTTGGATTTTGATCCACAGTTATTCCTTCTTAGTTGTATGGCTTCAGCAGGTAGCTACCTCTTGATACCTTAGTTTTTTTTTTTTTTTTTTTTTTTTAAGACAGGGTCTCACTGTGTCATCCAGGCTGGAGTGCAGTGGTGCAGTCTCAGCTCACTGCAGCCCAGACCTCCCCGGCTCAGGTGATCCTCCCACCCCAGTCTCCCAAGTAGCTGGAATTACAGGCGTGCACCACCACACCTGGCTAATTTTTTATAGAGATGGGGTTTCACCGTGTTGCCTAAGCTGGTCTGGATCTCTTGGGCTCAAGCGATCCTCCCACCTCAGCCTCCCAGAGTGCTAGGATTACAGGCATAGGATTAGTCCTTGCTAATACAAGGACACTATTAGCCCCCTTTGCAAGGTTGTCATAAGGATTAGAGAGCGTTACATGAAGTGCTTACCACAGCATTGGCACACATTAGAGGCTCAGGTGATGGGGGCTACTGTGATGAAAAGTGGGAATAAAATCCTTTACATTTTAGTTGCTGCAGTTCCTTACTAGAATGCCCATTTAACTGTTTCGATCCAGGAAGGTGGGGTTCTTTCACTACCAGTGTGCTGAGGGAAGGTAGGGAAATGCCTAATTTCTCATTGGCTTGCTGTCTAGATCTTATAAAGTTTTGAGAATGAGTGGGCCAAGCACGGTGGCTCACACCTGTAATCCCAGCACTTTGGGAGGCTGAGGTGGGCAGATCACTTGAGGTCAGGAGTTCAAGACCAGCCTAGCCAACATGGCGAAACCCCATCTCTACTAAAAATACAAAAATCAGCTGGGCATGGTGGTGGGTGCCTGTAATCCCAGCTACTTGGGAGGCTGAGGCGGGAGAATTGCTTGAACCCAGGGAGCAGAGGTTGCAGTGAGCCGAGATCGTGCCATTGCACTCCAACCTGGGTGACAGAGCAAGACTCCTTCTCAAAAAAAAAGAAAAAAAAAAAAAAAGAATGAGTGGTAGTCACTGAGTACATAATCGAGTGGTGTTGCTTCCACTGTTTCTTATTGCACCTGTGTGTACTCTTGGAGAAGTACTGCTGTGCTTGGGTTAGCCTCACGACTGTTAGGACGTAAATTGGAGTGTCTTTCTAGAAATCTTTATGCCATTCTCTTCTGTGCTGTTTTATTGGTTGTCTGACTCAAACCTAAGTGCCTTGTCAAATTCAAACTTTACATTGAAAGTATTTAAGGGAAAAAATAATTTCTTAGGTTTTCAGGTTAAACTTTTTTACGCATTTCATAGAACATGCACAGAGAATGATCGCCATATCAGAGGCTCGTGGCTTAAATATGGGTCATAGAGCTCAGTACTTTAGGGTCATGTGCTAAAAATATTTCTTTCATAGGTTGGTGCAGCATGATAGAGCTCAATTTCAAGGATGCATTTGATTCCTTTGAGAGGCTAAAAAATGAGTCCAGGTGGTCCCAGTGCTATTATGCCTACTTGACTGCAGGTGAGTCGCCCATGGTCCCTCAGTGTGCCTCTCTCTGTCGTGAATTAGCTCGCCTGACGTGGGCAGATGGGAGAATGATGGCAAGAGGAAGCAAAAGTTGTACCCCTCCACAGCCTTCCCCAGCATGTTAATGTTTTGTGCAACCAAGTAAATAGTGCTAGAATACTGTGTTCACTGACCCAGGTGAACACCCAGAAATTCAGTAGTGCCCAGGGTGCCCCTTCACCACACGCTTCCCCTCTGGGCCTGGCTTGGTCCTGTTTTGTGTCTTGGAAATGCATATTATGAGGTCTTCCCCGTTACTGTATATTTTGCCCTAAGTTGCCTCAACCTGTCTCTATCCCTTTACTTAATATGCTATGTTTTTTATTGGGATTCTGAAGAATTTTTAAGAATTGAACAGTCTTTTTTCAGTGTGTTAATTTTTTTTTTTTTTTTGAGTCTGGGTCTTGCTCTTTTTGCCAGGTTGAAGTGCAGTGGCCTGATCACAGCTCACTATAGCCTCAACCTCCCAGGCTCAAGCGATCCTCCTGCCTCAGCCTCCAGAGTAGCTGGGACTACAGGCATGCCCTACCACGCCCAGCCAATTTTTTAAAAAAAATTTGTAGCAACAAGGTCTTGCTATGGTGCCCAGGCTAATCTCTAACTCCTGGCCTCAAGTGATCCTCCTGCCTCAGCCTCCCAAAGCACTGGGATTATAGGCATGAGCCTCAGAGCCTGATCTGTGCTAGTATTTTTGTTTGGTTCGTGCCCTGGTTACAAAGTTGCATAGGTCTGAGTCATCTGCTCCAACCTTGTTTTACCTCATAACTCTATTATATTTACAGTATAATATTTTAGATGCAAGGTATTTACATTGCATATCGTTATTAACACCTGTATTCTGTTTTGAATTAAGTGTTTTTTTGCCCATGTATGAGGAGATAGAGATGTGCTGCCACCTGGTGGCCAAAGTAGTTGTCTGCATCCTTCAATACCTAAAAGGCCACGTGATTCAGAGTTGTAGAGGTGTGGAATTGAAGAAAGCCAAGCGGTTGTACCTTTTCTGCCTCTAAGCAACTTCATGTAAGCCTTTTCTGGTTTGTGTAATGAACTCTCCTCTTGCAGCCACATGAGTGGTTCTTTTACTTAAAATTCAAGACTAATCCAAACATTATTTTCAATACCTTCTTATTCTTAACGTTCAGATTTAATGACCATCTTCCACTTCCATTCTGCCCTCTTAACTGATCTATATAAAATAAGATAGGGTTGATGAACATTGACCAATAAGGATATTCTGGATCTCTTAAATTCCCTATAAAATTGCATCGGTCCATTAGCAAATGGACCCCAAAAGTCAGTGCAAAGCCCTCTTTTGTCCATATTCCGCATTGCAATCCCTGTTGACAGGCGTGTTCTCATGGCTCTGTCCCTGATGTTTGAATAAGCTTATTTTTCATATACTGGATAATATGCTGTGTCTCACACTTAAAGGATTGTTGTATAGAATTTGAAGACATCTCAGATGAAAGTAGCAGCTATTTGTTGAGTGACTCAGTGTGTTTAATACGTTGAAGAGTGGATGAATCCAGATTGAATAGCCCAGAAAAGAGAGGCCTGCACACAACTCCGCAGCCATTAGGTGTAATTGGGCCGCACAGTCGATGGTGGACAGCTATTTATTTTTTCATCTTTGTTGAGTTTCAAATACATAAATGTACAGCGTGGCTGTATAGAGGAACATTAATTCCCCCCCCCCAATATTTGGCAATCCCAGAACCATACCAATCATAGCAGAGGATAAGCATGAAAGATTCTGATCTCTGTTCCTGCATTGGGATTTTGTAGAGAGGATAAGATGTGGGTGAATAGCTCCAGTACAAAGAGTACATGAGGCAAGGCCAAGGCAGGCAGATCACGAGGTCAAGAGATCAAGACCATCCTGGTCAACATGGTGAAACCCCATCTCTACTAAAAATACAAAAATAAGCCAGGCGTGGTGGCGCACACCTGTAGTCCCAGCTGCTTGGGAGGCTGAGGCAGGTGAATCACTTGAACCCAGGAGGCAGAGGTTGCAGTGAGCTGAGATCGCTCCACTGCACTCCAGCCTGGCAACAGAGTGAGACTCTGTCTCAAAAACAAAAGAGTACATGAGGCAGGGAAGGAGCACCGTTACACTGTCCTGCAGGAGCTGCCATTTGGGCTGGCCGTGAGCTAGAGGGCATGGGCATTCAGGGACCCCAAACACTGCCACCAGGGCTTAGCTCCCCAGCATGTTAATGTTTTGTGTGACTATGTCAATAGTTTTGTACTTTTAAAAATTGTGATAAAATATGTAGCATCATTTACCATTTGAACTTTTTTAGGTGTATGTGTCAGTAACTCCAGATAACGCTCAGATTGTTTTGCAAACATCACCAGCATCCATCTCTGGAACTTCTTCATCATCCCAAACTCTACCCATTAAACAGAAACTCCCCATTCACGTTTTCCCCGAGACCCTGGTTACCACGCTTCTACTTCCTGTCTCTATGAATTTAAGTATTCTACCTACCTTGTGTATAAGTGAAATATATTTGTCCTTTTGTGTCTGGCTTATTTCATTTAGCATAATGTCTTCAAGGTTCATCCATGTTGTAACATGTGTCAGGATCTCCTTCCTTTTTTCAGGCTGAATAATATTCCATTGCATGTATATGGCACATTGTTCATCCATTCATTCATTGATGGACATTTCGGTTGTTTCCAATCTTTTTGCTATTGTGTGGAGTGCTTACCTGGAACATTGGTATACAGACATCTGTTCCAGTCCTTGCTTTCAGTACCTTTGGGTAGATACCTAGAAGTAGATTTGCATGATCATATACCTCTACTATTCCTGCAACTTTTCTGTAAGTTTGAAATTATATCAAAATTATAAGTTACCAAAAAATATTAGAATATAACATATGGGATTGTGTATATTTAGTCTTATTGGAAGAGTCAGTCATCCTAAGCTCTGTTTAGGCCTCATATTTTAGGATAAACCAGAGACTCCCATGACTTTAAACATCTGCATCTTTTAAAGCAACTATCTGGCTGGGGGCGGTGGCTCACCCCTGTAATCCCAGTACTTTGGGAGGCCGAGGCGTGTGGATCACCTGAGGTCGGGAGTTCGAGACCAGCCCGACCAACAACCAACATGGAGAAACTCCATCTCTACTAAAAATAAAAAATTAGCTGGGTGTGGTGGTGCATGCCTGTAATCCCAGCTACTCGGGAGACTGAGGCAGAAGAATTGCTTGAACCCAGGAGGCAGAAGTTGCAGTGAGCCAAGATCGCGCCATTGCACTCCGGCCTGGGCAACAAGAGCAAAACTCTGTCAAAAAAAAAAATCTATCTATAATTTTACTGCAAGAGAAATAGGTGGTGTTCGTTCTTCAGGGTCTGAGGTATGGATGTTATAGACCTTTGGGGTGGTTCAGATACCGTTGCTGTTTATGACTGGCTTTAATTATGTGATTGTATAAGAATGTTCTCAATGATCTGAGGAAGACCTCAAGCTAGGGACAGCAGAAATATATTCTTTTTCATTGATTTACTCTGTGACCTTAGGCAATGCTCAGCTTTTCCAGACCTTTGCATCCTCTGATCTAAAAATAATGGGGTTGGTTGCACAATACAGCCACTGAGCTTCATTCTGGTTTGGAAATGTTACAGCTGCAATTGATAAGGTCATTTTGGATTGGTGCACACTCCTCCATCTGGACCAGAGATGCCCCAGTGACTGGGAAAGGAGTTGTCCCTTCCTTTGAATATTCAGCCTCATCACTCTTAATCCCAGTAGGAGGAACCTGCCGTCTTTCCCATTGTCTTTGCATCCTCAGCTCTCTCCGAGCCTCAATTCTTGGACCCTTGGGCTCTGCCGATGGTAGCCTATCCTGGTACGTGCACGCCTGGGATAGGTGACTGCTTGACCATGCCCAAATGCGAGTACGGGACCAACCTACTTTTAGGGGTGCTCAGGTAACGAAGGGGGAACTAGCCAGGCACAGTGGCTCACACCTGTAATCCCAGCACTTTGGGAGGCTGAGGCAGGCATATCACGAGTACAAGAGGCCAATATGGTGAAACCCCATCTCTATTAAAAACACAAAAATTAGCTGGGCATGGTGGCATGTGCCTGTAGTCCCAGCTACTCAGGAGGCTGAGGCAGGAGAATTGCTTGAACCCAGGAGGCGGAGGTTGCAGTGAGCCGAGATCACGCCACTGCACTCCTGCCTGGTGACAGAGCAAGACTCCATCTCAAAAAAAAAAAAAAAAAAAAGAAGAGGGAACTAGCAAGTCAACTTTAGTGCATTCCAACTGGGGAGTGAAAAACCACATGTGATCTAACAAAATTGAATAGAAATGGATTCCGCAGCATCAGAGTTGGGAGGAAAGGATGGAGTTGTGGTAAAGTTTCAAGCAGTAGTGGGGCTGCAGCCAGTGCAAAGTTTGCATAAGGGACAGAGAAGACACAGCAAAGGGAGGATCATTAAATCTTTGGGGCCTGAGGTGAGAAGAAGGTGTGCACATGATCATGATCAAAATCTCACTCATTCCTCAAGACTCCGCTCGACTTCTCCTAGCTCCTTACAGCGTCTGGTCACTCCAGAGAGAAATGATCCCTTCTCTTTCTGAGCCTTCTGAAAACCACTTTGGTTCTCCTACCCTGACTACTCCTATCACTACATACATTGCAGCTTGTGGGACCCTATGTGCGTGTGTGAGCATGTGTGATCTTTTCAATTGTAATTTCAGTTTCTTTAGGATTCAAGCACATGTGTTTCTTCTTCACATTGTTGCTGGTGGCTTATAGGTAGTAGGCAGCCAAGGAACTTGGACAGGACAGATTGATGACTTCCTAGGACAGAGAACTCCTCCTTCTACCACGAAGCTTTCATGATCCTCGGGGCTCTTCATTGTTCTTTCCTGGGTTCCTATTTATTCCACTTTGAGTATGTGAGCCCTAACTAGGTTGTACACTGTGACAGTAGCTAAGGATTTTGTTATGTGAAAAACTGTCTCCCCAACAAGAGGACAAGGACCATGGCTTTCCCCAGGTCCCCCAAAAGCTCTGGGAACACAGGAACCTGGGAAATAGTTGAAGGACTGCAGGACGGTGCAGTCCTTTGTGGAACAGTCTTTTTTTTGTTTGTTTGTTTGTTTGTTTGTTTGTTTGTTTTTCTGAGACAGAGTCTCATTCTGTCGCCCAGGCTGGAGTGCAGTGGTGCGATCTCGGCTCATTGCAACCTCTGCCTCCTAAGTTCAAGCGATTCTCCTGCCTTAGCCTCGCAAGTAGCTGGGATTACAGGCATGTGCCACCACGCCTGGCTTATTTTTGTGTTTTTAGCAGAGATGGGGTTTCGCCATGTTGGCCAGGCTGGTCTCGAATTCCTGACCTCAGGTGATCCACTCGCCTCTGCCTTCCAAAGTGCTGGGATTACTGACATGAACCACCATGTCCAGCCCATTGTGGAATAGTCTTTAAACATATTTGCTCCTGCTTTTTTTTTTTTCAAGTATCATCACTTCAGGTATCCCTTATGGCATTTTCCCTGACTTGTACTTAAGAAATATAATTATGGTTTCTTACAGTTTGTCAGGGAGCCACTGGTGATGTGGATGGGGCACAGATTGTCTTTAAAGAAGTTCAGAAACTCTTCAAAAGGAAAAACAATCAGATTGAACAGTTCTCGGTGAAAAAGGTATGTTGGAGCCTATTGATCTGGTGTATTACTTATGATGGGCATTTGTAACCAACACTGCCTTGGCAAGCTTTAGGAAATTATATTCAAGGCTGCCTATTTACTTGCCACATAAAGTGCAGTTCACCGCCATGCAGAGGATTCTCTCCATGATTGTACATCTGCTCTGAATAGAAGATTCTTGCCTTGCTGCAAATAATGAAAGCAGATTTTTAAAAAATCGATGAGTCCTGCAGATACAGGGCCTCAAAAAATTGGGTTAAGACTCAGAGTGGTTCCCCTTCATGGAAATCTTTAGCAAAAGGTGAAAGATATATATGATCTGAAGGGTAACTGGAGTATAGTTTTTTTTTAAATTTTAATGAATGGAGACTATACGTTCTGCAGAGCTAATGAACACACCTCTAGAGAGAAAGGATCTGTCTAAAGAATTGGGTGGTTTTGGAAGAATACAAATTGGCAGGACCTAGTGAGAAATGCAGGCTGTCTGGGGTTGAGAATAGAGAACACATCACATTTTGATGTAATAAAAAGCAAATGTGTGTGTCACAGTGTCACAGTTGCCAGCAGAAAGGCCCAAGACTGTAGAGACAGTATTCCTATGTATTCTGTACTTCTGTGAATACAATGTTGCCGTATTACCTTGAGTTATGTAGTGTCTTATATCCTGAATTATCAGTTATTTTAGTTTTATATGTTTTTATTGAATGAACATTTAATGAAGCTTTTGAGTATAAATTTGATTATAATGTACAGCAGAGAGCACTGGCACTCAGTAGAAAATTTTAAAATCAAGAGAACTGTGACTAAAAGGCATCTAGTCTTAGTTCCTTAGGTGTGTGTAAGCCCGTTGAATTATTAGCTGTCACCAAGCTTTATAAATTCTGTCACTCTAAATGCATGTAAATCTAGTTTCATCCCCAAGTTTTCAGAATATACACTGCGTCTTTTTTTGTTTTTGTTTTTGAGACGGAGTTTTGCTCTCATTGCTCAGGCTGGAGTGCAATGGCGTAATCTTGGCTCACCGCAACCTCCGCCTCCCAGGTTCAAGCAATTCTTCTGCCTCAGCCTCCCGAGTAGCTGGGATTACAGGCATGTGCCACCATACCCGGCTAATTTTGTATTTTTAGTAGAGACGGGGTTTCTCCATGCTGGTCAGGCTGGTCTCAAACTCCTGACCTCAGGTGATCTGCCTGCCTTGGCCTCCCAAAGTGCTGGGATTACAGGCGTGAGCCACCATGCCTGGCCCCACCCTGCATTTTGATAGTAGGTTCAGTTGAATAATGAATGAAAGGCATAATTTCCAGTCTGTCAAAAATTGAAAGCAACATTTTTTATAGAGAGAAGAATTGTTATTCTTAGCTTTGAAGGAGAGGGTCATTCACATTGATGATGAACTGTGTGCTTTTAAAGTGTCTGAGGTATATTTTTTATTTGAATTTGTTTTTGAAAAATGTAGCCTGTTTATTCTGACTCCTTGCAGGCAGAGCGATTTCGGAAGCAAACCCCAACCAAAGCGCTCTGTGTGTTGGCGTCTATTGAAGTGTTGTACTTGTGGAAAGCTCTTCCAAACTGTTCCTTCCCCAACCTGCAGAGGATGAGTCAAGGTAAAAAATTTAAAAAAACCCAAAACTGTCTACTGGACACACTGGCTTCTTCTGTCAGTGCGGCATTCTTCAGTTTCCCGTTTATTTCATGTTTATCTCATCGGAGTCAGGGAGAGTACACATCTCTCCTTAGATAGAGGGTGTCGTGATGAAGAAAATCCTGTCACTTAGGTGATGGGAGGAGGAGGCAGCACTGCTGTGGACAGATATGCTTGCCTTGAACATGTGCTGCTTTTGTTATAAATGTTATTAATTCTGTAGCTGTGGGAGTTGCTGGAAGCATACATTTTTTCTCCCCGAGAGTACTTTGTTTCATTTAGGTGTGATTCACATAAGTAAAAAGATACTAAAGTGTGGCCTGGTGGGGTGGTTCACCCCTGTAATCCCAGCACTTTGAAAGGCTGAGGCAGGCAGATGGCTTGAGCCAAGAGTTTGAGACCAACCTGGGCAACATGGTGAAACCCTGTCTCTACTAAAAATACAAAAATTATCTGGGCGGGGTGGTGTGCACCTATAGTCCCAGCTACTTGGGAGACTGAGGTGGGAAGATCACTTGAGCCCAGGATATCGAGGCTGCAGTGAGCTTTGATCATGCCCCACCACTACAGTCTAAATGACAAGAGGGAGATCCTGCCTACAAAAGAAAAAGGGGAAAAAAAAAGAAATATGTTCTTCTTCATATATGTGCTGCATTTTCCCAAGAAATTAGTATTGACAGTGTAGACATAATATTCCAGAAATAGTTTATAAGCCACTGTAGAAAATTTTTCAGATTTTTCTCCAGTTACTCTTCTTTTTGACCAAATATAGCATGATCCATTGAGCCACATATTTTTATCATCAGATTTCCTGCAAATCCCTTTTGCCTATTTCTTTAAAAAAAAAAAAAAAAAAAAAAGGCCTTCCTCAAATGTGAAAACAAAACATTGCCAATTGCCAATGTTGCTATTCTGGAGATCAAAGGAACAAAACTCCGTAAGAAGTTTTGTACAGTGGCCCTGTAATTCGAGTAGATGTGTAACCCTCCCAAGGAGGAACTAGCAAGGAAACAGAATATTCTTGGATGTGTTAAATTCTGCTATGTTCTTTTTAATTTTTTTTTTTTTTTTAGTTTTTAGAGACAAGTCTCATTCTGTTGCCCAGGCTGGGTGCACTGATGTGTTCATAACTCACTGCAGCCTCAAACTCCTGGGCTCAAGTGGTCCTTTCACCTCAGTCTCCTGAGTAGCTGGGATTACAGGCGTGTGCTACTGCACCTGGCTACTGTATTTATTTTTAAAGGAGTTGCATAATTCAAAACCCCTCCCTTCCTATTGAAGCAAGCATAGAACATCTATAAATGTCTAACTCAAAGGAACAATGAAGAATATTAAGTATTTTTTAAATACACAAGTACAGGATCACATATTTAGAGATAAAATACAAATGCAAATATAAGGTAGGCAGTAATTAACATTCACAAGAACAATTACCAGTTAAGTGAGATTTGACAAAATATTCTCTGAACCCCTTTCCAGGTATCAAAATGAAAAAACTAACAACAAAGATATGTGCCTGGAAGGGAAGACAGACAGTATCTGAAGTGAGCATGAGATAATTCTCTAATATCTTTGCTAAATTTAACCCAGTTCTCAGGTCTATTAATTAGATTATATCATTCCTCAATGGTAAGCAGTAATGGTACAAACTGATCCAACCACATACAGTACAATGAAGATCTTTGTAGAGAAAGTTATGTTCCAGAAAACAGCAGTAGTGGCAATGTAGATCATAAGCATTTATTAAACTCTGCATCGTGCCCTCCCAGTTTTGTGCATTTAGCTTATCAGAGTCCCCATCCACAGCTCCCTGTACCAGCAGAACTAG
The DNA here is from genome assembly GCF_000001405.40 of Homo sapiens. Taxonomy (NCBI): domain Eukaryota; kingdom Metazoa; phylum Chordata; class Mammalia; order Primates; family Hominidae; genus Homo; species Homo sapiens. The sequence continues at coordinate 24,127,417 of NC_000018.10, forward strand.
TGAGAATCCTATATCCTTGTCTTGTAGTTTCATCCATAACCTTTCCCCACCCACCTGCCCTTCTCCACTGGATTCTTCCTTTGTGTCGTTTTTTGTTGTTGTTTGTGTTTTGTGTTTTTGAGACAGGGTCATGCTCTGTCGCCCAGGCTGGAGTGTAGTGCACAATCATGGCTCACTGCAACCTCTGCCTCCCTGGCTCAAGCGATCCTCCAACCTCAGCCTCCTGAGTAGCTGGGACTACAGGGGGCATGCCACTACACCCAGCTATTAAAAAAAAATTGTAGAGATGGGGTCTTGCCATGTTGCCTAGGTTGGTCTTTAACTCCTGGGCTCAAGTGATCCTCCCGCTTTGGTCTTCCAAAGTGGGGGGATTACCAGCATAAGCCACCATGCCCAGCTACATTGTAAACATGTTTGTTTTCTAGGTGCTGCAGGCAGAGTGATCCTATTAAAACCTAATCATGTTGTGTCACTCTGCTTCCCAGAATCCTCTGTGGTCTCTTATCTCATTCAGAATAAAAGCCCAAGTCCATTCAGCAGCAGGCAGTGCTCCCAGTCTGTAACCCTCGAGGCCATTGTCCCTCCCTGCTCTTCTCCCTTGCTCAGCACGGTCCTCCTCCCTGCTCTCAGACACACCTGGCCCCTGTGCCTTTGCACTTGCTCTTCTCTCTGAGAAGGAATTTTTTGTTTGTTTTGTTGTTGTATTCTAAGCACCTAGAATTGCCTGGCAAATAGTAGGCTCTCAATAAATATTGAATGAATGAATTAGTGTAATGAATGAATGAATGAACAAGTGAGTGAACTGCATTAAGGTTTCCTTAATGTTGCTGCCTTAAAAGTCTCTGAGTTCTTTTTCGTATGAGCGTATTCCTAGCCTGGCTTTCTGGGGCAACTCCTGCTTCTACAAGATCAGCTTCTATTCTTCACATTTACCTCTTCCTCTCACCTTCAAGTTACTTGTTCTGTAACTTCAGTTCTCTCTTTCTATCTATATATAATATTATATAAAATATAAATATGTATATATAAAATAGTAAGATATATATCTTATTGAATCTCAGTATCTTTATTAGTCTTTGGAAATAATGGTGTTACTTCCTTTCTTCCTCATCAGCTCCATCATGTTTCCATTCTGCATCTTTCTCATTTTCTTGGAAAACTCCCGTAACATTCTCTAACCTGTGTGTCCATCCCCCACAGCTTGCTGTTGAAGTGGAAGGGTCAGTTCTGATCCTCTCCCACTGACTAGTACAGTACCTCATACAAACATGGAAAGGTGCCTATGGTATGGCAATTTAATGTGAAGTCATTTTTAACAAATTAACATAACTTCTTTTATTAAGAGCAGTTTTAGGTTCATATCAGGAGGCAGAAACATGAACTGAAACATTTACCTCACTCTTCATGATATTGAAGGAATTAAGTGAATGCATTTGCTTACTGCTCTGTTCACTCCCCTTCTTTTTAAGCTTGCCATGAAGTGGATGACTCATCTGTTGTTGGATTAAAGTATTTGCTTCTTGGTGCCATACACAAATGTCTAGGAAACTCAGAAGATGCTGTTCAGGTAAACTGTTAATGTTGTCAGGGCTAAAGAAAATAAGTCACGAACACCTACGTATATGCTTGTGAATAAGAAAAATGAAAAAGCACTGAACGAAACCGAACCTCCCACTATAAACTTTATCCAATTATTTGATTAATGCCATCTTCTCAGATGCTAGAAGTTGATGATGGTTAATACTAGTTTTTAATTAACTTCATATTCTTAGAATGCTTCTTTATATATGGCCTCCTTTTCTGGCACTAATATTTATCAAGATGACAGCCTCCACTGGAGAGAGGAGGACATGAGGAGGCAGTTTTGAAGGAGCGGAGTGAAGTCTCATTGTTAGACAAGAACAAAAATGATCAGACATGTCAGTGTGCATTCAGTTTTCTCTCTTTATAACTGTGGATTATTGATGCAGCCCTGGGGGTCAAGCGAGAGAGTTGTTTTTTTGTTTGATTGCTTGTTTTGAAGAAGTATATATCAGTGTTACTTTGACTACTCTTTGAAAGAATCAGGGTACAGTGGCCGGGCACGGTGGCTCACACCTGTAATCCCAGCACTTTGGGAGGCCAAGGTGGATGGATCACTTGAGGTCAGGAGTTTGAGACCAGCCGGGCCAACATGGTGGAACCCCGTCTCTACTGAAAATACAAAAATTAGCCAGGTGTGGTGGCATGCACCTGTAATCCCAGCTACTCGGGAGGCTGAGGCACGAGAATTGCTTGAACCCAGGAGGCAGAGGTTGCAGCGAGCTGAGATCATACCACTGTACTCCAGCCTGGGCGACACAGCAAGACTCCATCTCAAAAAAAAAAAAAAAAAAAGAATTAATGTACAGTAATAGGAGACTCTTGGCTTTTAAATCCTAGATGATAATGTCCTTGTAAGTTTAATCTTTCAGTATGGGCTTATGATAGTTATCACAGCCCTAAATAGCTTATTTTAGATCAAATGCTTATGTGCTAGCAAGATACAGTCAAGACGCATGTCGAGATCATAGTTACCTTGTGTGTTTTCTGTTTTAAATATTAAAATGGGATGTTTAGACTCTTAGATGCAGATAAAAGATGTTCTCAGTGATAAAATCAATAGAGGCTAATATGTCCCCTGGAAAAATAGTAGCACAAATTAGGCAGTCCAATATATTCTGAGGAATGCACATCAGGCAGCATGTAAAGGACTTCTAAGATGTAGATAGGAAAGAATGAAGATGAGGAAAGAAGAGAAAATCTGATCTAGAAAACAGAGTATGAGTCCCCCTTCCCGCCCCCTCTTGAAGATTATAATAAGCCTTATGCTAAGTAGGAAAATGAATTCATCCAATAACATTTGCATTCCTTTCAGTACTTCCAGCGAGCTGTTAAAGATGAATTGTGTCGTCAGAATAACTTATATGTTCAGCCGTATGCCTGTTATGAACTTGGCTGTCTTCTATTAGACAAACCAGAGGTAAGATCTTATATATATAATATAATATATATTTTTAATGTTGTTCAACAAAAATGTGGAAGTGGGCAAGCACAAAGCACCCTTCATTTAAAACAAACTGAACACAGTGTTCTTCATTTTGTTTTCCTTGGTTTTACTTAGAATGAATCCAAGAAGTTAGTAATACTACCTTATTATCTTTAAGGAGGTAATTTCTTCCCTAGCATTCAAATTACAGTCATACATCTCTTAATGACATGCTGAGAAATGCGTTGTTAGGCAATTCCTTCCTTGTGCAAACATCATAGAGTACTTACACAGACCTAGGTGGTATCACCTACTACACAACCAGGCTGTATCTATAGCCTATTGCTTCTGTGCTATAATTGTGTACAGCATGTTACTGTATTGAATACTGTAGGCAACCGTAACACAATGGTAAGTATTTGTGTATCTAAATATAGAAAAAGTATAGTAAAAATACAGTTTTTAAAAGTTAAAATATGGCCAGGCTCAGTGGCTCATGCCTGTAATCCCAGCAGTTTGGGAGGCTGAGGTGGGAGTATCACTTGAGCCCAGAAGTTCAAAACCAACCTGGGCAACAAAGTGAAACCTCATCTCTGCAAAAAAAAAAAAAAAAAAAAAAAAAAAAAAAAAAAAATCAAAAAACATAGTCAGGCGTGGCAGCATGTGCCTGTAGTCCCAGTTAACCTGGGGGGCTGAGGTGAGAGGATCTCTGGAGCTTGAGGTTGCAGTGAGCCATGATTGTGCCACTGCACTCCAGCCTGAGCAACAGAGCAAGACCCTGTCTCAAAAAAAAAAAAAAAAAGTTTATAGCTATGTATAACTTACTGATTCAGATAAAACCTTTTGATAATCATTAATTTTAAGGTTGTTTAGTAAGATTTTAACCTAAGATATTATATCTTAGAGGTTGCCTTTTATAGACTATGAAAAATTATTTATCAAGTGATTATATATCAAGTAATGTCCTCATGTAAATGAGTAAACATCTTTATATTAAAAAATATTGGGGCTGGGCGCAGTGGCTCATACCTGTAATCCCAGCACTTTGGGAGGCCAAGGTGGGTGGATCGCTTGAGGTTTGAGACCAACCTGGCCAACAGAGCTAAATCCCGTCTCTACTAAAAATACAAAAATTAGCTGGGCATAGTGGCAGGTGCCTGTAATCCCAGCTACTCAGGAGGCTAAGGCAGGAGAATTGCTTGAACACGGGAGGCAGAGGTTGCAGTGAGCCAAGATCATGCCACTGCACACCACACTCCAGCCTGGACAACAGAGTGAAACTCCATCTCAAAAAAAAAAAAAAAAGAAGAATATTGGAGTCATTATACTTGAATGAACAGTTGACTCATTGCTATGTCTACAGTGAATTGTTTTAATTAACATAGCCTCCTATTATACCATTTTCTGCCTGCGTATATATAAACACAGATTTTATGGGATAATGTGTTTTTCTTATAGACTGTAGGAAGAGGCAGAGCTCTACTTCTTCAAGCAAAGGTAAATATCCTGAATCTACCTTTCTCCAGTGGCCCTTCTTATCCCATACACTGTATACCTGAGTCTGAATTCAAGAAAGTTTGTGCAATGATGTTCTGGTTGGTAATATTTCTGGAAAGGAAAAATGACAACCAATTGAATCAGTGAGCTCTTGAGTTTTAAGGGACATTACAAGATCATAAGGAACTTCGATGAAATTGTTCATCCTGCTTTAGAAACACTCTTAGTCTTTGGGTGGGAAGATAACTTTTGATTTTATAACTATGTCCCTGAATTAAGAATTTCTAATAGCAACTTATATTGAGCACAACATAAGACTACTTTTTCAAGAATAACTCGAGGAAAATTGTCCAAAGAGAACCTTATTGACATTCAGTTGACGTTTTTAAAAATGAATACAAAGTTTGAGGTTTGAGTAATATGAAAATCAAGTGGATGGGAAACCTTTACTGGGAGTGTAGAGATTTTACTTTGGGAAATGCAAAATTGAGTGTGCTTTATACCACAGTACCCTGTGCAAGCTTAGCTAACAGAGTGCATAAATATCTTTCTTTGATCTTACAGGAGGATTTCTCTGGCTACGACTTTGAAAACAGATTGCATGTCCGCATCCATGCTGCTCTGGCCTCTCTGAGGGAATTGGTTCCTCAGTGACAGACCCGGAACACCCGCTCCGTCCCTCCCCACCCAGGGTCCGCACTTTAAAATAAAAGCAGAGGACAAAGCTCTTGTGAAGATGGGCTTTTCTTCTGAAAACCACCTGTGCCAGGGACACATTTTCCCAGTTAAGCTGACATATTAAAGATCTCCTCTTTTAAACATGTAGCTGAAAAGTAATAATGATGTTGAGGAGGATGATGATGGTAATAATAACTAACCACCTGGGGAGAGGGTTAAGTGACCTTGCTCAAACGTTTTAGTTTTGTGATTTATTATTTTTAAAATAAAATCAAACGGAACATCCAACCCAAGATCCTGTAGGAACACCTACCTTAAGCACATATCTGAATGGGTAACATGATGAGGTACCTGTAAAATTATTAACAATATCATGACATAGCATTTATATTTGTGTTTTGAAAAAATAAAAGTGCTTTCTAGTGTTTTACTTTATCCTCAAAATACTCCAGTGAATAACATAGCACAGATATTCTTAACCCCACTTTGCAGACAGTGAAACTCAGGCACAAAAAGGCAAATTGACTTATCCCAATTAATTATTCCTGTTATCAGCAGAGCAATGAATAGAAAGCAGATCTCCTGACCACCAACTGACTTTTATTGTAAAAATAATTCATGTTAATAGGCCAGAATTCCATGTTTTACTTATTAAAAGAACAAAATCTTCAGCTGAAGTTATGTCACCAGAAATAGTCATCTCCAGATTGTCTACAGAATGTTTCAAAGCGATGGACACTCTTTTTCCTTTGAAAGCCAACCAAGTAAGAGCAAATATTAATAGAAGATAATTTTACAACTAAAAGTGTGACTCTTTTGCTAATCTATTAGCCTAGTCTATAGATTAGACAAACAGTATCTACATTTTAGGAGTTTACCTTTCTTTGTGAAAATTGTCAAATTACCAACTTTTGGAAATCTTTTGACACATTACTTGAAAAGGTTATTCGTGAATGAACATAGATTTTGGCCTCAAAATATTTGCTGGTGGAACATTTGCTGGGCTACACAGTGCCAGGATTTAATCATTTTCCCCTTAGCTCAGGTTATTTAGATATTATACAAGGAATTCAAAGTTATTTTTTTATTCTTCATTGCTAATTTTTGTCATTTAATTTACCTCCATGCCCGGTACTGCAAACCTGTGGTTTTGAAGAATCTAAATACCTCAGTCACTTTTAAGAATCTCTGCCATAATTTGGCTCAATGTTTAAGGTTAGATTTTTAAAGAAATTTTTATTGAGCTAAAGGATATCATTTTAGGGTATCGTTTATTTACAAATTCTTTTGGCTGAAACATGATCTCATATTAATATTTTAATATTTCTTTTCAAAATAAAACAGAAAAGCAAGTAGAATGTTGGCAAATTTTATCTGATTTGACCTTGTTTTGAGGGAATAGTCATAATTTCTTTGAAAGAAGTTATTTCTCACTGATTTTGGCTAAACAGTATTCATATTTCTTCATCTCTGTTACTGACCACTTTTCAGTAGACTGTTTCCAAAATGTGTATTCACATTGACTTTCTCCCTGATGTGAATTCCGTGTGGGTTTTAGATAATAGTAAGAGAGAAGAGATTGCTCTCCTATATTCAGTGAATGAGAAGGGAACTTTTTTCTGAAGAGCAAAATTGGTGCCCAAAAATATTGGACATCTGTTTTTTGTTTTTTTTTTTTTTTTTTTTTTTTTTTGAGACGGAGTCTCGCTCTGTCACCCAGGCTGGAGTGCAGTGGCGTGATCTTGGCTCACTGCAACCTCTGCCTCCTGGGTTCACACCATTCTCCTGCCTCAGCCTCCCAAGTAGCTGGGACTACAGGCACCCGCAACCACACCCGGCTAATTTTTTTTGTATTTTTAGTAGAGATGGGGTTTCACCATGTTAGCCAGGATTGTCTCCATCTCCTGACCTCGTGATCCACCCGCCTTGGCCTCCCAAAGAGCTGGGATTACTGGTGTGAGCCACCGTGCCCGGCCTGGACATCTGGTTTTAACTAGATGGAAGGGAAGAACATTATGAATCTTTAAAATACGGCTGTTGCCATTTTTCTCTCTTCTTAACATGCAGCATAGGTGACAAGCTTTTCTGTCATCATCATGGAGCATTCTGAATCATGACATTTTTGTTTGAGAGTTCATTCTTGAATTTTCAGTTCAAAATATTGTTTGAACTATTATTCCACATTCAAAGATTATATAAGGTCCTGTGCTTTTGAATCTTTTTCAAAACATTTATTTCTGCCTGCTTAAAAAAAATACTTTTATTTCCCCACAGAGAGTTCAGGACTTCAGATTAGTTTGTGTTCAGCTCACTTAACTGGATAGACAATTTTGCGTTTTGCAACACCATCCTGTAGGTTTTCTTTACTAGTCAAAGTGTAGGTCTTTTTAAAATTTTTAATCTTTATTTTTATTTTTATTTTGAAACAGAGTCTCACTCTGTTGCCCAGGCTGGAGTGCAGTGGTGTGATCTGTGCTCACTGCAACCTCTGTCACCCGGGTTTAAGCGATTCTTCTGCCTGAGCCTCCCAAGTAGCTGGGATTACAAGTTCCTGCCACCGTGCCTGGCTAATTTTTGCAGTTTTAGTAGAGGCAGGGTTCCACCACCTTGGCCAGGCTGGTCTTGAACTCCTGACCTCATGATCCACCCACCTTGTCCTCTCAAAATGCTTACAGGCATGAACCACTGTGACCGGCCAGGTCTTTTTTTTTTTAAAGAGTCTATCCTAGGCTTGGTACAGATGGCGCCTGTGGTAAATCTGTGTTAACATGGTGGTAGACCATGGAGAATGGGTAGATGGAGCTTCTAGACTCCAAAACAACAAAACCACAGTGTGAGTACACTGTCCCATTAGGTTGACTGAAGTCTGAGTACATTTTCTGGCCTGCGTGCCGTGACTTATCCAACCTGTGAACTGATTGTGATCTGCTTGGTAACTTGGTTTGGTGTAAACTGCTCTTAACCCTTTGCTGATGAAGAAAATAATCATATAAGTGGAACTATTTGCATCTATGTGTGCTTCTTTTTTTATGTTGTCATCACTCATTCCTTCCCCTGTCCTATTTTGGAGGCTCTCAATGGATCTTCTAACTTATAAATGTCAAATATATTTTTGTATTAGATTGTGCCTATGATGAGAGAAATCTTTAATGTATATTTTATGTATGCTGAACACATTTTTATAATTTGACACACTTGGAGGCATGGTCTAGTAATAATAATGTAATATGTACCTTGCTGGTTAATATAACTAAGATTTTGCCTTTATTGGGTTAGGTATCTTTTTTTTATTTTAGCACCTGATAGCTGTCTTCTACTGAGTAAAGAATTATAACTTTTAGATGTCACAGAAAATTAGAGTATTTATTGTCACATATTGTGTAAGTCAATTATTTACTGAATTTGCACTTTTCTGTCTCTGCCAACTAAAGTTAAAGGACAAGTCATATCTGATTTTTAAAATGAGCACATGCACAGGCATGCACACACACACACACACACACGCAGACACACACCTTTGCTGTGTAAACTTTTCCAGTGGATTTCTTCCTTAAGCAAATCATGGTGGCAAGTATTCAAATACGGTTTTCACTATGAAGATACACATTCACAAAATCATGATGTACTGTTTTGGTTTCTGCAGATGGTATATTTTGTAGAAAGAAAATTGTTAAATCGAGATCATCCAAGAAGATACATAGTCGAGGCAGATACTTTAGAAGCTAGAAGAGGAAATGCAGAAAGAGAGAAGGATAAGGGGAGCAAGAGAAAGTTGGTCCATAACAGATAATGCTCCTTTTTCAGTAAAGTATGCAGAAATCACCAAGAGCACAATTTAACTGGCTTTCTTGTGAAAGCTAGCAAGGGGGCTGATCTCTGTCACCTAGTTGACTTGGGTATGAAATAGAAGCAACACACTTGAAACCCAGGTGACCTCTATGTAATGCCTAATTCCTCCTCCCAGAGGCCAGTGGTTGTCAATTTCCGTGTTTTACATAGAGATTCTGGTTTGGTAGGTTCTAGGTAGGGCTTGGGAAGGCATTTTTAACAAGCTCCTGGGATGATTTCTTATGCAGGTGATGTGGATTAGAGAAACATTGCCCTATTCATCTTTTGTTAAGGATTTGGTAAATCTGGGAGAAGAGTCAAACACAAGCAGAATTATATAGAATTATATAGCAAGGATAAGTCATAGAGCATACATCATGGGGCCACTGAGAAAATGCTTCTAACCCACTGGCTTCCTAAAGTAGGAGATTTCTGAGATGAGTTCTAAAGGAGAAGCAGGATGCAGTCAGGTGAAAACACTTGCTGGAGCAGCATCCAAGGCCTTGGACCTAATGAGCAAAAGCACAGAGGTGATAAGCGACATGTGTGTTCAAGACTCTGGAGGGTCAAGTGGGAATCACATGGTGAGACATGAAATACGAGAGGTATGCAGAGGCCACACCCACAACCATGGACTTCCATAGGGTAAGGATTTGGGGTGTGGGAGAGGGGCAGTGGAAGGTACATTTGCGTTTTAAATCATTGGTGACCAAAAAATAACATACTGGTGATTGAAAGGGAGATGAACACAAGCCAAGATTGTGAAACCACATCAAATCATTAAGAGTTCAAGAAATCAAAGCAGCGATGGGCAGTGGTTTGAAAATTCTTGGTTAGATGTTTACATTGTAACAATTTGCATTTCAGAATGACTCAGCCAAACAGTCACTGAAGAAATGGAGAGTAAAATCTTGTTTTTTGAGTTACAGGTATTTCTGCATAATACCTTACACCTAATAGATGTTTGAGATGACCCACCAAGGTTACGTTAAAAAAACCATAAATGTCTCCAATTCCAAAAGACACCATAGATGAGGTACTTAGGATTTTCAGTAGCTCAGTTCATTATGTCTCTGACACCTAAATGTGTTATAAACCAAGCTATCAGAAATCATGACAGCCTCATCTCACTTTTATTTACATTACCAAAGTGGTGCTGGAGGCAAGTGATGAAGGATGAAAAATATCTGCAGACCCACCAACATACTCAGTCTAAAAGCATTTCTCCCTTTTTTTTGTTTTGTTTTGTGAGACGGAGTCTCGCTAATTCTCCCTTTTTAAGTATGTAAACTTCCCGAGAAGAGGGAGCTTTCCTGGCACTCAGTAAAATAATTATTAAGTGGATTAATGAATGGCACCAGATAATGCTGACTGAGGCCTTAACATTGCTTTTATTGCAAAGTGCTCTGGAAGCCCTAATTTTTTCTGAATTAAAAAATAGGGTTTTGTTTTATTTTGGTTTGGTTTTTGTTTTGTTTTGTTTTGTTTTTGGTCAGATATCTGCCCTGGCGATGCTCTTTGGTTTAAAGTAGTTGCTTTTTAAACATTTGAAGATGGATCAAAATTAAGGCTGCTTGTACTCTGATAATCATGATTATGGTGTTATTTAGAGCCCAGCCCAAATACCTGAGCCTAAATGAGTGAAAGAGCAGAGAGTGGGCGTTTTTTTGTTTTTTTTGTTTTGTTTTTTGTTTTTTTGAGACGGAGTCTCGCTCAGTAGCCCAGGCTGGAGTGCAGTGGTGTGATCTGGGCTCACTGCAACCTCCGCCTCCCAGGTTCAAGCAATTCTCTGCCTCAACCTCCAGAGTAGCTGGGATTACAGGCACCCACCACCACGACCGGCTAATATTTTGTATTTTTAGTAGAGACAGGGTTTCACCATCTTGGCCAGGCTGGTCTTGAACTCCTGACCTCGTGATCCACCCGCCTCGGCCTCCGAAAGTGCTGGGATTACAGGCGTGAGCCACCGTGCCCGGCAGAGTGGGCGTTTTTAAATGAAGCAGTATTCCTTTAGTTTGGTAAAATTGAGCTGAAGTTACACACAGTAACACCTTGACTTGTTGCTGACGGTGTGCTTTGTGGGGATAGTTGGTGTCTGATCTCAACTGTGGAGAAACAGGAAGTTTCTGGATTCATGCTGAACTCCCATTCCACAGGCGAGTTTCACAAAAGAAAAAGTGCTCTGTTGCATACAATTATTCACTGTGTGTCTACAACGTGGCAGAAATTATTATTCCTAAAGGTGACCGAAGAGAGCTATAGTTTATGGGGCCAGGAGCAATGTGTGGAATGGCGAGGCAGTGACAAGACAGCACTGCCATAAATCTCTTACTTTCTTTCCAAACGAGCTCTAATTTTAAGCTCAACGACCAAAGACGGAGAGGCAGTCGCTTTGAGCTACTCCTGGCTATTTGTTGGGAAATCACCTAAATCCGTTCAGATTTAGCCAGAAAAGGGGAAATAAGTCTCCCTCGCCGGCCAAATCATGGCCTTTGTCGCTTTCGGCTCCCCATTGGCTGCGGCCGCTGTGGCCCCGCCTCCTTGAGTGGTGCGGAGCTTTGTGATGCGGAGCTTCGTGATGCACGCCCCGATGCCTGCGGGGCTATAAAAACGCTCGCAAGCGCCAAGTCTCCTCAGGAGCCGCCGGCAAGGGGGCAACGAGGAAGCTCTTAAGAGCGCGGCCGGAAAGCAGGTGGGGAGAATCTGGAGAAAAGGCGCACCCTGCGGCCTCGGAGACCATTATGTCTCAGGGAGTCTCTCGCAGTGGGAGAGGTCGTCGGGGCAGGCGGAGGGTCCTCAGAGTCGGGGGTGGGGGGCCTGTGGGGCGGCCCCGGCCCACACCGGGGAGTGCGGCGACCAGACGGCCAGCTGCCGAATCTGAGGCCTCGGTGGGTCCGTCGCCCGCCTCTCTTGGACAAGTCCAGGCGATGTGAGCACGCCCAGCCTCCTACATTTCACTCCCGTCTCTCCCAAACAGACCTAGCGCAAAACGAGCACTGACACAGCGGGGGCCCACATCCCGGAGGTTCTTTAGGGAGAGGTCGGGGAGTGCGGTTACCTATGGCTCCGAAGTCCCCGCTGGCATCCTGAAAGGCATCGTATTTCTCGCTTAAGGCGTTACCCTTGTGGTAGTGGGCGCATGGACGTTTACAGTTGGGCGGGGCAGGATTTAAATTCCGCCAGTGGTGGACCAGTATTGGTGATAGGAGAGATCTGGGAAGAATTATTAAGCTGTCGCTTTTAAATAACCCTAATAGTGTTTGTGACAATTTTACCCGTTGACTTTTCTCAGCTTGCTTAGGACAGTTCTTTGTGGGGAACTGAACTGTAGGACGTTTAGCGTCCCTGGCCCCACACGTTCCCAAAGTCGGGGTGAGAACTAGTGGGACGGGGGATCATGGAGTGCATGGCCGCTGTCCCCACCTTTGGTAGCACCAACTGCTAACTGCCTCCTGAAAGGTTGTTGGCGCCATCATGGTTTCTGGGAGCCACTTTCTTTTTTATTCTTTTTTTTTTTTTTTGAGACGGACTCTAGCTGTGTCACCCAGGCTGGAGTGCAGTGGCGCGATCTCGGCTGTCAGCTCCGCCTCCCGGATTCACGCCATTCTCCTGCCTCAGCCTCCCGAGTAGCTGGGACTACAGGCACCCGCCACCACGCCCGGCTGATTTTTTGTTTTAGTAGAGACGGGGTTTCACCGTGTTAGCCAGGATGGTCTCCATCTCCTGACCTCGCCTCGTGATCCGCCCGACTCGGCCTCCCAAAGTGCTGGGATTACAGGCGTGAGCCACCGCGCCCGGCCTCTGGGAGCCACTTTCAAAACGGTCTATCTACTCACTTTGGGTACTTAAAGAAAATTAGACATATGATATATATGAGTATGTATCAAATATATATATGTATCAAATAGTATGTATGTATCAAACATGTCATGCTGCCTATGCCCCTTAGCATTTAGCATGTGGGACTGCGGAATCCCCACTTCTGATTTTTTAAAAAATTCTTTTTTTGTGAGTACACAGTAGGTGTATATATTTATGGGGCACATGAGATGTTTTGATTCAGACATACAATGTTAATCACATTGGGAATGGGGCATCTATCCCCTCAAACATTTATCCTTTGTGTTACAAACAATCCAGTTATACTCTTTCTGTTATTTTAAAATGTACAATTATTGACTATAGACACCCTGTTGTGCTTTCAAGTAGTAGGTTTTATTCATTTTTTATACCCATTAACCAGCCCCACTTTCCCCCTCCCCCACCCAGGCCCCATTACCTTTCCCAGCTTCTGGTAACCATCCTTCTCTATGTCCGTGGGTTCAATTGTTTCAATTTTTAGCTCTCACAAATAAGAGACCATGCAATGTTTTCCTTTCTGTGCCTCACTTACTTCATTTAACATAATAATCTCCAGTTCCATCCACTTTGTTGCAAATGACAGGATCTCATTCTTTTTTAATGGCTGAATAGTACTCCATTGTATGTATGTACCACATTTTCTTTATCCATTCATCTGTTGATAGACGCTTAGGTTGCTTCCAAATCTTAGCTATTGTCAACAGTGCTGGAACAAACATGGGAGTGCAGATATCTCTTCTGTATACTGATTTCCATTTGGGTATATACCCAGCAGTGGGATTGCTGGATCACTTCTGGTTTTTTAAAGATGGTTTAATTCAGTAAATCTGTTGAATGATATCGTAAAAGGAAGTTTTCATTAAGGGATTCAATTATACTTAATTATATACTGAAAGGATTTGCTTTGGCCAGTACAGATTCATTTTGTCCTGACCTTTGGGAAGATGAGATGTGTTTTTAAGTATTGAACATTTTGCTATGAGATATTCGTTACTTTATAATAGAAGCTGTGCCCTTCTATAATTGTTGTAACTGAACTATGCCACTTAACCCCGTGAAACTCATTATTTACTGTAGGGATGTTGTTGAGGACATGGTTCATTATATCACACTATTTGCTTTATAAGGACTTGGGGGAGAAATTTCTCCTGGGTTTCAGTATCCAGAATAGCTGTGGTTCTCCCATACAACTGATGTGTTTTTCACCTCAAGAAACCTGAATCATTTAACCACCTATCTCCTATTTTGTGATGGCTGCTTGGTAGCTTAGGGGCCGATTTGATGCCCATCTTTATCAAAGTGAAGGAGCTATGGCATGCATTGGAGTGCTAACTTTACCTGTAGCTTCACCTTGTTTTTCCTATCTTAGTTTTCCTAGGGATTTTCTTAAATATTTAATTTTGTTCTTTAGAAGCCTTAGGTGATTTTTTAGGAGTCAGAATACATACACCCTGACACAGTTTCAGGTGGCAGCCTCTGCAACTCTGAGAATTACAGGTTGGTCTGTGCAGTATCTCTGATACCACTTAAAAGGCAGAAAGGCAGAAGGGGAAACATAAGGGAAAATTTGGGAAGAGGGTAAGGGAGATATGAGAAACGAAAGGTACAAATGACAGTGGGTGGTATAATAATACCACAAATAAATTATACTCACACTGATTAATGTTAAAAACAAAGTTATTCCTGCAGGTACAAAGCAGGCTGAAAAAACCCCAAAATTTAAAGCTAAAAAATGCACACTTAAACATGAGCAATGGTCGGGCACGGTGGCTCATGCCTGTAATCCCAACACTTTGGGAGCCTGTGGGTGGATCACAAGGTCAGGAGTTCAAGACCAGCCTGGCCAAGATGGTGAAACCCTGTCTCTACTAAAAATACAAAAATTAGCCGGGCGTGGTGGCCAGTACCTGTAATCCCAGCTACTCGGGAGGCTGAGGCAGAGAATTGCTTGAACCCAGGAAGGGGAGGTTGCAGTTAGCTGAGATCACGCCACTGCACTCCAGCCTGGGTGGCAGAGCGAGACTCCATCTCAAAAAAAAAAGCAGCATGTCTGAGAATATATTTAGAAAAATAAGGAAAAACATTTTCTTATAGAAAAAAACTTATCTTGTAACTGTTTGATGAATATATGTACAGAAGGGCCAGTGCCTGTGTGGTTTGGAAGGACTTGTTTAGAAACAGATACATGAAATGTTAACTGCACAAAATATTCACTGAATTTTACAGAGGCAGGTCTTGTTTTTTGTTCTTTGTTTTTAATGTCCTCAGGGTCTTGGCAGGGCTTTTCCTATGGATTTCTATCATGGTACTAGATTGCTCATCTGCACATAGTAGGCTATTGTTAGTAGGGTTGTGTGTTTTTTTTTTTTAAACTACCATCAAGAATTAGCCCATTTTACTAAAATGAATACCTACATATTAGAACTAAAGCTGATAATTTTAATAGGAGATAGTTTATTCTTGGAAACTATAGTTAACTCATAAGGACTATTTTAGTCACTTTGGGAGGCCGAGGCGGGCAGATCATGAGGTCAGGAGATCGAGACCATCCTGGCTAACACGGTGAAACCCTGGCTCTACTAAAAAATACAAAAAATTAGCGGGGTGTGGTGCCATGTGCCTGTAGTCCCAGCTACTCAGGACGCTGAGGCTGGAGAATCGCTTGAACCTGGGAGGCGGAGGTTGCAGTGAGCTGAGATCACGCCACTGCACTCCAGCCTGGGTGACAGAGTCTCAAAAAAAAAAAAAAAAAAAACCTATTTTAGTAAAACTAATTACTTCTAAGACTTTTTCTTCATTCTAGTTGAGTTACAGACATCCTGCCAAAATGATTTCTTCAAAGCCCAGACTTGTCGTACCCTATGGCCTCAAGACTCTGCTCGAGGGAATTAGCAGAGCTGTTCTCAAAACCAACCCATCAAACATCAACCAGTTTGCAGCAGCTTATTTTCAAGAACTTACTATGTATAGAGGTTTGTTATTCCTTTATATATTTGCTGCTTTGAAAAAGAAAACATTTTAAGTTAGGAATTTCATGTATCTGTATTTGATTTCCTGTATTGATTCCTTCAGGGAATACTACTATGGATATAAAAGATCTGGTTAAACAATTTCATCAGATTAAAGGTAAGTACCACAAGTAGTAATAGTTTTAATAATGATGTTTATTAATTATTGCATCATGACTAGCATATATTCAAACTTAAGAATGGTGCCCACAAATTATTTTATGTTTAATCACATTGTTCCTTTTTAAAATATATATATATATATTTTTAGAGACATGCTCTGTCACCCAGGCTGGAGTGCAGCGGCGCCGTCATAGCTCACTGCAGCCTGGGCTCAAGGGATCCTCCTGTCTTAGCCTCCCAAGTAGCTTGGACTGCAGTTGTAAGTCACCATGTCCAACTAATTTTTTATAAATTTTTGATAGTGATGGGGTCTTGCCTCGTTGCCCAGGCTAGACTTGAACTCCTGGATGCAAGTGATCTTCCTGCCACAGCCTCCCACAGTGTTGGGATTACCGGCATGAGGAGAATTGGATTTCATAGTTATAAAGACTCAAATTATGAGATTACTGAGGAAAGTTGTATAAATACTTTGTTGGAAGGTTTTTTTTTTTTCCTTTGCAATGGAGTCTCACTCTGTTGCCCAGGCTGGAGTGCAGTGGCGTGATCTTGGCTCACTGCAACCTCTGCCTCCCGGGTTCAAACGATTCTCCTGCCTCAGCCTCCCGAGTAGTTGGGACTCCAGGCGCCCACCAGCATGCCTGGCTAACTTTTGTATGTTTAGTAGAGATGGGGTTTTGCCGTCTTGGCTAGGCTGGTCTCGAACTCCTGACCTCAGGTGATCTGCCTGCCTCAACCTCCCAAAGTGCTGGGATTATACCTATGAGCCACTGTGCCCAACTGCTGTGTATGGTTATTAGTGAGTCTTGATATTTTTGGATTATCCCAGTGAGAGTGATGATGAGCAAGGAATCAGGATGGGAAAAGCTCACATGAGCAGAGAGCTATAGTATATACATCCAAGCAGAGAATAAAATAAAAATTGGCCACTAGGCCTTAGATGCTACAGAGTACTAAAAGGAAGGAGATCTGCCAATCCTTGAGTGAGATAAACAGGTAACACTTTCCACAAAATGGAAACATTTTAAGCAATGAATGCAGCGATGTCAGAGACCAACACCTAGAGGGCAGGGCGTGATGGCTCATGCCTGTAATTCCAGCCTTTTGGAGGCTGAGGCGGGAGGAGGATCACTTGAGCCCCGGAGTCCAAGACCAGCCTAGGCAAAATAGTGAGACCCCCATCTCTAAACAAACAAACAAAAGAAAACAAAAACACCCAGAGACCAGTTATGCCTCTACCAGAGGTAATGGAGAGCAGCATAAAAGGACATGTGGATCAGAGACAGAGCTTACCCCAGACTCAGCTTACCCCTCTTTAGAAGGAGGAGAATCTTTAATAAAGGAGCAATAGCCCAAAAGACTCACTAATTAACCAAAAGACTTTTAAACTAGAAGGGACAGATTTTTAAACCAAGATCAAGAACTGCTATTGGGAAACAAGCATTTTAATGCAAGATGAGATCAGTTAGAGAAAGTAATACTTTTCTGGCATATCTAAGTCACAGTGTGTAAATTTTGACCCCTTTACAACAGCATGGCATCCAAAGCTTTCTATGATTTCAGTCTGTCCTACCTTTGTAATCATTGCAATCATCTCATTTCATAGACCTCATGTGCCATATATTTAAGACAATCTGTCATCTCCTGAAATGTGAAATTTCAAATCATTTGATTTGGGCTTATGTTCCTTCTCCCTCCAGGAGTTCCTTTCAACTCCTTTTTCTACCTTTTAAATCCTACATATCCTTGAAGTCCAATCCATAATTTCATTTAACAAATATTTAAATTCCTGACAATTTCCAGATGCTGTGCTAGGTGAAATTCAGCAGAGAGGGAGAGATTTTTCATTTCAGCTATGATAGAGAAGCCAGTATTGGACTTATCCTCCTATCATAAACAGACATAAAAGCTGTATAAATTATATAAAACGAAGTCCAGCACCTAGATTCTTGGGAGAAAGGACTTCTAGAAATTCAGCCCATATTCACAGAGGCTTTCTTCCTGAGGACACTTTCAAATTCTTGTGCAGGGAAATATAGCCCAAGCAGTGAGTGAAATCTAGGGAGAGGTGACAGAGGAGCAGAATTTGAGTCTTCAGTGTGGCTGGGATGTGAGTGACAGTACCAGAAAGGAGGCATTTTCAGAGAAGGACCTCCAAAAGTTTGCACAAAAATTTCCCTTGGGTTTTTGTCCAACTCCTAAGCTCCTCATGTGTGGAGTAAAGCTTGAGGAGGTTTAGCAGAAAAGAGCTATTGGGAGACTGAAAGCTAAGTCGAGAGATCAGAACCGTTTAGTGTTGGGAGAGGCTTTGCAGGTTGGGCCCAGCCAAAAATAAGAGATTTTTGTGAAACCGTGGCAATTCAGTTGAGACCTCAGAAAGGTCATAAACTATGAATAAAGTGTACTTTGAGGTATACGTAGTGCACTATCATACACTAGGAAGAAAGGTCATACACTCTGAATGTGCTAGGAGTAAGAACAAAGCTGAAGTATGCCCACTTCAACAGAATTTAGAATCAAATCTCAAGAGGATCAAATTGATTTGCCATTAGAACAAAATCAGTACCATTTAGAAGAAAATTAACAATCAGAGCCTTTACAACGTGTCATTTACAGTTTCCAGCATACAGTTAAAAACTACTAGACATTCAAAGAAGCAGGAAGAAGTGACTAATAAAGGCTAAAACAACACACTCACTAGAAACAGACCCATAGAATATCCTGATACTGGAATTACTACATGAGGTGGATAGAAAATAACCATGATTGATATTTTGAAAAGATGGAAAATAGATGAAAAGATGCAGAACTTCAACAGAGTTAGAAACTACAAAATAAGAAACATTTATTCCATAACTGCAAACTATAAAATTATATGGCTTTATTAGAAGACAGAATTAGGAAACTAAAAAACGAGCCAACAGACAACAACCAAATTAAGGCAAAGAGAAAAATAGAAAACAATGTAAGAGATGTATATGGAACATTGTCAAAAGGTCTGTGTCCACCTGTAGTCTCAGCTACTCAGGAGGCTGAGGCACGAGAACCGCTTGAACCTGGGAGGCAGAGGTTTCAGTGACCCAAGATTGCACCACTGCACTAAAGCCTAGGTGACAGAGCAAGACTGTCTAAAAAAAAAAAAGGTCTATGTCATTGCAGTCACAGGAAAAGAGTGGAAAAGTAGTAGTATTTGAAATGGCTGAGAATTTTCCCACTCTGAAAGACAAGTTTACAGGTTCAAGAAGTCTAATGAACCCATGGCAGGATAAATACAAAGAAAATGACACACAGGTACATCACAGCTAAACTGCTGAAAAAGACAAAATCTTGAGAGCAGGCGGAGGGGTAAAAGGGCACTTTACTTTTCAGGGGAACAATAATAAGACAAATAGGTGATTTCTTAATAGAAACCATAGAAGCCAAAAGACAATGGAATGACATAAAGTGACCTAGAATGCCAGCCTAGAATTAATATATACCCAGGGAATATATCCTTTAAAAAACGAATGCAAAATAAAGACATTCTCAGGCAGACAAAAACTGAGAAGAATGCATTGCCTACTCTACAAGAAATGCTTTTAAAGAAGTTTATAAGCAGGGGCATGGTGGTTCATGCCTGCAATCCAAGTGCTTTGGGAGGCTGAGGTGGGAGGATCACTTGAGGCCACGAGTTTGAGACCAGCCTCAGCAACACAGTGAGACCTTGTCTCTACAGAACATTTTTTAAAAATTAGCTGGGCATGGTGGCACACACCTGTAGTCGTGGATATTCAGGAGGCTGAAGCTGTGATCACACCACTGCACTTCAGCCTAGGTGACAGTGCAAAACCATGTCTCAAAAAAAAAAAAAAAAAAAAGCCTATAGGCAAGTGAGGAATACAAGGGAACTTCCTAAATCTAGGAATGGGTACACACACAAAAACTTACAGATGATCCAATTGACCCATTGTACCCAATGGTGAATATTGAATGCCTTCCCCTCAAGATTGGGACCAGGACAAAGATCTCCAATGTTACGATTTCTATTTAGCTTTGTACTGTAGGTTCTAATCAGTGCCATAAGGCAAACAAATTTTTTTAAAAAAGGAAAGGCATATTAAGAAATAAAACTATTCACAGATGACATGACTATGATGTAGGAAATCGAAAATAATCCACTTCTTTTTAATCAGCTTTATTCTATAGAGGAGAGGGTATATGGGACACAGCCCAGATGTTTATGGGCAGAAGGTTTAAAAAAGTACAGATACATTATCTAGTAGCTGTAAATCTTAAGATAATGAATTCAACAAGTACCCAGAGAGAAAATGGGTATTATGGATGTCATAGAATAAAAAACAGATATGGTATCTAAAGAGCAGCATTTAACACAATCCCCCTCTGTCATGTTTCTTTACGACTTCTAATTTATGCCTCATATCAGTTAGGAAAGCTTTCAGCTGCAAGTAACAGCAAATCAATTAAGAGTAACTTTAAGAAAACAACATATCTGAAAAGGTGTTCATTCTGCTCCTAATATAATTTAATAATAAGTATCACATATCTAGGCACTCTGCTGTGTCATTCTTAGGATGTTTTACATGTCCCCTCATGCTACTGCTCCAGGTGTTATGCCTGTGTTTACATCAGGAAGGAGGAGAAAGTGGTGGCAGTGGTGACATTTGTTCCTTTGATTAAGAAAGGAACACTTTTGCAAGTTTTCCAGCAGATTTCCGCTTCTGTCCCACAGGCCAAAGGAGGCTGATACAATTTATGGTAAGGGAGATCAGAATTGTCCCATGCATTGCAGGACATCTAGCATCCCTGATCCTGCCTCCTAAAATACTAATGCCTCCCAGGTATTGAAATAAATAAAAATGTCCCCTCTACATCTACGAATACTCTCAGTGGAAGGGGGATACTACTACCCCTTGAGAACCAGTGTGCCATTAGTGGTTTATCACCTGGGGCTGGGTACATTGCTGCCACTAATCTAGCTAAGATTATCTTAGCGAAGAATAAGGGAGGGAATGTCTGCTATTCCACCCACCCTGCTTTAATTCTTTGCCCTTAAGTGAAGTTGGGAGAGATGAGGTTTGGTAAAAATGTGGGGAGGGAGGATGTGTTGGGAGTGATGGTGTGTCTGGAATTGGTGGGTTCTTGGTCTCACTGACTTTAAGAATGAAGCCGCGGACCCTCACGGTGAGTTACAGCTCCTAAGGTGGCACGTCTGGAGTTTGCTCCTTCTGACGTTCGGATGTGTTCGGAGTTTCTTCCTTCTGGTGGGTTCGTGGTCTCGCTGGCTCAGGAGTGAAGCTGCAGACCTTCATGGTGAGTGTTACAGCTCTTAAGGCAGCACGTCTGGAGTTGTTTGTTCCTCCCGGTGGGCTCGTGGTCTTGCTGGCTTCAGGAGTGAAGCTGCAGACCTTCGAGGTGAGTGTTACAGCTCATAAAAGCAGTGTGGACCCAAAGAGTGAGCAGTGGCAAAATTTATTGCAAAGAGGAAAAACAAAGCTTCCACAGTGTGGAAGGGGACTTGAGCGGGTTGCCACTGCTGGCTCGAACAGCCTGCTTTTATTGTCTTATCTGGCCCCACCCACATCCTGCTGATTGGTAGAGCGGAGTAGTCTGTTTTGACAGGGTGCTGATTGGTGCGTTTACAATCCCTGAGCTAGACATAAAGGTTCTCCATGTCCCCACCAGATTAGATAGATACAGAGTGTGGACACAAAGGTTCTCCAAGGCCCCACCAGAGTAGCTAGATACAGAGTGTCGATTGGTGCATTCACAAACCCTGAGCTAGACACAGGGTGCTGATTGGTGCGTTTACAAACCTTGAGCTAGATACAGAGTGCCGATTGGTGTATTTACAATCCCTGAGCTAGACATAAAGGTTCTCTACGGCCCCACCAGAGTATCTAGATACAGAGTGTTGATTGGTGCATTCACAGACCCTGAGCTAGACACAGGGTGCTGATTGGTGTTTACAAACCTTGAGCTAGATAGAGAGTGCCGATTGGTGTACTTACAATCCCTGGGCTAGACATAAAGGTTCTCCACGTCCCCACCAGACTCAGGAGTCCAGCTGGCTTCACCCAGTGGATCCTGCACTGGGGACTGCAGGTGGAGCTGCCTGCCAGTCCTGGTGCCGTGCGCCTGCACTCCTCAGCCCTTGGGTGGTCGATGGGACTGGGTGCTGTGGAGCAGGGGGCGGTGCTCATCGGGGAGGCTCGGGCCGCACAGGAGTCCACGGAGTGGGTGGGAGGCTCAGGCATGGCGGGCTGCAGGTCCCGAGCCCTGCCCCGCAGGAAGGCAGCTAAGGCCCGGCGAGAAATCAAGCACAGCGCCGGTGGGCTGGCACTGCTGGGGGACCCAGTACACCCTATGCAGCCACTGGCCTGGGTGCTAAGCCCCTCATTGCCCGGGGCTGGCAGGGCCGGCCCGCTGCTCGGAATGCGGGGCCCGCCAAGCCCATGCCCACTCGGAACTCCAGCTGGCCCGCAAGCGCGGCGCGCAGCCCCGGTTCCCGCTGGCGCCTCTCCCTCC
The DNA here is from genome assembly GCF_000001405.40 of Homo sapiens. Lineage (NCBI taxonomy): Eukaryota > Metazoa > Chordata > Mammalia > Primates > Hominidae > Homo > Homo sapiens. The sequence continues at coordinate 24,149,941 of NC_000018.10, forward strand.
ACACCTGCCTGCAAGCTGAGGGAGCCGGCTCTGGCCTTGGCCAGCCCAGAAAGGGGCTCCCACAGTGCAGCGGTGGGCTGAAGGGCTCAAGTGCCGCCAAAGTGGGAGCCCAGGCAGAGGAGGCGCCAAGAGCGAGCAAGGGCTCTGAGGACTGCAGCACGCTGTCACTTCTCAATGGGGTGAGGGAGACAGAAATAGACCCGGAAGAGAAGAGGGAAGGACAAAGCCAAAGAGATGCCAAACTGCATTTGGTGTTGCTCACTGTGGCCCAGAGAAGTTTGATGGCAGTGCTGGAGAACCAAGAGGAGAAGCAAGGCAAAGGGGCATGGCGTGGGAGAGATTACCTAGGATAGGCTGAATGGCTGTTCTCCCTCAAACTGGCCATGCCCTCTTTTGCTTTCCACCTCCTACAGTCCAAATTACTAGCCACTTTCACACGTTTTCCTTATTTCTAAAGCTTAACCAAAATTACCTAAAAGCCACTGTACCCCATACATATTTCAGTCACTGTGCTGACTACATTGTCATATAATCAATCATCTGCCTGTATCCTTAATCAGAATGAGATCTTTAGGAAGTCTTATTCCTCTTTGATAGATGGTGCAACTAATGTTTGTTGAATGAAGAAAGAATGGATGGAAGGGCAAGGAGGAAGAGGGGAGAAACTAAACCACCTACTTTATAGTCTCTGGTATTCTCATTCCAATCAGTTCAATACAGACTAGTTGGAATCTTTTGTTTTAAATTCTTAAAAGATTACGTACCATACATATTCCTGACTTTAAGCACTCTCTTTGAGCTTCCCACCTCCCACCTCCAGTTTTTTTGTTTTTTTGTTTTTTGTTTTTTTTTTTTTTTGAGACGGAGTCTCACTCTGGCCCCAGGCTGGAGTGCAGTAGTGAGATCTCAGCTCACTGCAAGCTCCGCCTCCCGGGTTCACGCCATTCTCCTGCCTCAGCCTCCCGAATAGCTGGGACTACAGGCGCCCGCCACCACGCCCGGCTAATTTTTTGTATTTTTAGTAGAGACAGGGTTTCACCGTGTTAGCCAGGATGGCCCACCTCCAATTCTTATACAGCCTCTCGTATCTCTTGTTAGGCCCTGCTGCTTATACACTTGTGGTCTTTGATACCTTTCAGATTTCCCATTCCATGCCAGAATATGTCCTTTTCCTTATGCTTCTTGGGCAGTTATGTACTTCAGTACCCTGAATCTCCATGAGTTGTGCCTATTTAAAAAAATACCATATGCTTGGAATTTATCTCTTTATCTTACTGGTTTCATGGAAAATCAGGATTCTGCAATGAATTTTAAAGTTAGCCAATTTGAGTCATTTTATTATACTTAAAAAGGAACTTTTTTACAAGAAGGAATGCCTTTAGTTATGTTCCTAATTCTCAGTGTGTATAGTTTTGTCAGCTTAAGTAGAACCAGATCACCAAAGTCATAGTGGGTTAATCTTCATAAGGTTGAAAGATCAACCTTTAGCAAACCTAGTTTGCAACTTGAAGAAATTCTGTCTTATACAACCGACATAATCTCAAGGTTACAAGTCAGCGACTGTTGTAAGTATTTAAAGCTAACCTTAAAACATTAGAGAAAAGCTTTTTACCCTTCTTAATAAACAGATAATGACATGAACTCAATATAGATTTACATTATATGTGTATAGTAACTAGTAAGTATATATTTGCCAGCATTCTTTCATGTATTCCAAACAAAGCCAAATGGTTGATCTAGTGTTGGCTTTTTTTTTTTTTTTTTTTAAAGACAGAGTCTAGCTTTGTTGCCCAAGCTGGAGTGCAGTGGCACAATCTCAGCTCACTGCAACCTCTACCTCCCGGGCTCAAGCAATTCTCCTGCCTCAGCTTCCTGAGTACCTGGGATTACAGGCATGTGCCACTGTGTCTGGCTTATTTTTGTATTTTTAGTAGAGACAGAATTTCACTATGTTGGCTGGGCTGGTCTCGAACTCCTGGCCTCAAGTGATCTGCCTGCCTCAGCCTCCCAAAGTGCTGGGATTATACGCATGAGCCATCGTGCCTGACCTAGTGTTTGCATTTGCAAAAACACTATAAAAGTTTAAGGCATCTGGTCTCAGTTTTTAATTATGAAAAAGTCCATAAGTATATAACACACACATATAAAGAAAAAACATCCTGTATTTTACCACCCAGTTTAGGAAATAGCCAATTTAATTTTAATCAAAGCTGAATTAAAGATATTTGAGATTTATATTTTTAATTTGATATCACATTTTCAAAACTTTTCTGTATCACTTTTTAAATGGGTACTGATTCACTCCTTCCCCATTTATATGTGATTTAGAGTTTATTCAGTGCTTTCAGATGCATTATTTCACTTAGTGTCCACAGAAACTCCATGAAGTCAGAGTTATAATCCCCATTTTGCAAGTGAGGAGGCCTGAAGCTTGGAACAGTTGACTTGGTCATGCAGCTATTAAATCTCAGAACCAGGACTAGAACCTAGGTTTTCTCATTAACTTTTTTACTATGAGAAAGTTGCAGGGAAGAAAACAATATCATACATTCCCTGGTAAATTGTTAAGGATTCATAATTATAAATGCTTTACCTTTCCAGAATGGTGGTTATAAGGGATGTTTTTGTTTAGCAGGGGACTTCCAGAGACAAAAATATTGAGCTTTTTTAACATTTAAAAAATTAATTACATTTTAATCTTCTAGACGTAATTTCAGGTACCATGAACCTGTGAGGGAGACACTTTTAATTAAAAGAGCAAGTGGTCCTTTCCAGAGTTGCCTAAGTCATACCACAAGCAACCTGTCAGGTCCCGTGCAGGCAGTCTAGGGATTGCAGTAATCCAATCCCTAGATTGGCTGCATTCTTGATAAACGCTCATGGTAAGTAAATCAGTGGTTGGAGAATTTAAGACCTAATGGGGGAAAATAGGGAGGCCTTGAATTGGTGTGGGTATGGGGAGGTCAGTCTGGTTAGGAGTTGGACTTGGGTTTTATTGTTGCTTTCATTACCTTCACTGTACTACAGGCCTCAAAACCTTCTAGAAGGCTGCCAAGACCTTTTGCCTGAGGGTGGGGCTGGGGTGCCAGAGGGTATTTCTCAGCATCTGTGCTTCCCCCTCAGCTTTCAGCCTTCTCTGCCAGCATGCCCCACAAAGGGCATCTCTCTCCAAATTCTTGCCCCCCTCTCCTGGTGGCAGCCTGCTGTCTCTTGTTTCTTAGCCTTGGGCTGGTTAGCAGTACAGGAGGTTCCCTGTTGTTCTGGGCCTGCCTTAGGCCTAGGCTGGACTTGTGCACCTGGGCTTTGGACACGGGGCTTTCTCGGTGTTCCTGCCCTCCGTCATGTGGTAGCCAAACTCTGCCTTCTCTCTGTGGTCAGTCTTGAGCCAGTGTCTCCTGTCTCTGTCTTGATAATAGGAGCGCTCTCTCTGGCCTTCAGCCCTGCCTCCATCTTTCATGTGAGGCACGTGGAAAAGTGTTTGCTAATGAGTGCGAATTCTCCTTGGGTCTGGAGTCCCAGGTAATTCCAGACTGACATCTAGTGCACCTTTGGCCTTTACCAGTACGTTAAGATTATAGCTGGTACATTCTTACCAGCTGGTGTGATGGCAGCCTATTCTTTCTGGGCCCTGCTACAGCTGAGACTGTTCTTATGTCCCTTTTCTCCCTGGAGGGGCTGGTTCCTCTTTTGAAATCAGATTACTTGATTACTTGGTTACCTTTTGACTTCAGCTCTCTGCTGGACTCAAGAAAAGTTATGTTTTTGTGGCTTATCTATCTGGCTTTTTCCTGTTGTTATGATGGAAACAATGTATTTTGTAGCTTTCTATATCCTAAGCATAAGAGTAACTCTCCCAAGGTCAGGCTTAAATAAGATTTTTCGGCTGGGTGCGGTGGCTCAACCCCTGTAATCCCAGCACTTTGGAAGGCCGAGGCAGGTGGATCACAAGATCAGGAGTTCAAGACTAGCTTGGCCAACATGGTGAAACCCTGTCTCTACTAAAAATACAAAAATTAGCCGGGCATGGTGGCAGGTGCCCATAGTCCCAGCTACTCAGGAGGCTGAGGCAGGAGCATTGTTTGAACCCGGGAGGTAGAGGTTGCAGTGAGCCAAGATGGCACCACTGCACTCTAGCCTGGGCAACAGAGCAAGACTCCATCTCAAAAAAAAAAAAAAAAAAAAAAAAAATTTTTCCCCTCCTCAGAACTCCAAGATCTTTATTAGTTCCAATTAGGTATTTGTACTTTTTAACCTATATTTGTCTATCTTATTTCTCCTATTAAATGTAAGCTATATTGAGGTCTCGTCTTAATAGTCTTTCTATCCTCAACAGTGCCTAGACCATTCTTACATGTAGTATGTAGCACAAGCACTCAGTCAGATGTGCTGGTGGATAAAAGGGCTTTCCTAAAAACTGGATGGGAAAGTCCTGAAGAGGTGAATGGTTAGGAAAATGAGGTTATTGTTCTAAGCAGAGGGAGGTAATGATAGATGTGGCTTTCTCTCTTTTTGAATCTTTCTCTGCATGTGAGCATTTGGTATAATGTCCATGTCCCGAATTAGAAATCTTAATTGAATTTATAAAACATCAGCAGCCAATGTCAAAGGAGACACTGCAGGACACTATTTTTCAGAATGCAGCTGAACCTATTGAAAACATGTCTCCAAAGTTTTGACTTGAGCCAAATATATTCTTATGAAGCAAATTCTGCTTTTCTTATAAATTTCATTAGAGAAATGCTTCCCAAAGGAAAATTCTCAGCAAACAGATGTGAAAACTTTTGATGAGTTAATGACTAAGGTAGTTAGGTGTGTGGGTGATGCACATAAAATATTACAGCAGTTTTCCAACTCTAGGATTTTGTATATGTCATCAGCTGTTGTGACCTTCCAACCCATGAGAATTTTCCTCATGCCTGAGGATTCACTTAAGGCTACACTTTCAGATCCAGAGATATCTTTCTTTTCCTCTTGGCTGGGTCAGTCTGACTTTGGCTGCATGATCACACATTATTAGCAGGTGCTACCATTTTTAGGTTAGAATATGTGACTTTCTTAAAGTAAAAAAAATCCTATAGTCCTCTAGCTTATCAATTCATTAAGTTAAACTTTATATACCAATTTTCTTAAATGGAGGAATGCCTTTATTAATATGCAGCATCTATGTCATTACTAAATTACTATACCAACAAAGATGAAATAATTTATTGCCCAAGTTGGTCTCCCCCCCACCCAACCTTTTTCCCCAGTTTTGTGTGGAAGTTTGATCAGGAGCTTTTTCCATGGAGGTTTTCAGCTTCCTTAGTTCTAGGCACAAAGTTATGATCTTTCCCTGATGCTGACCACCTTAGGATGATATCTGATTATTAGTCTTGCTACTGCGCTATTAAGTGTCACTTATTTCTAAGGAAATGAATTGAGGGTCTTGGACAGGATAAGGACAGGAATGTTTTATTACCCACACTACAGATGTTGGAAAACAAAGCTGAAAACTCTTTTAATTTGTGTCTATACTGACATCTGAATGCTTAACCCATTATTGCTTTTTTTTTTGGTGGTGGTGGGTAGAGATGGGGTCTCACTGTTGCCCAGGCTGGTCTTGAACTCCTGGGCTCAAGCGATCCTCCTGCCTCAGCCTTCCAAAGTCCTGGGATTACAGGCATGAGCCACTACATCCCTATTATTGCCTTCTTTAAAAATCTTTTCTTCTCTAAAAATCTTTTTAGATGTTAATTAACCCATCTGGTTGTTGTTTTTCAGTAGAGAAATGGTCAGAAGGAACGACACCACAGAAGAAATTAGAATGTTTAAAAGAACCAGGAAAAACATCTGTAGAATCTAAAGTACCTACCCAGATGGAAAAATCTACAGACACAGACGAGGACAATGTAACCAGAACAGAATATAGTGACAAAACCACCCAGTTTCCATCAGTTTATGCTGTGCCAGGCACTGAGCAAACGGAAGCAGTTGGTGGTCTTTCTTCCAAACCAGCCACCCCTAAGACTACTACCCCACCCTCATCACCACCTCCAACAGCTGTCTCACCAGAGTTTGCCTACGTCCCAGCTGACCCAGCTCAGCTTGCTGCTCAGATGTTAGGTAAAGTTTCATCTATTCATTCTGATCAATCTGATGTGTTAATGGTGGATGTGGCAACCAGTATGCCTGTTGTTATCAAGGAGGTGCCAAGCTCAGAGGCTGCTGAAGATGTCATGGTGGCTGCTCCTCTTGTGTGTTCTGGAAAGGTGCTAGAAGTGCAGGTTGTGAACCAAACATCTGTCCATGTAGATTTGGGTTCTCAACCTAAAGAAAATGAGGCTGAACCATCAACGGCTTCCTCAGTCCCCTTGCAGGATGAACAAGAACCTCCTGCTTATGATCAAGCTCCTGAGGTCACTTTGCAGGCTGATATTGAGGTTATGTCAACTGTTCATATATCATCTGTCTATAACGATGTGCCTGTGACTGAAGGAGTTGTTTATATCGAGCAACTGCCAGAACAAATAGTTATCCCTTTTACTGATCAAGTTGCTTGTCTTAAAGAAAATGAGCAGTCAAAAGAAAATGAGCAGTCACCACGAGTTAGTCCCAAATCTGTAGTAGAAAAGACCACCTCTGGCATGTCTAAAAAATCTGTAGAGTCTGTAAAACTTGCACAGTTGGAGGAGAATGCAAAATATTCCTCAGTATATATGGAGGCAGAAGCAACAGCTCTGCTCTCTGACACATCTTTGAAAGGTCAGCCTGAGGTACCTGCACAACTCCTGGATGCAGAAGGTGCTATCAAAATAGGCTCTGAAAAATCTCTGCACCTTGAAGTGGAGATCACTTCAATAGTCTCTGACAATACTGGGCAGGAGGAGTCTGGGGAAAACTCTGTACCCCAGGAGATGGAAGGCAAACCTGTGCTCTCTGGGGAAGCTGCAGAAGCAGTGCACTCAGGTACATCTGTAAAGTCATCTAGTGGCCCCTTCCCTCCTGCTCCAGAAGGCCTTACTGCACCAGAAATTGAACCAGAAGGGGAATCAACAGCTGAATAAGGTTTGATGAAGCCAGGTAAGAAAATCAGGTATTTCCATTACAAATTGCATTTCAGGTGACATCTGTATTTCAGGTAGCCATCTCTGTCGGCTCCCTGCAGATTGGTCAGTCTTTATTTTCAATAGACTTTTTTTAAATGCCAAAGCCATTTAAAGACTTTGTTGTATTTGAGATTCTACTACTATGAGAGGAGTGATTTTAAAGTGATGTCCCCAAAGCCTGGCCTCAGAGTTTGGTCATCTAGCACTTTTGCGTTATTCTTTTGGACATATTATGTAGTCAACAACAGTATAGCCTGTTGTCAGGTACAAAATATATTCATGTGATCTGAATATGCTGATTGCAAAACTGTAATTAGAGGGTGTTGGTTTGAAATTTTCCTCTTGTGAATCTAAAAATTAAACTACAGCAATGCATTTACATAGGCTATGGCATTTTAAAAAGTGAAAAAATGGTGGTGTGTTTGACTGCTTTCACACTGAGTCAGGAGAGCTCTGTAACCAGGTTTGGGGTGCTGGGCCATGCGTTTGTGTTCTGCCTGGGAGCTTCCTGCAGCTGAAGGAGCAGTTTCATAGCTAGATGGAGAGGGGAAAGGTCAGGGGAGCCGGGAGGTATCAGCAGCAGAAAGGACGGCCCGGCACTTGCGGCACTTGAACAGCAATAGATGCAGTTCACGTAATTGGCTTCCTTTGATCAGCTCCCTCTTCCTGGCAAGTGCCAAAATCAAGCTGCTTTCTTGGCTGTTGAACTATCACCATGTTTTCCTATGACATAGACATGATGTGACCTTCATCTCCATCTAATTATGGCATTTGGTCTGCTCACCTTCCTGCCTTATGGATAATTGCAGGGGCCCTTCTCTTTTTAGGGACAGAAGGGACGTGCATGAGCCAACCCCCCATTCCTTTTGCAAAAACTCTTTCAATCCTGACTCTTAACTGAGCCAGAGTGATTCAAAAAGTGTTAGCAAAGCAGGTGTTTAGAAAAGATCACATTTTGTCTGGCAGTGTGACAGGGATTCTGCACAGCTGGAAAGGCAGAGGGCAGCGCTGGGAGTGGAGCGTGTGGGACTGGCACTATATTTGTGGCTTAAGCAGCATATCCAGACCAAGTCACTGTTTTCAAATGCTTAACTATTTCTAAAGGAAAACAGAGTTGTCCACAACACTAAGAGGATACTAACCACAAATTCAGATTATCAAAACCTCTCTCCCTGTGAGACAGCTGAAGACCTGGCTTGTACATATTTTTCAACAAGCTTAAAAAAAAAGATTACTTGAAAGTATCTGAAGCTGTTGGAAAAATGGCCACTTAATCATGTGCGTAGTATTATTTCTTTTTTTTTTTTTTTGAGACGGAGTTTTGCTCTTGTTGCCCAGGCTGGAGTGCAGTGGCGTGATCTTGGCTCACCACAACCTCCGCCTCCTGGGTTCAAGTGATTCTCCTGCCTCAGCCTTCCGAGTAGCTGGGATTACAGGCATGCGCCACCATGCCCGGCTAATTTTGTATTTTTAGTAGAGATGGAGTTTCTCCATGTTGGTCAGGCTGGTCTCGAACTCCCGACCTCAGGTGATCCACCCTCCTCGGCCTCCCAAAGTGCTGGGATTACAGGCGTGAGCCACTGCGCCCGGCCCGTAGTGTTATTTTCTTTTCAGGGGAAGAAAAAAGGCTGCACCGGGGATAGATGGCCCAGCGTTCAAAAGGTAAACTCGGCACATTTGGGCAAAGTGAAACTCCTCTATTGGGAACCTTTTGTCCGAGGGCCCATCTTCTGGGACTTGGTTCTCCCAAGACAGTACTGTCTTCAAGAGGCAGGTCACACTTGCATTATAGATGGCACTCCTAAACCTCTTTTTCTCAACCCAAAGAATCCCTGTGGGACCAGCCAGCCTTTTACTGCCACCTAGGATCTATGATTTCAAGTCTTGCCTAAAAGGGGTGCTCTCTGGGGTTCTCAATCCTAGATTATGTGACGTTTTATGTGTGGTAACAAATTAATGGGAGATAATGGTGCCTCTGAAGGGCCAGAGAGATTTTGATTATGTGAAGATGACACCTAGTGCTAACTTCTTTAGGAAATAAACACTATGCAGATGCACTAACGCTTCCTTTAATGGCTTAACACACTCTTCAATTGACTTTTGGGTAAAGCTAAAGGTTGTGTTGACCAGTTTCGTCTGCGAGGAGCCTATAGAAGCCACGTCTAAAGTTGAAGTAGCTGGAAACTGCAACTTAGAATAAGATTGCTTCTTCAGCCACAACTGTAGTGTCCCTGCCACTTGCCACCACAACACTGTTCTCCTTTTTCAACTGTAGAGAATCTCTTTCACCTGTCAAACACGATTATGCAGCCCTCTCTATAGCATGCTCTACGGTACATATCACTACAGCTGTTTTATATGTAAAAGAGACTTACAAAGACATTACTATGCATAGTGCCTGATACAGAGACCAAAACTTTAATTCCTGCAAAATTTTTTTTTATAGCAATGGCAACAAGTGAACGAGGACAACCACCACCATGTTCTAACATGTGGACCCTTTATTGTCTAACTGATAAGAATCAACAAGGTCACCCATCACCGCCACCTGCACCTGGGCCTTTTCCCCAAGCAACCCTCTATTTACCTAATCCTAAGGATCCACAGTTTCAGCAGCATCCACCAAAAGTCACTTTTCCAACTTATGTGATGGGCGACACCAAGAAGACCAGTGCCCCACCTTTTATCTTAGTAGGCTCAAATGTTCAGGAAGCACAGGGATGGAAACCTCTTCCTGGACATGCTGTCGTTTCACAGTCAGATGTCTTGAGATATGTTGCAATGCAAGTGCCCATTGCTGTTCCTGCAGATGAGAAATACCAGAAACATACCCTAAGTCCCCAGAATGCTAATCCTCCAAGTGGACAAGATGTCCCCAGGCCAAAAAGCCCTGTTTTCCTTTCTGTTGCTTTCCCAGTAGAAGATGTAGCTAAAAAAAGTTCAGGATCTGGTGACAAATGTGCTCCCTTTGGAAGTTACGGTATTGCTGGGGAGGTAACCGTGACTACTGCTCACAAACGTCGCAAAGCAGAAACTGAAAACTGGTAGGTACACTTTCCTACCATAATATTTAGGCCTTAACACACGCGCGTTTTAAGCATTTTGATTTCTTGACCTGGAGATTTAGATATTTAAAAACAATTTGAGATAATAAGTTGGGGTATACTCTAACTTCCTGGGGTTACTGTCTCCAACTTCCTAAACACCAGTTACTAATAAATGCACAGCAGGTGCACTGTACCACAATGACTCATGCCAAGGATTTGATGCCCGATACATGAAACTAATGAACTCAGTCACCTTTGAATACCTAGTCCATTGTCTAACAAACACAGTGGTAGATGCGAAAAGGGGATGGATTTTTAAAACAGGACAATTTAGTTGGCATGTTTAGGGAGTAGGGAGGAGCTGGGAACAACTGAAGAGCAAGGTAAGAGAGAAAGTCTTGATTATGTAACAGAACACTTAATCCACGTGGTAAGAGGCAGTAGATGGAGAGGTGAGAGGCAGAGTAAAGAGCTAAACAACAGCTGAGATTAACTGTGGATGAGACAGTTTGATCACTCACAAATCATTTTTTAATTTTTCATTCATACTTAATGCCAAACCTTATGCTAGCCCTCCTCCCCTATGTGTGGACAGTAGCGTGAGCAAAAACATGGGACCTACATCTTAGTTGGGGAGACAGACAAAAAAGTGTATTACAACATGTAAAGTATTATGGAGAAAACAGGGTGCTGACACAGGCCTACCTTTAATTGTCACTATTAGGTAGGGTGTTCAGGCTCAGATGTAAACTGACACCTGAGTATGAGAAGAAGCCAGCTTTGCAGGGTGCGCCCAGGCTGTGTCCTAGGGCAGAAAAGAACACGGGGGTTCCAGAGACAGCGAAGTAGGCCACAGTGAGACTGGCTGGGGGGAAATGGGGAGATTATATAAAATGAAGAAAGATTTTGATTGAAAAGTTCAATGGGAAGCCAGCACAAGTGTTTTAAGCAGAAGAATGACTGATTGCTGTTTTTATTAGATCACTCAGGCTGCTATGTGGAAAACAGATTAGCAGTAAGGGGGAGGTCAACAGAGGAAGTAGGGAGATGAGTTGAAAGTACAGAAGTGTTATACACCAATTAGTTACTTAAAATAATTAGTGGGAATTTTAAGTTGAGCATCTGAGAGATCGACAAAAGCTAGATTTCATTCATAAGCAGGCTCAAGGACCAGTTACTATATTTAAGGAAAGACAAAATTATCTTATCTTAGGGCTACATGTACTTCTTCAACCTCTTTATGGACTTCTGGTGGAATTGCCAAAATGGCTGTTTTCAGCATGAAATTGCTGGGATATTTCAGTGCAAAAGCCCATAGGTAACTAGTTAAGCTTAGTAACAGAGCAGGAGGGTAGACCTTGCATTTCTAATCTTCTGCTCATTTCACATGTTCGGTTTCATGTTTAACTTTAAACAATTCAATGTTTGCATTATTCCTAACAGATCCAGAAATGACGCTGTCTGGGTCAACATTTCAGGGAGGAGTCTGCCACCAGTGTAATGTATCAATAAACTTCATGCAAGCATACAATTTTGTATTGCTTTTTTTTGTAATTTAGGAGGACTACAACCAACCAACCAAACACAAAAGGCCTATCAATCATCTATCTTTTCAGACTTATAAAGCAATAGCATTTTCCAACTCCTATGTGTATACTTTTTTAAACTATTCCCACTCTAACAGATCTAGTAACAAATTTTCTAACCAGGTAGTTCCACTTGATTCTGCATTTGAGATTCACACCGAATGAATACGGTAGCACCTCTCTATGCTGTATCTATCTAGCATTCAGTTAATCTCTGGATAGATAAATGCCTACTTACCACTATGCATGCCAGGTAACTGGTTATCATCTCCTTGACCCTGGGAGCTATGGTACCACAAGGACTTCTTTCGTAGGACACGTCTAACAATTTAGGATAGTATTAAGTGGCAACATTAGTATATTTGAAATTTTAAAAGAAACCACACTTTTGGGGAACATTCTAAAGCCTTTATTTAGCATCAGGTAGATTATTTCATTATAACACTTGTTAACTTCAAGACAGCAATTAAAATCACGGACTGGCAGCTACCTAGGCCCCTGGGAGCAGTATCTCAGTCTGGGGTTTGGGTGGATAAATACTATAAGATTTAAGATGAATGTGCCCCAATTAAAGGGGCAAAACTACTGTACAGTAGGTCTCCACACATATTTTAAGTACACAGGTACTTTGCAAACTTGAAATGCACAAGGCCTCCTTTTATATAGTTTGATACTTACATGAGTGCAACTTACTTTCCCTAGTGGCATTTGCCACTGGAAGTGGAAGCATTTAACAAGGTTTGTCATTATGTAATGGTGATTAAAATCTATATTTCTAGGGCATTTTTGTGAATTGCTAGATTTTATACATATTTTCAGTTCAAATGTAAACTTAACCATTTTAATGATACTGACTGCAGAAAACTGTAAAAGTAAATTCAGAGCACTAAGTAAATGAAATACTTTTCCAGTTTAATTCTTTAGAATTTTCAAATCAGAAATATCTATTCTGAATATTCAGGCATTTTTTTTCTTCTTGGAAGATGGAAGGGGTAACATTGGGAGGATTAGTATGAATAAAAGCCATCTTATCAATGAAGTCTTTATAAAATGACATAACCTCTATATCTGAGAATAAACATTGTATAGGAGGAGAGTTCTAAATATGTCAAAGGTTACATCTAAAACATTCAAGCATGACAGCATAAAAATATTCAAAATAACTTGATTTGGGATTACTATATAGTTCCATAAAGCTAAAGTTACATTTAGGTATAAACCTTCAGTAAATATGGCAACAGCAACCATAAAAAGCATATTCCCCAGCAGTGTTCTCTTACCTCTATATAAAATAGTATTCCAAATAAGTACATTTTATAGCAAAATTATGCATTTTTCCTAAGACTTTCATCACCAATATCGCCTTATACCCTGCTTTTGTTGGGTGAAATGCAGTTATCTCATGAGTGTTTTTTCATTTTTTTTTTTAAAAGATAAGTAGAAACCAAGGGAAAAAAATTTAAAAACATAGGTTTAAGACTTATTTGTAGATTAGCCAAACACCCTGACTTGTATGCATTTTAATAAATGTCAGGCAAATTGAAGTAATTTCTGTCCCAGTAGCTGCCAGAGTAAATCCAGTCCTGTGCTCCATTGTAGGGATTAGGACCTTGATGGAACCACCTGTTAAAAGAAAAAGGACAAGACTTACAGGGGAAACTATGGAAAATCACAGGCTGTTTCTTCACTAGTTTGCAGTATTATTCTATTGCAGCAACTCATTCTGTGAGTGAGGGATAGTTCTAAAGAGATGCTGAAGTGATGCTGTATTTCTGCTTAGGTAGGGAACAGGTCTGTGGAATAATATTCCAAAAGGGGTAATGATACCATGCAAAAGGCATATGGATTTCCCACCAGGATCTAGCAAGCTACTTGACAGAAGCAGGGTCTTCTAATAGGTTGGCTCGAAACAATGTATTTGTCTAACGGGTTTACCCTCTAGCCTGGGTCTTATTTTCCACAAGGCATTTTTTTAAGTAGTTGGGAATAAATTAGGATAAGGAAATTAACATTTACAGCATACCCACAGCAGTATGTAAGGCACCTGGTTCAGTGTAAATGCCCTTCAAACTCCTTTTTTTTTTTTTCTTTGAGAAGCAGTTTTGCTCTTGTTGCCCAGGCTGGAGTGCGATGGTGCACTCTCAGCTCACTGCAACCTCTGCCTCCCGGGTGAAAGCGATTCTCCTGCCTCAGCCTCCCGAGTAGCTGGGATTACAGGCATGCACCACCACACCCAGCTAATTTTGTATTTTTAGTAGAGACAGGGTTTCTCCATGTTGGTCAGGCTGGTCTCGAACTCCTGACCTCATGATCTGCCCACCTCGGCCTCCCAAAGTGCTGGGATTACAGGTGTGAGCCACCGCACCTGGCCTCAAACTCTTAAACTTCCATTTTACAGATGAGAAGCTGAATGTCCAAGCAGTTAAATAACTTGCCCAACCTAGTAACTGATGGCAAATTTAGGTTTAAGGTTAAAGACCATGATTTTTCTAATACACCATGCTACACATAATCCAAAAGACATGAATAGACATTTCTGAAGACATACAAATAGGCAACAGGATACGAGAAAATGTTCAACATCACTAATTATGAGGGAAACGTGAATAAAACCCACAAGATTATCGTCTTACACCAGTTAGGATGGCAATTATTAAAAAGAAAAACATGCTGGCAAGGATGCAAAAAAAGCAAGCTCATACACTCGTAGTGAAAATATAAATTAGTACAGCCATTATGGAAAACAGTATGGAGATTTTTGGTTTTTTTTTTTTTTTTTTTTTTTTTTGAGACGGAGTCTCGCTCTGTCGCCCAGGCTGGAGTGCAGTGGCGCAATCTCAGCTCACTGCAAGCTCTGCCTCCCGGGTTCACGCCATTCTCCTGCCTCAGCCTCCTGAATATCTGGGACTACAGGCGCCCGCCACCACGCCCAGCTAATTTTTTGTATTTTTAGTAGAGACGGGGTTTCACCATGTTAGCCAGGATGGTCTGGATCTCCTGACCTCATGATCCGCCCGCCTCGGCCTCCCAAAGTGCTGGGATTACAGACGTGAGCCACTGCACCCCGCCAGAGATTTCTTAAAAAAACTTAACTACCATAGGATCCGGCACTCCCACTACTGGGTATCCAAAGGAAAGGAAGTCAATGTATCAAAGGGATACCTGCATCCCCACGTTTATGACAGCACAATTCACAATAACAAAGATACGGAATCAACCTGTGTCCATCAATGGATGAATGGATAAAAGTCAGTGGAAATAACTTTTTTTCAGGCCTGGGACAACTCGGCAGGGTTTGTGTTAGATAGGCCCTTGCTCTGGGGTCACAGTGTCTGGCATCCCTGCCTCGTCTGCACACAGCAGCCTGCCTGAGGGCTCAGCCACACCCCCTGACTCAGGCACGCACCTCGTCTTCCAGTCCTCTTCTGACTTGGACCTGTTTTTGCGGGCTGCTCTTTGTTTTTCCTCAAGTCGTTTTTTTTCTTCACTAGCTTGATCTAAAATAAGAACATCAACACAAACCATTAACACTCTACACAGAGGATGCCAGGCACAGTATTAAGCACAAGAACTTCACAAAAGAACCATATCTACATGTTATCTCCCTTTTATTAGAACACAAATACCAGAATCAAATATCAAGCAAAAATTTTAACAGATACCTGGGCTAGTAAGAGGCAGAGCTGGTATCACAGACGCAGCATCTCTTTCACAGCCTATGCTCTTAACAACCTGGCCAAGAACAACGTGTTTATTCTTAAGGCCAAAACAACTGTGTTAAAATTCTTCAATGAAAACTTGGGTGCAAAAACTAAATAAATGTGAAATTATTCTGAATTCTTAGGAGACCTCACGGAGCTTCTTCAGATGCCATTCTTAAGGAATTTAAACTGTCTTCCAAAATACTGTTGCTGTGTCTCACTTTTTCTCCACTGTGGCACTATAACATGTTAGATGTGCTGGCTCTATCATAAGAGGCTGCCTAGTGTGGGAGAGGATGATTAGCAGCATCCATGGCCTGCAGACGCCAGCAGTCCCTCCTAAAAAGTGACAACCAAAGTCTTCAGACTTTGCTACATGTCTCCTTGGGGGGAAAAATGCCCCCCTTTTGAGAACCACTGAGTTGGAAGAAATTTAACACTATAAGATAAAAATGGGCTGGGTACAGTGGCTCAGCCTGTAATCCCAGCACTTTGGGAGTCTGAGGTGGGCGGATCACCTGAGGTCAGAAGGTCCAAGACCAACCTGGCCAACAGGGTGAAACCCCATTTCCACGAAAAATACAAAAATTAGCCGGGTGTGGTGGCACGTGCCTGTAGTCCCAGTTACTCAGGAGACTGAGGCACAAGAATAGCTCGAACCCAGGAGGTGGAGGTTGCAGTGAGCCGAGATTGCGCCACTGCACTCCAGCCTGGGAGACAGAGCAAGACTCTGTATAAAAAAAGAAAAAAATGTTGTAATACCCCATTTACCCTGATGTGATTATTACATATTACATGCCTGTATCAAAATATCCCACATACTACATAAGTATATACACCTACTTATACCAACACACAAAAACATGTAAGTTATACTTAACCAAGGGGAGGCCACACTCTCCTCTGAGGCTGACAAGGTGCTATGTAAATTCTGAAGTAGACAGTGACTTTATTAGTCGGAATATGCCTCTGGCCATCTCCAGTATATTAAATTCTCAGGGGAGTATTACCACAATAATATGAGCTAATAAGGTCTGCGCAGATTTCCAAATTTAAAATAAAAGTTACTGAATTTAAATTGAATGTTAACTCAAACTTAATCTCTAAGAGAGACTAAAAACGCTAGTACCCCAATGATGCTAACAATCACCAGGAATAAACAAAGCATCATCCCCCGAGAAATGAGTCTTCACTGGTGGCTTTGGCGGATGCTAGTTACCTATCTCTCCATTTTCCATGGCTCTGATGTCAGGCCGTAACCTGCAGTCTGTCTTGGGAATCACACTCTCCATGTCTTTGTCTACTTCATTCAAAACCATTGCAAAACTAGTAAAATTATACATCTGAAAAGAAGCAAAAGGAAGAAATTAAAATATGCCAAGGCATAATGCAAAATGAAACATCCTGAAAGTAGAAGAGGGTTGACTTGACAATGACCCCCTCCCTTTCATGGTAACAATGGTCAGTCTTTCTCAGATCACACGTATCTAAATGTTTTCACCAAAATCTGCACCATCTGTGGGTATCTCTCAAAAAAATCTCAAAGCAGGCTTTGCAGAATAAATATCCTCTATCATGATCAACTTTAAATAGAACTCTAAGCAAAAATCAACATTCTTTTATCTTCATTAAAATCATTCCTTGCTGGGTCTGGAGGGCTGGTACTGACTAGGCTGCACCAGCTTATATTTAATAAGGACCAGTTTTACCGCTAAGTAGCTACTAAAGAAGCCCCAGTGAAGTCCTAACCCAACACATCCTCCCAGCCAGATGCCAGAGGGATGGACAGCATGATGCACTTACGACGCGCTGAGCTCAGGCAAGAAGGGAGCACCCGGGAGCCAGTGGGGGCTCAGGATGCCAACCTGCCTGTCTCCATGCTGCCTGGGCCGACCCTACACGTGCCAGGAAAGAGCGCCACAATGCTAAACACAGACAGTGAGGCCACAGCCAGCAAGCCCAGTCTCACCTGGGCAGAATTTGGAGGCCGTGGGGCTATTCGCCATAGAAGAACGCTTCCAGGGATAATGAATACACTTTCAGAATCCGGCACTGGCATTTCATCCAACTCCTCAGAGGTGCTCATCTAGAAAAACCAATCAATGAACAAAATTTAAGTAGAAAGTTTTAAGATACAGTCAAGCACCACATAATGACATTTTCAGTCAACAACAGACTGTAAATATGATGGCAGTCCCCTAAGGTTATAGCGGAGCATGTATAGAAATCTGCTATATGGCATTTGATATTGGCACTGTGGATCAAGTAAGGGAAATGACCGATACTCAGTAACGGTGTTAGGACTTTTGGCTTTCCACATGAAAAAAGAGATATACATAAAAATACATACACGATCTTAGTTTGTGTAAGTACACTGTATGAGGTTCGCGCAATGATGAAATCACCTAATGATTTCTTAGAACATATCCCTGTCCTTAGGAAAATACATATACACTTACAAATTGTAAATCATCGTTTATTGCACACCACTAGAATGTAAACTACATGAGGGCAGGGACACTGTGACTTTCTAATTCTTATATCCTTACTTTGAACACAGTGTGGGAAGCCAACGGATACCTGCTGAATGCCCGAGTGGGTGCTAAGAGTCTCACAAGCTTCGTGTGTTGTGCCACTTAGTGTTATCCACATTTAAGTCATTATCATCATCACTCGTTCCTATAGGGTTTTATGTTTTTAAGGCTGTTTCCTTCTTAAAGACAAAATAATTCATTTGAGTATTTATTTTTAATATTTTTGAGATAGGGTCTTGCTCTGTTGCCCAGGCTGAAGTACAGTGGTGCAATCACAGCTCACTGTAACCTCAAACTCCTGGGTTCAAGCAATCCTCCTGCCTCAGCCTCCCAAAGCATCATTTGAGTATCTACTAAGGAACTACTGGAGGCCCAGCAACTGGGGTGCTAGAGAAGCACCATCACTACCTGACTTTCGTGGAGCTCACACACCAGAGAGGAACAATCTGAGAACAACAAAAGGTTACATTCTTGGGGAAGTCAACTAAATGTATCGATGCCACAAAACCAGGAGGGATCCTGAATGCATCTGATGAAAAGAGAATTTTTCATTAGATGAAATACAGGGAGCCAGCATTTCCTCGGGCTCCCCTCTCCGCGGCCCAGCTATGCTAGTGCTGTATGTATGCAGTCTTTATGCAGCAATCCCTCGAGGAGAGGTCACGACCGCTTTTTAGACATATGGAATGAAGGCTTTGGAAGGGTAAGTCATAGTCCCAGCATCACACAGTGAACAAATCTAGAACTACTGGCTGAGACACATTCAGTGAATATACAGTTTACAAAATAGCACAGAGGTGACAACGCTAATGACACAAACTTCCCGCAGCGTCTGTGTTCAGGAACGTCAGAAATCCATGGTAGGCAGATGACAGGAACACAGGAATGAGAGAGACCAGAAAAGCAGTGGATGTGTGAGAATACCTGCTCTCTCCAATGGGAAAAAAAAATACTTTTCACAGACTGACTGGGAATTTAGGGAATATAAGGAATGTTCTCTGGAATTTCAGCAACATTCTCAGCCATCCGCACTCTGTGAAGAGGTTGGAAGGCAAGCATGTTGGGGAGATCGTCTTTGTCAAGGTGCCTCCTATTAGCAGGAGCTGCCGCCAAGGAGTTTGTGCCGGGGGTCCCAGAATCCTGGACATGCCCTTCTCAGCCCCATCAGTTTCCTGCTGGCTGTAGAGCACAGTTGGTGCACAGTTCCCGTGGGCAGGAACATGGGATATAAAGAGGGAAGCAGAACTGTGCACACACAGCTAAAGGGAAACAAAGAAAGAAAGAAACAGTCCCAGCCACAGGAAAGCAGAATGCTCCGGCCGTTTAATAAACCTCTTTTCACTTTGGGAGCAAGGCTAACTCCGTCTACAAAGAAAGTCACTCATAAATACACCTTCTGCTTTTGAGGGATCTTAGGGCTTCCTGAACTTTCACATGCATAAGAAACGCTAAAGAGCCCCAGAGACTGGTCTTCGGTAGGTCTGAGGTGAAGCTGGGCCGCCTGCATTTCTAATGAGCTCGCAGATGATGCTCAAGATGCCAGTCCGAGGAAGTACTTTTGGCAGAAATGACTTTATCAGTCTTTACTATGAGCAGATACTATTCTGAGCCCATTATGTTTGTTAACTCATTTAACAAGTAGGTGCTATTATAGTGCCCGTGTTACAAATGGAGGCAGTGAGGCAGAGAGATGAGAAATCTCGGCTTGTACTGCTCATCACCGGTGGGGCTAAGATTCTAACCCAGAGTTTGTGCTCGGAACCATTGTCTTGGTTACTGGAAAGGAATCCGTCCTCAAATATTTCCTGTCCAAAGAGGTGCAGTCCTCGAGCATTTATGCCAGGAGGGAAGGGGCAGGAGTTTGCTAACCACTGGAGCCTGTTTGGGACCACGCGACAAGAAGCCACGTATGTGCCTCCCCTACTGGGATTTAACTATCCCACAAAGAAGAAAGTTTAGTAAGAGGAAAGCAGCCCAGGGATGACTCCTTTAACTACGACCATCTTAACTTCGGTAATTTCACGATAAGGAACAAGGCAACAAAACTGATGATAAGCATGAAAATGTCAGAGAGACTTTTGGAGGAAATTTTAAATCTTCAACAATTTCAACTTTCAATGCACATAAACAGGAGGAAAAGAAAATGTTTCATTAAGATGAACTCCAACATTCCAAAGCTATGTGAATTAAAGCAAAGCTCCACATATAACTGCTCCACAGTTAAAAAACTGATAGGTGTCCACATCCTATACAAGGCTATGCCGAGTACTTGTTAAAGCAAATGTCTGATCATTAAAAAGAGAAAAGTGACATGCATTAGCAACAAGGAAGAAGAAAGTTAAACTGTGACCCTAGAACAGGCCACCTCCAAAAGGATTAGTACACATTGAAGAATCCAGTTATTCCTTCGATACCACCTTACAGGATGTTCACCTGTTTGCTGTTCTTCTTCTCTTCTGTATTTTTCTTATCATTTTTTTTGTAAGCGTCAAACGTGGCAGGGTCAACACTGTATAAACATTCAGTCCACTTCCCATAGAGGGCACAGAGCTTCTTTTTGCTGTCAAGAAAAACTGATGTTTAGTTAACAAACCAGTGTTTGTTTTTTTAAAGCCGACAGCACCTGGTATTCCCAGGCGGTCTCCCATCCGAGTACTAACCAGGCCTGACCCTGCTTAGCTTCCAAGAGCAGATGAGATCAGGCGTGTTCAGGGTGGCATCGCCATAGACTGTTTTGCTGCAATTGAATATTACTATAAAGGTGTGTACGACTCACAGAGTCTCACTCTGTTACTCAGGCTGGAGTACAGAGGTATAATCATGGCTCACTGTAGCCTCAACCTCCTGGGCTCAAGGGTTCCTCCCACCTCAGCCTCCAGAGTAACTGGGTACACAGGCATGCGCCACTACGCCTGCCTAATTAAAAAGAAGTTTTTTTGTAGAGACAGGATCTCACTATGTTATCCAGGCTGGTCTCGAACTGGCTGCAAGCAATCCTCCCCACTCAGCCTCCCAAAGTGCTGGGAATACAGGCGTGAGCCACTGTGCTCAACCAAATCAGGTTCTTTAATGAAATAAACTTCCTTGTAGAAGAAAGATTCTTCAACTTATTAGAATGCTTGTTTCCTAGGTTATGGCAATTTTTTTTGTTTTTTTTTTTTTAGATGGAGTCTCGCTGTCACCTGGGCTGGAGTGTGGTGGTGCGATCTCGGCTCACTGCAACCTCCGCCTCCCAGGTTCAAGCAATTCTCCTGCCTCAGCCTCCCAATGGCTGGGATTACAGGTGTCCACCACCATGCCTGGCTAATTTTTTTGTATTTTTAGTAGAGATGGGGTTTTACTATGTTGGCCAGGCTGGTCTTGAACCTGACCTCGTGATCTGCCCACCTCAGCCTCCCAAAGTGCTGGGATTATAGGTGTGAGCCACTGTGCCCAGCCGACAATGTATTTTAATACCGACATTTTATCTAGTGAACAAAATCTATACTATTCAACATTTAAAAGAGAAATTTTACCTTTTATCTTGAATGTAGCCTTCAACTTTGTGTAATTCCTTACCAAAAAGGCCACATGGCTTAAAATTCAACACACATTTGTCCCCAGTCCTATAAAGAAAATACTAAGTTCAGATTATCATTTATTAGCAAAGCAGCAGTAGAGAAAAATAACTGTGATCACTTTTCTAGCAGCAGCTACTGTTTATGGATTTTCTCTGTGTGCCAGGCTCCATACTAAAGTGATAATGATTAATCCTCAATTGGTAATCTTCCCACCATAAAGAAAAGGTATGTGAGGGGCAGAAAGAATACATGACTTGCCTAAGGTCACAAAGTAGAATGGGAGCCCAGCTCTTTCTAGTAACTCCTATGCCCTGTCTCCCTGGCCCCCACTAAACAAAGGAAGCAAAATGAGCTGAGATTGGAATTAAGGTTCACAGAAGCTGGGTAAGCTGGGTTCACCCAGTCTTCCTTAATCAGAGACTTTAATGAACCCTCTTTATTAAATAAATGGGCTTCTAGTCATTCAAGAGTTAGTTATATTGCCTGATCCTTTTTTTTTTTTTTTGAGATGGAGTCTTGCTCTGTCATCCAGGCTAAAGTGCAGTGGCGCTATCTCGGCTCACTGCAACCTCCGCCTCCTGGGTTCAAGCAATTCTCCTGCCTCAGCCTCCTGAGTAGCTGGGATTACAGGCACCCGCCACCGTGCCCGGCTAATTTTTGTATTTTTAGTAGAGACGGGGTTTCACCATCTTGGCCAGGCTGGTCTCGAACTCCTGACCTCGTGATCCACCCGCCTCGGCCTCCCAAAGTGCTAGGATTACAGGCGTGAGCCACCGCGCCCAGATATATTGCATGATTCTTAAATTTTCATCAGCCTGTTCTAGAGCTTTTCTTTAAAAACAAACAAAACAAAAAAACTGATGTCCACTAAAACTGCTTGATGAAAACTGAAGGAATGGACGAAGTACCCAAGGTGCCTTACTTGTGGTTTATAATTTCCACATTGCCATACTGTTCGATCCACAGTTTACCCACAATGATATTATGCACACAGCAGGTGGGATTTGTCCATGTATATGCCTCATTGTGTCTAAAAAACAAAACCAAACCCAGAAGCATAAGTGAGAGGTATCACTTTGTTTAAAAAGTACACTTGTTCCAAATGCCATTACTCAGAATAACAAACCAGGCTGCTTGAGATAACTACGTTCTAAGCCTTTAAAAATTCTATTGATGTTAACTCACCATAAAATTGGGATCATTTGCCCATTCTTGTTTCTTAAAAGGGAGTAACAGCTTAAGAAAAAATTCTATACTTCCACCAAACTCCAAATAAACTACGTACATAATCATTTTAAGCATTCAAAAGTGTCATGAAACATTAAAAAAAGCTAAAGTAGAGACACAAAATAAAAAGTCTATTTAGCACTTTCTAGAGAAAGTACCCTCCAGCTCACCAAAGGAAAAAAACTCATCTATGTGAATAAACTCTGATTTTATAATCCTATATATCCAGAGGAATAGAAATCATTCTACCATAAAGATACATGCACGGGAATGTTCACTGCAGCACTGTTCACAACAGCAAAGACATGGAATCAACCTAAATGCCCATCAATGATAGATTGGATAAAGCAAACGTGGCACACATACACCATGGAATACTATGAAGCCATAAAAAAGAACAAGATCATGTCTTTTCTGGGAATATGGAGGAGCTGGAGTCCATTATTCTTAGCAAACTAACGCAGGAACAGAAAACCAAATACCACATGTTCTCATTTATAAGTGGGAGCTGAATGATGTGAACTCATGAACACAAAGAAGGGATGAATAGACACTGGGGCCTACCTCAGGATGGAGGTTTGGAGGAGGGAGAGGATCAGAAAAAATAAGTATTGGGTACTACGCTTAGTACCTGGGTGACGAAACAAACCCGCATGACAACAGTTTACCAACAGAACAAACCTGCACATGTACCCCCAAACCTAAAATAAAAGTTAAAAAAAAAGTTTTATTTTACTTTTTATTTTTTTTGAGACAGAGTCTCGCTGTGTCACCCAGGCTGGAATGCAGTGGCGTGATCTCGGCTCATTGCAACCTTCACCTCCCGGGTTCAAGTGATTCTCGGGCCTCAGCCTCCCGAGGAGCTGGGACTACAGGCACGTGCCACCATGCCCGGCTAATTTTTGTATTTTTAGTAGAGATGGGTTTTTGCCATATTGGCCAGGCTGGTCTCGAACTCCTGACCTCAGGTGATCCACCCGCCTTGGCCTCCCAAAGTGCTGGGATTACAGGCGTGAGCCACCGCTGCACCTTCATATATTTGTCCTTAGATATGTGTCTTTTAATTTACATAAGGTAAAATTCATTTTTGTTGGTACTCAGGTTTATGCTTGCACAGATCTGTGTAACCACCACCAACACAATCAGGATCCTAAACAACTCCTCCACCCACAAACACTTTGTTCATACTTCTCCTGGTAGTCAAACCTTTCTCCACTCCTAATCCCTGGATCTCCAACTCACTCCTTATCCCCAACAACTGATCTGTTCTCCATTGCAATAGTTTTTCCTTTTCCAGACGTCATATAAATGTAGATTACCTTTTGAGATTAGCATCTTCAATTTGTATAATGCACCTGAAATTCATCTGTGTTGTTCTACGTATCAGTCTTTGTGCTGAGTAGGATTCCGCTGTATGGATATGCCACAGTTTGTGTGACCATTCACCCACTGAAGGGCATGTGGGCTGTTTTCAGTTTTTGGTGATGATGAATAATGCTACTGTAAACATTTGTATACAGGTTTTGGGATGAACGTAAGTTTCCATTTCTCTAAGGCAAATACCTAGGTGTGATATTGCTGAGTCATGTGGTAAACATAAGGTTAACTGGATGAGAAACTGCCAAACTGTTCTCCAGGGTGGCTCTACCATTTTACATTCCAACACCAACAATACACAGGTTGAGCATTCCAAATTCAAAACTTGGACATCTGAAATGCTCCAAAGTCTGAAACTTTTTGAGCACTGACATGACACTCAAAGGAAATGGTCACTGGAGTATTTCAGATTTTGGAATTTTGGATTTGAGATGCTAAACCAGTAGGTATATTGCAAATATTACAAAATCTGAAAATATTCAAAATCCAAAACACTTTTGGTATATTTTAAAAAACGGATACTCAACCTGTATGAGATTTCTAGCTCCTCCACATCCTTGTCAGCACTTGGTATTGTCAATGTTTACAATTATTTTGATTTTAGACATTGTAATAGGTATAAATATAAATTGTAATAGGTATAAATAGGATAGCTCATTGTGGTTTTAACTCTGCAGTTCTCTAATAACTGATGCTGTTGAACATCTTTTTAAATTTTTATTTATTTTTTTTTAGAGATGAGGTCTTATTCTACTACCTAGGATGGAGTGCAGTGGTGGATCATAGCTCACTGCAGCCTCGAACTCCTCGGCTCAAGTGACCCTCCTGCCTTAGCTTCCCTAGTAGCTATGACTACAGGCATGTGTCCCCATGCCTGGCTAAATTTATTTTACTTTATTTTTTTAGAGACGGATTTTCACTATGTTGCCTAGGCTGGTCTTGAACTCTTGGCCTCAAGCAATCCTCCTGCCTCAGCCTCCTAAGTAACTGGAATTATAGGTGTGAGCCACTGCAATCAGCTGACTTCATGTGCTTATTTGCCATGTGTATGTATATATATATATATATATATATATATACACATATATATATATATATGAAGTATCTATTCATTTTTTATTGTTCTTTTTTGTTGTTGTTGTTCCAGAGACAGGGTTTCACTCTGTTGCCCAGGCTGGAATACAATGGCGCAATCATGGCTCACTGCAGCCTCGAACTCCTGGGCTTGAGAGATCCTCCCACCTGAGCCTCCCAAGCAACTGGGACTATAGGTGCATGTCACCAAACCTGGCTATTTTTAAAATCTTTTACTAGAGACAAGGATCCCACTATGTTGCCCAGGCTGGTCTCTAACTCCTGGGCTCAAGTGATCCTCCCACTTCAGCCTCCCAAAGTGCTGGGATTACAGGCATGAGTCACTGCGCCTGACCTTATCATTTCTTACTGTTGAGTTTTAAGAATTCTTTATATATTGTGGCTACAAGTCCTTTGTTGGCTATATGATTTGCAAATAATTTTTACTATTCTATAGTTTATCTTTTCATTCTCTGAACAGTATCTTTCGATATAAGGTTTTTAATTTAATAACATCTAATTTAT
Organism: Homo sapiens; assembly: GCF_000001405.40. Lineage (NCBI taxonomy): Eukaryota > Metazoa > Chordata > Mammalia > Primates > Hominidae > Homo > Homo sapiens. The sequence goes on from NC_000018.10 coordinate 24,175,657, forward strand.
CACTTTTTGTCTTTTATGGGTTATAATTTTGGTATCATATCCATAAGAGTTCTTTGCCTAATCCAAAGTTGTAAGAGTTTCTCCTATGTTTTCTTCCAAAACCCTTAGTTTTACATTTTACGTAAATGATCTATTTTGAGCTGATTTTTGTAAAAGGCGTGAGGTCTAGTTTGAGGTTCATTTTTTAACATATAGATGTCCAACTGTCTCCATAGCACAGATGGTTGTCTGTGGAAAGGACTATTCTTCTTAGCTGTATTGCCTTTGCAGCTTTGTCAAAAATCAACTGACCACATTTCTGCGGGTCAATTTCTGGATTCCCTTCCCCGTCGCATTAATCTATACTTTGTCTATAGTTTGGCCACCACCACACTGTCTTGATTACAACAGCTTTAGCATTAAGCCTTAAAATTGGGTAGTGGGAGTCCATCAATTCTGTTCTTCCTTTTCAAAATTATTTTGGCTGTTCTGTCATTTGCCTTTCCATACAAACTTAGAATTCGTAAGTTAGAATCAACTTCTCTGTATCTATTAAAAATCATCTTGGGATTTTGATTTGGACTGTGCTCATACAGACTGCTTATAGATCAGTGAGGGGTGAACTGACATCTTAACTATAATTGAGGCTTCCAAATATATCGAGACAGTGTGTCTCTGCATTACTGAGGTAATTCTTGATTACTTTCAACAGTATCTTGTAGTTTTCAACATACACATCCTTTACATATTTTGACATTTGCATTCTGCCATTGAGCCTATCCCAGTTATTATATTCTATTACTATATTTTTAGTACTAAAATTTCCAAAAATACTTCTATTTTTTTTTTTTGGCTAAAATGTCTTTTTCTATTTTAGTTTGTTGAGATTTTCCTGTTGCTTGGTATGCTGAATGATTTTGGATTGTATTCTGCACACCTGAATATTGTAAGACTCTGTCCTCTTAACCTCTTCTGGAGAATACTGATAAAAATTTTTTTTAGTAGGCAATTAACAGAGTTTCAGGCCAGAAGTCCTGACTCTCCTCCTGTGAGCTTTCATTCCAGTGTCAGTTTAATTTTCAAAGCCTCTGTAGTGCTGCTCAGATCCACCCCTCAATAGCCATCCAGGGACCTGGCTCTCAGGCCACACAGCATTTCAGATCCTGAGGCCCTTGTGTACCCTTCTGGGTCATTTCAATGCATGTGTGTAGGGATGAGCGTAGGAACTCATAATGCAGCTTCAGGGGACCCCTTTCTTGAGCTCCCTCCTCTTTGTGGTTTCCCCAACACTCTTAGACACCAGGGGGCGCTTTCTCTCCCCTCCGGCTGGCAAGCTGGGGTTTGAGCCTCTCTGCTCTGTCTTGTATCTCCCACAACTAGGTCTTCTTCTGGGGCAAAGGGGTAAAAGAAAAGAAAGAAAAACAAGTAACAGGAATTCTCTCACACTCTTTGAACCCCAGGGGTTCCTTTACTCAGTTTCTCTGGCCAAAGAGAAGGACTCTGAGGTACGTGTGTGATTGCCACAGCCACCATCGCAGCAGGAGTGTAGCTACAGACCCTAGTGCTTGCTTTGGGGCAAGGCTGTGAGACAAAATTAAAACAGGATTTCCCCTATTCTCTACTTCCTGCAAGGGTATCTTTCTAGGTCCTTTAATTAGAAAGAAAGAATTACTCTCAGAACTTTTTCGGTCGGCCTCTAATCCCCAGTTCTGCAATTTGCTGCTCTGATTCTGAGCCAGATTTGGGAGAAATATATAAAACCAGTAAACTCACTGCCATATTGGTGTTCAGGTTTTGATTTCTCTCCCCAGTCTGCCTGCTACTATCTACTTTTCAGAGTCTTTGGGTTGTTGCTTTGTCTTCTGTCCGGGGTATCTAGTTGTAATCAGTGTTAAAGAGATAGGGTATCGTATGCTTATTCTCTCCTAACTGGAATTAATTGTGGATTTAAAGCTAATCTTACAAAAGAAGAGAACTCCCAATTTATCTAACGCCTAACATGTGCCACACAATTGTCATTTCATTATTTCTCAGAGTGAATTCATTTTGAAAGATCTGTAAACAAAACATTGGCACAAGGATATAAAAAAGCATGTTTCATAAGAACTGTCATGAAGCAATTAACTCCATCGATCTTAAAATAGATCCAAACACCAGAGTCAAAAATCAAGTTAAACTATTTACACATACCCAGATTAATTAGCAATGGCTACTGCCATGTTTCTCAAATTCTTTTACATAGACGTAGACAGTTTGCACTGTATGAAAGCTGTTTCTTTTTCTCCAGCTTTTGAACAGTAAGGTCAGCTGAGTGTGCATGTCTACACTTACAGGCAGGTCTACATGAAAAGAGTGTAATGGCTTGATCAGAACTCACTCAAGGAGCTCCAAGGTGATGGTTCCTTTGGGTTCTGCTTCTACACTCTTCCCCCAGAATTTCAGTTTGGGATAGATAGAGCCATGAAAGATGAAGTCATTGTTTAATCCTTCAGCATGAAATGCACTGATTGGTGGGTGATGGCTGACCTGTTCGGAGATGAGTCTAAATCCAAGGTCATCTCTTAAGATTTAAAAAAAAAAAAAAAGAAAAAAAAAAGCAACATTATAATTAACTCTATCATTAAACATGTACATAATTGCCCTTTCAAAGTAAACAATTCTTTTGTTGTTGTTGTTGAGACAAAATCTTGCTCTGTCGCTCAGGCTGGAGCAGTGGCGTGATCTTGGCTCACTGCAACCCCTGCCTCCCAGGTTCAAGCACTTCTCCTCCCTCAGCCTCTCGACTAATTGGGATTACAGGCATGCACCACCACACCTGGCTAATTTTTGTATTTTTAGTAGAGACGGGGGTTTCATCATGTTGGCCAGGTTGGTTTCGAACTCCTGACCTCGTGATCAACCCACCTCAGCCTCCCAAAGTGCTGGGATTACAGGCATGAGCCACCATGCCCGGCCAACAATTCTTTATTCTCATTGCAATGAAACAACTTCATATATGAGAAATTATACAAATGCAACCCAAACCACCAAATCCAATGTTGTAATGCTAGCTACTTGAACAAATTAAAACAAAGAACACCCAGATGAATTTGAATGATTTGCATGAAAAAATATTAGTCATGTAAATTTAAAACACATCATTCCTTTTACATTAGAGAAATCTAGTGTGTCCACTTTCAAACATCTAGGGAATAAATGAGATCAAAACTTGTGCAGAGAAGAGGAGGAACGCATAGAAAAACTAAAGCCAAATAAAGTCCCTTAATCATATATAAACAAGACACAGGCTAGCTCAAGCAAACAGAACTGCACTTACAGATGCAGTCATTGGCTTCATGCAAACAATATATACTTATGCTAATATATTTTATTTATATTTTTTAATAAAGAGATATTTTTATAAGAGGGCCTCACTGTTGCCCAGGCTGGAGCGCAGTGGCTAATGATGGGTGCAAGCCCACCACTGACCAGCACAGGAGTTTTGACCTGCGTCCATTTCTGACCTCCCTCTCCTGGGAGGTCACCATATTCATGCCAAACTTAGTGCAGACACCTGGCCAGCATAGTGCACTACAGCCCAGAGCTCCTGGGCTCAAGAGATCCTGCTGCCTCAGCCTCTCAAGTAGCTGGGACTATAGGCCTGTGCCACCACAACCCAGCTAATAAACTTTAAATGATTATTTTTAGGAGATATACCTGAGGTTAAATGACGAGTTAATGGGTGCAGCACACCAACATGGCACATGTATAGATATGTAACTAACCTGCACATTGTGCACATGTACCCTAAAACTTAAAGTAAAAAAAAAAAACAAAACAAAACTCGATCATGTCTCATGATCTACATAAGGAAAAAAGGAGGGTGATTAATCCCATGTGATCAGGAATACAAAAATCTTTGCAATTATTTCTTATAATGGTACCTTTTATATATGTTTCAGTATTTTTGACAGTCTCTAAAATAATAGCTATCCTAGAAACAAACATCAAAATTGTTAACTTGCTCCAGTCCTATATAATTGTTATTCGTGATGACCAATATGTATGTATTTCTCCTCTTCATCTGCAACGCTGTATAAAGCATGCAAGTGAAAGGCCTCACCGCACTAATTCATAAGTCTCTCCCAGCAGTGGGTTGAAAGGTTTTCCAGTCCGTTCCCACTGAGAAGCAACAGCAGATACAGCAAACGCAGCTACACACTGTGGGACAGAGCATGAGAACAAGTCAAAAATAGCCGAGCTCGCTCCGCATTCTTTTAGGAACTGAAATTTTGCTGAAGACAGTAATTTACAGAATTATTTTGAGGAGTTTCATTACTTTGGAGTTTTAATATGGCTCTAGCAGTGGGACATGGAAACTTGGATATTCAGAATGAAAATTACTTTCAGTTGCTTCCTACAGTGTTATTCCCAACCATGGTTTTCATCACACTCTAACAGTGCTACAAATTCTCTCAAGGACTTTTAAAAAACCCTCAAGTCCAAAGTTACTTTTAATTCATTTAAAAATTTTTAAAAGTATGACACTCCAGGATTGGGGAAAGAGATATAAAACTCCACAACTTAATTGGTGTTAAGTCCACTGAGGTTGGAAAATGCTGACTTATATAGATGAAAGGACAGAAAGACTCAGTTTAGAATGCTATTGCTTTGTTGAAGGAGAACAATGTGTCCACTATACTCTACCTCTAACTAGTCCATCCATGTACAACATATACAATCTTCCATCTAAAACATTAAAAAGTGCAATTCCTTGCCGTCTTTTAACATATAGCAATGTATATATATTTATATACACAAGTAAGCACAAACATATTTTTCTATTTTGTGTGTGTGTGTGTGTGTGTGTATGTGTTAACTTCTTCTTGGAAACACCCCGAGAAAGTCTGAAAGAAGAAAGGTTGAATTCTTCCCCTAACACAACGCTACTTTCTCAACTAAAGATTTAGCAAAAGCCAGCCGGGCACGGTGGCTCATGCCTGTAATCCCAGCACTTTGGGAGGCCCAGGCGGGTGGATCACGAGGTCAGGAGATCGAGACCATCCTGGCTAACACAGGTGAAAACCCGTCTCTACTAAAAAAATACAAAAAATTAGCCAGGCATAGTGGCGGGTGCCTGTAGTCCCAGCTACTTGGGAGGCTGAGGCAGGAGAATGGCGGGAACCTGGGAGGCGGAGCTTGCCGTGAGCCGAGATTGCACCACTGCACTCCAGCCTGGGCGACAGAGCGAGACTCTGTCTCACACACACACAAAAAAGGATTTAGCAAAACCCACTAATATCTAGGTTTGCTTAATGGGCCACCTCCTGCTTCTCCTGCAATACTCATCGGTCTCTGCACAATGGTGTCACCCTAACCAGAGGACAGTCCAGACATGCGGACTGAGCTTTGATAAAATTGCCCAACCTCACATTGAATTTAACACTAATTGTGTGAACGTGTGTGTGTTCGGGGCTGGGTTGGTAGCAAGGTCTCTAAGAGTTAGACCTTTTCCTCCCTTGGCTCATACCTGCATCCTTTCCACAGGATCAGAGAGTGAACTGGCCTTGTGGATGAGGTAAGTATGCTCCATGTATTCAGTTAGGCGCTGTAGGAAGCTCAGAGGCTCATTAAATATAACTGGCATCGTGATCTTGGATAGTTCCTATTTAACCAGAAAATTGAAAGTGTTATGTCCCATATACATAACAAACAAACCTATTGTTATCTTTACATAACATCCTCCTGGAAAGGACAGAACAGAAACTAGCAACCCATGAAATTTCATCAATATTGGTTCAATTTCACAAATTCTTTCCAGAGCACCTAATACCATGGAGTATATCCTTCTAGGCCTTGAAGGAGGAAATACAAAGACTGCCCAAACATTCTCCTTGGCTCCAGGGAGCTCACTACCTGCTGGTGAGCATGAGCAGATGACTCTTCATCAGTCTGCCTTACATCAGAATTAGGAAATGGGAGACAAAGGCAATGGAGACAGAACAAAATTCTTCATAGTGGTGTTAAAATAATTAACTGCAGGGCCATTAATTACTGGAGATGGCTCCAGTGCCTTGAGTTCCTTCATAAGCAAACCGCTGAAACCCTCTCCCCTGTTAACTTAAGCCTCACCAATCAGAAACTGCCAAACTAACCTCTATCTAGGAATGTTACACTTTCCCCAAATGAATGCACTTTCTTTGTCTGGCTCCCTCAAAGAACACCTTATAAAAGTAAAAGCTCCCCTTCCTGCCTTCTCAGTGGAGTGTGCTGCCTTCTCAGTGGAGTGTGGAACAGCTTCAGGTCTGGGGCTGTTCAAGTCATGAATTGCTGTCTGTTCAAATATATGTGTTAAAACTTCAATATGTCTACATTTGTCTTGTAACAACGGGCTAAGGATTAACCACACATACCATTTTTGTGAGTAATTTTCCAAAAGAAATTTCACAGCTTTTGAAATGACAATGAAATGAAATGAAATGATATGACAACACCGAGCTTATCTGAGCACACCAATCTAGTATAAATTATGGTCTAGGGTACTAGCAGGCTACTGCATATTTTACAGAATAGATTTTAAATTCTGTCTGCCAGAATGCCTCCATCACAAGCGACTCTCAAAAATAATTTAACAATTAGGAAGTTTCTGACCTCAACTGCAACTGTTCAATTCTGTTTACCATGTGCCACCAGCAAGCAATATTCTGGTGAGACCTTTACAAAATTCATTAAGTAACACACTTATCTTGGTATTTACCGGAATATTCTGACAATCTTCCCAAACTTCTATCGACCATTCCCTTGGGAATCAGGTCTTTCATGAGGCCTGCTGGCTGGTTGCGTGGGCGGGTGAACAGTCCTGAGGTGCGTAGTCAGGCTGAATGCCACCTGACTTACCTCTGACTTTTCCCCCTAAATATCCATATTCCCACTGAGATTTTCAATTAAAAATAATGCAACCTGCAAAGAACTGAAACTGGAGCGCAATCAAAGAAAATAAGCTCATTCATTACCATAAAATACTGCAGAAAACAGACATGTAACAGCTCAGCCTGATGAAAAGAAATGGTAAATTTACTGCTGCATCACTGGGGAGATGAGGGAAAACAGGAATGTATATAGAGAAATAAAAGGCTCAACTACATACACTCTAAGAGCTCATTAAACCCAGAGATTCACTACTGGGGACAAGTCAGAAAAACTGTGACTGCTAAGGCTTGTCTTAATTGAAGTGTCCCAGGCTCTCTTTCTTCTATTTTTCTTTTTTTTTTTGAGATGGAGTCTCACTCTGTCACCCAGGCTGGAGTACAGTGGCACAATCTTGGCTCACTGTAACCTCTGGCTCCCAGGTTCACGCAATTCTCCTGCCTCAGCCTCCGGAGTAGCTGGGATTACAGATGTGCACCACCAGACCTGGATAATTTTTGTATTTTTTTAGTAGAGACAGGGTTTCACCATGTTGGTCAGGCTGGTCTCGAACTCCTGACCTCAAGGGATCCGATCCTCCCACCTCAGCCTCCCAAAAGGCTGCGATTACAGGTGTGAGCCATGGCACCTGGCCTTCTATTTTTCAATAAAACTATCGTTATTGTTTTTTTCTATTAAAAAAACTAACTGGGAAATACATAACTGTCTTAGTATAAAATATAATAATATTGAAATAAAAACATGAAAATGTCTCTTTACTTCCCTTTCCCACTCCTCTTCCCAGAGACAAAACAACAGCAACACTTTGGGATACATACCTATGTATTTACACACATATGCATACATACTCCTGATTTATATTCACACACAGAGAGATTTTTCTTTTTCTTTTTCTTTTTTTTTTTTTTGAGGCGGAGTTTTGCTCTTGTCGCCCAGGCTGGAGTGCAAAGGCGCGATCTCGGCTCACTGAAACCTCCACTTCCCAGGTTCAAGCGATTCTCATGCCTCAGCCTCCTGAGTAGCTGGAACTACAGGCGTGCAGCACCATGCCTGGCTAATTTTTTTTTTATTTTTAGTAGAGACGGGGTTTCACCATGTTGGCCAGGCTGGTCTTGAACTCCTGACCTCAGGTGATCCACCCGCCTCAGCCTCCCAAAGTGCTGGGATTACAGGCGTGAGCCACCGTGCCCAGCCCAGATTTGTTTGTTTTAATGCATGATGTCAGCTCTGTGTATTGACTCATTACACCTTCACTGTGTTTTGGGGATCTTTTAGCGGGGTGTTATACACATGTAAAGTACATACATCGAGTCTTTCCAGTTCTTTCTAATCACAGGATAGTAGAATGCTAAAGACCACTGAACCAGATTGAGTTCCACTGCTGGGTTCACCTTTACTAGCCGTGTAGCTTTGACCAAGTTAAACCCTGTGCCAGTTCCCTCATCAATAAGTACTAAGTACTAATATAATAGTATCTATCATAAAGCATAATTCTGGGCACATTGGTAATGCTATATGTGTGCTTGTTAAATTTAAAACAAAGTCCATATATGGACATACCATGAACTATTTAATCATATATCTTTAAGAATATAGGCAAATAGGGATTTCAAGTAGATTTCTCTAAAGTGGAGTTTCTGGGTCAAGAGCATGCTCATTTAATTAATTAATTTATTTTTTTAGATACTACCAAGCTGAATGCTTTCCAAAACACCTTAACCAATTTATACTGCCACCAATGCTGCATGACAGTCAACATCTCTGATGCTAAAAGAGGTGTATTATTCCCAATTTGTTCCTTCTGTCATGTTTATGCTTTCATTAAACACGTATTTAACTGAACACCTACTATGTGCCAGGTACTGCAGTAAAAGCCCCATTACAACCACTTAACCTGGAATGCCCTGCTCTCTCTTCCCTTTATTCCTCTATGTCCTACCCAGATTTTAAGGCCCAGTTCAAGTCTTTCCTCCTCAAGTTTTGTAGCACTCACTGATTTCCTACTCTTTCCAACTGCTAGAGTACCAAAATGTACTGCTCACAACCGAGAATTTGATCAGAGATTAGATTCTATTACCTACTGTTATAGTATGGGTGGTAACCAGCTTATCTTGCTACATGTATAGTAATACAATTCCTTGGGAAACGGACACTATCTTATACCCCATCTACATGCCCCCATCACCTCACAGAGAGAGGGGAACACTGCAGGTGTGCCCTGCCCCAGATGCACCCTGCATTCTCACTGCCCCCACCCTGCATTCTCATTGCCCCCACCCTGCATTCTCACTGCCCTGTGAGCTTTCCCTTTTCAGGCATTTGTCACACACTGCACTTCCCGCCTCCTTCAATGGAGAGCTCTTTGAAGACAAAGGTCTTGCTTAATAATGCATGCGGTTAACACAGCTAAATGCTGAGTAAAAAAAATTGGTTACTTTTGGAATATTATTCAGTGCTAAAAAGAAATGAGCTATCAAGTCATGGAAAGACATGGAGGAAACTTAGATGCCTATTACTAAGGGAAAAAAAGTCGATATGATTCCAACTGTATGACATTCTGGATAAGACGAAACTATGGAGACAGTAAAAAGGTCAGTGGTTGCCCAGGGTAAGGGGGAGGAATGAAAAGACAGAGCAAAGGGGATTTTTAAGGCGTGAAAACACTCGGTGTGGTACTACAATGTTGGATACATGTCATTACATGAACACGGAACACCAAGAGTGAGCCCTAGTATAAACTATGAACTTGGGGTGATGATGTATCGCAGGTTCACCAATTCTTTTTTCTTTTTTTTTTTTTTTTTGAGACTGAGTCTCGCCCTGTGGCCCAGGCTGGAGTGCAATGGCGGCTCACTGCAACCTCCGCCTCCTGGGTTCGAGCAATTCTCCTGCCTCAGCCTCCCAAGGAGCTGGGACTACAGGCACGTGCTACCACGCCCAGCTAATTTTTTGTATCTTTAGTAGAGACGAGGTTTCACCACGTTGGCAAGGCTGGTCTTGAACTCCTGACCTCGTGATCCGCCCACCTCGGCCTCCCAAAGTGCTGAGATTACAGGCATGAGCCACTGCACCCATCCAGGTTCACCGATTGTAACAAATGGGCCGCCCTGGTGAGGGATGCTGACAATAGGGAGGCTATGCACGTGTGGGGCCAGGGAGTGTGTGGGAACTCTCTGCACCTTCCTCTCAATTTTGCTGTAAACTGAAAATTACTTTATAAAATAAAAGTCTTTTGAAAAATAAAATTAGGCCAAGCATGGTGGCTCACATGTGTAATCTCACCACTTTGGGGACCAAGGCACGAGGATCACTTGAGCCCAGGAATTCGAGACCCGCCTGGGCAGCAAAGTGAGTATCTCTACAAAAAATTTAGAAAACTAGCTAAGTGTGGGGGCGTGCATCTGTAGTCCCAGCTTCTTGGGAGGCCGAGGCAGAAGGCTTGCTTGAGCTCAGGAGATCAAGGCTATAGTGAATCATGTTCGTGCCACTGCATTCCAGCCTGGGTGACACAGCAAGACCCTGTCTTAAAAAATAAAATAAAATTTTAAGAAAATGAATTTTGATGAATCATACTTTAGGAAAGATCAAATTATCTTTCTAGTCCTGCTACAGAAAATATCATAGTCGCAGTCACATGTGATAAAAGAGAATGTAAAGCCAAAAAAGAGTAGCAAAAAAAGTACAGAAGAATGTTAAGGCAATTAAAGAGTTTGTAATGATTTTGGATGTATATTGTTTGTGGTACTAGACACAAACAATGTTACTGTGGTAATAGTGATATTTACACTTCAAAACTTGTGATGATTTTTCCTCATTCTAAATAAATATTCACCTTAAAATCTGAAAAAAACAGGTTATAAAGCAACATGTTCAAAAATATTCTAATCTTGTTAAATATGTTTTTATAAACATAGAAACAAATGCTAGAAGATAGTAACATCAAAAAGTTAATAGTGGGTATCTCTAGGAGTTGGGGGCATATGGAATCCTAATAACCTTCCATCTGCTTTTCTGTATTTTCCAGATTTCCTAAAATGAACATGTACTGCTCTTCTAATCAAGGGTAAAATGAGATGTTACTTTAAAACCTAAGGTGGCTCAGGCCTGTAATCCCAGCACTTTGGGAAGACAAGGTGGGTGGATCACGAGGTCAGGAGTTCGAGACCAGCCTGGCCAACATGGTGAAACCCTGTCTCTACTAAAAATACAAAAATTAGCTGGGCATGGTGGTGTGTGCTTGTAATCCTAGCTACTCGGGAGGCTGAGGCAGGAGGATTGCTTGAACCTGGGAGGCAGAGGTTGCAGTGAGCCAAGATCACGCCACTGCATTCCAGCCTGGGCGACAGAACAAGACTCTGTCTCAAAAAAAAAAAAAAAAAAAAAAAAAAAAAATTCAGACAGGCAAAAGGAAAGGCCAGGGAAACTAACAGCCTCATACCGCAGCAGCTGGTCCACCTTACAATACACACATTTGCACTGATGCTAGTCATAAAATGGATAAGGAAAAATTGGCGTAGAAGTAATACAATGGAAAAAGAAGAGCAACAAAATACATTCAGATTAGTCCACTCCTAAGTTCCAGAGACAGGAAATTAAAAGAAGAGGTTCCTACTTCTTGGGTAAGGTTGCTACAGATAAATAAATAAGAAAGGGCTCTGAACAGAGAGTAGAATGGTGGTTGCCGGGCTGATGAAGGGGAAGTAGGGAAGTTGGTGTTTCGAGGGGACGGTTTCAGTTTTGCAAGCTGAAGAGAGTTCTGTGGATGGACAGTGGTGATGGTAGCACAGCAGTGCGAGTGTACTGATGCCACTGAACTTTATACTTAAAAATGGTGAAGGTGGTGCCTTTTTTGTTATATATATTTTGCCATAATTGTAAAACCAAGGGGAAAAAAATGAGCTCTGAGATCAAACTTCCTGCATTCAAATCCTAGCTGTACTACCTACTGCTTGCGTGGCAGCCAGCAAGTCCCTAACCTCTCCCCATAGTGGGGACAATTTCATTACATACCTCACCAGGCTTGTAAAGATGAGATGAATTCATTCATATAAAGCACTCAGAATAGTGCCAGGCATCTGTTAAGTGAGCAATAGATGCTAGCTATTATCACTGTTATTAATAATGCAGACAAGATCTCCAAGTCCTCCAAGGTTGCAGGAAAGCAAGTACGACTCAATGGCTGGGATACTTTGCCCTGACCCAGGGGCAGCTGAGCTGCAGAGAAGCTACAGAAGCAGCATGGCATAGGGACCTGGGCTTAAAAGGTGAGGCAGTGAGGGACAGGGTGCTGCCCTTCCTGAAGCCTGGGCCAGGAGGGATCCAAACACCAGGATGGCAGGGGTTCACTGCAGTGGCAACCAGTGACAGCCAGTAGGTGACACAGGCTATGCCATTTCTGGCTCAGCTCCCTTCCTGTTTTCTCCATTTCCCTTTATTGTACACAACAGCAGGGTGGGATTGATCATAAAGAAACTTTAAAAGTTTATTCATTAAAGAAAGGAAGAGCTTTACCTGTAAGTCTGATTTTGAATTTGTTTTTCCTGAAAAACACTCTTAAGGACTATCACATACTCATTGAGGAAGGAATAGATGGACCAGGGATGACATTTTAGTATTTATAAGACAGGAGTTCTTCCCTCAAAGAGATTCTGCTTTGTTTTCTCAGGAATACTGGCCTAGGGATGCAATCTTGCAACTCTAAAGCAATGCTGCGTGCACTGCCATTTCTCCACATCCAGCTCCGTGGGAAAACACAGCACGGCAGGATGGGGCAGGCAGCTGTCCACAGCCACGGGCTCCTCAACACCAGCCACCGGGCTTTCCAGGGGCTTGAAGCCAATGACAAAGAGGGTGGTGTGAACTCTGGAGACCAAGGCACAAAGGATGTGGGTTTATCATCAATTCAATAAGTAGATTTATTTTTTAATCATTTGAAAAGCTGCTAAAATTCTACAAGCCTCTTTTAATAAAATGTTGTAATCTATAATAATTTAAACAGCTTTCCATTTCTTTTAGTAACTCAGAATGAACGCATTCAAGAAAATGGAAAGGCACACGGCTGGGTCAAATAACAGAGAGGGAAGGAGAGGCAGAACCCAGACTGCCATAAAAACAACCTGGACCTTGGAAGAGTGTAACATGCTATTTTAAAATATAGCAACTTACTTGCAATTGTATTGCCTCCATCATCTGTAATTATTTTTAAATAATCTTACAATTATTTCAATTGCTAAAACCTACAGTTCCCTAGAGAGGTAGTGAAAAACTCGCTGACACAAGGTGTATTTTATTTCCTTCCCTCTTAGACCTCTTGAAAATTCACTGATACATCATTTTCACTTCCAATCCAATGAAGTCTGGTGCTGCATTCTCTAGATAATGTATACAACCAATATGTGTGTATATTCCAATAACAAGAAAAACAACAATTCACATTATGAAGACCAAGCTTCAGGAAGAAACACTGCCTAGAAACTTCTATCATTGAGAGCTTCAGGCAGCTGGAAAAGTTAAACATTTATGCCAAGCAATTCCAGCTAATAGCAAAGTTTAAATTTATCCATGCAAATTAATAGCAACCTATGATGAAACTGCAGAAACTCCTAACTGCAACTGCTCATTGGCTGACAAACTGAGAAGAAGGAGAGAAGGCTGTGTTTTCACTTGAGCACTAGAGAAACCTGAGAGCAAGGCCAAGTTTGAGCTCATCTGAAATTGAAAATATTGTATAAATGTAAAGTCAACCACTGTAACAGGGTAGAAGTGCAACTACTTTAGACCTGGGTTATAGAGAGAAAAATTCCCTCAAGTGCTAGGCTAGGTGTGTCTGCTCTGTTGCCCAGACAGCAGCTTGTGGGCAGGGTGCTCCCCCGCGTGTGTGACCTAAGCCCTGGTGGGTCCCCAGGGCTCGCTCCACTGACAGCCGGGGGCTGGCGGCAGTCAGCTGTCCCCTGGACAGAGCCGTGCCTCCTGCAAGATGAAGATGGCACTGGATGTTTCCTCTATGACACCTCTACCTCCCACAGCTACCGATAATGAAAAAATTCATTGTGCTTACATTTGAGGGCATCGCAGGGCCAAATGTCTTTCTTTCCCCATCTCATGCTGCTCAGTTCCCCCCGCTCCACACGATGCCTAGCATCTCATCTATTAGTTTATCACTGCATGAGGTTCTTGCCATCTGAATACCACCGATTACACGCAGATGAGTTACTCTAAGGTGTCCCGGGATAGCTGCCTGCGGCCGCTCTGGATGGGCAGTTTGAAAAAGAGCCTGCTGCCCTCGTGCCTTCTGTCCTCAGTCCTCACAGGCCAGCCATGGGGGACAACAGGGGCCAGAGTGAAAGACACGCAGGCAGAAAGGAAGGCGCCACGGAGTGGGAAAAGGCGGTGTGTTCATCATGTGTTTACTGAACCACAGTGTGGGCACCTCAGTGCAACCAATGAGAAAACGTGGAGAAGAAGGTAAGAAAAGCTCTAAGGAAAATGCTAATGAACATAATGATATTCCTTTCCTATTCTTCCTGCTTAGGAGCTGAAGAGCTTCAGAGCTGAGAGGTGGCGTGAACCCTCCTGCTAGGGGACTTCATAAAGGCTGGACAACACCTACACAGGAATGTGGAGAAACAATGGAAGCATGGGCTGCAAGCTTGCCCTGGATCACTCGGCATTTGTGGCTTTAAGGGAATCTACTTCCACATGCATTTTTTCCTAGAAACTGGCAAGTCTCAGATGGCACCTGCACTGGAGGGACCGTGCTGCTCCTCTTTGCTCATTTCCCCATTCACAGTTGCCCTCTGCTACTGAAAAAAAAAAAAAAAAAAAAAAAAAAAAGTACTTAATCTCCTACCATGCTGAATCTTGGCATAGTATTTATACCTGGAAATGTGAAAACCTCCAGGGCACCAGAGAGGGAAGTTTAGATACAGTACTGTTACCAGCAAAGCCTCTTTTACTCAAGAACCATTAACTTACATTAGGGCTCCTTGACGTCCTGTTTCAGTTAAGAGAAAGACACGACATGAGAAATAGGGTCTTCAAGCCATTTCTCCCCAGGTTGAAACATTCTGATCTTAGACCACTGTAGAGTGTGGGGGTAGAGATACCAAATTTTGTTTAACTATCTTGCTCCTTCTATCCTCTGTCGCTCTAGTTGGTATTTATAACATGCCAGATTTGGCAAAGCTCCAAACCTTATCTAGCTCCGCATCTATCTTAGAGTTGGAATGCAAGAATAGCACTGTTGTCATGGTGGCATATAGGGTATCACATGTTTATCTGATTCCAGAAATAATATCTCATCCCTTCTGACAGTTACTCTGACCCAGTGATATGTCTGGGCATGAGGTCTGGCCCTATGGCTATGTAGCAGACATTCTGTACTGGAATGAATGAGCTAAACCTTCAGTTTGTGGGAAACATCTTAAGATTCATGGTGAGATAAAAGCATTTTATCAAAAACATACTGGCAAAGGTTTACTTCAGTGAAAATTATTCCAATTTTCTCAACCCTTTCTCAGTATTGCAAGGTACAACTGAGTGATAAAAACAGTTCAATGAATTGAGATCGGAGAGCTTGGGAAAAGCTTCTCTGGTGTATTTCCCAGAGGCCAAGAAGCCAATGACTAATGAAAGGTAACAAAACCTTGTGCAAGTTAGAGTTTTTCAAAGTTGTGTTTTTAGTAACACTGAAGGGAGTCCTAATTGAGTTGTTAGCTTATAAATCACACACACAAAAATTCTGTAATATAATCTGACTTTTGGCATCTAGTGGAGAAGGGGGTCAAAGAACTGAATGACATTACTGGACATTTTTTTAAAAACCCAAAAAACTCCTACTCCCATCTGTCTATTAATATGAGCAAAGCTCTCAATCCTGGCATCTATTCAAAAACAAGAACATAACTGTTACTGAAGATCCTGTCTCATTCTAGCAGCAAGTGATATTCATCTCAGATATCTAAAACCAATTGAAAAAAATTTTCACTCATAACATTTTACCTTTGTTAATATTTTCATAAATTTTATAATGTTTACAATTGTAATCAAATACTAACATTTATAACAATGCAAAGAAACCTTTAGTACTAAAGTCTTATAGAATATAGCTTTTTAAATTTTAATTTTTATACATATTTCTGCAGTAATGAAGTATGATGAAGTAATCGATAAAAGACCCTCAGAGATTAAAACAATTGAGTTAACTCGGTAAATGGAGCTAATGGAAGAGAGATGATAGCTGAAGGTATGCACATGGCTTCTGGAACTCAGTTTCACCCCTACAAAAAGGACACGAAGTTAACTGAGTTATCCTATAGGAAGGATAAAATGGAAATACAAATTAAAGGAGACATAGAAGTATAAGCTTTTCAATGACTGAAGAATAGCTTGCTCATGTATTTATTTAACAGAATGACAGTGGCAATCAAAACTCGATGGTATGTGGATTCCACTAGCTACCTTTAAAAGAATGATACAACACTTTTCTTTCACTTTAAGTAGTCGGTATTCCTGATGTACCAGACCTTTGTCACCTCTTGCAATAATCCAGGACTATTCTATTACTCCAAGACATTTGAACACACACAAGGGCAGCACGCACATGGCCTTGAGCTCAAGTACCTCCTCAAATTTTGTGCTGAGGTCCTGGGGCTGGTTGCCTAAGTCACTGAGCATGAACACCAACGACCTAACCTCTGGCTGAGCCCTGCTGAGAAAGCCACTGGAGCAAAGGGATGGAGGAGAAGAGGAGGACGGAAACAGGGTACACACAGGACATGAGGCTTTCGGATTAAAGAGTCCTGTGACAAAGGGGAAACAAGCAGAAAGAAATAAGCAAAGGCTTCAAATGACTAAGCAGTGTCAGGATTAGTTCTCAGGAGCCGGAGATTTGTTTGTTTGGTAAAAGCTTCAACCACAAACAGATTTAGGGTTGAATTCCAGTTAGGTAAAGTATTCATTTCACATTGTATAATCTGACATTTTGATAACATAATCCTGCTCAAAACAGACTGGGAGAAGAAAAGAAGGATGTCATCAGTATTGGAAATCAAAGTGGCTAAATGCTATTTGGAAAAAGGTAAAGTACAACGTGCAGGTGCATGGGAGTGGAGGAGATGGGGCAGAGTGAGCCCGGCTGGGGATGGGGCTGCAGACACGGGGGGCCAAGATGACAAATGCATGGAGAAGAACCTCTTCCTTTCCTTCCTAAGACAGAGTGAGACCTAGACCATATCTGGCAGATAAGAATATGTACTGTGAATTTAGAAAAGCCACATATTTTGAATAATAATAGCATTACACCATAAAATGATATCATCATAGCATACAAATCTGGGGCATTAATTGTTACGGAAAAAATGGGATGAGGACTCTGGTTGAGTGTGGAATTGTGGGGCTGTCACCCGCAGGATGCTTACACCCCGCACTCTGTCCTGGCACGCTCCTCACAACAACAGAGAGCAGGAAGAGCTAAGGCTCAGTATCAAATTTCCTCTTCCACTCTTAGGACTTATTAACAAATTAAGAAGCTGGGTAAATGGAGGTAAGGGAAGAGAGATGATAGCTGAAGGTATACACATGGCTTCTAGAACTCAGTTTCACCCCCACAAAAAGGACACGAAGTGAAGTATTTGGATTAATGTGATAGAATCAGAAACATGCAGGCTGGGCGCGGTGGCTCATGCCTGTAATCCCAGCACTTTTGGAAGCCAGGGTGGGTGGATCAACTGAGGTCATGAGTTCGAGACCAGTCTGGCCAACATGGTGAAACCCCATCTCTGCTAAAAGTACAAAAAATTAGCTGGGCATGGTGGCATGCACCTGTAGTCCCAGCTACTCGGGAGGCTGAGGCAGGAGAATCACTTGAACCCGGGAGGTGGAGACTGCAGTGAGCCGAGACTGCACCACTGCATTCCAGCCTGGGCAACAAAGTGAGACTCCGACTCAAAAAAAAAAAAAAAAAGTGGTAATATTTGTATTTCTCTCTCAAGACTCCTCATTTTTAATCTTTACTGTCGCTTAGTGCTTATACCTTGATTGTGTCTGCTGCCTAAGAGAGAAGGTCCTACAGCAGACAGTGCCCAAAGAACAATATTTCCAAAAGCTAGGTGATCTCCTTTCAATCCACATTAATAAAAATGTTCTTTCAGAACATTTGTCTCCTATGAACCTCAGCAGAAAGAAGTTTCCAAAAACACGACTTCCCCTGAAGCTCTCTCTCTATGCTTTGAATCAGTAAGTTCTAGAGATATGATTCAGAACATTCTATGGAACCCTTTCAACCCAAACAGCTCTATGTTTATTTGTTGTATTTTATTTATGATTCAGCATAAGCATTTACTTGTACAAGAAGTTATGTGCCTAAACATAAAAGTAAAACCGCATTCTAGAGAAACAGAGTATCTTTCAGAACATAGCAGGTGCAATCCAACATAACATCATCTCCTATCTTTTAAAAGAATGGTTAGTCTCGATTTGGACGTAAACTAGACAGATTGCTAGTCACCTTCATGAACAAATTCATAACACCAACACTACAGCTGACACCCAGTGAAACAGGAGAGAGCAGGAGAAAGGAATCAGTCAACAGAAATACAGAAAACTGTATATTCTAAAGTGGCCAAAAAGACTAAACCATATCTGAAATGTTCATACAAACTCCTTTGACCAAATAACCTTACAAAGATACAGTACAAATTCTATAGTAACTCAGAGCAGTGTTTTTCAAATGGTGGGTCTGGTTCATTAACAAGTTGTAAAATAAATGTAACGAGCTGGAATCAATGTTACTTTAATATAATAGAAAATACAATTTGTAGTAATGATGAGCATTCTTTTGTGAAACTGATTTTAATTTTAAGGACATGCATATATACATATTTGCATACTGGATCATAAAGGTAAACATATTTAACTAAGGGTTTGAAAAATACTGACTCTGCAGAATACAAATAAATACTAATTTTTATCTTGAAATTTTCAGTTCCAAAGAGACAAACGTGTGTTACTGTCATCTGTCTATATACATTTGCTTTGTCCTGTTGAATCCTAATAGAATTGAAATAAAATTAGAGCTCAAGTCTCATTCTCAGCTGTGATTAATGATAATATGAACTATTATTTATTGAGCGCAACGTTAAACCAGGAATAGTTCCAGGCATTTTACATAAATTATTTATCGCTCAATACACCTACCTCTAAGGTACAAATTATGATGCTAGTTCTACACTGGATGGAATGCTACTCACGTAGGAACTGCAACTTGCTTGGGGTCTCACAGCCAGGAAGCGGGAGAGCGGGGATTAGATCCCACATTATCAGGCTCCGAAATTTAGATGAATTACTCTCCATGCAGGAGTCAAAAAATATTTGTTTAAAATTAATGTTTATGAAATTTGTTCCTTGGAAATTACATTTAGGAAGTTTCAGATTTCATTATCCACTCAGAGAAGAGAGACATTGGAAAAATGCCAGAGGCCAGGCATGGTGGCTAAGGCCTGTAATCCCAACACTTTGGAAGGCTGAGGTGGGAGGACTGCTTGAGCCCAGGAGTTCGAGACCAGCCTGGGAAACATAGCAACACTCCTTCTCTACTAAAAATACAAAAAAATTAGCCAGGTGTGGCACGACGCGCCTGTGGTCCCAGCTACTCAGGAGGCTGAGGTGGGCGGATAAATTGAGCTGGGGAGGTTGAGGCTACAGTGAGCCATGAGGGCACCACTTCACTCCAGTCTGGGTAATGAGCCCCTGTCTCAAAAAAATGAAAAGAAATGAAATGAAAAAAGAAAGAAAATGAAAAGAAAAATGCCAAAGTGGGTATCTCTGCAGCGGACAGGATTTCAAGCCACAGAATGAAGTGTGCATGAGGTGACTGTACTTCCCAGCACAGGGAAAGTTCTGGAGTGCTCCCAGGGTACACATTCAATTGCAAAATGTTAAAAGGTAATGTCCAGGCAGATTCTTTTGTGCCACATGACTTACATGTTCGGTGGTCCAAGGTCACACTAGGAAGAGTTATGAGAACTTTACCCAGAATCCTAGCCTGACTGACATCAGGGTGGTGGTGTTGACTACTACCTTCAAGGGAATCCAAGGATTTCTATGAAAGGAAATGCTGCCATCTCCCTACCTCCCCCCACATCAGATCCACCTGCACAGATAACTAAGCAGAGACATATTCCAAATATTTAATATACCACACTTACAAATTCCAAATACGAAAACTTGCTCTGTGCACAGAAGTGTAAGTGAAATTCTGTTCTCCACTGTGGGGTTGTCTGTTCTTTCTGAGAGTTTCTAGGTAAGTCTATGGGGCAATATAAATGTGCTGTGTCAACAGAAACACGGCATTTTCAGTTTCTGTTTGTTTTTTTTTTTACATCAAAAATGCACACTAAAGCCATTAGAGCAGCTCAAATTCTTGTCAGAAAAAAGTCACCTACGACTTTTCACAATTTATGATTCTCGTACGTTCCCATAAACGTTGTCGTGCACCACTTTAATGCAAACTTTTAGGTTCCTTTCTAAAGAATATGCGATTAAACATATCTGCTTAATATCATATGACAAAACCATTAATTTACCATTCCAATACATTTTCTGAGGATGCTCCAGATACTGAAGTCATTTCTGGAAAACATAGGAGAAGGCAAACTTGTTCTGAAAAAAGAAAAGAAAAACATAAAGTTCATTCTAATGCCATTGTCAGCAGGAGGGAAGAACTGCTTTCATTCACATGAGAGCTGCAGGCACAGAAAGACCCTTTAAAAATGTGTGTCATCACAGACAGGGCTAAGCAGGGCTAATCTAGGGTTGCACCTGTTCACCTATACCTACTTTGGCCCCTGAAAGATTCTGTAGCAATCAACTGCTCCTCTGTCTTCAGCATTGCTCTGATCTGAACTCAGTCCTCCCAGTCCTTGGGATCCAGCTGTTTGGACCACCTCAGAGATCCACTATGCTTTCACGTTATGGCACATCTGACCCTGTTGTTGGATTTATGGCACACCTACCATGTTCTGATACTTAATACATTATCATTCTCTAGCCGCTAAATGATGTAAACAAAATGCCATCACAAAGCTTAGATACAGGTTTTTAAGAAATGAAATGGAAAATAGAAAACTTTCATAAAAGCCAAAGTATTTTTAAAAAGTAAAAGCCAAAGTAAAAATAAATAAAAAGTAAAAAGTATTTAGGCCCTGTAACATACATCAGTACTTCCCCAAGGAGACTAACACTAACAAAATTTAGCAATTCTGGGTAGACTGGAAAACAAATTAACCTCTACAGAAAGAGCATCTTCGAAGCCTCTGTAGGTGTTCGAAAGTAGCCAAGGGATGACGGCTGCCTGGGGCTGAAGGTCTGTGGCTTGGATAAGCAGCACATCAGAGTCAGGCCTGGTGGGCAGGGAGCCACCCCATTTCCACAGATCAGAATGGCAGCACCATCAGGAATGAGGGGTGGTGCAAGAGGTGCCCAGGCCAACTTTCCAGAACACTATTATGAAAGTTTTCCAGTTGCTGGCCGGGTGTGGTGGTTCACACCTGTAATCCCAGCACATTGGGAGTCCAAGGTGGGCAGATCACTGGAGCTCAGGAGTTTAAGACCAGCCTGGGCAACATAGTGAAACCCATCTCCACTAAAAATACAAAAATCAGCCACGTGTGGTAGTGCACGCCTGTAATCCCAGCTACTCAGGAGGCTGAGACAGGAGAATCACTTGAACACGTGAGGCGGAGGTTGCAGTGAGCCGAGGTCACGCCATTGCACTCCAGCCTGGGCAACAGAGCGAGATTCTGTCTCAAAAACTAAAAAATAATAAAATAATAAAAGGTTTTCCAGTTGCCTTCTGAAATACATCCATGTAGCTAAAATATTAGATATTTTAAAAATTATCTTCTGAAGAACCTCTAAATTAAACTAATTAATTTGGATTATAGAAGTTAATACAATTTACATTTTTAAGTCAATAATCCATGGTGGAATTCTTCTAGTTTCTTTTTCTTTTTTAGGAACACACACTGCTCATTTGGCAGATATGCCATCTAACCAATCTGCTGGATAAGTGGCCACAGATGGTATTTAAATCACATTCCCCACTATCCAAGACTATCAATCTCTGTGACACGAATAATAGATACCAGGAATAAGAATCCCTGCCATTATCTATGCTTTGCATGTATAATATAGTTTTAGAGATGTATGTAAATTAAATTTTCCATCTATTTTGTTCTTTTCTTTTCTTTTTTTTTTTTTTTTTTGAGATGGACTTTCGTTCTTGTTGCCGAGGCTGGAGTGCAGTGGTGTGATCTCAGCTCACTGCAACCCTGCCTCCCGGGTTCAAGCGATTCTCCTGTGTCAGCCTCCCGAGTAGCTGGGATTTCAGGTGCCTGCCACCATGCCCGGCTAATTTTTTGTATTTTTAGTAGAGACGGGGTTTCACCATGTTGGCCAGGTTGGTCTTGAACTCCTGACCTCAGGTGATCTACCTGCCTCGGCCTCCCAAAGTGCTGGGATTACAGGCGTGAGCTACCGCGCCCAGCCAAATTTTCCTTCTACTGTCTTGGAAAAGTCCATCCAAAGTGTAGCATACCTAGAGAGTTATGAGCTTGAAAGAAGCTTGTGAAGAGGGAATGAGGGCTGTCATTCACCCCCAACAAACGCTGACATTAAATGTATAGACCGTGTGCTACCATTCTAACTAAAGGCAAGAATAGCAGAAAGGCAAGAACAACAAATATCTTGGAGGCAGAAGATGAGAGACATTCGAGCTTTGTAATTATCCTCAGTTTAGAAATTGTCAGAGGACTGTCAGCCAAGAGTCCCACCTGGGAATATCCTATACTCATTTTTATGCACAAAACTTTCTGTGATTTTATGAGAATGTAATCATTACTCATTTATAAGGAAGTCAGATTATCTGCAACATTCATTACCTATTCAGAACATAACCAGAAAGCAGAGGGGAAGGGGTTTTGAAAGGTAAACAGCCGTTACAGAGCCCATGTTATTTTCTTCCGTAGGACACGCAGAGCCAAGAGCCTTGCCTCACTGAGACCACACTTTGTGCAATAAACTGATGGGAAGCAGCAAGAGAAACACCGGCCCACGAGACACCCACGCAGCACACAAGCCATGGCTTAGTAAATGACCTCTCAGTTGCTGACCACAGTCTAAGCCCATAGCATGACGAGGCTGCCAAGAAGACAGGTGCAATCTCAGACTGCCACAATGGGGCAGCAGGCAGAGCGTTCCCGAGGGCAACCTGAGCTGGGACTCAGGCTCAGGTGTCACTGTTGTTTTGGTGTTTTTTTTTGTTGTTTTTTTTTTTTGAGAGAGAGTCACACTCTGTTACCCAGGCTGGAGTGCAGTGGTATGATCTCGACTCACTGCAACCTCCACCTCCCGGGTTCAAACGATTCTTCTGCCTCAGCCTCCCGAGTAGCTGGGACTACAGGTACCCGCCACCATGCCTGGCTAATTTTTGTTATCTTTAGTAAAGATAGGGTTTCACCATGTTGGCCAGGCTGGTCTCGAACTCCTTACATGCAGTGATCCACCCACCTCAGCCTCCCACAGTGCTGGTATTACAGGTGTGAGCCACCACACCTGGCCCAGGTGCCACTTTTAAAAGAAATTGGAAGACCGCCACGCAGGAGGACTGATCCGAGGCGAGGCAAAGGTGTCTGGAAAACATCTCTTACAAGCAGTGCTAAGGGACGTGCAAAGCTAGAGAAACAAAAGCTGGGGGTGTGGCGAACAGTGGGCACAAGGGGGGTCTTGGAATATCGGAGAGAGGGCCTGAGATGGCAGGAGTAATAACATCCTTGCCCCCAGCTCCCCCGGCTCCCCCAGCTGCTATGCACTTCAGCCTGCTTCATCTTCCCCCTCCACAGCACTGATTGACGTGACATAAGGTACACTCTCTTGCTGATGTGTTGATGACCTCCTACCCCCAAACAGTATGTAAACTCCATGAGAACTCATATTCTGTCTACTGCTGTGGCCCTGTTGCCTAGGACAATGGCTAGCACCAACTGGGAGTTTAAGTATTTGTGGCAGAAGCTTTGGAATGTATACGACCTATTAGACATTACCTCTTTTGTAAAGAATTTAGTTTATTCTGTGCTACTCAAGAGAGAAGGACTATTACTGCAGGTGAATGCTTATATTAGGGTGGCTAATATAAAGACCTGTGTCACAATGAATTCTAAAAATAGGAGATGAGAGAGGCCTCTTAAGGAAGGGTTTCAGACAGAGGCTGGAGGATTCCACCAGTCAGGGCACAGAAAGGCACCCCAGCTCGACCAAGGATGCTGCTAAACATCATGCCAGGAACAAGACAGGCTCCACAACAAAGAATTACCCACCTACAACGTCAGCAGTGCCAGGGTCAAGAAATCCAGCCAGAGAAATACAATGAGAGCTTCATGTATAATCTCAAATTCTGTAGTAGCCACATTTTAAAAAATCAAAACTAATTTTAGTAATTTATTTTATTTAACCCAGTATATCCAAAATATTAGCATTTCAACATATAAATACATACAAAAAATGATGTTATACTTTTTTCCATATTGTCTTTGAAATCCAGTGTGTATCCTACACTTTTAGAGCATATCTCAATTAAGCTACTAAACAGTTAACATGAAATCTAGTCTTAACAGTCGTTTTTAATGGAAGAACAGTTTCTGCTTCATTTTACAACTGATGTTAATTAAAATTAAGTAAAAAATCAGGCCGGGCGCCATGGCTCACGCCTGTAATCCCAACACTTTGGGAGGCTGAGGCGGGTGGATCACAAGGTCTGGAGTTCGAGACCAGCCTGGCCAAGATGGTGAAACCCTGTCTCTACTAAAAAATACAAAAATTAGCAGGTGCAGTGGTGGGTGCCTGTAATCCCAACTACTTGGGAGGCTGAGGCAGGAGAATCACTTGAACCTGGGAAGCGGAGGTTGCAGTGAGCTGAGATTGCGTCACTGCACTCCAGCCTGGGTGACAGAGTGAGACTCCGTGTCAAAAAAAAAAAAAAAAAAAGTAAAAAAATCAGTTTCTCAGTCGTACTACCCAGATTTCAAGGGCCCAAAAGCCACACGTGGCTAGTGGCAACTGTACTGGACAGAATGGATCTCTGTGATTACTTCTGAAAACAAAAGGGTTGTATTGTTTCAAGAATAGCGTGGGGAACAAAAATTTTATGACTCTAAAGTCAAGAACAGACAAAAAATAGTCCACAGTCTAATCATCAAGAAAATGCTAAATCTTCTGCAGTGTTATTTGAAGAAGCAGAGGGAGTAGAGAAATTTTAAAAAAAAATTAGGTAGGAGATTCAGTTAAAAAAAATAATTTGTGTTGAAAAGGATGTGTTTCCATATTTAAAAATTTCACTCTCTCTGCCAGGAAAAAAAGAAGAGAGAATTCCCGAATGGTGTTGGATGGCAGTGTTACTCCAGGCAGAAATAAGAACAGACGAGAGCAGCAATCAGAATTTTCAGGCTGAAAGCACAGCTCAGTGATTCTCTCTCGGTGGAGTTTATCTGAGGGTCATTATCTTGCATTCTATGCTTCCTTTTTCTCTTCATACAGAGAGAACACACCCTGTACCAGGGACTGGCAGTGATATGTCCTGGTTCTATTTTCAACCATACAGATGACATTACGACTATCTAGACAACAGCACAATAACTGGTTTTTAAATGAAGAGTCTCACAGTGGTTTCATCTATGTGATGCAAACGGCTCCGCCTGCTAGCACACCATTATTTCCCTGCTACACAGCATTGTAGGCAGACCCCAAAGAACCAAATTCATTAAAGAAGTGTTGACTAACAAATGCTGTGCTTGAATCCCCCTTGTTCTGAAAGTTGTGAAGGTCAAGAGATCACGATCTCCAAAATCTTTAAACGTTATTTGGATGGCAGAAATTACCTGTTATTTGGGCCCGGCACAGTGGCTCATGCCTGTAATCCCAGCACTTTGGGAGGCCGAGGCAGACAGATCACTTGAGGTCAGGAGTTTGAGACCAGCCTGGCCAACATGGTGAAACCCCGTCTCTACTAAAAATACAAAAATTAGCTGAGCGTGGTGGCACATGCCTGCAGTCCCAGCTACTCGGGAGGCTGAGGCAGGAGAATCACTTGAACCCAGGAGGCAGAGGTTGCAGTGAGCTGAGGCTGTGCCACTGCACTCCCACCTGGGCAACAGACCAAGAGTCCATTAAAAAAAAAAAAGAAAGAAATTGTATGTTATTTGGAAGCTGAGCCTCACAAATTTACCTAACTGCACAGATCTCCTTTATCTACCCGCTGGACACTGAGCCCACCTCCTGCATCTGCTCTGTGGATTGCTAGGCTAGACACTCAACACTGTTTGCTCATAGAGGCCCTCTGAAAAAAAGAACAAGATGATAACACAAAGGTAGGCAAAATTAAGCTTCATCTGGAATTGGCTGCCAGGCGTTTCATGCTTTCCAGGTTTGCCTCCTGATTTTCATGAGACACACATGAGCTCTTCTGGGTCTTGTGTGTGTGCATGCATATATTTACTGAGACATCCTTATACTTGGCAGGAGGTCGGGGAGGTGTCATCTCTTTCATGGAGGCTATAAAAGAACCGTGGAATGGAAACCAGAGCTACAGTGCAAACTCTTGCTACCACCCAGCTGCGTAACCTGGGGCAAATCTTGCAAGTCGAAGCTACACAGCTGTACAATTCTCCTTCTGCTGGCAGCTAGATCTGCACTAAGGAAAATGCCTAGGACAATTAAGGCTTCTCAGAAATGAAGGTTCAACTTCTTACCTACATGTCAGTTTTTAAGAATTTTTTAAATTGTTATTTTTATAAAGTACAAACATACTAAGATAAAAACACTCATTGTCAGTGGTGACATCATCTGTCCACTAAATTATCTTCTCACTACGTAGGAGCTCTTTGTGTATTACAGATATTTCATTCACCACCTGCATTACAGATAACTTATCCCAAGTCTAACATTGGTCATGTGATTCTGTTTACGGTATGATTTGCTAAACCAAATCTACCTACCTGGGAAGGCTACATATGTTATTATCATAATCTACATGTGAAACATAAACAGCTATCATTCAGTATTTTCCCAATGAACAAAATAAAAACAATTCATTATTAACAGGTATTCCAGAACAAAAGGTAAATTTCTTAATTCACAACATTTGGTATTTTTCCAACGGACAAGAAAAAAGCAATTCATTATTAACAGGTACTCCAGAACAAAAGGTAAATTTCTTAATTCACAACGCTTGGTAATCTTGACCTTAAATTTTTAGGAATTCAAGTTCTATGTCAAAACCAAAACAACACACATAATTAAAACAATCTTCTCGGGCATATGCCAAATGGTAGTAAATACAACTAAATTAGAGGGGGATGGAGTATGTGGTTATTTTTCAAATTAAAAAATAATTACTTTTTTTGGAGACAGAGTTTCGCTCTTTTTGCCCAGGCTGCAATGCAACGGCGCAATCTTGGCTCACTGCAACCTCCACCTCCTGGGTTCAAGCGATTCTCCTGCTTCAGCCATCCGAGTAGCTGGGACTACAGGCATGCGCCACCATGTCTGGCTCATTTTGTATTTTTAGTAGAGATGGGGTTTCACCATGTTAGCCAGGCTGGTCTCGAACTCCTGACCGCAGGTGATCCACCCTCCGTGGCCTCCCAAAGTGCCGGGATTACAGGCATGAGCCACCGTGCTTGGCCAAAATATATTATTATATAACAAAGGAAATGATCTACAGATAAAGGACAAGCTAGACCTCTCCTCCTGCACTCTCCAATACCAACAGTAACAGCACAAGTGCTCCTTTCCACACCCCCTCTTCACACAAACAAGGGTATACAGGTATGTGCATTTTTTAAATTGAAATATTACCCTATAGGTCACATTGCTTTTTCACGAAATATCAAGGACACTCCCCTTCACATCGACAGACACAGGTATATCTTTCTTTGTAATACCTTTAGGCACATGTACACGTATGTAGGTAGCATCTCACACACGCTGGTTTTATTTTTAATGTAGTCTTTCCCCGCTTTGTTCTTTTTGCTTGCCACCCCACTCCTCCATCTCCACCACCACTCTACCACCCTATAATCCATGTTAAGAAGCTGGCATCTATTTTTCTGTGCTTTTCCACATGTTCCCAAAGAGCCACATGTAGAGCATGCATGTGTGCACACACAAAGGGGTGTGCTGCCCTTCATATTCCAAATTAGGGTACTAATTATACACACTTCTCTATGGTCTGCTTGTCAATACTGCACGCAAATTTGTTGATGTCAAATGGTATACTAATTATTTTAAGGAATGTATAATATGCCATAAGAATACTATATCTCAAAATACATTTTGTCATTCTCCATGAAAGGCATTTACCATTTCATTCTTTTGCCAAAAGAAACAATGCAACAAAAATATTTCGATATATGATGTATTCTTATTTAAATCTGATGCCTTCATTTTAATGGGGCAGAGCACCGGGGTTAAAACTGCTGGGTCAAGGAGTATCTCTATTTCACATATCCACAGATGCGGCCAGACTGCTTTTGGAGAAGCTTTTAACAATTTCGTATCTCACCAGCAGTCTATGAGCACTCTCTTCCCACCAGAAAGAGTTGGTGTTAACAGGTGTTCTTGTCCTTTTAGGTTTTGGGTCTGACTGCGGTAATGATGCTACCTTGTTATTTTACTTTGTTTTTCCTTGACTACTAGTGAGTTAGAACATTTTTCATATGCTTAATGACCATCTGAATTCACAGATGGTCAACTGCCTATTTATAACATCTATACCGCTGGATTTTTTTGTTATTTAGTAAGAATTTTTTTTGTATGTGATAGCTATTAATCTTTTGTCACCTAGATTGTACATGGTACCATCTGCAGGTTAACAAAAAACTTTTACAAACAAGTATGTCTCCTTTTTAAAACTAGCTTCTGTGTTTTCTATCTTGGTGAAGGCTTCTCCCACCCTAAAGCTGTTTCTTTTTTTTTTTTTTTAAACATGATGTTCCCATTCTCTAAATGATATATATATATTTCTTCTCTCTCAAGTCCATAACTCTACATAAAGATAGCTAGGTCTCTTTAAGGGGTATGTCCTTGTTTGCTCATCTGGGGCCACTTGAGACTAAGATTCTCGTGCCCTCTATGCCTTTCACAAACAGGGTCTGTGCAGTGGCCCTATTCCCTTTCTCCTAAGACAGAGGAGCTCTCTCTCCAACACTTCTCTTACTCGCAATTCCAGGAATCTTAATAGTCTATATTTTTATTTAGCTTCATTCCAGCTTCTATCTCGGTTCAAAAGACCCTTGATCATTGATTTGTATGTTTCAGGGAAGACAGAAAAAGTTCAGGCGTTTTTAAAAAAGCAACACTTTCACAAATGCTGTGAAATCAAAATATCCCCAGGCTAGCTTTAAAGAGTTCTACTAAGATGAAGTGGATGAATACTAATGGCTAGCATTTAGTGAGAGTTTGCTCCAGTTTAGACTGTGTTAATCACTTAATGTGTATCACCTCATTTAATCCTCAAAGTAATCTTATTAAGCACTGGTATTAAATAACTTGTCCATGGTCATATATTGAATTAGTAGAATGGATTCTTTAACTCCACAGCCGTCACTCCTGGCTTTCAGAACTCTGCCACTTACTGACTGTGTGAACTTGAACATGTAACTAACCTATTCCAAACCTCGGTTTTTCTTAGAAAATGACAATACTAGTGTTTCATATGGCCGTGGTGGAGTTCCCATGAAACAATGCATACAGAGAGTGTTTTTAAAACTTTAGGCCCCATTCATTCTGATCTATAGACTCAATTTAATGGTAATATAACCAGCATTTTAAAAAATGAAATCAAACTCATCTGGCAAGGGTAGGTATTGTTAATGAAAATTCTGTCCCAACAATACACATTCACCCCATATGTGTGCATTATGTGGTCAAATTTAATTTTATTTTAAATATGGAAATTGGTCAGTGATATAAAACATTCAGCCCAGTGCCTGGTAGGTAGAAAACCTTCAACATGAAGTAGAGATTGATATTATTGTTATTATCAATAATTTCAGGGAAAATTTTCATCTTCCTGCCTGAGTTGTTAAAGATTTAAAACTACTATTACTTTTTGGATGAAAAATTTACTAATTACAGTTTCAAAAGATGATCTAAAAATGGTTATTTATTAAACAATTTTCATAACTACATTAAGGTTTTCACAGAGAAAGAGGAATGAAATTGTTTCTATTGCCCTGGAGAAAAGCAGAAAATGAAATGGTTTTCACCACTTGTGCTTCTTTTCCCCTAGGAAGCCTTTTTTATTGTTGTTGTTTTGAGACAGAGTCTCGATCTGTCACCCAGGCTGGAGTGTAGTGGTGTGATCTCGGCTCACTGCAACCTCCGCCTCTGGGGTTCAAGTGATTCTCCTGCCTCAGCCTCCCAAGTAGCTGGGACTACAGGCATGTGCCACCGTGCCCGGCTAATTTTTGTACTTTTAGTAGAGATGGGGTTGCACCATGTTGGCCAGGCTGGTCTCGAACTCCTGACCTCAGATTGTCCTCGCACCTTGGCCTCCCAAAGTGCTGGGATTACAGGTGTGAGCCACCACACCTGGATGGAAGGCTTTATACCTGGATGGTGAATGCCAGCCAATGGCTGTCACCTGGGACCAGATACAGGTACAAATGGAAGAGATTTTTCAAATTAATGAACTATCCCTTCTAAGAGCTTCTGGTTAGGAGGCTGCAGAATGCTAAACAAAGAATCTTTAAGCAGAGACTGTGGTTAAGACATAATGAAGCAACTCAGGAGGGACTCTGACTTGGAAATGTCCCTTTCTTTTCTGCCATTTAATAATTCATTGGTATTCTTTGTTTTAATGTCATATGACCAGAGTGAAAGTGCTGGGACAATTCCGTCCAATTAACATTTTTCATTTAATTAAAATGACGAAAGAACATACTAATAAATCCCAAACAATTTTACTGCGCCTTAAACATTCCATTGACATGATTAGATGGTATTAAAACTCATTCCCATCCAGATCCGAGGGTTACGTCCTCTCCCAATCTATCTCTGGGAGACTTCGAGCATGCTCCTCCATTCAGGCTTCTCTTCTGCACCCAGCCTTGGGGAATGATCTCAAAGTCAGCCACGATGTCAGCAATGGGATTTTGAAAGCAACTCAAAGGTTCTAATTTAGAACAATGAAATTGGCTAGTTCCGTGCTCAGCTTAAATTTCACAATTCTTTATTTTCCCTACCTTCATTCATTCCCTCTGCTGTTTTTTACATATCTGCCACTCAGAGTGTAATCCCCCTCCGCTCTGAGACTCTGAGATTAGAGACTATGTCTTATTCTCCTCTGTGTCCTTCAGGGTACAGAATATTTTGCATATGACAGGTGCTCAAAGTTTTAAAATAAATGATTTTACCTAATGTCTCAAGTTACGATGGAGCCAAAGAAAGAAAAACGGTGAAAAAATGATATGGATAAGTAAGCAATGAGGTATGAAGAACACAACAATCATTTTCCGTCTTGCTCTGTCACCCAGGCTGGAGTGCAGCGGTGCGATCTTGGCTCATGGCAACCTCCGCCTCCCAGGTTCAAGCGATTCTCCTGCCTCAGCCTCCCGAGTAGCTGGGATTACAGGCACCCACCATCATGCCTGGCTAATTTTTGTATTTTTAGTAGAGATGGGGTTTCACCATATTGGCCAGGCTGGTCTCGAACTCCTGACCTCAGGTGATCTGCCTGCCTTGGCCTCCCAAAGTGTTGGGATTACAGGCGTAAGCCACTGCGCTCAGCCTCTTATGTCACTTAAAAGAATATTTTCAAAACCAACTTATTTAACACACATTTTCACTTGCACTTAACAAATAAGTATTTTTTATTAAGTATTATGTAGGAATCATAATTTTAGGTAGCAGAATATTGATCTGTATATTTAGAAAAGTGAGAAACAACTTAATTCTTACCTCTGATTCCAGATTAAAGAATGAACTAAAAATCTAAGAAAACTATTCCACAGAGAAACAGATTTCAACACATCTGTAACTACAACATTGACAATCTGTATGTATACATGTATACTGTTATACGTGTGTTTTGCACTTGTGTGTGTATAACTATTTACAGCTATTAGATACTTATCACCTCTCTTCTCAACTATCAGACTTCTTATCGTTTCCTCCAAATCCTTCCTCTGTCACCCAGGCTGGAATGCAGTGGCACAGTCTTGGCTCACTGCATCCTCTGCCTCCTGGGTTCAAGCGATTCTCATGCCTCAGCCTCCGGAGTAGCTGGCACTACAAGCGTGTGTTACAACACTGGCTACGTTTCGTATTTTTAGCAGAGACAAGGTTTTGCCATGTTACCCAGGCTGGTCTCAAACTCCTGGCCTCAAGCTATCCACTCACCTCAGCCTCCCAAAGTGCTGGGATTACAGGCATGAACCACCGCGCCCTGCCTACAAGTCCCAATTTAAATATAATTTAATGACACAGCTTGTATCTTTAATTTCTATTGCTCTGCTGAAGTTTACTAAACACTCAAAGCAAAATAGTCTTCCAAATTAGGAAGTCATTAGAGCTAAACTATAAAATAAACTTGAATTCACAAAAGTAATTAGATTTTAAAATTATGTTAGAGAGTAAATTACTGTAGTAATTAAAAAGTCTCACTTCATTTTCACAAATGATGCATAATCTTGCTTGAAAAAAATCTTTACATAGTTCATCTGGGATACAGCTCACAAGTCTATTCTTTAAACAATGGTTGAAAACAAATGATGAGCAGAAAAGCCTAGCAATCTCACCACTGGATAAATACATTCTGACTTACAAGTCATTTGAAAAGTACCAAATTCCATTGTTAGAAATTTAACACTCATCTCTCTACTCCTTCTTTGTCCTGGTTGGGGCATAAGGAACCACAGAGAATGCAACACATTCTCTCCATTTGAAAGGCTAAAAGTTCCTACAAACACTGTTACTCACCTACCACCAATTTCTTAAGAACATGTAAAGTTGCTGTGGCAGATTTACTTACTTAATTAAACTCTTATTACCATTAGATTCCAAGCCCTGTTGAACCTGCAGTGAATGGCATAGAACCTGTAATATAGGTACTTAGCACACATTGCTGAGATCAACTTTATGCCAGATGATTTTCTATTAATTAGGGATCTAGAATGAGTAAACTGTCCCGCGCACATTTACAATGAGAAACAATTATTCCATAGTATCAACAACAAAAGGCCATTGTTTACTCTGAGGAATTAAAATGTTGCATCACTGAATTTCTGATGTGCTCTAAATACCTTTCATTCTTCTGTCATTCTCTTCAAAAGACACTGACCAAGTTAACTTCAAGAACACACCACTGGTGATACACCAGAGAGCACCAGGGCAGTGGCTGAAAGTTTGGGGTAGGCAACAATTACTTAGAACCCCCAAGAGAGCACTAACATAATAGAAAAATTACAAAGTGGACTTCATTAAAATTAAAGACTCTGTTCAAACAAAGAAGAAATTAAAGACTTCTGTTCATTATTAAAGAAATGAAAGGGCAAGCTACCAACTAAGAGAAAATACTCATGATACGTGTATTTGATAGAGGATTAGTATCCAGAATACATAAAGAATTACTACAAATCAATAATACAAAGACATACAAACAAATTTAAAATGGGCAAAACTCCCAGACACGTCACAAAAACAATGGCTAAGGAAAACATGCAAAAGCATTCAAAATCAATAAGAAAATATAAATTAAAACCACAGAACAAGGTACCATGTCATACCTACAAAACATCAAATGTTGGTGAGGATGTGGAGCAACTAAAATTCTTACGTATTTCAGACTGCAGTGCAAAATGGTACATATTCAGGAAACAGTACAGTAACATCTTACAAAGCTAAACACACATCTCCCCGATGACCCAAAAGTTCTACTCCTACATAGTGAAGAGAATGAAACATGTCTGCAGAATGGTATCTAGAAGAACATTTATAAAAGCTTTTTTGTTCATAACTCCAAACTGGAAAAAAAACAAATTCCATCAACAGGAGTACAGATAAGCCAAACTGTGGGATATTCAAACTAACAGAGCATTCACCAATAAAAAGGAAAGAGCAACGATATATACAATAGGAATGGAAGTCAAGACACGGTGTTGAGTGACTAACGCCACATTCAAGGAGCACACGCACTGTGATTCATTTATAATGCAGTTCAAGATAAGACTAATCCATAGTGGCAGAAATCAGAGCAGTGGCTGTCTACGGAGAGTGGGGGATCGACTGAAAGGAGTCAGGGAGAACATCCTGGAGTGATGGAAATGTTCCACATCTTGAATGGGATGTTAGTTACATGGGTCCATGCACCTGACAAAACTCACCAAATTTATATGTAAGATCTGTTACTTTCACTATATAAAAATTATACTGCAACCACGAAACAAACAAAAAGAAACTATAATGTAATGTAACTTGTTGCTATAGATTAGCATTTCTCAAACTTTTGGTCTTAAGATCAATTAAACTCTTAAAAATTACTGAAGACCCCAGGGCCAGGTGCAGTGGCTCACGCCTGTAATCCTAGCACTTTGGGAGGCCGAGGCAGGTGGATCATGAGGTCAGGAGTTCAAGACCAGCCTGGCCAACATGTTGAAACCCCGTCTCTACTAAAAATACAAAAATTAGCCAGGCGTGGTGGTGGGGGCCTGTAATCCCAACTACTTGGGAGGCTGAGGCAGGAGAATCACTTGAATCTGGGAGGTGGAGGTTGCCAAAATCGTGAGTAGTGAGCTAAAATTGTGCTACTGCACTCCAGCCTGGGTGATGGAGTGAGACTCCATCTCAAAAACAAAACAAAACAAAAAACAAAAAAAACCCTTATTGAAGACCCCAAAAGAGTTAGTTTTTCTTTCCCTTTCATTTATCTCTCCTTTTCTTTTTCTTTTTTTTTTTTTCTTGAGATAGGGTCTTACTTTGTCATCCAGGCTGGAATACGGTGGCACGATCATGACTCACTTGCAGCCTTGACCTCCCAGGCTCAGGCAATCCTCCTGCTTCAGCCTCCCAAGTAGCTGGGACCACAGGCAAGTGCCACCATACTCACCTATTTTTTCTTTCTTTTTTTAGCAATGGGGTCTCCCTATGTTACCCAGGATGGTCTCAAACTCCTGGACTCAAGTGATCCTCCCACCTTGGCCTCCCAAAGTGCTGAGATTACAGGTGTGAGCCATCGTATCTGGTATAGTTTTCTTTTAATGTGGATTTTATCTATTGCTATTTATCAAATTTTTAAAAAGCTGAAAATAATTTCTTGACTTATTAATTCATTTAATAAAAGTAAAAGTGATATGTTAACCCAAATAACTTTTTTTTTTTGTTTGTTTGTTTTTGAGACGGAGTCTCGCTCTGTCACCCACGCTGGAATGCCACGGCATGATCTTGGCTCCCTGCAACCTCTGCCTCCCGGGTTCAAGTGATTCTCCTGCCTCAGCCTCCCGAATAGTTAGGATTACAGGTGCCCACCACCACGCCCAGCTAATTTTTTGTATTTTTAGTAGAGACAGGGTTTCACCAGGTTGGCCAGGCTGGTCTCGAACTCCTGACCTCAGGCAATCCACCTGCCTCGGCCTCCCAAAGTGCTGGGATTTACGGGCATAAGCCACCGCACCCAGCCCTAAATAACATTTTTATAGAAAAAGACTGTATTTTCCAAAACAAAAACAGTTAGAAGAGTAGCACTGTTTTACATTATTGCAATCTTTTAAATGTCAGGATTAAGAAAGGATAACTGGATTCTCATAACTGTTTATGCATTCAATCTGCGATTTCTTACATCAAGTAGTCTAGAAACTTTATTGTAAACATTTAAGTGAATGATAGGAAAAAGGCACATTTTTAGTAATATAATGAAAACTGTTGTAACTTTTTTGTCCCCTGAAAGGGCCTTGAGGACCCCTACTCCCCACCACAAGAGTCCAAAATCTCTACTTTCTAGAACCACTGGCATAGACAGCAGAAGGACTTTCCTTTTTCCCAGTGCAGATTTAAGAAACTTTGGAACAAGGCAGTTAAAAAAAAAAAAAAATTCGGCCAGGCGCAGTGTCTCATGCCTGTAATCCTAGCACTTCAGGAGGCCGAGGTGGGTAGATCACTTGAGGTCAGGAGTTCGAGGCCAGCCTGGCCAATATGGTGAAAC
Organism: Homo sapiens; assembly: GCF_000001405.40. NCBI lineage: Eukaryota > Metazoa > Chordata > Mammalia > Primates > Hominidae > Homo > Homo sapiens. The sequence continues at coordinate 24,211,790 of NC_000018.10, forward strand.
TTTGTCTCTACTAAAATACACAAATTAGCTGGGTGTGGTGGCATGTGCTTGTAATCCCAGCTACTCGGGAGATTGCACCATTGCACTCCAGCCTGGGCAACAGAGCGAAACTCCATCTCAAAAAAAAAAAAATCAATGCATTCAACAAATATTAACTACATTTCAACTACTCTAAGGTTTTGAGGATATTAGGAAGCTGGATAAATAAAATGTCGAGGAATATTTACAATTGAGATAATTCTGTTTCAAAATGTTATTTCATTTCTGGAATCTGCTTCAGAAACTTTTTTTTTTTTTGAGAGATAGTCTCGCTCTCTTGCCAGGCTGGAGTACAGTGGTGTGATCTTGGCTCACTGCAACCTCTGCCTCCCAGGTTCAAGCGATTCCCCTGCCTCAGCCTCCTGAGTAGCTAGGACTAAAGGCGCACACCACCACACCTGGCTAATTTTTTTTTTTTTAATTTTAGTAGAATGTTGGCCAGGATGGTCTCGATCTCCTGACCTCGTGATCCACCCGCCTCAGCCTCCCAAAGAGCTGGGATTACGGGTGTGAGACACCACGCCCGGCCTTCAAAAACTTTAAAACTCTGGCACTTCCACTAAGTGGGCTTAAAAATATTTGAAATAAATAAGATAGTCTGAAACAAATATAACCTTATTTTAATAAGACAGAATTCAAAAATTTCAACCAACATACTCATCTTTAGTAGTTCACCTGACTGCCTAAAAGTTCGATATGATTTTTCATATTCTCTTAACATTTAAATCTGAGAGTAAATACTGGTTTTTAGTCACACAACTCACAGAATCTCACCTTAAGTTGATATAATTTGATTTTATCACAATGAAAATGATGCCCTCAAACAAGGGAAAATGTTTGCCCTCCAAAGGTGATAAGATGTATTCCACGGTCATAAAAATACTATTTTTCTCAGTTGTGTACTATTAATTAAAACTTTAGTTGTAATGTACATGAAGATTCAAGATCTTCAAAGTTATATATGAAATACTTGGCAAGTTTAATATACAGAAATCAACACAAAGTGTCTAAAATTTACCGATACAATTAAATTCCTGAAATTTGCCCATCCCCATTTCAACAGAAGCAGAATTTAGGCTGGTCTTAAAGAAGCCAATCACTTAAAACTCTTCCTGCATGACTGTTATTATAATGTACCCTGTACCTAGTTTCAGGTTCGAATTCAGACAAATACAGTCATCACAAAGTTCTCTCTGTATATCCAGAATGCCATTCTGAAGCCTAGTATAAATGAGCACCATATCTTACAACTTAGTCAGAGACGAGGGTGACTCAACAGCTGGGTATTTAACCTGCTGTTAGACCTCTCCAACTAAAATTAGCGTAGCGTCTTAGAAGCAGGTCAGTACAAGTCTCAGACAAGAGCTCTAAGGCTAGTCATATACCTTTTTTAGTTATGAATCTTTAAAAAAAATCCAATGACTTGGTTTCCTATTTTAAGTTTAATAATTTGATGTGGCCAGGCACAGTGGCTCACGCCTGTAATCCTAGCACTTTGGGAGGCCGAGGCAGGCGGATCACTTGAGCTCAGGAGTTCGAGACCAGCCTGGGCAACATAGTGAAATCCTGTCTCTACTAAAAATATAAAAAATTAGCCAGGTGTGGTGGCGCAGGCCTGTAATCCCAGCAATCCCAGCTACTCAGAAGTTCTACTGCTTGAACCCAGGAGGCAGAGGTTGCAGTGAGCCAAGATTACACCACTGCCCTCCAGGCTGGATGATAGAGTAGGACTGTCTCAAAATGATAATAATAATAATAAAATCTGATGTAATTATCTGATATTACTATTTAATTTTGCTAATATTTCCATAACTTAAAATTATTTTTCATTTTTGATGTTTTAAATTACTTATCTATAGTCTATGATTGCCACTTAACAAATCTGGCTCTACACAATAAAAAGGTTAGGGTGGTCTTGTTTTACAAGAGGTTTTACTTGTTTTGACTTTAATAAGTTAAAATTGTATGTACACAATTTTAAACTGATTTTCACAATGGATTTCTAAAATTTAGAATTTGTTGTCAAGCTTCAAGAACACAGTACATTTTCTTTTTATTTCTCAGTTTATCACCATAACTGGATTAACAGGAATGCTTACAGAATCTTCACATTTGAAAGCAAAAAGGAAATGATGAAAAAATATCTCTGAATCAGGCTTTTAGTTTACTAAGAAGATGTCATTTTAGGCAGCTGGATTCCCTTACTATAGGCCTGCTTCACAGAGTTCAGCACAGTCCTGGGGAAGGAAAGATGAAACAGGAAGGCAGACCTTAACCTAGGGACAAGGTCACTATTCTTTGCTCACCTTTATCTCTAAGAATAACTTAGATTTCATACAACAGGTGCTGGAACAGACGGATGTAAAGTCATTGAAATTAAGTGAAAAGTGAGAGTAGATCACGGTCGTTAGGACCTAAAGGAAACGGTCTGAACAACAGAGAGATTAATGCAATGCATGGTGAATGCTGCACAGATCAGAGCTAACTACCGTCATCCCTAAAGGATTAACTAGGTCTCCTGCAGTGTGGAGCTCTCTAAGGAGCAGAGAGGCTTCAAGGTGGTGAGCACACATCTACTAACATCTCTCCACATTCCAAAAAGGATCCAAAGCTGTCTTATTACTGGTAATTTTGTTGGTTGGGGAGGGGAAAGAAGCCCTTCTTGACTATCATAGAAATCTCTTGGGCTCTCTATCGAGAAAGGTCATGTCTCAGAACTTGAACACCTCCAGTTGGATTAGGAGGCTGATGGTAGCAGTAGGCTGTTTGGTGAGACCTGGAGTTCTCTACTAGAATGTAGGTTTGAACTCTTGATAAAAATTGTTGATCGTTGAATGTAACTCTGGAGCAAGGCTGTTTTTAATAGGCTGTATGTTATCTGGAACACTGCAGACAAGGATTTCTGATCACCAAAACAAGGGTTTGGGGAAAACTGTGCAAAAAATACTTCACAACAAGAGAAGACAAAAAACGAAGCAGAGATGGACTGAATAACAGAAGTGCCCTTCTGCAAATATGACTGTGTTGCTTTTCATGGCTCTGAACTTTCCAGACTAACTTCCCTTCAAACCACACCTACTTTTTCAGAATAAATATAACAATTTGTTTGTGCTTTGCTTTAGCTACTTCCACAGCCTGATTTAACTCTGTTTATAAATGATCTGAGATGCTTTTGATTGCTTACCATCAGAGGGATAGAATTTCTAGGAAGGGAGTTGAGTTTCTGGTTCCTTCCTGCTCTGTGATACATAACACATAATATCTCCAGGGTTCTCTGACACGTATGTTATTTTCCCTTCTGTTTCCTTTTGGATTGCTCTGAGCATAGTAAAATACCTGTCCTGCAAAGGACTGCATCCTTCCCCTTTCCTAAAGCAGGTTTTTTTTCTGCTGAGAAAGATTACACAATGTCCTAAAACACACAATCAGATCTGAAATTTACTATGGTAAAATGGATACTTTATGCTAAATTTCAAATCCTGGCTGAACACTGTGCTGTATCAACATGATACAACAGCAGGTCATAGCCCAGACAATGAGAACATATCACATTTTATGCAATCAATGTGTTTTGAAAAGAGCTGTGTATAAACCAAATTTTTCTGAGGATTCTAAAACACAAGGCAAACCAACCAACCAACCAACCTGTTAAGGATCTATGTGGTTTTTAAAACAATCACTTCCTTAATTTATTTACCTTGCAATTTTTTTATTATTATATATGGTGTTTTCTGAAAAAGGAAAATTCCTCCTAAGCTACCAAGCAAAGCAAATAAGGCCAAAGAACTCCGTGTCCCCTGAGGCGATTTTCTCCTTTAGGCAAAATTTAGATTGGCACAGCTCCAAAGGAAAACAGACACTTCAGTGTATTTGTAGAGACCAAATCCCTTAAGTCACCAGAAGTCAAGATACCCAATCTATGATTTATTAGAAGATGTGGGCAGAAGAAACAGGTTAAGGCAGACCATTAAAAGGCTGTTACTGTGAAAGATATTTCCTAGGCACTCAAAATCTTGTGTTCACGTGTGTTGGGAATGGGAGGGTTGGGGGAAGAGGGTACATCTTTGGATAAATAGATCGAGATGCCAAGCAAGAATATACGTTTTAATAAATATTTAACTGCTTCTTTCTGTTGACATCCTGGGGATTATAAGTGTTTGTAAAGTAAACTTGAAATAGAAATTGGATATTTACCTAAGATATTGAAAAAGTCCAGGGATCAAAAGGAGAAAATAACGAGACCTCTGAATGGGGAAAGTAGTATCAAGGGACCCAGGTACAAATAACAGAGCTTACAGCCTCTCGTCACCTCTTGTTTACATTTGACAATGTAACTTTACAACCAGCTTTGTAGAGACCAGACACGCCTTTGTATTCTCAATAAAATGAAAAACTGGCCAAGCGCAGTGGCTCACACCTGTAATCCCAGCACTTTGGGAGGCCAAGGCGGGTGGATTGCCCGAGCTCAGGAGTTTGAGACCAGCCTGGGCAACACAGTGAAACCCTGTCTGTACTAAAATACAAAAAAATTAGCTGGGCGTGGCAGCGTGTGCCTGCAGTCCCAGCTACCTGGGAGGCTGAGGCAGGAGAATTGCTTGAACCCGGGAGGCAGGGGTTGCAGTGAGCCGAGATAGTGCCACTGCACTCCAGCCTTGGCGACAGAGCGAGACTGTGTCTCCAGAAGAAAAAAGAAAAAGGAAAACCATGTTCATAGATTTTAAATATATGGGCAATTTTTCTTATTTCACATTTACCAATAGAAAACAATGTTATTCTAAGATCAGTACTTTCTTTTCAGCTACCTCTTTCTTAAATTCCAGTTTCAAAGGACAATACAAACTTCCAAAACTCAAACATCTTTTCATATAAATTAAAAAGAAGGACAAAAACAATTTTATTTACCTGTTTTTGTTTAGGGTTCATCGGTTATTTTTTTTTTTAAAGGGGAGGAAAGGTTTCAGCTGTCTCCGAGGAATAAGACTACAAACAACGGTCAATGCAGTAGCAATGAACATCCTTACCACTCAGATTGTTATTTCTAAATATTATTTCCCACTAAAATGAAATATGGCTCCTTAGAGAAATAGCTGACTCTATGTCTGGGGCAGGAAACAAATGATGTAAGCCTGAAACACTTTTTTCTTATCAGAAAGCAAGGCAGCTATCAAAGACAATGGAGTTATTGCCTACAAATATCTATAAAAAAAATTACCAGAGAAACCAATGAGGGTCCTGTCAGAGGGACACAGAAGCTGACCCAGAGGGGCTTACTCTGACCAAAGAGGGGGAAAGATACTGTAATAGATTTAAACAAATCCAACCCATGGGCTCATATATTACCTTTGTAGGATGCTAGGGAACCAATATATAGATCATTTTATAAGGAGGTGTTAGGAAGCTCTTCTTTATTTTTTGAGACAAGTTTTGCTCTTTTTTTTTTTTTTTTTGAGACAGAGTCTTGCTCTGTCACTCAGGCTGGAGTGCAGTGGTGTGATCTCAGCTCATAGCAACCTCCACTTCCCGAGTTTAAGCGATTCTCCTGCCTCAGTCTCCCGTGTAGTTGAGATTACAGGCACCCGCCACCACGCCCAGCTAATTTTTGTATTTTTAGCAGAGACAGAGTTTCACCATGTTGGCCAACTGGTCTTGAACTCCTGGCCTCAAGTGATACACTTGCCTCTGCCTCCCAAAGTGCTGGGATTACAGGTGTGAACCTCTGCACCCTGTCAGAAGCTCTTCTTTATAGATTTTCAGCTAATAAATGTAGAAGGAGTGACAGAATTGAAAGACTACTGTTTTGCAGCACCTAAAGAAATAAAGATGAAGACAATGATCAACCACTAAATCATTAGGTGAAAGACTGTCAGGCAACTTTATCATGGATGTGTCAGATTGTCAATGACTAAACCCAAGAATCAATCTCACCATTACAGAAAGAAGAGAATCAGAGAGCAAATGCTCTCTGATTGATGTCATAGGAAGTACCTATGGTTTGTGTACCTATGAATTTTGTGCTAAAAAACTGAAACATAAATCTGGCCACACCTTTGTAAATAACCATCAGTCCACAGGAAATTCAGGAGTAAAAGAACATGTGGAATGATACCCCAGGAATACAACCAGCAATATCCAGATGGTAGAATACTCTACAGAACAAACGACCAGGTTTCTTGAAAAATAAATGGCAAGAAAAAATGGGGGAGGGAAGAGGAAACCTGGAGTAAAATGACTTAAGAGACATAGAAACCAAAGGCAGTATGTAGAACTTTGGGATCCTATTACTAAATACCATTTTGGATCCAATTACTAAATGACATTTACAAGACAATCAAGAAAATGTGAATACTAACTAAATACTTGATGATAATTAAGAAATTATTATTATACATGATAATAGTACTGTGGTTTAGAAGCAAAAAAGACTCCCACTGTTTTAGAGATACATACTGAGTTATTTAAAAGATGAAATGAGTGCCTGCTTTGGCAACACATATACTAAACATTGAAATGATACGAAGATTAGCATGACCCCTGAACAAGGATGACATGCAAATTCATGAAGTGTCCCATATTTTTTGTAGAAATCAGTTCAAGTAATCTACTGTACAACATGGTTTTTGTTTTGTTTTTTTTGAGATGGAGTCTCGCTCCGTCACCCAGGCTGGAGAGCAGTGGGGTGCTTTCGGCTCACTGCAACCTCTGCCTCCCAGGTTCAAGCGATTCTCCCACCTCAGCCTTCTGAGTAGCTGGGATTACAGGCATGCACTACTGCGCCTGGCTAATTTTTGTATTTTTTGGTAGAGACGGGGGTTTCACTATGTTGGCCAGGCTGGTCTCGAACTCCTGACCTCAGGTGATCCACCCACCTCGGTCTCCCAAAGTGCTGGGATTATAGGCGTGAGCCACTGCGCCTGGCCCAACATGGTGACTATAGTTACTAACAATGTATTATATACTTGAAAATCACTAGAGAGTATAGTTTAAAGTGTTCTCACCATAAAAAATAAGCATGTGAGGTATGCATATATTAGCTCGATTCATCCATTACACAATGTGCGGTATATATATTTCAAAACACCATGTTGTACACTACAAATATACAATTTTTGTTAGTTAAAAAGCTATGTCCCTAAAAAAAATAAAGATAAAATGGTATAGCTTGGATTTGCTTTAAAAATAGGAGGCCGAGCGCAGTGGCTCATGCCTGTAATCCCAGCACTTTGGGAGGTCAAGGTGGGAGGATGTCTTGAGGCTAGGGGTTCAAGACCAGCCTGGGTAACATAGCAAGGCCTCATATCTGGAAAAAAAAAATTAATTAGCTAGGCATGCTAGTGACTCCTGTAGTCACAGCTACTCAAGAGGCTGAGGTGGGAGGATCACCTGAGACCAAGGAGGTTGAGGCTGCAGTAAGCTATAATCACACCACTGCACTCCAGCCTGGGCAATGGGGTGAGACCCTGTCTCACAACAAATAAAAATAAATCAGAACATTGATGTGGTGGTTTATAGATGAAACCAAGTTGGGCACATGGTAAATGTTGAGGGTGAATGATGGGAATCAAGGGTTCATTATATTATTCTACTTGTAGGCATGCTTGAAAATTTCCATAATAAAAAGTTTTAGAAATGGGATTATTCATCTGAAAATATTTTTTATTTCTCTTCGTACATAAGTTTCTTAGCTCTTTGCTATTTGGTTGATTTAAGCATAGCCTTACAGATTATGGCTGCCCTAGAAAACTGCTCTGATTTACCTACAATAATCACTCATCTAGACTAGATGAGAACAAGCGCTTGGAGTCTGGTGAAAGTATGTCTCACCATCATTTGCTTAGAAAATGCTAGAACTGGAAGCAGTTCTAAAGAGTCTCAGCCCGTCTCCAAAAGAGCAACTCCTATCTGCTCTTTAAACTAGGGCAGGATGAGGTCAATGGCCTGAGGAAAGATGCCTCACAGTTTTCCCAGAGTAATTCCTGGCAATAAGCTGGGCAACTCAACTTGGGTTTGTGAAGGTAATTCTCATGAATCTAGACTCAGGCTGCCTTGTTTCTTCTTCCTAGTATACTTGAAGTGACCCCATGGCCTAGCAGCTTGTTAGTCCTGGATGAGGTTTTCAAATTGGAGCCCTATTCGCTGGATAACCACTCTAGTCTCCTCCTGCCAGGCTGGCACTCCCTCTCATTTATTATGTCTCCAAATGCACTTTTGTGGGAGAGATGGATGTCACACGTAATGAGTGGCCTGCTGGCTTTTAGTCCTCTGCTTCAGCTGCTGCCATTCAACTTGCCAATCTGTTCCAGGTGTCCAATCTCCACTGGCCTCTGATGACAGACACCTGCCGTGGCAGGACTGCCAACAGTCCGCCTACACCACAGCACAGTGGTGCCCTCGTCTGACCTACATGCCTTTTAGAATACCAAGCATCTTCTTCCTTTACTATTCCTCTGAAAGCTTCTCATTGCCTGCTCCTTGGTCCCTAGTTCTCTTTTCTCGCTTGGGAGAGTTGAGATAGGCTTGTGTCCAGCTTGTGAAAGAGGTGGGCTTCACAGCAGAGCTGCTTGTGCTTCTAGTGATGCTACTCATTCTTTTTATTGCAACCCTCTACTTTCCAGGACAAGTACTCTAGGCAGGGAGCCGGGAGATAAAAGGAGAGCACAGGCTCCCATTGTCTTGGGGAACCACTGTTCCCTCCAGCCCCCAGCCCTCACCACAAATCTGGCTCATTCTGGGCAGGGCTCTTGCTCTTTTCCTTACTGCTCACTGCTCCTGGGTTCTCTGAAAATCAAAGGTGTAGCTTAAGTGCTCCTGGTCACTACATGATGAGGAATTACCCCAAATATTTCCTGATAGACAGAGTATTTTTCTACCCAGGGCACCAGAGGATCTCTGGGTGGGGTGACTTGCTGCTAACTCTATTCCCTGATCTAATGACGTCTGAGCCCAGATCATCTATCCCGTATCTTTAGGAAGTGAGATTTTGTTTTGTTTTGGTTTTTTTTTTTGAGACAGAGTCTCGCTTTGTCACCCAGGCTGGTGTATAATGCCATGATCTTGGCTCACTGCAACCTCAGCCTCCTAAGCAGCTGGGACTACAGGCGTGTGCCACCACGCTCAGCTAATTTTTGTGTTTGTAGTAGAAACGGGGTTTCGCCACATTGGCCAGGCTGGTCTTGAACTCCTGGCCTCAAGTGATCCACCCGCCTCAGCCTCCCAAAGTACTAGTATTACAAGCATGAGCCACCGTGCCTGGCCTAGGGAATGAGGTTTTAAAACCAAGGTAGTTTTATTCTAGTGATTAAATGTATTCATGTTAAATAATTTTTATTTACCACTAACAACATTTTCTCAATATAATCTTACTTCCTGGAAGGTATTTTCTTAGCTTACGTTTTCAGCCTCTTTGTTTACCTTCAATTCGTGGGTGCATTCCTTGTGTAAATGCTTCATGTGCAGTGACAACTGTTATGTTACACTCCTCTTTCCTGCGGCTAAGAACTAGAATCTAAAGCAATCAGAAGGGTGAATAAACTAAGCAATCACCTGGGGTCCTAATCTACCACTTCAGCAAAATAAACCTCTCAGGTTCTTAGCCACATTTATTACAGAAGGCTTTATTCAAGCTAATCAAGTGCAAGTAATTAGAATCAGACAGAAAAAAAGTCCCTATCATATTTCTGTTATAAAAAATCCTTCCCTATCTTAAACTTGTAAAGATATTGTACATTTTCTTCCAAAGTATTTAAGTTTCGAACTTCCACATTTAAGTGTTTGATTCATCTAGAATTCGTATTTACATTTATGAAAGAGACCCATTTTCTTTTTTTCTTCCATATTAAATGATTATCCAAGCACAATTTACCAAACCATCTATTCTTTCCCTCACTAATCTGCTATGCTAGCTCTATTACATATACCAGGACAATGAATTTTCATTTTCAGTAAGTTTTATCTCTTTCAGAAAGTTTCATTATTACACCCTTTTTTTCCCAAGACTTATTCCTAGGTATGTGACTTTTTTAAAGCTACTGTAAATATCTTCTCCCTCAGTTTTAATTGTAGTTTCTGTCTGTTAATGGTCCACGGAAATTTAATTGGCTGATTTTGTATATGGCAGCCTAGCCAAACTTTCTTACTCTAATAACTTCTACAAGTTTTCTACGGCGACGATGTCATCATATTTTTTATTTCTAAGTTTTATGTGTGTGTGTTTGGGTGTGGCCTCCAAATAATACTGAATAAAAAAGATGACAGCAGGCATCTTATTCCTGATAAGAACTGTTTTAATATGTTATTATCAAGTAGTTTAAGTTTTAACCAGATGAAGTTTTCTTCTATTTGTGATTTGCTAATGTATGTATTGATCATTTTGAATAACTGTTTAATTTTGTTGAAATGTTTAAAATCTATTAGGTTGACCATATGGTTTACTCCTTTAATCTATTCATGTTAATATAATGAATAACATTTACAGAATCATAACATGGATCCAACAGTTTCAGATTCTGACTAATTTGCTTTCTGTTAGTATCATCTACCCTGTATTTGGCGGCAAGGTTGAAGTAAATATCAGTATCTTTACCAAATATAATAAGTTGGGTAATATTGCTAACAAGTTAGAAGATTAGAGCTCAAAATAAACATAATAAATTAGGTCCAAGCTTTGAGAATTGCTCCCACGGAATGTGGCCAAGATGGCAATAAGCTCTGTAAATATAAACCTGACTACACTACGGTGTCCACTAATTTTCCACAAAGCAACTTGATATTTTCTGGAAAAAAAGTACCACAGAAATGAAGGTGGTGAGATTTTAACAGCTTCCACATTAAACTTCTGTTGCACAAATAGTTCCATGGCTAAAAAAGAAATTAAAGGTTGAAAACGCTTGTTCTATTTTACAAGCAAAAGTTAAGCTGGGATTTAATACTTTCTATGTGAACTACAATTTATAATATTCTCTTTTCTCATTTTAAAAAATACACAGTCTCTCTTTAAAAAATAGTTTATAATCCGTATGTTTCCCATGTCTCCCTAAATTTATGTATTTCCCAGGGGGTACTACTGGTGGTATGGGGTGAGGGAGAAATGCAAGGTTCCTATGGGAAAGTTAAATAAATCATAAGTAAATGATTTTTTTTTAATAGTAAGGAAAACAGAAATCTACGACGAGGTCAAATACAATTTTCACATGAATTTTAAAGATAAAACACAAGACTTCAAATAAATTTTTTGGTCACTTCAGGCTGATCCCCCAGGTCATGTAGCAACATATGCCTGTTTTTCTAAAACACAACCCAAACTACTATGAATACAAATTATTCTTGATATCAATATAAAAACTATTATAATCATAGATTATTTATTATGCAATGTAGGGTGCAGGCAAGAGGGATGTGATAGCACTGAATACTCTTGTTTCCTATTCTAAAATTAAACTTTTAAATTATCTGTGGCATATGCTCTATCTATTTGATTAGAGAAGAACTTTATGAAAAAAGGGTTTTAAAAAACTCCTGTGAAAGCTACTTTTTAAAAATAGGAATTACGTATTCCCACATATTACACTGCTGACAATTTCCTAAGTTTTCCTCTTTCACTTTGAACAACTGAAGAACGTCATACTACATTTATAGGTTTAGTAAGTTGCATCTCATTTATCAGTTACACTTTTCTGGTTAGGTCACCTGCTTGCATTTCTTTGTATTCTTCCTTAGTGACCTGTCCTGACTGCATTTGTTTTTGAAAGTTTAATCTCATCTTAACTTTCACATTTGTACCATTCTGGGTTTGACTTTAGAACACAGAATGTATGAATATGGTATAATATAATTCTGTCAAATGCAAAATAACTACTGTCATGATTATAGCACACATACGAAAGAACTACTGAGTCCTGACAAGCAATAAAGAAATCCCCTGTAGCTACAGCAGAGGACAGCATCTAAGCACAATGCTTTTTCTGATATTAATAATACTGAATATCTGCATGCTTCTTTGAACTTTCCAAAGATTTCACCTGTGTTCTCATCAGACTGGCATGGTGTATGTGTTAAATAGTTAAAGACTGTCTTCTCTTTAGAGATTGGTAGGTCTGCCAAGTTTACTGTTAAGTATTTCATGTCTTAAATAGAATTTTGTACTGCACTCCAAAGAAACTGATAGTAACTACAGAGGGAATCGGGAAAGACACTCACTGCTGGACACATAATTTGCAATTATAAGCATGTTTGGAGGACAACCTCTAACCCAACAGAAGAAAACTGTTTTTATCTAGTTGGTTACCTAAAACTCACTAATCTTTTAAAAATAAATACAAACTGAGACATTTTTTGTTAACAAAGGGAAAATACACATAAGCCAGAGAAGTGATGCACACTTTTTTTTTCTAGAACAGTAGTCAAAACCATTGTGGCCAGAATCATAGTACAGAAATGGAATTAGAGTTACACAACCTACAAATATTAAACAAAAAATTATTTTCCAGCAATTACCATTAATAACTCCTTACCCAAAAAGTAATTTTTATAATGACAACAGAATACATCCTTCACTGATCATTTTATAAAATATTTTACTATATGAACACTAGCATGCATATACACCACTGTCTCTCTAAACTTGGGCTGAAATCAGAGAACTGTGGGTATCTATTACGTCTCATTAATTCGGGACAATCTCTAGGACCAAGCCATTAAGGGGATAAAAACATACTAATGTTATTAGACAGTATAAAATGGGTATGTTCAGCAAGTCCTGGGTCTTAATAAAAGTCTTTGTTTAAATTTAACTAAATTGCATCAACAGACTGGCAACATTGCCACTCATTCTTAATAAAACCAACTAGAAGATCAAATGGCCAGAAACTAAAATAGCAATGGAAGGCAGAGTCATAAAAGATGTATGATGAGAAAGGGCACATAGGATCAGTTTTAACAGGTAGTTCTGAATAACCTTTCTAAATCACCAACTAAAGGATTTATGTGCCCCTCTAAGAACATGATTGCTAAGCCCATGTGCTCTGTTCCTACAATTATAGATGATTCTCTTAAATGGACAGAGGAAAAAGTGCTTAAGTTAAATGCTTTCTTTGAGGTGATATAGCAATATAAATCCCCTACACGGGGAAAAATGAAGACAAGACATATATTTCTTTATGAATCCAAATGTACTTTATCGTAAAAACGCAGCAGTGACAACTGTCAGAGGCGATCCTACCTGTGTTTCTTGATGCCATTGGAGAGAGCATCTCCGCCACCACAGTCTTTTTCTTCGGACATTCTGTGTTTTCTACTGCCCAAATGCTCTCCTTCCTCTTCAAAGGAGCGTGCTGTCACTGCTTCCAATCTACTCAGGGACCTTTCGGACTCGGAATCTGTGGCAGAGCAGGTTCATAGTTAATGAATTGAACTTGGGTGTGAGGCTTCCGTAACAATGGATCCCTCCCTTCATGCCTCAGGCTTTGAAACCTAAGCAGCCTACTTTGTCCCTCAACAATCCATCTGTTAACTACCTCCTCAGGGATTTCACAGAACCTGCACCTAATATAAGGCTGAAGTGGATTTATCAAACAGAGGTACACTTACATAAGCTTACAAGTAAACAGATCTCACATAGTAAAAGACATCTCCAAAGATTACTCAGTTCTTTACGAAATCATATTCAGTGGTTGCCCCCAAAATTTCCACCTCTTTCTTCCCTCACAAAGCATCTTAAGTATAACTTCCAAAAAAATTTTAATTTTTAAAACTCATGTATAATGAAAAAGCTGTAGTAGCTAGCTGTCCTTATGAGAAGTTTAAATTACATCCAATACTGTAGACATAAAAGTAAAGTAATTTAAAAATACTTTAAAAAGGTCGGGTCAGTGGCTCACACCTGTAATCCCAGTACTATGGGAGGCTGGGATGGGAGGACTGATTGAGGACAGGAGTTCAAGACCAGCCTGGGCAAGACAGCAAGACCTCATCTCTACAAAAAGTTTCAAAACAAAAAAATAACAGCCAGGTATGGTGGTGTGCACCTGTAGTCCCAGCTACTGGGGAGGCTGAGGCAGGAAGATCACTTGAGGACAGGAGTTGAGAGACTGCAGTGAGCTATGATCACACCACTGCACTCCAGCCTGGGCAGAGTGAGACCCTGTCTCTATACAAAAATAAATAAAATACTTTTAAAAATACTTTTTCCAGGATGATAATATTTAAATTCTCAAGGACAAAAGCCCGAAGCAACCCTATAGTAATTGTCAGGCAGGCATTCTTAGGATGGAAAGGTCACATTTCCAATTGGCTATATATTCAGAGTGGTGCCATCTGCCAGTTTGGGAAGAAGACAACGCATTTTTGTACACGACAGTAGCGTTTTCAGGCATTTCACATTCTTCATCTCTTTTGAGCATCAAAAGGATGCTTTAGTGGAGGTGAGGTAGGACAATGTGGTTATTAACAAGCATGCTAATGGTCTCTCATGGCTTGTGAGTGGGCAAGACAGGATTTGAACCCAGGTTTTCTGACTCCTTGTTTAATGTTTTATGTATTTTGGCTCAAAACAGCAGTCACTCAGTCTCCATCAAACTTTAAATGGTGCCTGAGTTTTTCATTAAAATGGAAATTCACGACGACCTCCAACTTCCCATCTTAAGCAGAGGACAAGCCATTCCCTCATCCTCAGCTCTAAGAAAGGCTCTGATACACATTCCAGCAAACTTCCTATTTCAATAAATTTATCAACAATCTGCTAAATTTGTATTATAGCTAAACTGGTCAGGAAATAACAACGTTTTAGTGCTTTCTTTTTCCACTACTGCATTACATAATTCAGCAAAAATCACAGAACCTTACTGTTACCACATTAGGCTGACTTAGGAGAACGACGGTTGGACCAGCCCAAGTGCAGGTTAGATAATGCACCTTTGGCTCTCAACGCTGGACCCTATAAATGATCTAAGTTACCTGCAGAAAGGCTTTTAATGTTGGGAAAGTTTTGTTTTCTGTAAATATAACTTTAGTAAAATTTCTGAAAATATAGTTTTGTTCTGTCCTATACCTCATAACAAAGAAACAGATTTTTTTTTTTTTTTTTTTTTTGAGATGGAGTCCCACTCTGTCACCCAGGCTGGAGTGCAGTGGTGCAATCTCGGCTCACTGCAACCTCTGCCTCCCAAGTTCAAGCAATTCTCCTGCCTCAACCTCCCGAGTAGCTGGGACTACAGGCATGCGCCACCATGCTCAGCTAATTTTTTGTATTTTTAGTAAAGACGGGGTTTCACCATGTTGGCCAGGCTGGTCTCAGACTCCTAACCTCAGGTGATCTGCCCACCTCAGCCTCCCAAAGTGCTGGGATTACAGGCATGAGCCACTGCGCCTGGCCAGAAACGGACATTTTAATAATACATTTAAAGAGACATTTATTTTTCTTTGTCAATTTTGGCAGAAGGAAACAAACTATCATTGAAAAAAAATTAAAAACAACCTAAATAGTCAATAAGAGGGGGACAGTTGCCTGTCAGATGAAATAAGTTATTAACATTATGTTTACAAGAACAACTTAATGAAATAAAAGATTGTTTTTAACATACATAATGCTAAGACAAAAAAAACCCAGGATAATGCTTTGCAACTCTAAAATACAAGTAAAGAAATAATTTCTCTGCATTGAAGAAAGGCCAGTCTGGTTCAGGTAAACAGATGTCTGAAAACATGGGAGCAATACAATGACAGAAGTTTGTTTAGGGCACGTGTGGAAAGAGATCAGTTAGTTTTCTGGAGTAGGCACAGGGTTGTCAGGAAAGGCTGCAAAGGAGAGATGGCACAACGGCAAATTTTGAAACAGTGGAATTGGTGCTCGGGCGGAGGTGAGAGAGGTGCTCCAGGAGGCGGCAGGAACAAGACCTGCATCAGGGATGATAACAGCCATCTTGGGGTGGGGGTGGTTCCACTCCAACATTTTGAAGTTTGTTTCACTTGAGAAAAAAAATGTAAAAAATCAAAATAATTTCGTCTGTACTGGTATTATTTAAGACACAGTATTAGTTTATGATTTAGAAGTCATGAAAATCATAAAGCAATGAAGCAAAATACCTCAAGCATTTATGCACAGGATTGTGTGTTTGCAATTTAAGAGACATCAATCATAAGGCAGGGACTTACCCACCTAAAAAGAATTTTTTTTAGCAAAAGCAGACATAAACATTAAACACGGAACAGTAAGAGCTTCTATGAAGCAAAGACGGACTTCGCAGAACAAGATTTCAACTCAGTGACTACATAAAGATCTACGACCCACAAACTCATCAGTCACACTGAGAACCCCTGCGTGGGACCACTGCACTGACCCCTAGGGATGCTCCATCAGATGACAGTGCAGACCCTGTCCTCTGTGATTAGCAGCCCGACTCACCCCCTCTGTGCCCCCTCTTTGTCCTTACTCTTCTCCCTGTCTCCCTGTGCCTCCACCTCTTTCTTCCCCCTCCCCTCACCCCCCTCCTTACTCCTCCTCTATACTTTGCTCTCAAACCTCTCGCTATAATATAGTCAGGCTATCCCCACCCTTCCCCTAAAGGGCTCTAAGAAAGGTCGCTAATTACTTCCACATTGCAAAGTACAATGGTCATTTTTCAATTCTTATTTTGACTCATCCACCACATCTGATGCTGCTGAATTCATTCCTCCCTTCCTCATATCTTGCAAGGCCTGTGAAGTGAAGGAAGCATAAGATCTGGTCCCTGCGCATGGCCCAGCAGCGGGGAAGTGTTTTGTGAACAAACGAGTTCAGTAGATTTCTCTAGGTGATCACAGGAGTCTGAATGGGGGCAGCGGGCTACAAAGGAGGCATCAGTCAACTTTACAGAGTGGAGAATGTTGTATCAGGAAAGAACTGTGGCTGATGATTGAGCTGCGTTCGCTGACAAGGAGTAAGAGTGGGGATGAGGACAGTTACAATACAGGAGCTGTCCCAAGCAATAAGAACACCATGGCCAACACAGCGAGGAATGCACTGTGCAGTGAGATGGCAGTGGAAGGCACAGAACGGGCAGACATGAGACTGTGAGTCAGTCTTAAAGCTGACTACATAGGATAAATAAAAAGCAAACACAGGCTGGGCGCGGTGGCTCACACCTGTAATCCCAGCACTTGGGGAGGCTGAGGTGGGTGTATCACTTGAGGTCAGGAGTTCAAGACCAGACTGGCCAACATGATGAAACCCTATCTCTACCAAAAATACAAAAATTAGCCCGGCATAGTGGCACTCCCCTGCAATCCCAGTTACTCGGAAGGCTGAGGCAGGAAGAACTGCTTGAACCCAGGAGGTGGAGGTTGCAGTGAGCTAAGATTGAACCACTGTACTCCAGCCTGGGAGAGACAGCGAGACTCTGTCTCAAAAGAAAAAGGTAGGTAGCGGGAAGAAATATAAAATGAAGCTAGGGATGAGGTAGTCTCCCGATACATGTCATGAGGTTCTGTATACTCACTAGAGAGGAATCATAAACTCTGAGCTTTGTAGTTTCAAAGGCAAAGAAGTAAACATCAATTACATGATTTACAGTGCCTGTGAAATAAAAACTAGTTGCTTAAAAGCCAAAGCTCAGTGATTTCTAGTGCAATGAATAGAGAGATGTGGAATGTATACTGTGTGAAATAGTTTGGGCTTACTCTGTCAGTAACAGAGAACCATTCTTGAGAGATTATACCTTCAAAGCCTTGGTCACACCAATCTATCGCTAGTACAGCATCGTTTCATGTGGAGACTCATGGTTCTATAGATATTTCAGTTTAAACATGTTTAGCTCAATACCAAAGAGGGCATAGCCACTGTGGAGGTTGCTGATGAAAGTCAAAGCCTATCCATAGAAGTTATTTTCAAGTCTCCCTGTAAAACAAATCAGTGCTACATCTTGGTATCTATGAAGTGATAAATCAATCTTTTTTTTTTTTTGGCTTTTTTTTGAGACGAAGCCTCGCTCTGTCACCCAGGCTGGAGTGCAGTGGCACGATCTCGGCTCACTGCAACCTCTGCCTCCCTCACGCAAGTGATTCTTGTGCCCCAGCCTCCCAAGTACCTGGGACTATAAGCGCGCGCCACCATGCCCGGCTAATTTTTGTATTTTTAGTAGTGACAGGTTTCACCATGTTGGCCAGGCTGGTCTTGAACTCCTGGCCTCAGGTGATCCGCCCACCTCGGCCTCCCAAAGTGCTGGGATTACAGGCATGGGCCACCACGCCCCACCAATAATTCAATCATAAAATTCTGGGTTCTTCAATGTTCCCCCACATATAAACATCAAAATGTTAGTGGGTAATATATTAATGCCTTAGTAGAAAGCATGAAGGGAAGAGGTGCATCCTGCCTCCCATGTGCTGGTTGCAGTGCTCTCTTGCAGTAGGGTTAGGCCACGACACTCAGGCTTTCAGGACAAACAAGGAGAGGGAGGAGGGAGGAATGGGGAGTTGGTAGTTAATGGGGATGGAGTTTCAGTTTGGGATGACAAAAAAGTTCTGGAGAGAGATGGTGGTGATGGTTGCATAGGAAAGTAAAGGTTCTTAATCCCACTGCATTGTACACTCAAAAAGGGTCACGTTGGAAAGTTTATGTTATGTATATTTTACAATAAAAACAACAACAAACAAACAAAAACCAGGCAAACACACAAAAACCTGTCCCTAAAAGCCAATGAGCTAGCTATCATGTTGGATGCATGGACTATATTCTGGTCTGGTTAACTCTTACCTCATTGCCAGGAAAACTGGTTGATTTTTCTAGAGCCATATTTTTTTAATGCAGCAGAAGGAAGGTATTTTTACAATATACATAGCTAGACTTCAGACAATGGCAGCCTGTCGTTATTCTTTTTATTTCCCACTCCATTTTCTCCTTAATAAACATATACGTTTCTATAACAGGCAAAACCACTCAAAAATTTTAGGAAACTTCTGACCCCTGAAAAACAGCATAAAAGATTTATGAAATAGCCCTACATTATTTACTGAACTTTTGATGAGCACTTAGGAAAATCTGTGCAGCCCTGAGTAATGACGGGAAATGGAATACTCTTGATAAGCACTTATTTGTGGGTGTGTTTACTCCCATCTAGTTCCAAAAGGATTCAGGTGACTCAGTCGATGATTATATTTTATAGGGAAACCATCAAGCCACGTGCAGTGGTGTGCACCTGTAGTCACAGCTGCTCGGCAGGCTGAGGTGGAGGATCACTTAAGCCCAGGAGTTTGAGACTGGGCAACAGAGCGAGACCCTGTCTCTCAAAAACATTAAGAAGTGTCAGAATAACACCTTGAAAAACATATATTTTACAAGATAAAATGCTCTAGTTTACAGAAGCATTGAAGGTGGACAGAATCTTTACCTGATTAGTTCCTCAATTAAAACAGCAGTATTAATAGAATTAAAATGTAAAATCTCACAAAGTTTGCTTTAATGTTATGGGTCGACAATGGCCCAGATCTTTAAAGTTCTTTTTGTTTGTTTGTTTTGAAACAGACTCTTGCTCTGGCACCCAGTCTGGAGTGCAGTGGCGTGATCTCAGTTCACTGCAACCTCCGCCTCCTGGATTCAAGCAACTCTCCTGCCTCAGCCTCCCTAGTAGCTGGGATTACAGGCGCCCACCACCACGCCCAGCATTTTTGTATTTTAGTAGAGATGGGGTTTCACCATGTTGGCCAGGCTGGTCTTGAACTCCGGACCTCAAGTGATCCACCCACTTTGGCCTCAAAGTGCTAGGATTACAGGTGTAAGCCACTGCACCTGCTTTAAGATCTTTAAAGTTCTGTCCATGTTAGAACTCAGAATTATTTTAAACACATTCAGATTGAACACAGTCTCCTTTCTCATCAAAATAGCATGGAAGCCAATGAATGGCTATTGCCGGCTTATGGTGACTTTAACTTTACTCTAGAATTAAGATCCTGACCGCTATGCTCCTTTTTGTAATTGAGTGAGAGAACTTTCCAAGAGTTGATTTGTTAATTTTTCCTACTATTAAAAGGCTGAAAGAAGAGGCCATAAAGTTCACAATATAAACATGCCAACAATTCTTGTAAGTTATCCTGATAAGCACTTTTTTATCCTGACCTTTGGAAACCAGCCTGAGAACAAATAGTACACAAAGCAGCAAGATGGGGAAGAACTGTGGATAATGTCCAAGTCACCCTTCCTCCTGTTACTGAAGGTAACAGAAAACAGCCAGGAAACGCACACATGCTTAATTTAATACCTTTATTGTTTACGGTTTCCCACGTACCAGGCATGTTCTGAAAATGTCCAAAGCAACCCAAGGTACAGCTTAAAATATCAGTGCCAAATTTTTATTTAGCCTTGAGGTACAACTGCATAAACTCAGAAATAGCACAGTAAATATGAAGAACACAAAGAAAGTAAACACAACCTAACATATTTAAAGTGAATCATAAACTGAAAACCGGGATGAGTCCAGAGGGGGCTGCCAAGAGACTGCTGCAATAATTTACTAAGGAAGTGACAAAAGCTTGAAACAGATTCTTGGCAGCAAGCAACAAGAGTCGGAGACATTCTAGACAGATCCTCTCTGAATGATGTCCAAGGTCAAAATTAGCCAAATGGTAGGGTATTGCTTGTGACAGAGTTTCTTAAAAGTACCGGCTCATCCCCAAGCAACTAAATCTACTACTGTTTTCTACAATTTGTAACATCTGCACATGTAATGGAACATGAGGAGTTATACAAACCGTAGTGTGTGGGCTACTGGAAATCTTACGTGGATCTATTTTGGGCTACCAAATCCAGAGCTTCCCAATTTGTCTTGTTTCTCAACATTATTTTTAGGAAGGTCACATTATGCATTAACTCTACAAAGAAAACAATTCTAGAACTAAAGGCCAGTTGCAGAATAATCCATAGTTAGAAAACAAAGTATTTTCATGTGACTTCGATGTAATAAGTCAACATTTACTAAGTACCTACCACACATCAGGTAAAGTGCAAGTTGCTGAAGCAGTTTGGAAAGATGAATGATATGGCTGGTGCCCTCCAAGTGTTCAAGATTTAAAAGATGTACTCTTACATCTGCTGAGAAATGCTAAAACTGGTTTCAGTTTCATGATATAACTATCTATTGGTTTTGCCCATCTACGCTATCGGATTTTATGCATTATTCATGCACATTTCAACCAAAATAGCATTAAGGGGAACGCTTAGCAAGAAAGCCTTTCTAGAGCAACTGATCTCAACATGTTTCTCAAAAGGAAAATGAACACACAGTAAGAAAAGTAATGCGTTCTGAACCTACAATATTCAAAGAGCAGGAATTTTCCGTGAAACTGCTCTCAGACTAGTTACTAAAGAAAAACCACCATGAAATTAGTTATTTAACCAGTAATAAGTGTTTCAAAAACAACTCCTTAGAAGATTATGAGAGATTCCTAAAGTCATGTACCTTTAGTTTTCTCTCCTTTAACTAATTTTCATCTGCCCCCTCCCTGGTAGCAGTATCCTATCTCCAACTTTACTGTAAACCCCTTGGGAACAAATGTCATTTTCTAATATCAATACTATCTCATCCCTCCTTCCTCCTTTGCTACCCATCCCTACTCTCCCCTGCAGAATCCAAAGTGGTGAATATAGATGCATAAAATCACCATGCATTCCTGATTATCTTAGGCTCATTATTGAATAACAATATATTTTTAGGGAGGACAGAAACATCAATGACATTTCTTCAACAACCTGCATTCGACAAGCATTTAGAGAACTCTGATTCTGTGCTACGTACTTCAGGGATGTAAACAGATATGGTCCCTATTATATTTTTCTTTCTTTCTTTCTCTCTTTCTCTCTCTCTCTCTTTCTTTCTTTCAGACAGAGTCTCGCTCTGTTGCCCAGGATGGAGTGCAATGGCGCGATCTCGGCTCACTGCAACCTCCGCCTCCCAGGTTCAAGCTATTCTCCTGCCTCAGCCTCCCAAGTAGCTGGGATTACAAGCATGTGCCACCATGCCCGGATAAAGTCTTTTGTATTTTTAGTAGAGGCAGGGTTTCACAATGTTGGCCAGGCTGGTCTCAAAACTCCTGGCCTCAAGTGATCCACTCGCCTTGGCCTCCCAAAGTGCTGGAATTACAGGTGTGAGCCTCTGCGGGGTCCTATTATCTTACAAACAAAACACAAGGAGGCTATAAAAGAGATGTAAACTGAAGGAAACACAAAAAAAGAAACTAATTCTGCCCGGAGGAGTCAGGAAAGGCTACCCAGGAGAAGAGGTATTTGAGAGCCTTGGTGGACAAAGTAGCAAAAAGAAAAAACAACACTGATAGGGTAGAAATATATATGAATATATATGAAGAACCACTTTCTTCTTCTATAAAGCATTTCTATAAGCTTATTTGAAGAATACTTTATCCACAGTGGTTTCTCATGATATCTTTTTGTTTCAATGCGCATGAATGTCTAGCCCTTTTCCCAGGAAGTGTTCCCTTACAGCTATATCCGAAATTTCACTTGACATAACCATTTCATTCCTTAAACACACCCACTCCCACACCCACACACGCAATGAGGACAAAATGTGAGGCTTCATTAAATTTATCTCCTTTTAAATAAGTTTACACAATGGAATTTAATCAAATTTGTGGGGAAAAAAATCTGTGTGCTTTATGGAGTTTTATGAAATGTTTCGTCACTGAGCTTACTGGAAAAATAATTTTCTCAAGCGATCCCAGGGGGGACGCCAGGGGGCTGGAAAAATTCCTCTCTTACACTGCTGGCTCTGCACCAAGGCTTGCTTCACCCACCTTATGAGTAGATTTCCATTGATCTTGCTTATCTGAAAAAGCTTAAAGGGATATGATAAAGGGAAACAGGAAACCACATGGACTTTAGATCTAATGAAGTTATCCCTTTATTTTAAAGTAACACGAGTTAACAACTTTTTAAAAGATTAAACATTTAGTGAAAATATTTTTTAAATCTTTTAAGAAGAGTAAGTTGAAAAATCTTTTTTTTTCATACCTTCTCAATATCAGGATAGGCTTGATTTCATCTATCGTCATGATTTAGTTGTTAAAATTAAGCTTCAAATGAAGTGGAGGTTTGTATACTTTTCATTGCTCTTTACTAACTGTGCATCCAACTGCCTGACATCACTACTGCATCTGAGGCCTGGAGGAGGCACTGGTATAGTAAGTGGAGGGAACAAGGGGACAAAGTGAGTGTGAAGAGGCAGTAGGGTCTGGATCATGTCGAGAGCCTTGAAGGTCCGTGAAGGCATCTGAGTTTCATTTTAAGTGCAATGAGAAACCACTGAAAAATTCTAGGTGAGGGAATGCGATGATGTGATTGTCAACAAAGGATCACCATGGATGGTGTGTACGGGATGAACGTCAGCAGGCCAAGGCTGGAAGCACCAAGATCAGTTAAGAGGCTAGAGGAAAGTAGGTGCAGTGCGGGTCACCATAATGAGAGCTAATATCTGCTAGCCCCTTAGTGTGCCTGGCACTGTTTTAAGTACATTACAAATATGTATTAGTTAATTCTTTGCAATGATCCTATGACCCATTTGCAGATGAAGAAATGAGGCAGAGGAAAGTGAAGTAACTTTCCCAAGAGTAGGGGAATGGTAGAGCTTTGACTAAGCAAGAGCCTTCAGCTTGAGTACCTATACTTTTAACTGCTACCCTCCATTAGTAAAACACAGATGAATTCAAGATATGATTTGAAGGCAGAATGGCCAGGCCTCGATTCTATGTCTCATGGAAATGTCACGAATCACTCCTAGTTTCTGGCTTTAGGAGATGAAGAGGTGCCATTTACAAAAATGAGGCCAATTCCAGGAGAAATAGTATCTGGGAGGAAGAGCAAGCATTTGTTTTTTATACATAAAGCTGACAGCTGAATATGTAAGTCTCTAGCAAGAGATCAAGGCTGGAGATATAAATTTGGGGACTGTGGCAGTCAGCACAAGGGCTTCCCCAAGACGTCCATGTCCTTATCTCTGGAACCTGTGAATATGTTACCTTTCATTAATAAAAGGGACTTTGCAGATATGATTAAGTTACGTATATTGAGATGGGGAGATTATACTGGATCATCTGAGTAGGTCCAACGTAATGCCATAGGTCTTTATAAAAGGGAAGGAGCAAGGCCAGAGTCACGGGCAGTCAGAGAGAGACTTCCAGATGGAGGATGGGGCCTTGAGCCAGGGAATGCAGGCAGGTCCCTAGAAGCTAGAAAAGGCAAGGCAACAGTCTCTTCTAGAGCCTTTAGAAGAAACACAGCCCTGTGGACACCTTGATGTTGGAACTTCTGACCACCAACTGTAACAGAATATATTTGCATTGTCTACTAAGCCACTAAGTTTGTGGTGATCTATTGCAGTAGCAATAGCAGACTAATACAGGAATTTCAAGTTAGTATTTAGTTATACAATATTGAAAGTGTAGGTGAAGGAAGCAATAACTAAACAAAAGTCTCCTTGAGAAGTCACAAGGAGACAGGTACCAGAACAAATGAGGAAGAGATGGCCTTAATGAGGGGGGACCATTTGTTCCCTTGTAATAGAGTGAAGGAGGAAATGGGGACAGAGGCTGGTGTGTAGAGACTACAGAGGGAAGATGAAGTCATTCCCATATGATGGCTTTGATGATTTCAATGAATTGGGTGGCTAGGTCAACAGCAAGTCAGCACTTGACAGGGCATCTGACTCTTCATTTTAATGCAGTTTCTACACTGTGCCAAATTATTCCAAGATTTTTAGTAGGAAATAGGAGTAGCCACAGAAGGGCTACTGTGTTCATGCAAGTGTAACAAAACTCAGGTGTGCTATTCAAGGCAAGGAGAATATGCTTGGCACCTGACCCTTGCTCCACTTCCTATAGCCATGGCAGGATGTGCTGATGAGCCTAGGCGTTTGGACTGAGCCTCAGGATCGTTCTCAACACAGCAATCCACAAAGCAGCAGATACGGCAAAACAATCTGAACTGGCACTTGAGATGAAATGTATTTGCCAATCCTGATCTAGGGACTATGGTTCTTTTTCTCTCTTCCTCCCGGAGGAGACGACTATTAAAATATTACTGAGAAACAGAAAGATAGTGGCTGCTAGACGTCTATCAAGAAGAGAAGGATTAAGGAAACTGTGACATAATTATATCATGGACTTTCATGCAACCTTGAAAAAGAGTGGGCTAGAGCTTATAACACTGACAGTAAAGATTTCTAAGACAAGTTGTCAGGAAAAAGCAAGTCCAGGGCAATTACACTGCTCCTTCCATTCATGACTTAAAAAAAAAATCTATATATATACACAAGCACATATATATGTGATGCTCAAAAAAGGTCTGTAAGAGAGTATATCCGGCTGTTAATCAGAACCTCTGAGGAGGAGAAGGAGTGCATGATTAACTGGGATAACAGGTGAAGAGAATTTCACTGGGTTCTCACATACTTTTATATGGAATTATTTAGAACAAACATGGGGTTCTTAAATAAAATTTTTTAAAGGTTTTTTTTTGTTTGAGACAGGGTCTCATTCTGTTGCCCCCAGGCTGGAATGCAATGGCACCATTACAGCTCACTGCAACCTCTACTTCCTGGGCTTAAGCGATCCTCCCACCGCAGCCTTCTGAGCAGCTGGGATTACAGGCATGCACCATCACGCCTGGCTAATTTTTGTATTTTCAGTAGAGACGGGGTTTCACCATGTTGCCCAGGCTGGTCTCGAACTTCTGGGCTCAAGATGTCCTCCTGCCTTGGCCTCCCAAAGTGCTAGGATTACAAGTGCTCAGCCACCATGCCTGGTCATAAAGTTTTATTTTTAAAAAAGAATATATAACATGAGCAACTGAAGTATCTGGGCTCTTTTATATTCCAAGCTCTATGCATTTAGACCTAGCATCCCTCTTGTAATTTTCCTTTTTGGATGCTCCCCATAGAAGAAGCGCCACTGGACCTGGCACAAGGTGGACGTGTAATAAATGTCAGCAGTCACTCATTCTCCCTCCGACCTCCCTCAGACAGGCTAAATACTTCCCTTGCCTTGTCACTCATTCCATCGATCTCAAATCCTACCTTCTCTTCCCAACGTGAGTCACTCTGTTCACAAATCCCTTATTTAATTGACAACCCGTCATCATTATAATCTTCTTTGTCCAATTGTTCCCAAATCTGGCTATGAAAATTACTTCTTCCCTTTCTTTTACTTCTATCAAACCTCTATTAATAATGTTCCTATTTGTCTTAATCAATCAATCACTTCCCCGTCAATCTACATTCTACCAACATCATTTTCCATGTACTGTATTACCATACCATTTTCTTTAACTTCCTTAACCTAATCTTCAGTTCTCATCTCTCCTACCTCTCACCATGCTTCCTCTCTTTCCTGTCCTGTTATGAATTTGATCCTTCACTTCCAATACACCAAGATTTCTTGCATCTGTGATCAAGTGTTGTGAAACTCAGTAACTGTATATGCTCACCTATTATATATGCATTTCATTTTCTCCCATACAACAATTAATTTTTCTCAGTCCCACTGATCTCCAACCACCCCCTTCCATGTTCCTTTCCCTTCTCCCACACACACCTGCCTCAAAAAATTTGAAAGTAAATTCCAAAAAGGTCAAAACTACTTAGCAGTACCTCCTCTCATCCTCCAATCTCCACGTGCATTCCCCATTTTTTTAGCACTGAGTATCACCAGGCACTGTTCTAACCACTATCTAAACAGAGAAACTCATTTAGTCATCACACGACCTATTGAAATGGACACTATAATTATCCCATTTTAAATATGCGGAAACTATGAAGAGAGAGGTCATGGAACACGCCCCAGGTCACACAGCTGGCTAGTGACAGAAGCTCTGGAGTCCATGCTCCTTGCAGAAATGCTATGCCGCCCTTTAGTGTGTGTTTCTGAGGCAAAGTTAAACACCTCCTCTTCTCTGCTCCAGACACATGGTGGTCTCACCTCTACTGTGGCACTTAGCATACTGTGCTATCACCAAGCACTTGCGCTTCGTTACCTGTATTCTTTATATAAAGACCTCTTTGAAGACAGAAACTGTCTGTCTGTCTCTCCTTACAATATGTGCTAATGCCTGGCACTAGGAAATGGTCACCCAGTAAAGGACAAATCAAATGTGGGCAGTTTTAACAGCACTCTAACCTAGCCTAGAATACATCTTCAGTATAGGCAGAGACTGTGATGAATTTCATTCCACACTTTCAGACACCAGCCTTAATAACATGACACACAAAAAATCTGGGGAGCTATACCAATACATCGCTATCTGTTTATTCCAGGAAACTCTAGGTGACCTCTGCTCTAAGGTGGTGGACTCAAGGGGACATTGCTCATTTAGGTGGTGGACTCTAAATCACCAACAATGCAGAGGGAAGGATCCCAGAGTTACCTGACAGCGCATCATAGAACTCGTCCTCGCTAAGGATGCTGGCGGGTGGAGAGCCTTTCACCAGAGACTGCTCTAATTCATGATGTTCAGTGGCCAGCGTCTCCAGTGCTTCTGACAAGATTTTGTTTTTTTCTTGCTCTTGTTCCAATTTAAAATTCCTCACCTAGAAGAAAACAGATATACAGAAAAGACTTCAGAGTGACAGGAGACACAGACGTACTCAGAGGATGTGAAAATTAATTGCTTTTGATCCAGTTCAACTGCAATATCAGAAATGAAAACAGTCGTGTCACATGTGCATGGATGAATGAGCAAAATTATTAAACTAATTTTGTTCTTCCCATGGGGCCTTTTCTGGCAACAGCTTAGCTAATGAAAATAGATTCAGAACTAGCAAATAAATTCAGCTCAAATGATCAGGATCCTGGCATAAGAACATCAGTCAATTCAGAAATCATACAATTCTTTTTAAACATAAAGAATATTTCTCTCTCAACATTAAGTACACAGTTAAAAAAAACAGTTTCAGCAAGTCTTGGAACAAAAATTTTAAAAAAATTCTAAATATTAAAAAGCAAACTACATCAAAGCATAAAATATAATCCCTCAGTTTACTCCCAAAATAGTTGGTAATAGTTGGTATATCAAATGAAGGGAAACAGGTTGCCTGGTAATGACTACAAACATTCTATTTTTCATTTTTCTCTTTTTTTTTTTTTTTTTTGAGATGGAGCCTCATTTTGTCGCCTAAGCTGGAGTGCAGTGGTGCGATCTCGACTCTGAAACCTCCGCCTCTTGGGTTCAAGCTATTCTCATGCCTCTGCCTCCTGAGTAGCTGGGATTACAGTTGTGCACCACCACACCTGGCTAATTTTGGTATTTTTAGTAGAGATGGGGTTTCACCATGTTGGCCAGGCTGGTCTTGAACTCAGCCCCTCAAGTGATCTGCCCGCCTGGGCCTCCCAAAGTGCTGGGATTACAGGCCTGAGCCACCATGCCTGGCCTATTTTTCATTTTCCAATTCCATATTTTGGTTTCAACTCCACATTTTACCTTTAACTTAGTATACTAAAAAAGTCAAAAGATTATCAAAAAGGCAAAGCCTGGTTTGATTTTTTTACTGTTTGAAGTTACAATCTATTCCTCCTGTCTAATGCAGCAGTATCTGAACCTTTTGGTTGACCAAAACCCTCTACAATTCAAGTCACCTAATCCTTATAAAATAGCATGTACTGGATTTGATAGGGACAGTTTTGCCTATTTTCATATCAGTAGTCCGGAAATCACTACTATGCCTTAATCTTGCTGGATTTCTGGAGCCAATGTGCACTATAGACAGACAGGAGGCAGAAAAGCAGGGATCCACTGGTAGGTAGCAGCAGCGTCTTCTCAGAAGTCTCTTGTTCGTTAGTTTCCTCTCCTATAAGAGGTTTCTGCTATCACCTAATAATCTAATCAGAAGTCTTCAACATAGTGGTCTTCAAACTACTTTTTTTTTCTACTTTAGCAGCGGAACCTATTTCTCAACTGTAATCCCAACATATAAAATAGATGTTTTCGAAAGCAGTTGTGCACTGGGTGACACTGAATGAAGCAGAAGCCACACTCCTTTCACTTTCCCTTCCCTCCCAGAGGTCCCCTCTAGGGCCCAAACCCAGGTGGTATCCCAACAGTTTGAAAAACACATGGTAGTGGTACCAAAACAGATACACAGACCAATGGAACACAACAGAGGCCTGAGAAATAACACCACACGTCTACCACCATCTGATCTTTGACAAACCTGACAAAAACAAGCAATGGGGAAAGGATTCCCTATTTAATAAATAGTGTTGGGAAAACTGGCTAGCCATATGCAGAAAACTGAAACTGGACCCCTTCCTTACACCTTATACAAAAATTGACTCAAGATGGATTAAAGACTGAAATGTAAGACCTAAAACCATAAAAACCCTAGAAGAAAACCTAGGCAATACCATTCAGGACATAGGCATGGGCAAGGACTTCATGTCTAAAATACCAAAAGCAATGGCAACAAAAGCCAAAATGGACAAATGGGATCTAATTAAACTAAAGAGCTTCTGCACAGCAAAAGAAACTTACCGTCAGAGTGAAGAGGCAACCTACAGAATGGGAGAAAATTTTTGCAATCTATCCATCTGACAAAGGGCTAATATCCAGAATCTACAATGAACTTAAACAAATTTACAAGAAAAAAACAAACAACCCCATCAAAAACTGGGTGAAGGATATGAAGAGACACTTCTCAAAAGAAGGCGTTTATGCAGCCAACAAACATGAAAAAAAGCTCATCATCACTGGTAATCAGAGAAATGCAAATCAAAACCACAATGAGATACCATCTTACGCCAGTTAGAATGGCGATTATTAAAGAGTCAGAAAACAACAGATGCTAGAGAGGATGTGGAGAAATAGGAACGCTTTTACTCTGTTGGTGGGAGTGTAAACTAGTTCAACCATTGTGGAAGACAGTGTGGCGATTCCTCAAGGATCTAGAACCAGAAATACCATCTGACCCAGCAATCCCATTACTGGGTATATACCCAAAGGAGTATAAATCATTCTCCTATAAAGACACATGCACACATATGTTTATTGCAGCACTATTCACAATAGCAAAGACTTGGAACCAACCCAAATGCCCATCAATGATAGACTGGATTAAGAAAATGTGGCACATATACACCATGGAATACTACACAGCCATAAAAAAGAATGAGTTCATGTCCTTTGCAGGAACATGGATGAAGCTGGAAATCATCATTCTCAGCAAACTAACACAGGAATAGAAAATCAAACACCGAATGTTCTCACTCTTAAGTGGGAGTTGAACAATGAGAACATATGGACACATGGAGGGGAACATCACACACTGGGGCCTGTTGGGGGGTGGGGGGCAAGGAGAGGGAGAGCATTAGGAGAAAATTCCTAACGCAGATGACAGGTTGATGGGTGCAGCAAACCACCATGGCACATGTATACCATGGCACATATATATATATGCAGAACACTGCATGTTCTGCATATATATCCCAGAACTTTAAGTATAATTAAAACAAACAAACAAACAAACAAAAAAGATTCAGTTAGGGGGTTAAAAAAAAAAAAGAAAGAAAGAAAAGAAAAGCACTGGATGGAGTGACATCCAAAACCTCCTCTAGGTCACACTTTCCATCTTGAGGTTTTGGGAACTGTGGCCCCTCTCACAAATCCTGCATTACTCACTGCCAAATCTAACCCTTTTACCTCTTGACACTCCCTCTCCCATGCTCCTCCCCACAGCCCCCAAGGATGAAGGCTCTTCTCTGTTCTGTGGCCCTGAGTTCCTGCCAGCTGCACATCAGGTACAACACTCTAAGGTCTTAGACATAGCTTAAGATACAGTTTTACTGAAATGTTAAGTTTATAGCAGAAACAAGGTTAAACCCAAGTTCCAGTCCTCAGGCACTTTAGTGTTTATCAATACAGCAGGCAGATTATTATTATTACAGCTGTGATAATGAAATAAAAATCGCAATAAATGGTAAGCAATCAAGATCAGAAGAGACATGAAAAATTGAAAAACAAATTACTCATGTAATTACAATTTTTAGAAAATCTGAAAAATACTTGCAAATATTCCTATAATCTAAATTGTATCTCCAGAAGAGGAAATAAGCATACTAAGGCTAGAGTCAACTTAAAAAAATAAATAAAAAGCTGTCCTACTTCCATCAGATGGGTTAAACACTTCATTTCTCTATTATATAAACAAGGACTACATGAGGCGGGCAGATCACTTGACTTCGAGACCAGCCTGGCCAACACAGCGAAACCCCATCTCTACTGAAAATACAAAATAAGCCAGGCGCAGTGGCAGGAGACTGTAATCTCAACTGCAGAAGGCTGAGGCAGAAGAATCGCTTGAACCCTGAGGTGGAGGTTGCAGTGAGCTGAGATCACGCCGTCGCACTCCAGCCTGAGCAACAGGCGAGATTCTGTCTCAAAAACATAAAAAATAAAAAATAAACAAGGACTACAAAATTGAGCAATGTCCAAAATGATCCTTTCTTTGAAAAGATCTCTCAGCACTGTTATATTTGTAGATTCTAAAATCAACACTGCAAGAAAATCCAAATTCTTCACCCCTGCCTACCCCATCTCTTTCCCCTTTTTAGCTTTTCCAATATCAAAATGTAAATTTGCTGTTGACACCATATCTTTAAATATAAGAATTAACTAAAGTATCCTATTTAACGAGTACATACATTTTAATACCTAAATTCATCTAGATTTCAGCAAAGTAGCAAGATAAATGATAGAGGCCCATAAATATCCAGTCCCCTCAAAAAAATCTTATTCAAAATGCAATCTACCCGTTACCCACCTAAAATAAGCACCACTTAGCTGCTACCGCATTCACATCTGTTCTCACTTGTTCTTGAGAGACAGTAAAAGGGGTTGGAAACAGGACAGGAAGAGACTGAGGCTCTAGCCACATTCTATTTCTTACTTTGTTTTCATCTTTCAATTGATCTGAGTGTACTTTTATTAGTTTCAAGCCTAACAGGATTTTCTGCACTGAAGATACCTTCTTATAAAATAGCCACAAAATGGCAATTTCTCCTGTCATGTAAGTGATGTATATGAGAGAGTAACTACACATCACAGAAAATGCACTGGTAATGAGTTTTCTTGATACTTTAGAGAAACATCTGAAAGCATGCTTAAGTGCCATTAGTACTTTTTGGTCAGAAGGATCACTGAAACGATGTAATTCCAGATCCTCTACAGTCTCCACATTTCAGAACACCTAGGGGAAATCCTGCACTAAAAAATTGGTGTAGAACTGCTAAAAAAGATATGCAAAGTGCAACTTCATAAAATATTCACCTTACTTTTGAACTGTTTCCAAATTCTTAGTTGCAAGCTTAGAAACTATGGTGTAACAGAAACAGTGCCTTCTGCGCAATCTCTTAATGTCTTTGTAATTCCAGGCACAAGGCTTCACTTCTATTATGTATCAATATGTGAATATTGATTACTAGATTTTTTAAATTCTCAAACAATAATCATCACCCTAGTTATTACTAAAAGAATAAATAACTTCCTTCACAGAACTAGTGGGTCCCAACAGATATGTTTATAATTATTAGATTATAATTGTATATGTGTTTATACATTAGAACTTTTCTAGAATAAGGCTGAAATTTTACCTTTCAAATTCGCATATGGAATATACACCCTCAGTCCAATGACTTTCCCATGACAAAAATCAACATACATTCAAGTTAACAAAAATGTTGCACTTTTTATTAAGAAAAGCTTAAGGACTGAACCACCATACGCTTAACAGTAAACATACGCATTGATCTGTGTCTGTAGCCCCTTAAAATACAAATGTAAGCCTTTCCAGTAATCTGTCTCCTCAAACCACTTCAATATGGCAGTCTCTCATTTCACTCCCTTTCAGGCCAGAAGGCAAAATCCATAGTGGCTATTTCCAAAGTGAATGGGCGCCAGCAAGAGAATGCAGAGTTTTGAAAACAGTCATGTGCTAGCCAGCTACGACACATTCACCTACGCTCTCATTCTAGAAAGTGCCCCGTTACTTACCTGTGTTTCACAGGGGTTACATAAGGCAGAGTAATTCAATCTGGCAAAGACACAGCACTAAGTGGGGAATAAGTGATTATTATTCACAGAACACTGTGTGCAATCAGCCAGTTATAAGATAGGTACAATTCTGACCTTGATGATCAGTCTTCCAACTGGCCACACTCTGGTCAGTTCAACAGGATAAGCCTTACTCTTTCCTCTTCGCTAGTGCATGGATGGCTACAATTAACAAAATGTATTAGAGACTGAAATATTAGAATTTTTTTTTTTTCTGAGACAAGGTCTCGCTCTGTCAACCACGCTGGAGTGCAGGCTCCATCATGGCTCGCTGCAGCCTCAAACAATCCTCTTGACTCAAGCGATCCTCCTGCCTTGGCCTCCCGAGTAGTTAGAACTAAAGGCATGCACCACCATGCCTAGCTAATTTTTTTTTCGGCAGAGACGGGTCTCCCTACGTTGCCCAGGCTAGACTCAAACTCCTAGCCTCAAGTGATCCTCCTACCTCTGCCTCCCAAAGTGCTGAGACTAGGTGTGAGCCACTGCACCTGGCTGATGCTTATTGCTGTGGCTAGAGGACCAACAATGTTCTCACTTCAAAACTTTTTTCACGGTATGTGCTTTTAGGTGACTCCCTGCTGTTGACACACAGCTGATAAAAAGTATGGGTCTGATGATTACAGCTAGTAAGAGCTCTTCTGCACACAAGTCTGACTATTATATTGTTAAGGTAGAGGAGGATGGAGCTCCCATGTGGATGCAAATGGTCAATGTTACTTCTGAAACCATGGCCAGGCTGAATTACTCTCTCACCTCCAGGGTCCAGGGAAGTGAAGCTTTGACCTCCTGTCTCAGGCAGGATGGACATGTGTCTTCATTATAGTATAGTATACTCTTGCTTTGTTTTATAGATTTACAAAATACCTTTGCTCACATTCAATTTCAGAGTTTTCATTGACTCTCTAATGTCCTCCTTCCATCTCATCTCATCACTGCCTTTTCAAATGCAATTGATTTCCCTATGCTCCTGAAACCTTTTTCAGTCCTTCCTAGCACTAAACAATGACACTCATTTAAGAATAAAAATTTAGGGGCTGGGCACAGTGGCTCACATCTGTAATCCCAGCACTTTGGGAGGTGGAGGCAGGTGGATCACCCGAGGTCAGGAGTTCAAGACCAGCCTGACCAACATGGCAAAACCCCATCTCTACTAAAAATATACAAAAATTAGGCAGGCGTGGTGGCAGGAGCCTGTAATCCCAGCTACTTGGGAGACTGAGGCAGGAGAATTGCTTGAACCTGGGAGGCAGAGGTTGTAGTGAGCCAAGATCACACCACTGCACTCCAGCCTGGGCAACAAGAGCGAAACCCCGTCTTGAAAAATAAATAAATAAATAAATATGTAAGAATAAAGACTAAATTAAGAACTAAGAATAAAGCCACCTAAGGGACCGAGGCAGATTTACCTGATGGGAGGAAACTGAAATGAGTAAGGGATGTGCACAGGGCTTGCAAACCACAGCTGAAACTCTGGTTTTGACTCTGAGTGAAATGGGAAGCCAGTGGAGGAGGGGAAGAAGTAACATTATTTTATTTACTTTTTACTATGATCCCCATGGTTATAATGCTGAAAAGGGGATGGAGGAGCCAAGAGTAGAATAAAAGAAGATCCCAGGTGGGTGCAGTGGCTCATACCTGTAATCCCAGCACTTTAGCAGGCAGAGGTGGGCGGATCACCGGAGGCCAGGAGTTCGAGACCAGTCTGACCAACATGGTGAAACCCCGTCTCTACTAAAAATACAAAAATTAGCCAAGCATGGTGGTACATGCCTGTAATCCCAGCTAGTCGGGAGGCTGAGGCAGGAGAATCACTTGAACCCGGGAGGCGGAGGTTGCAGTGAGCCAAGATGGCACCACTGCACTCCATCCTGGGTAACAGAGTGAGACTCTGTCTCCCAAAAAAAAAAAAAAAAAAAAATCCCTTAAGAAGTACTTCAATAACTAGAACAAGAGATGGGTAAGAGATAGCAAGAGAAATGATGAGAAGTGGTCAGATTCTGGATATATTTTGAAGGCTCAAATGATTTGCTGACAGACTGACTATGTGATATAAGAAAAAAAGGAAATCAAGGACGACTCCATGTTTTGGCTTGGGCAACTACAAGGACTGTGTCTCAAAAATTAAATAAAATTAAGTTTTTAAAATTAAATTTTAAAACTAGAAATAAATAAAATTAAAAGACTAGATAGCAACATTAAGGGAGAAAGTGAGACAGAAATGTGAAGGAAGCCATGGACTGAACCCTAGCAGAAATGCTGAGAAAGAGTCAGCAAAGGAAACAAAAAAGAGAGAGACAGAGAGAGGTAAACCAGTTGTGTGTGGTGTCTTGGAAGCCTCAAAGAGGTATTTCAAGGAGGAAAAAGTGATTAACTGTCAAACACTGATGAGAGATCAACTGCTTCAAGAACTAAGACAAGACCACTGTACTGGCGATGTGAAGGTCAAGAGTGAACTTGACAAGGGCAGCTTCAGTGAAGTGTTGTGAGGATGCTGGAGGCGATGCCCTATGGGTCAAGAGAGATAAGAGAGAGTGAGTACAACCTGTTCTTAAGAAGGTTTTTGTTGGACAAGAGGTGTTTGTTTGTTTGAGACAGGATCTTACTCTGTCACCCAGGCTAGAAGGCAGTGTGATCTCAGCTCACTGCAACCTCTGCCTCCTGGGCTCAAGTGATCCTCCCACCTCAGCCTCCCAAGGAGCTGGGACTACAGGAGCACATCACCATGGCTGGCTAATTTTTTTTGTAATTTTTTTTAATAGGGACAGGGTTTTGCCATGTTGCCCCGGCTGGTCTTGAACTCCCGGGACTCAAACAATCCACCCACCTTGGCCTCCCAAAGTGCTGGGATTACAGGCAGAGCCACATCACGCCTAGCCTACAAGAGGACGCTGGTTACAGAGGTTATTTTAAAAACTAAAAAAAGAATAAAATTCTTTTAAAAAAATAATTTCTGCTCAAAAAAGGAGGAGAAAGGTAGGGCAGTTGCTGGAAGGGGTTGTGGGGTCAATGAAGTTTTCATTATGGAAGACAACCCGGGTTGCTTTTACATGGATAGAAAAGGTTCAACTGAGATGGGATTATGTTTGCAGAAGTGAGAGGGGAGAATTGCTGGAATAATGTTCTTGACTTTGTCAAAAAGGGAGGAGATCTAATCCACTAGTATACAGCTGGCCTTTGCTAAAGGCTCAGACAGTCCATCCTTAGTTGCAGGAGAAATGCAGTGAGTATGGTGCACAGATTCAGATAGATGAGTACGTGTAACCAAGTTTTCTTCTAATTGCTTCTGCTATCTCAGAGCATATAAGGAATACAGAGAATAAGAAACAGACAAAGATGTCCTCAACCTAATTGATTCCAACAGGTGATGAAGTAAGAAGCCTCTAGTCTCTTGACATTATACATAAGTTCATCCTGAGATTAGAAATGAAACGAGTCTCAAGGCCCTACAAAGCCTCATGAGCACTAACTTGATCAGCCCAACACATTTTCCCATTGGTTATAGCTGACTGTGATTGGCCTGTGGCACCACTAAAAATGCCCCTTTCTTACAGGCATTGCCATCTTCTTCAACCTGGTTCAAGCAAAGAAAAGGAAATGCCACTCAGAATGACCTCTGCATATCTCTTCACTCAAGCTCCTCCATGGGAAAGAAGATAAGAACTTGTCTGGTTTTTGACGTACTGACCATGCTAAAAATAGAATGGCCTCAATGAAGCTTGTTCAACATCACTTTCTGCTAACAATCTGTTAGATCGATTACTTCCAAACTGTACCTTCAGACATTTAAATCAGGGTAGAATTTGGAGATAACCCCAAATCTAGGACAGAGCCCCTAAATACTTGGGGGAACAGAAGAAAGACTTGGTAAATAAATAGGGCATTTTATAAGCAAGGTGATAATGATACTTGGAAGAATCAATATAAACCCAGAATATTTGACACTTATTTTTGTCAGAATGATTTAAAAATAACTTCCCATAAAATCAATGGAAGACTAGCACTATACACAAATGACAATTTAACAAATACGTTTTAGTTTTTACATGTCTTTTACAAAGCAGATAAGATGAACGCGTCTTCTGAAACAAAAGTCGTGTTCACTCCCACGGTATGCTACCAATAGTGGATTCAATACACATTTACTCCAATGCTTTGTTAATGGCTCTGGCATTTAAAATAATTTGATGCAAGTCTCACAACAGTTTGCTCTTCAACTGCAAAGTTGAACTACTTAATGCTGGTTATAACTCTCATATGAGGAACTTCCACAGAAATTTAAAATTTCCATTACCATGTACAGTTTACAATCCAGAAGTCGCACTTAGAGGATTATATTCCTAAAAGTACTATGCACGTCCATGTGTCATTTCCAAATTTTTTCAGATTATGGTATAATGTATTTAAAATTTCAAAAGGGTTTTATGTATCATCATGTAAATTAAAAAACAATGTTGGCAGAGCAAGATGGCGGAATAGAAGCTTACATCCTTTGTACCCCTCACAGGAACACCAAATTGTAACAAGTATCTGCACACAGAAAAGCACCATCACAAGAACCAAAAATCAGGTGAGCAATCACAGCACCTGATTTCATATCTCTGAAAAAGGTATTGAGGAGGGTCCAACAGACAGTCTTGAATCACCAACACCAACCCTCCCCTATCCCCTGGCAACAGCTGTACAGCATGGAGAGTATCTGCACTTGCAGAGTACACCAACTGGGGGACATTACATTGAACTCATTGCTCCCCTGTCATAGTGGCGAGCAAAGCCAGGCTGGGCTCACCCAGCACCCACACACACAGGAGCATTTGGACCAGCCCTAGCCAGAGAATCACCCATCTCAGTGGTCAGAACTCGAGTTTGTTGGCAAGCTTCGTCACCCGCGGCCAAAGTCCTCTGGGGGGTCCTAGGTAAATTTGAAAGGTGGTCTAGGACACACGGACTGCAATTCCTAGGCAACTTCTAATGCTGGGCTGGGCTGACAGCCAGAGGACTAGGTGGCACCTGACCTAGGAAGTCACTGGCCAAGGTGGCTAAAGGAGTGATTGCACCATCCCTCCCCCAACCCCAGGCAGCACAGCAGACAGCAATGAAAGTGTCTCTTTCCTTCTGCTTAAGGAGAAGAGGGCGAAGAGTAGAGAGGACTTTGTCATGCATCTAGGATACCAGTTCAGCCAGCCATAGCAAGATAGGATGCTGGGCAGAATTGTGGGGCCCCCATTCCAGGCCTTAGCTCCCAGAAGGCGTTTGTGTGTTTTTGTTTGTTTGTTTGTTTGTTTGTTTGTTTGTTTTTTTTGACATGGAGTCTCACTCCGTCGCCCAGACTGGAGAGCAGTAGTGTGATCTTGGCTCACTGCAACCTCTCTTTCCTGGGTTTGAGCAATTCTCATGCCTTAGCCTCCCGAGTAGCTGGAATTACAGGTGCACGCTACCACGCCCAGCTAGTTTTATAATTTTAGTAGAGACGGGGTTTTGCCATGTTGGCCAGGCTGGTCTCGAACTCCTGACCTCATGTGATCCACCCGCCTCAGCCTCCCAAAGTCCTGGGATTACAGGCGTGAGCCACTGCACCCAGCCTCCTGACGACATTTCTAGACACATCCTGGGCCAGAAGGGAACCTGCTGCCTAGAAGGAAAGGACCCAGTCCTGGCAGCATTTATCACCTGCTAACTGAAGAGCCTTTGGGCCCTGAATAACCAGCAGTGATACCAGGTACTACACTGAGGGCCTTGGGTGAGCCTCAGAGACTTGCTGGCTTCAGGTGACACCCAACACATTACCAGCTGTGGTGGCTATGGTCAAAGACTCCTCTTTGAAAAAAGCAGAGGGAAAGGTAAAGGGACTTTGTCTTGCACCTTAAGTACCAGCTTGGCCACAGTGGGACAGAGCAATAAGCAGGCTCTTAGTGTCATGGAGTCCAGGCCTAGGCTCATGGACAACAATTCTGGACCTGCCCTGGGCCACAGGGGAGCCCACTGCCCTGAAGGGTGAGTCCCAGGCCTAGTAGCATTCACCATAAGCTGATGAAAGAGCCCTTGGGCTTTAAGTGAACATCAGCAGTGGCCTGGCAGAGCTCCCCCATGGGCCAGTGGTAGTGGTGCTCACAGGGAGAGGCTCCTGTGCCTGTGGAAAGGGGAGGGAAGAGCGGGAAGGACTTTATATTGGGGTTTGAGTGTCAGCTTAGCCACAGTAGAATAGGACATCAGGCAAATTTCTAAGGTTTTTGATTCCAATCCCTGACTCCCAGAAAACATCTCTGGACCTATTTGGGGCCTGGGGAAACTTGTCACCCTGAAAGGAAGAACAAAACCTGGCTGGCTTTGCCACCTGGTGACTACGTAGATCCCTGAGGTCTTGAGTGACCATAAGTGGTAGACAGGTAGTGGTTACAGTGGGCCTTAAGACCCATTGTGGTGCTGGCTTCAGGTCTAACCTAGAACAGTCTTAGTGGTGGCCACATGGGTGTTTGCATCACCATACACCCAGTTCCAGGTGGCCGAGCAAAGAGAGAGAGAGACTCTATTTGTTTGGGAGAAAATAAGGAAAAAGAACAAGAGTCTCTGCCTGGTAACCCAGAGAATTCTTCCAGATCTTATCCAAGACCACCAAGGCAGTACCTCTGCAAATATGGAGAAACCACATCATTATTGGGCTTGGGACCCAAGTCTCTTCGAATACCTGGAAAGCCTTCTCAAGAAGGACAGGCACAAACAAGCCTAGACTGTGAAAACTACAATAAATACCTAACTCTTCAATGCCCAGACACCAAAGAACATCGGCAAGCATCAAGGTCATCCAGGAAAACATGACTTCACCAAATGAACTAAATAAGGCAGCAGGGGCCGATCCTGGAGAAAGAGGGACATGTGACATTTCAGAGTGAATTCAAAATA
Organism: Homo sapiens; assembly: GCF_000001405.40. Lineage (NCBI taxonomy): Eukaryota > Metazoa > Chordata > Mammalia > Primates > Hominidae > Homo > Homo sapiens. The sequence continues at coordinate 24,251,793 of NC_000018.10, forward strand.
GTCATTTTGAGGAAACTCAAAAAATTCAAAATAACACAGAGAAAGAACTCAGAAGTCTATCAGATAAATTTAACCAAGAGATTGAAATAATTAAAAAGAATCAAGCAGAAATTCTAGAGTTGAAAAATGCAACTCACATACTGAGAAATGCATCAGAATCACTTAACAGCAGAATGGAACAAGTAGAAGAAAGAATTAGTGAGCCTGAAGACAGGCTACTTAAAAATACAGTCAGAGGAGACAAAAAAGAACAAAAAATGATGAAGCATGCCTACAAGATCTAGGAAACAGCCTCAAAAGGGAAAATCTCAGTGTTACTGGCCCTAAAGAGGAGGTAGAGAAAGAGGGGTAGAAAGTTTATGCAAATGGATAATATCAGAGAACTTCCCAAACCTTAAGAAAGAGATCAACATTCAAGTACAAGAAGTTTATAGGACACCAAGCAGATTTAACCCAAAGAAGACGACCTCATGGCATCTAAGAATCAAACTCCCAAAGGTCAAGTATAAAGAAAGAATCCCAAAAGCAGCAAGAGAAAAGAAACAAATAACATTCAGTGGAGCTCCAATACGTCTGGCAGCAGGCTTTTCAGTGGAAATCTTACCAGCCAGAAGAGAGTGGTGTGATATATTTAAAGTGCTGAAGGAAAAAAACTCTTACCCTAGAATAGTATATCTTGCAAAAAATATCCTTCAAACATAAAGGAGAAATAAAGGCCTTCCCAGGAAAAAAAAAAATGCTGAGGGATTTCATCAACACCAGACGTGTCCTACAAGAAATGCTGAGAGGAGGTCTTTAATCTGAAAAAGGACATTAACAAGCAGTACAAAGTCATCTGAAGGTACAAAACTTGCTGGTAATAGTAAGCACACAGAAAAACACGGAATATCAAAACATTATAATTGTGGTGTGTAAACTACACCTAGCTAGAAAGGCTAAATGATGAACTAATCAAAAATAATAACAACAACTTTTCAAGACATAGACAGTATAAGACATAAAAAGGAACAAAAGAAGGTAAAAAGCCGGGAGAATGAAGTAAAGTGTAGAGTTTTGATTAGTTTTCTTTTTGCATGTTTGTTTATGCAATCAGCGTTGTCATCAGTTTAAAATAATGGGTTATAAGACAGTATTTGCAAGCCTCACAGTAGCCTCAAATCGAAAAACATACAATACACAAAAAATAAAAAGCAAGAAATTAAATCATACCACCAGAGAAAAGCAACTTCACTAAAAGGAAGACAGGAAGGAAAGAAGGAAGGAAGAGAAGGCTGCAAAACAATTAGAAAACAAGTAACAAAACGACAGGAGTCCCTACTTATCAATAATAACATTGAATGTAAATGGACTAAACTCTCCAATGAAAAGACATGGCGGGGGGGGGCGCTGAATGGATGAAAAAAACAAGACCCCACAATCTGTTGCCTACAGGAAATGCATTTCACCTACAAAGGTACACATAGAGTGAAAACGAAGGGATAGAAAAAGACATTTCCATGTCCATGGAAACCAAAAAAGAGTAGGAGTAGCTATAATTATATCAGACAAAACAGATTCCAAGACAAACTGTAACAAGAGACAAAGAAGGTCATTATATAATGATAAAGAAGTAAATCCAGCAGCAGGATATAATAATTGTGTAACCGCCCAATGGGCTCACCTTGCCTGCTGCCTAGACAGAACCGATTTATCAAAACAGGGGAACTGCAATGGAGAAGGAATAATTCACACAGAGCTGGCTGTGTGGGAGACCAGAGTTTTATTATTACTCAAATCAGTCTCTCTAGCATTTGCAGATCAGAGATTTTAAGGATAATTTGGCTGGTAAGGACTTGGGAAGTGGGGAGTGCTGACTGGTCAGGTTGAAGATGGAATCATAGTGGGTTCAAGTGAGGTTTTCTTGCTGTCTTTTCCTGGGTGGGATGGCAGAACTGGTTGAGCCAGATTACTGGTCTCCTTGGTGTCAGCTGATCCATCCAACATAGGGTCTACAAAATATCTCAAGCACTGACCTTAGGTTTTACAATGCTGATGTTATCCCCAGGAGGAATTTAGGGAGGTTCAGACTCTTGGAGCCAGAGGCTGCATGACCCCTAAACTGTAATTTCTAATCTTGTAGCTAATTTGTTAGTCTTGCAAGGGCAGACTGGTCCCAAGGCAAAAAGGGGGTCTTTTTGGGAAAAGGCTTTGTCAGTTTTGTTTCAGAATCAAGCCATGAGCTGAATTCCTTCCCAAAGTTAGTCTGACCTATGCCCAGGAATGAATAAGCACAGCTTAAATGTTAGAAGCAAGATGGAGTTGGTTAGGTCTTATTTTACTGTCATAATTTCCTCAGTTATAATTTTGCAAAGGCAGTTTCTATTGTAAATATATATGCACCAAATGCTGGAGCACCAGATATATAAAGCAAATATTATTAGAGCTAAAGATAGAGCTAGACCTCAATATAATAATTGCCGGAGGTCACAACACCCCATTTTCAGCATTGGACAGATCCCCCAGACAGAAAATCAACAAAGAAACATCAGACTTAATCTGCACTATAGAACAAACAGACCTAATAGATATTTACCAAACATTTCATCCAATGGCTACAGAATACACATTCTTTTCCTCAGTACATGTATCATTCTCAAAGATAGACCATATGTTAGGCCACAAAACAAGTCTTAAAGCATACAGAAAAAGAGAATAATATCAAGTATCTTCTGATCACAATGGAATAAAACTAGAAATCAATGACGCGAGGAATTTTGGAAACTATACAAACAAACAATATGCTCCTGAATGACCAGTGGGTCAATGAGGAAATTAAGAAATTGAAAAATTTCTTGAAACAAATGATAAGAGAAACACAACACACCAAAACCTATGAGATACAGCGAAAGCAGTACTAAGAGAGAAATTTACAGCTCTAAGTGCCTACATCAAAAAAAAAGGAAAACTTCAAACAAATAACCTAATGATTCACCTTAAAGAACTAGAAAAGCAAGAGCAAAACAAATCAGTTGAAGAAATAATAAATCAGTAGAATAAATCAACAGAAGAAATAATAAAGATCAGAGCAGAAATAAATGAAACTGAAGTGAGGAAAATAGAAAGATCAATGAAACAAAAAGATGGTTTTTTGAAAAGATAAACAAAATTGACAAACCTTTAGCCAGACTAACAAAGAAAAAACGGGGGAAAACCTAAATAAATAAAATCAGGGATGAAAATGGAAACATTACAACAGATACCACAGAAATCCAAAGGATCATTAGTGGCTACTATGAGAAACTATGTGGCAATAAATTGGAAAATCTAGAGGAAATGGATAAATTCTTAAGACACATAAACCTACACCAAGATTGAACCATGAAGAAACTGAAAACCTGAATAGATCAATAACAAGTATCTAGATAAAAGCCATAACAAAAAGTCTCCCAGTAAAGAAAAGCCTGGGACCTGAAGGCTTCACTGCTGAATTCTACCAAACATTTAAAGGAGAACTAATATCAATCGTACTCAAACTATTCTACAAAATAGAGAAGGGAATACTTCCAAACTTATTGCATTACAGCCGTGAAAGGAAAATAAATCTTGGGGCCCCCAAATTACTAAACTAAGGGGAAAAGTCAAGCTGGGAACTGCTTAGGGCCAGCCTGCCTCCCACTCTATTCAAAGTGTCCCCTCTCCTCACTAAGATAAATGCATAATTGATTGTCTCCTTTGGAGAGGCTAATCACAAACTCAAAAGAATGAAACCATTTGTCTCTTATCTACCTATGACCTGGAAGCCTCTTCCCTCCTTCCAGTCTTCCCACCTTTCCAGACCGAACCAATGTTCATCTTACATATGTTGATTGATGTCTCAAGTCTCCCTAAAATGTATAAAACCAAACTGTGCTCTGACCACCTTCAGACACATGTTGTCAGAACTTCCTGAGGCACATCCTCAAATTTGTCAAAATAAACTTTCTAATTTTTTTTTTTTTTTTTTGAGATGGAGTCTCGCTCTCTCGCCCAGGCTGGAGTGCAGTGGTGCGCTCTCTGCTCACTGCAGCTTCTGCCTCCCAAGTAGTTGGGAGTGATTCCCCAACTCCCCAAGTAGTTGGGTTCAAGTGATTCTCCTGCCTCAGCCCCCCAAGTAGTTGGGATTACAGGCGTGCGCCACCACACCTGGCTGATTTTTGTATTTTTAGTAGAGACGGGGTTTTGCCATGTTGGCCAGGCTGGTCTCGAACTCCTAGCCTCAAGTGACCCGCCCGCCTCAGCCTCCCAAAGTGCTGAGATTACAGGCGTGAGCTACCATGCCTGGTAAAACTTTCTAAATTAACTGAGACCTGTCTCAGATTTTTGAATCCACATGTTGATATCAAAACCAAAGACACATCACAAAAAGAAAACTACAGGCCAATATTCATTCTCTGATGAATACTGATGCATAAATCCTTGACAAAATACTAGCAAACTGAATTCAACAATATGTTAAAAAGATCATTCATCATAAACAAGTGGGATTTATCCCAGGGATGGTACAACATATGCAAATCAACCAGTGTCATACATCATATCAACAGAGCTGATGAAAAAAACCATATGACCATTTCAACTGATGCTGAAAATGTATTTGATAAAATTCAACATCCCTTTATGACAAAAACCCTCAAAAAACTGGTATAAAAGGAACACACCTCAACATAATAAAAGCCATGAAAGACCCACAGCTAGTATCATACTAAATGAGGAAAAACTGAAAGACTTTCCTTTAAGATATGGAACACAACAAACGTTCACTTTCACCACTATTATACAACATGGTACTGTTAGTCCTAGCTAGAGCAATCAGACAATAGAAAGAAATAAAGGTATCCAAATTGGAAAGGAAGAAGTCAAATTATCCTTGTTTGCAGATGATATGAACTTTTGTTTGGAAAAACCTAGAGACTACACCAAAAAACTATTAGAGCTGATAAATTCAGTAAAGTTGCAGGATACAAGATCAACATACAAAAATCAGTAGCATTTCTACATGCCAAAAGTGAATATCTGAAAAAGAAACTTAAAAAGTAATCCCATTTACAATAGCCACACATAAAATTAAATACCTAGGAATTAAGTTAACCAAAGAAGTGAAAGATCTCTATGGTGAAAACTATAAAACGCTGATGAAAGAACTGAAGAGGATGCAAAAAAAAAAAAAAAAAAAAAAAAAAAGGAAAGATATTCCATGTTCATGGACTGGGAAAATGAGTACTGTTAAAATGTCCATACTATTCAAAGCAATCAACAGATTCAATGCTATCCCTATCAAAATGCCAGTGACAATCTTCACAGAAATAGAAAAAAACAATTTTAGAATTTATGTGGAACCACAGGGGACCCAAAATAGCCAAAAGTATCCTGAGCAAAAAGAACTAAACTGGAGGAATCATATTACCTGACTTCAAATTACAGTACAGAGCTACAGTAACCAAAACAGCATGGTACTGGCATAAAAACAGACACATAGACCAATGGAACGGAATACAGAACCCAGAAACACATCCTCACACTCACAGTGAACTAATTTTCAGTAAAGGTACCAAGAACATATATTGGAGAAAAGACAGTCTCTTCAATAAGTTGTACTGGAAAAACTGGATATCCATATGCAAAAGAAAGAAACTAGACCCCTATCTCTTGCCATATACAAAAATCAAATCAAGATGGATTAAGGACTTAAATCTAAGACCTCAGACTATGAAACTACTACAAGGAAACACTAGGGAAACTCTCCAGGACATTGGTCTGGGCAAATATTTCTTAGTAATACCCCACAAGCACAGACAACCAAAGAAAAAATGGACAAATGGAAACACATCAAGTTAAAAAGCTTCTGCACAGCAAAGGATACAATCAACAAAATGAAGAGACAACCCACAAAATTATAAAAAATATTTGCAAACTACCCATCTGACAAGGGATGAATATACAGAATATATAAGGAGCTCAAACAACTCCACAGGAAAAAAATCCAATAATGCTATTAAAACATGAGTCAAAGATTTGAACAGATATTTCTCAAAAGACATACAAATGGAAAACAGGCATATGAAAAGGCGCTCAACATCACTGATTAGAGAAATGCAAATCAAACTACGATGAGGTATCATCTCATCCCAGTTAAAATGGCTTATCTCCAAAAGACAGGCAGTAACAAATGCTGGCAAGGATGTGGAGAAAGGGGAACACTGTTGGTGAGAATGTAAATTAGTGCAACCACTATGAAGAACAGTTTGGAGGTTTCTCAAAAAACTAAACATAAAGCTACCCCATACGACCCAGCAATCCCACTGCTAGGTATATTCCCAAAAAAAGGAAAAGCAGTATACGGAAGAGATATCTGCACTCCCATGTTTGCTGTGGCACTGTTCACAATAGCCAAGATTTGGAAGCAACCTACGTGTCCATCAACAGATGGATAAAGAAAATGTGGTACTTAACACACAATGGAATACCATTCAGCCATAAAAAAAAGAACAAGATCCTATCATTTGCAACAACATGGATGGAACTGGATGTTGTCATTATGTTAAATGAAATAAGCCAGGCACAGAAAGACAAACATTGCATGTTCTCACTTATTTGTGGGAATTACAAATCAAAACAATTGAACACATGGAGATAGAGAGGAGAAGGCTAGTTACCAGAGGTTGAGAAGGGTAGTGGGGCAGGGTTGGGGGAATGTGGAGATGGTTAATGGATGCAAAATAAAAAAATAGAAAGAATGAATAATACCTGATATTTGATAGCATAACAGGGTGACTATAGTCAAAATAATTTAATTGCACACTTTATAATTGGATTGTTTATAGCACAAAGGATAAATGCTTGAGGGAATGGCTATCCCATTTTCCATGTGATTATTACGCATTGTATGCCTGCATCAAAATATCTCATGTATCCCTTATATCTATGTGCTCACAAAAATTAAAAATTAAAAAACAGAATGCTAAATTGCCTCATAGTGGTAGATATTAAATATATTGCCAATATATTTTAATGTAATATAATAAATCTGTGTAAGCTATATAAAAATAGTAAAATTCTAAATCAACCTACTTGCTGAAATTCTGTAATTTTTTAAAGTCTATTTTTAAAATTACATCTTTTTTTTTTTTTTTTTTTTTTTTTTAAATTGAGACGGAGTCTCGCTCTGTCGCCAGGCTGGAGTGCAGTGGCAGGATCTCGGCTCACTGTAAGCTCCACTTTCCGGGTTCACGCCATTCTCCTGCCTTGGCCTCCCGAGTAGTGGGACTACGCCCAGCTAATTTTTTTATTTTTAGTAGAGACGGGGTTTCACCATGGTCTCGATCTCCTGACCTCGTGATCCGCCTGCCTCGGCGTCCCAAAGTGCTGGGATTATAGGCGAGAGCCACCACGCCTGGCCTAAAATTACATCTTTTTAACTCCGTATTAAATATTTGTGCACAACTGTATCCTAGTACCTGGAATGGTCCCTGGAACGTGCTCTACTTAATCAGGATTTCCAAGAATGAACAAGGCCTATGACAGAGACTGCTAATTTCTCCCAATAGCTATTTCTCCCCTTTGTCATTAGTAAGCCCCAAGTTTTACCTTTTGCCCTCCAGCTAACAGACCATACTTCTCCATCTCTCTGTCAGCTATAGACAAATGACTAAGTTCTGGCCAAGAAGAATGGAAATATTGTGCAAAGGATAGTAGAACTAATTAAAGGGAAGGGTATACCCCTTTTTCTGCCCCTTCCTCCTTCCAGCTGACGAAAATTTGACAGTAGGAACAGCCCCTAACACCTGAAACTGCCATACAGGCCCAGACTGCCCGCCTCTCATTTTCTTTACAGTGAAAGAAATATAAATCTCTAATTTAAGCTAATGTTATTGGGTTTGGGGTTTTTTGCTTGTTAGATGGTAATACACTGATACATGTAACGTTTTTATAAAGCACCACAGGCTATTCTGATATGGCTTTTGGATAAAAAGTAATTTAGAGAAATTTCAGTTTAGTTAAAAAAAAATACACCGAAAGTACAAACAACAAAAATTTAAAACTTTGATGCATAAAGGAACACTATCAACAAAGTAAAAAGACAACCCAGGAAATGGAAGGAAGTATTTGCAAATCATATATCTAACAAGGGTCTAGTATCTACAATATATACACAATCATGTACAGAACTCTACGCTCAGCAATAAGATGACAAACAATCCAATTAAAAAATGGGCAAAGGACTCAGACATTTCTCCAAAAAAGACAGCCAGTAAGCACATGAAAAGATGAGTTCAACAGGTGAATGCAAATCATAAACACAATGAGATACCACTTCACACCTACTAGAATGGCTATAATTTTTTTTAAAAAAAAGAAAATAAGTGTTCAGAAGAATGTGGGGAAAGTGGAACTTTGCATATTGCTGATGGGAATGTAAAACGTCAGCCACTGCGGAAAACAGTATGGTGGTTCTTTAAAATGTTAAACATAGAAACACCATCTAACCCAGGAATCCTACTTTTAGGTATATACCCAAAAGAATTGAATACAAATGCTCAAATACTTGCAAAAACATTCACAGCATTACTATTTGCAACAGCCAAAAGGTAGAAACAGCCCAAATGCCCATAAATGGATATACAGATACAATGTGATATATACATACCATACTTCTTAGCCATCAAAGGCAAAGTGCTTATACATGCTACAATGCGCATGAACCTCAAAAACATTAGGCTAAGGGAGAAAGCCAGACACAGAAGCTCACATATTGTATAATTCCATTTACACGAAATGTTCAAGACAGGCAAATCCATAGAGAAGAAGCAGATTCGTGGTTTTCAGGGACTGGGGATGGGGTACCAGAGAGACAGGGAGTATTTAATGGGTACAGGGTTCCTTGTGGAATGATGAAAATGTTTTGGAATAAGACAGAGGTGATAACTGCACACTGTGAATGTATTAATGCCACTGAATTGTATGCTCAAAAGAGTGAATTTTATGTTATGTGAATTCTATCCCATTTTTCCCCAAAGTTTAAAAGAACTCAAAAAAAAAAAAAAAAGACAAACATGCATTTATCATATGACCTATGACCTGGCCATTCTACTAGATATTTCCATAAGAAAAATAAAAGCTTATGTCCACATAAATACTTGTATATACAAATATTCATAGCTTTATTTATAATATCCCCAAACTGGAAACAACCTAAATATCCATCAACATGTGAATGGATAAACTGTGGTACAGCCACAAAATGGAATATCATTTAGCAATAAAAAGGAGTTAACTATTGATACATTCAGCGACATGGATGAACCTCAAAATAACTATGCTGAGTTAAAGAAGCCAGAACCCGCCCCCAAAAGTGCATACGATATGATTCCATTACTATAAAATTTTAGAAAATTCCTGCCAATGTCTAGTGATAAAAAGCTGATCAATACTTGCCTGTGGATGGGGGTGGAAGAAAGAATAAGGGATATTACAAAGAGGCAGTAAGGAACTTTTGGAAGGAATAGAAGTATTCCTTATCTTGATTGTTGTGGTGACAGTTTCACTAGTGCAAGCACATGTCAAAACTCATTCAATAACAGTTTAAATACGTGGAGTTTATTGTACATCAATTATACGTCAATAAAGCTATAAAAATGATAGCATTTAGCAATAGGAAGGGCATAGTAAAAAAACCACTCATATATTGACAATGGAAGTTAAAACAATAATACATTTCATATGCAGCCTTAAAAACATTTTTGGGCTGGACATGATGGCTCACACCCGTAATCCCAGCACTCTGGGAGGCTGAGACGGGCAGATTACTTGAGCCCAGGGGTTTGAGACCAGCTTGGGCAACAGGGCAAAACCCCATCTCTATAAAAAATACAAAAATGAGCCGGGTGTGGTGGTGCATGCCTGTGGTCCCAGCTATGAGGAAGGCTAACTTGGGACGATCATCTGACCCAGGGAAGTTAAGGCTGCAGTGAGCTGAGACCTCTGCAGTGAGCCAAGATCATGCCACTGCACTCCAGCCTGGGCGACAGAGCAAGACTTTGTCTCAAAAAATAAAAAATTTTTTCAAAGAATAGGTGTTTTTCAAAGAAAAATACTCACTCTGATATTACTGAAAATGATGTAAGATATTAAACAGCAAGATGCATTGTATTTGTGTTTGCACACTCATGTGTATAAGCTAAGACACACCAAAATCCTGCTGGTGGTTGCTGGGACCTGGTTTTCATATTCTTCTCTATAAGCTCTAAAATAGCTTTCTGTATACTCCTGTATATCTTCCATATATATCTCATAATTCTATAATTAGCGAAATATTTTAAAATACGCCTACTTAGGAACTGATAATTGCATCATCAAATTTTGCATCAGATTGGCAATGCATCAGATGCAAAACAATGTTTGCAAGGTCCTCTTAAATACTGCAGAACATATGACTTTCTCAGATGTCTGGTATGGGAGCCCAATCTGAGAATTTAAGCACACTCCTGTCTCATCATGGTTGCAAAGCTTCGACCTAAAAATAGCTTGCTCTTACATAATCACTAGCCACAGATTTGTATATTTTACATATCCTCAAAATAAATAGTTTTTTTTTTTGAGATACGCCACCAGAGGTAAATAATCATTTTTAAAAGTAGGGAAGTTTAATCATAATCTAAACAAATCTTGTTTTCAGAAGTTATTCAGGGGCTCTGCAATTGATAGTTTTGCTGATGAAAATAACTAGAAACAGTTATATGTAACAGAAGTAACACCATAGCAATGAATTGTTTAAATAAACTTTATTTGAATCATATACAATACCTTTATGTTAAGTGTATGATTCAGTAAGCTTTTACAAATATATACGCCGCCATGTAACTAGCACCACCATCAAGATACAGGACATTTCCATTACCTCTCTCCCCCAAGTTCTCATGTGCCCCTTTCACGGTCACTCTCCCCCATGTGCCCCTTTCACGGTCACTGTCCCCCTTCTCTCCACCCCCTACCCAGGCAACCACTGCTCTGACTTCAATAACCATGGTTTAGGTTTGTCTGTTTTTGAACTTAAAATAAATGGAATCATGCAGGGTGTGTACTCTTTTGTATCTAGCTTTTTTTACTAGTATAATGTTCTTTAGATTCATCCATGTTTTTGCAACTATACGCAGTTCTTTCCTTTTTACAAAGGACTATTCCACTGTACATTTATTCCATGATTTCCAGCTCCGCTTTTTACATGCCTTCAGCTCTGTCTCTGAAAATAGCTTTCTGTATATGGTAAACATTGTTAGGCCCAGAAGGACAATCACTTTGCTTTTTTAGAATTTTGATATTTTATTCTGTTTTGACAAGTGTTTTCACAGTTCTCAAACTGAGGTAAAAAATTTAAATGTGCTGGAATCACAACTTAGGAGGTTATATGTCTATCTGAAGAAAACACTGCAAATATGTTAAAGCAGTGCTTCCCAAGTTTTGTCAGTATGTATATTTACTTTACACCAGGTGCTGTGCTAAGTACGTGCTGTACTAGCTCATATGATCCTCCCCACCCACAATCTTGTGAGGTTTGCCACTGAACAACACACTTAAAAATGGTTACGATGGTAAATCATATGTATATTTTACCAAAAACAAAAAACAATAAAACTTTTTCCTCCAAATATTGGACTAAAATATATAGTTAGGATGACTCATATTAACACACCAACAAAACCCCAAAACACTGCGATTGCAATATTTGCCATGTATTTTTACTTGGGTCCTTGACATTACCTATAACAAAGTCACTATCAAAATGTATATATTCTTGACACAAAACCATAGCATAAGGTAAAAATATATTCCCAACACTTCATTTTTTTGAAACGGAGTTGCACTCTGTCACCCAGGCTGGAGTGCAGTGGCGCGATCTCGGCTCACTGCAACCTCCACCTCCCGGGTTCAAGTGATTCTCCTGCCTCAGCCTCCCGAGTAGCTGGGATTACAGGCATGCGTCACTGCACCTGGCTAATTTTTTTGTATTTTTAGTAGCAAAAAATTTCACCATGTTGGCCAGGCTGGTCTCGAACTCCTGACCTCAAGCTATCCGCCCACCTCTGCCTCCCAAAGTGCTGGGATTACAGGTGTGAGCCACTACGTTCAGCCTATTCCTAACATTTTAACAACTATTTACTTAATACTACTTGCAGAAAAAAATCCCAAAATGTAGTCAGCATATGTGAATGCACCCTGGGGAACAACCATATTCAATTAATTCACAAGAGAATGTTGGAATCTAGTGATTGCCAAACTGTAAGACTATGAAATTACAATACAGTTCCCAATAGGGATTGACGCAGGACCTACCAGTGATGAAGCCTACACAGAAACTGTGGATGAACCACAAACCAGGCTTTGAATTCTCTTAAGGCCAAAACAGAAAGAGAAATACAATCAATTGTGCCCTTTTAATTGTCCACCAGGAAAAAAAAAACACCAACTGTTCCTTGGAGAAAAGAAACTCCCTCTTTGCCCTTAGCTCTAATTTCTCATCCAGGATTATATAAAGGGGAGTAAGAGTATTAGAGGGCAAAATAATCATGTTGTTAAGGCCAATATTTTTTGAAATGCCCTTCAACAAAAATTAAGGGTGTAACGCCAACTTATAATTCAGTGAGGGCCATTTTTCTGAAAAATCAAGAAAACATAGTCCAGGCTATAGCATTCTGACAGGCCAGTTTAACATTAAGATAAGGAATCTTAGGAAATAGACTACTTCTATATTTTCCCAAAATGCGACTTCTACCAAGCCAAATCTTCACAAAAAGATGGACAGCAATTTCCTGTTGAGAACCTGGAACACAGGTATTCTGTGCAAAATCAGAAGATATTTCAATACCCTTGGCCATCTGCTTATCTTATTTCTAAATGTGGCATCCTTTGGTCAAATTGAGAAAGTAGCTTATATAGATGGCCACATCCGCTTGGGCTGTCTAAAGACTTTTCCTAAGTCTAGGCGTGTATGATATAGTTGGGCTGTTCTTTGGCATTAAATTTGGAGGCAGTTATCCTGGATTTAGTTCTAAGTTTTGCCCGCTCCTAGCGGCATATGCTTGGGCAAGTAAATGACACTCTCCTCCTGGCCCTAGCATCCTCTGTAAAATAAAGAATAGATCACTTTCAAACTTTTCTATGGAGGTACCGCAGTGGATGAATGGGTGCTTTTACTTTCATCGGTCTTATATACTGGCATCCACATCCTGCCTCCACTGCCAATAAAACCTCTGAAGACCATCAGACCAGATGTTCTACAATCTAATACCGATTCTGAGACTTTGGGATTTTAAACAACTAGTCCTTAACACAAATACCACAAATAAATAAAATATTCAAAATTAAATAAGTTCTAACACAAGTAAGAAATTTTGGCCAGGCACAGTGGCTCACACCTGTAATCCCAGCACTTTGGGAGGCCGAGGTGGGTGGATCACCTGAGGTCAGGAGTTCGTCACCAGCCTGGCCAAGATGGTGAAATCCCATCTCTACTAAAAATATAAAAATTAACCAGCCATGGTGGCATGCGCCTGTAGTCCCAGCTACTTGGGATGCTGAGACAGGAGAATTGCTTGAACCTGGGAGGCAGCGGTTTCAGTGAGCAGAGATCACGTTACTGCACTCCAGCCTGGGCGACAGAGTGATACTCCATCTTGGAAAAAGAAAAAGAAAAAGAAAAAGAAATTTACTAAGAATTATGCTCACAAATCATTTCTAATCCAGCTGTTCAGAACCCAGAAAAACAACAACAAAAATCTCCCTCACAGAAACATTATTATAAGTGAGGGCTGATTTCTCAAGTAAACTCAAAAAGGCCCAGTGTCCTGAATGTAGCAAATAATTAGGCAAAAGAACAGCTGACGTCACCAGAGCATAGCATGTAGCATGTTGTCACCGGAGCATAGCATCTCCCCTGCCACTGTGTGTAACAGTGTGTCCATGTCTGCAGCCTGGGTGGGTATGAGCTCCCCTCTCCCAGGGGAAAGACATCTCCCCTGCATCTCTCTTGACCACTGAGCACAACCACTGTGCTTCTTGTTATTCCCATCACCACCTACTGCTTCCCATCGGGGTTTCTCTCCTCCAACACACCATGCCACAAACCAGTTTTGCTCCCTTTCTCTCCCTGAGTTGTGCACAAGTTCCTTTTAAGATATTTTCGTGAGAATAAAACATGGAAACTGACAGGTTTCTCCTTATTGCATCTGAATGTCACAGCCACCTGTGATGTAGAAAGAAAGGGTCTGCGTTAACGACTCCGTGTTAGACAAAAGAACGTGAGCCTTGGAGTAAGTTGCCCAGAGTCAAAGAGCAAGAAAAGGGTCCCTGTTACTGAAACCCATGCCTGGGGACCCTACATAATAGCAGGTTTGAGTTCTATCATTTATGCCTTCCTCCCTGGCTTTCCCCACGCTCTCCCTGGCTCTGTCTTCAGCTGGTCTGCATAAAGAATAACACAGATCATGAGGTAAACAATGGTGAGCCTTTGAGCATCTAAAGAAAACCAGACACAGGTTATCCTGGCTTGTTCCTCTTTGGTGTTGGGGCCAAGGTTCTGAGAAGAAGGAAAGGGGGAGATGAATATGTTGAGCAGATGGAAAAATCCTCAAAGTGTAGGAGAGAGAAAACAAGGGAGAAAGAAAAAAGGTGGAAAAGGCAACAAGGGGATGAGGGTCATTCTTCTACCACTCAAGAATAGAAAAGAAAGTATGAAGGAAAAAGAGGAAGAAGGTGAGCAGTAGGTGAGCAAAAGAAACAGAAATGCCAAGCAGTGGAAACAGGACGAGGTGGCTCACAGAAAAAACTTGGAAGTCATCCAAACCTTCTGTACCTTTTAGGCTTTTTAAATGTTAGGGGGATAGTACCTAGACTCCATTCATAAGCAGTCTTCAGGCTGGAAAGATGGAGTCTACAAAAATACATTATTAGAGTCTAAAAAATAAACCAACGGCTAAAGCTAACAGTGATACATTCACGAAATTACAAAAAATGCTAGAACTACGAAATATACAACTAGAAATCCAGAAAGGAAAAACTTTGAATTATCCAGGTTCAAAAGACAGAGGATAATAAATGTTCTAAAGAAAAAAATAAAACTCAAAAAACTGATACAGATAATTGTAAAATTTAATTTTAAAAAAGATGCAATAGATAAGAAACTAAAGACCGTTCTTTGAAAAGTAATCAAAAAAAGCTTTAATGAGACTTATAGGGAGGGACTGAGATTCATTTGAAAAGAAATTTATTTGGAGATATCCAAGTCAGTATTAGAAAAAAGAAAATGGAAAAAGTTTAGGAAAGATATATAATTACAGATCCAACCTAAGTTAAAAAAAAAAAAGAAAGAAAATTATGAATACCTTTATAATACATTTCAAAACTTAAAAGAATTCCTAAAAATATATAACTTGTCAAAACTGACCCAAAAAGAAATAGAAAACTAAAATAATCCTAGAAACATTAAATATATGTAGTTACTAGTTAAAAAAAAAACTTTACAAAGATAAGGTGGTTTTATAAGAAAGTTCTAAATTTTCAAGGAACAGACCATTTCAATTTTATACAAAACAGCAAAGGAGGGAATACTCCTAAACTCACTTTATGAGGTCAGTATAACCTTGATATTAAACCCTGATGAGGACAGAACAAAAAAAGAAAATTACAAGTCAATCTTACTTATAAACATACATACTAAAATAGATACTAAAATCCAAAGGAAACCAAATTGAGAACAATGTTAAAGATAATACATCATAACCAAATTAGGTTTATTCCAAGTACACAAAGATGGCTGGCTTGGCACTGGAAACAGTCCAAATATATCATTTACCAGCTTAGCAGATTTAAAAAAACCATACAACCCTTTTAATAGACACCAAAGAACATCTGATAAAACTCAACACCCTTTAATGATAAAAAAAATTTTCAACAATATATGAAAGGAAACTCTTTAAATCTGGTAAATGGTATTTGTTAAATACCATTCTTAACAGTGAATCATTAGAAGTTAGAGGTATGCCTTTTTTTTTTTTTTTAAATCAGGGATGAACATGAATCCTACCATCTCAGCTTCTATGCAACATTGTCCTGAAGGCCCTAGCCAGTAAATGAAGAATTACAAAAAGAAATGAAATGTGTAAGAATTGAAAAAAAGGAATAAAATTACAATCATCCACAGATTATGAATGTCTACAAAGTCTATCTTCATCATTTGTTTCCTCACCTCCCTCACACTCACTCCTTTGCATGCTGCAATCTGGCTTCCTCTTATGTCAAGCTTCCTTTTTTTGTTGTTTATTTTTTATTTTTGAGACAGGGTCTCACTCTGTCACCCAGGTTGGAATGCAGTGGTGCAGTCTCGGCTCACTGCAACCTCCCCTTCCCAGGCCCAAGTGATCCTCCTACCTCAGCCTCCCAAGTAGCTGGGACCACAGGTGCACACCACCACACCCAGCTAATTTTTTATATTTTTTTTGGGAGAGACAGGGTTTCACTATGCTGCTGAGGCTGGTCTCAAATTCCTGAGCTCAGGGGATCCACCTGCTTCAGCCTCCCAAAATGCTGCGATTACAGGTGTGAGCCACTGCACCTGGCCCTATATGAAGCTTCTAAAACTTCCAAAATCAAAGATTTCAATGACCAACCACCATGGCACACATATACCTATATAACAAATCTGCATGTTCTGCACATGTACCCCATTTTTTTTTGTTTTTGTTTTTTAGAAAAAATAAAGGAAAAAAAAGATTCCAATGACCACCTGGCTACCAAATACAATGGACATGCTTCAGTTCTTACCTGTCCTCTGGGCAGCTTGTCTCCCTTGATCTCCCCTGTTCTAGAGTTCCTCCTGCCTCTCTGGTCGCCTTTTCTCAGTCATCTCCACTGGCTCCCTTTCTTTCACTTGTCTTTTAAGCATCAGTATTCAATCTTTTGATTTCAAACTTGTTCAAGCGTCTTCTCCTAGGTAACATTATTCGTTCCTTTGACCTCAATTACCATGTTGACGTAGGTGACTCCCAATGCTAATGATTCTCAAATTTTTATCAGACACCTAAGGACAATCTTACTTGAACATAATAGCATGTCCAAAAGGCAACTCATCTTTCCACATTCCCTCAATTCCCTACCTTAATCACCTCTATACAGTGTGACTTGTGCCATAAAACTGGGTGTCACCTATGGCTCCACCTTCATTCCCCACATTCCCTGGAGTACCAGCTCCTATTCATGCCGTTTGTTTCTGAAGCATCTCTGCTCTGCATCCCCCTTTCCTTCTCCACAGTCACTAACTTGGTTCAGTCCCTGATTATCTCTCTTGAGTTCCTGCACCTGGTCGTCCTGTTTGCAGGCCTGTGCTCCTCTCTAATCCTTCTCATAAGGAGCAAATCTCATTAAATCTGATTAAAATCTTTCAGTGACTCTAACTGCCCAAGATAAGTTTCGAACTCTATAAGCATACTTTACAAAGTCCTTCAAAAGGACCCCGCTTCTATCTTTTAGACTGGACTTTCTCTTTATTCTTTCCCTTCCATTCCGGTCTTAACGATTTGCTAAAATTTACCCTCTTCTGTTGCTTCTGGGTATGTTGCACCTTCTGTAAGAATTTATTTAGTCACCTGACGCCGGTATAAGTCAGATGACTACATAGATTTTAGTCATCTAATTTTATGAAGACAGACTGGTCTAGCAGTTTCTTATAAGGTAAACAATCTATAAATATTTATCAAATGACTCAAAAAAAAGTCACAGAAAGTAACAGACATCAAATCCTCAATGGACCATTATAAAAATGTATAGGGGTTACACCCTTAAGACTCTGAAGTTAAAATGAAAGGAAAATTATGTCTGCCTATATAACTCATGCAAAATTAATCAGAGTACAAGCCAGGCACTGCATTCTATATTGGGAATATGGTACGGAATAAGACAAACACAGTCACATGCAGATTATAGTCTTGGTACCATCGTGAGATACAAAAACTTATCAGGATAGATCTTGAGTCACATCAAGCATGACAAGCCTAACACACACACACACACACACACACACACACACACCATGCTAATTAAAACCTTATGTATTTTGTTCAAAAATTCCCCAAAAGTTATCACAATGAAATCCAGCTTCAGTTTACATAAACTTCATTCTATTTATAACTTATGTCTTAGCTGCTTCCAAAATTAATTTGTAGCTATATCTCTGGACTATATATAAAATAAACTGAAAATTTTAGGAATATATGTTGAATAATGTGGACTGAATAACAATTCTAAATTTCTATTTTTAGAGGAATTAAAATATTTCTTATAATTCTCAGAAAGCTGATAAACAGTCATATATTTGAATGCCAGAAGTAGTAAGTTTAGCCAACCTTTTTATAAAGAATGTAAATGATAAATGTCAAAAATTGTACATGGAGCTTAGATTATGATGTTGCATAATTATTTTCTCAGTTATGCACAATATTTAAACATGCTCAAACTATTTATAAACCACCCTGAGTATCAGTAAGACCTTTGCTTTAATATGGAAAACCTAACAGGCTCTTTTACTTCCCCCCCATTATGCAGGGCTCACAACTGGGGGCAAAGAAATTATACGGGTCACTTTCACTGTCAATACAATCTCCTAAATTTAACCTTTAAAGGGTTTTTAAAGAGGGGAGACTAGAGTCCAGCAACTATATTCAGGCTGATACAAGTTCCTTTAAAACTCCAGTCTGGCAAAAGTAGCACTGGGACAGAGGCTGAAATAGCTCCCTGGTAGTTATGCTCAGATTAAATATCCACTAAACAGAAATTGAGTTACCTTGCCAAAGACATCAGCTTAGGGACTAAAAAATTTGATTTGGAGAGGAGATTAACTTCGGTGTGTCCTCAAAATGGAAAGCAAGTTTGTATTTAGACACCCCCCACCCCACCCCGTTTTCCTGCCTACACACTATTCCACCAACACACATTTCAAGCATTTTTCTCTCTCGAAAAAGATTCCTGCTAAGCAATGCCTTAATTCAGTCTTTGAACCTAATTAAAATTAAGAAACTTTTAATAGCCTTAATAACTCAGAAAAGCTGTACTAAGCTCTTCTCTGGCATCTTCCTCTCCTTACCACCCTCTCTCCAAACCCAGAAAAATCCAGCACAACAGAAAGCACAAAACAACTAGCCACATGCTCTGAATGCTAGGAAACGTGATTCCCCGCTGGTTTAGGCTACAAAGAAAGCCTGTGAGTAATCAAAAATCCTTAATCAAAACATTAAAGTTAAAAGCCACCTCCCCATTCCCCAACACAAATAGAATTTCCCTTTCTCTCCTTAATCCGCTCATGCACTTCTCGTATTCTTGGAATTTCAGCGGCCTCTGAAGAGCGGATGGTAAGTTCATCTCAATGTCAGCCGGAGCACAGCCATGCGAAAAATCACTAACTTGGAAGGTTATTTAGGACAATAATGTCTTTCACTGTCTTACTCCTCCCACTCCAGCCCTTCTTGACCTAATACCAATATTCAACTGAGAAACACATCAGTCCACGGGCTTTTTCCCCAGGGGCTCTTCCTGCAGGAACCCCACGGCAGGGAGACCCGCACTGGGAAGAGAGCAGGGTCTCCCGGCTGGTGCGCCCCTCCCCACGCGCCCGCGGCTGCACCCCACTCTGCACACACACGTCCAACTATTCTTGGATCTACTCACATCCCTGGATCAAGTCTGGCCGCCCTCCCCGCTCCGTCCCCCGGCGTCCTCCGTGGCCCCAGGCTGCCCCGCAAAGCCACCGAGCTGCAAATACACCCACCTACCTGGGCCAGATCCGAGGACCCCGGCTGGCGCGCTCCACCCTGCGCTCCTCGCAAGCTCCAGCGCGAATGCGCTCGGCCTGCTCCTCCTCCTCCCCTCCAGTCGAGCCGAGGCGAGCCGATCCGGGAGGCGCGACCCAGGGCGGCCCGCAAGGTCTCCCTAAGTCACCTTTGCGCAGCCTGCCCCTGGCTCCGGCCGGGCAGCAGCGCCAGCCTTCCCCAGCGAGGTCGGGCAGAGGCGTTGCCCGCCAGCGGCCCAGGACTCCCGCGCCGCGCCCGCCCGGGCCGCAGAGGTCTGCGCTGCCCCTCCGCCGCCGCTGGCTCGGCCGCAGACCCGCCCTCCGGGGCTCGCGGGGAGAGCGCGGGCGGGCGGCGGCAAGGCCTGCGGCGGGCGGCTCCCTGCGCGCGGCGGGCAGCGTCCGGGCCGCTCCTCCCCTTCCCCAGCGCCGCTGGCGGGCGGAGGCGCAGGTAGGGACCGCCGGGGAAGCCTGCACGGCCCTCCGAGGAGAGGTCGGGGACTGCTCCTTGGGCTCTACGTGAGTGCCGCGCCGAGGCGCCTGCGAGGTCCTAGAGCTGCTGTGCGCTCGGCCCTCTCCTGGAGACACCGGCCCTGGCAACTTTTTTTTTTTCTTTTTTCTTTTTTTTTTTTTTTAACCAACCCGCCCCTTGGGAAACTCTGGAAAGCAAAGGAATCTTCTCTCCAGTCCTGCCTGTCACTTACTCCGGCTCACGCTGAAGCGTTCGCGTTTACGGTTCCAAAACCAAGACTGAAAGGCAGTCTTCACATATTTATTGTTTATACCCTAGTTGGGACACTGAGCAACAAGGAAAACAACGGTATTAATCCTACTACCGTGAAACCTACTTAGGTAAAATTATTCCAGCCAGGCTTGAAGGGCAAAGGTTCAGAGGACAGGAAAACCCACCACCCAAATACCACACTTAAGTGGGATGTTCAGGTTAATGAAATTTATGGTTAACTGTAACACTCTGATGGAGGGAAAGAAATCTTTTTGTTTCAACATGTTTCAAACCTTTCACCTTACTAAAGTGTTTAACTCTGTCCTCATACTTTAGTGAGTTCAGAGTAAAAATGAACAAAATTAAATATTTCTTTCACAAGATCCTAGGTACTTTAAGTCCCATTGAAGTTGGTGGTAGCTGTAATTGCACTACAGACCTAGAATGTGTTAAAGACCATTCCAGGCCATGCTGGGAAAATTGGGAATGAATGTCAGTGAGGTTTCATGGCATCTTTGTTTTCATTGTTATTTTATTGTATTAATTAATTAATTTATTTATTTGGAGACAGAGTCTTGCTCTGTCGCCCAGGCTGGAGTGTAGTGGCACAATCTCAGCTCACTGCAACCTCCACCTCCTGGGTTCAAGTGATTCTCGTGCCCCAGCTTCCTGAGTAGCTGGGATTACAGGCCTGCACCACCAAACCCAGCTAATTTTTTGTATTTTTAGTAGAGACGGGGGTTTTGCTATGTTGGTCATGCTGGTCTCCAACTCCTGGCATCAAGTGATCCACCTGCCCTGGCCTCCCAAAGTGCTGGGATTACAGGCGTGAGCCACCACGCCCAGCCTCATGGCATCTTTGAAAAGTCAGTTCATTTCTTTTACTTTTTTCACTCAGAATAATAACTGTTACTGTACTTGGAAAAATCATGTATGGAAAGAGGAGTCCCTGCTACAGAATCTCTCCCTAGGCCCTGAAAATTAGAGAATGAATTCAGTTTATAAAAGTAGTGCTAGGTAGCAAAACAATGAACAACAAATTACCTTCTTGTTTTAAAAGGCAATCTACATGGCTCCTAAATGTGCCAGGTACTGTACTGAAGCACCTCACATAAAATAGCACATATATGCGCTCAATTTCAGATGTGGAAACAGAATTCCTAAACATATATTCATTTGTTCAAGGTCGAGGTAGCAGAGTTTAGATCCAGATTGGTCTGATCCCAAAGCCTGAATTTTTTCCTTTGTACATTCATTATTCATTCATTCAAATATTTATTCACCATCTACCACATGCCAAGTACCATGCTACAAAAATAACTAAGATACAGTTGCTTCCTTAGGAAGCTCCAGTTTGTGAATATATAATGATACAATATGATAAATGCTATGACAGCCAGGAACTCATGGAGCAGCAGGGACACCTCACCTAGTTTTGAAGGGTGGAGCCTGTATGAGGAAATGGTTACAGTCATCCAACAGAGCAGCCTTGAGAATTTATCTCACAGAACAGCAATGGGGAACTGTATGCTGGAGTCAGGGAAGACAGAATAAAGGGAGATAGGCAACCAAGATATTAAAAAACCAAATTGAACCGGGCACGGTGGCTCACACCTATAATCCCAGCACATTGAGAGGCCGAGGCAGGCAGATCACTTGAGGTCAGGAGTTCTAGACCAGCCTGGCCAACATGGTAAAACCCCGTTTCTACTAAAAATACAAAAATTAGCAGGGTATGGTGGTGTGTGCCTGTAATCCCAGCTACTCAGGAGGCTGAGGCAGGAGAATTGCTGGAACCCAGGAGGCAGAGGTTGCAGTGAGCCAAGACTGTGTCGCTGTACTCTAGCCTGGGCAACAGAGCGAGACTCCTTCACAAAAAAAAAAAAAAAAAAATTGACGGGACTTGATTAAAGATAGGGAGGAAGAAGGAGGATGAACCAAAGCCAGTTCCCATGATCCTGGCCTGAATTACTGAATGGGTGGCAAGTCTATGAGTTGAATGGATAACTCAGTTTGAGACACGTTGGTTTTGAAATGCTTCTGATATAAGCATATGTAAATGTTCAAAAGGCAGCTGGATATATTAGATCAGAACTCAGGAGAAGTCTGAGGTGGAGACATCTGAGTCCTCAGGGAATTCTAGTTAAAAGAATGGGTGACATCATCCAGGGAGAATATGAGGAGTGAGAAGGTCACTCGCAGAAACCTAGGTAATACTAATATTTAATACATAGGCAGATGAAAAAATGCTTTAGAAGGTGGCTGAGGCCAGGCGTGGTGGCTGAAGCCTGTAATCACAGCACTCTGGGAGGCCAAGGCGAGTGTATCACTTCAGTTCAGAAGTTTGAGACCAGCCTGGTTAACACAGTGAAACCCCATCTCTACTAAAATACAAAAAAATTAGCTGGGTGTGGTGGCGTGCACTTGTAATCCCAGCTACTCAGGAGGGTGAGGCAGGAGAATCGCTTGAACCCGGGAGGCTGAGGTTGCAGTGAGCCAAGATGGCACCACTGCACTCCAGCCTGGGCAACAGAGTAAGACTCCATCTCAAAATTAAAAAAAAAAAAGAAGGTGACTGAGGGGGAGCTGCTACAAAGGAAGGAGAAGCCAAAAGAGGCGGCACTGTGGAAGCCACAGCGCAATTCCAAAAAACAGGAAGTAGTCACATGCCAGGCCCTTCAGAGGACAAGCAAGACAATTTTTAAATGTCCTTTGATTTAGCAATAAGGAAATACTGGCAAGAACAGTTTCGGTGGACTTGCTGAAAATTAAGAAGTAGAAACAGAAAGTATCACATTTTCAAAAATGGAATTGGAAAAGGATGCAGGGAGATAGACAAAAGCTATAAATAAGGGGGTAGAGAATTCCAAAGACAGGAGCTATTTTTTGAAGCAAGGTCCCCAGAGAAGCAGAATGGAAGGAGACAGATGCCTCCAGCAAAAGGCTAGAGGAAAGTATAAGAGCAGATGCAGATAAAAACTGGAGTGAAGAGTGGTAGGGAGTGGAGCCATATACAGTGACTACCTCATGTTTAACAAAGGAATTCTGCTCAGAGTGGAAGGAGATCTGAGGGGACTACAGAGACAGAAGGCCAGAGACGGGTGCAGGCCCAAAAGAGCTGTGAAGAACATTAGGGAACAAAAGATATCAGGGTCACAAAATGACTACAGGACTGCCCGACAGCAAAGGAAATGAAATGAATGGAAGAGATCATGACTTTGTAGAGCTGTAAGTCCACATGAACACATGATCTCTCTTCAAAGATACCAGTGTCCAGTCCAAAGAAGCAGTACAGAATTCCAACCCTTCAGACGGTTCCAATGTAGGGTCTGAATCTTTCCATTATACCACAAAATTAGTCCCACTCTCTTTTTTTTTTTTTTTCTTGAGACGGAGTCTCACTCCGTTGCTCAGGCTGGAGGGCAAGGGTGCAATCTCGCTTACTGCAATCTCTGCCTCCTGGGTTCAAGCGATTCTCCTGCCTCAGCCTCCCGAGTAGCTGGGATTACAAGTGCCTGCCACCACGCCTGGCTAATTTTTTGTATTTTTAGTAGAGACGAGGTTTCACCATGTTGGACAGATTGGTCTCAAACTCCTAACCTCAG
The DNA here is from genome assembly GCF_000001405.40 of Homo sapiens. Classification (NCBI taxonomy): domain Eukaryota; kingdom Metazoa; phylum Chordata; class Mammalia; order Primates; family Hominidae; genus Homo; species Homo sapiens. Next base: position 24,275,965 of record NC_000018.10, read on the forward strand.
GTGATCCACCACCTCAGCCTCCCAAAGTGCTGGGATTACAGGCATGAGCCACCGTGCCTGTATGACATTCCAGTCATACAGTTGGGTCACAGCTTTTCAGCAGTCAGGAGATTTAACATGAAATATGTATAAAACACTTGATAAGTGAGCTTCTACTGACTTTAAATGGGCAGTTCTTACCTTGGAAAAATTGGTATGACTAACATCAAGGAAGCTCGATAGTACACAAAATGAGGAGGGCATCCTCTGGCAAGGAAAACTACAGAAACAAATATAATTCCAGAAACCAGTTTCTGGCATTTTGAATGGAACTCTCAGACCAGGCTAAGAAAAGACCCAGCACTCACATTCTGTTATACTGTTTCCAAGAAAACTACCCTAAAAACAGCATCTAGGTTTTTCTTCAGTAGATCAACCACCAACTTTACAAAGTATTTTATATATTGCCATTTTCTCAACAGCATAAGCAGTTTTTTTGTTTGTTTTTTGTTTTTTTGAGACAGAGCTCTTGTTTCCCAAGCTGGAGTGCCAATGGCCTGATCTCGGCTCACTGCAACCTCCGCCTCCTGGGTTCAATGGATTATCCTGCCTCACTCAGCCTCTCGAGTAGCTGGGATTACAGGCATGTGCCACCACACCTGGCTAATTTTTTGTATTTTTAGTAGAAATGGGGTTTCACCATGTTAGCCAGGCTGGTCTCGAACTCCTGACCTCAGGTGATCCACCCCCCACCCACCCTCAGCCTCCCAAAGTGCTGGGATTACAGGCATGAGCCATAGGCCATAGCAGTTTTATTTACAAATAAAATCTTCCTACAATAATGCCTCATTTATTTATAGCTCCTATGAAAACCTCGATTATGTAGATCATATCAGTACATCCTCAAATAAGCAAAAAACACCCACATACCACAGAAATAGAAGGCATGAAAGCCTGCACACACTGTAAACCCCCAAGATTCTCATAGAGAGCCAGTTTACTCTGACTGGACATAATTTTATGGAGTTTGGTTATCTAGTTTTCTTTTTAATAAACAGGAGATTAGAAAGAGTAAATCAGAGGCATCAGTATTCCACTGCTAGAGGCAGGTACACAGTTAATTTGAAAAATCAAGAGAGGTAATTTTTAAAAACCTATAAAGAGCAAACAAGAGTCCAGAAAGCATTGGCAGGACCAGGCCATTTGGTAGAAAAACACAGACTCACATAAACATTATCCCCTGAGGGCATCTCTGTATTAAGGCACAGAATAATTATTGACATACAAAAGGCCAATCTTGAGACACCTAGAAAACATAAAATTATGGTCTGACAAGGGCTTGTAAAAAAAAAAGAAAAGAAATAAACATAAAATTAAGTTTTAAAGTTTTAGGTTAAGAAGTAAATGTGGAACATTTAGAATAACTGCCATCAAAAAAGACTAGAATAAAAACAGCGTTGCTGCTGTGGGGGCTGGGGTCACTTACATCTACTGGATCCCTGTTTCGTGCCAGTCCCTACAGAGGTGTTTTACCAATATGATCGCATTTACTCTTTAAAACAATCCCTTTTGGGTGGTCACCATTTTAAATAGGAGATTGTATTTTAAAACTGAGTCAAAGAGAGCAAATAGCAGAGCTAGGAATTAGAGCCAGGTCTGTAGGTCTTCAAAGCTTTATGCCTGCTCTTTTAATAAAATTTCCAGATAATAGACATGTAATTTATAATGCCAGATAAAAAAGGTATTACAGCACATAATTACACCACTCTGACCTCGATTACGCTGTTAAATTCCTATGTTGTAATCCTTATGCATTTGAAAGACTAACTTTAGAAATGCCACTTACCTTTCAAATATTTTGCAGTGCCTTCTCACTGTTTATCTTATTGTTGAGAAGGAAATCTATGGATTCTAAGTGTTTCATGGAGTTGATAATTTCATATAATTACTCAGAAGATACCTTCAATACATTCCAAAAGTTTGAAACATTAAATGCTAGTTACTAAACAGAATACTGTGTTCCACGCAGTATGCTAACATACTCTATATATGTAACATTCATCTACATATAGTTGATGCCCACACCCAACTCTGAGGTGTTTATTTTCATTTTACAGAAACTTGTCCCACAGTTGGAGAAAAGTTAGAGAAAGACTGAGATTAAAAACGGGTCCACCAGACTTTCAGACCAGTGCTTCTAAAAGCTTGCTATATGGTTTCCCTTATTCAAAAGATGAAGACAACAAGGTTCAGAGAAGTGAAGTAGCCTTGTCATTTAAACAACAAGAATGGAAACACAACACGATCATTCCAATGATAGTGGTCAAATAAAAGTTCTTTAGACAATGCTACTTCCTCCCAAAACAAAATAAATCCACTGTTACACACATAAAAGCTCCAAGATACTATCAGAAAAGAGAGGCTACAAATGTTAATTAGTTAAGATCTTACAATAACTGTTAACTTTTATTCAGGGCTTACTATGTGTCTGGTACTATGCTAAGTATTTTGCTTACATTATCTTATTTAATCCTCATGATAAATTTAAGAGGCTAAAAGAGGTCAATTAGCCTAAACTTTAGGCTAACACTCTTGCACATCTAAATAACCTAAAGAATTAGGTTATTTTTTAAGCAGATAGTTTAAAAATTAGAATAGGTTGATTGCTTCAGAAATTAAACATGAACCAACATAACACGTTACTTCCAATCTAATGTTCAGCCTTAAAACCATATATCTCTGGAACAAGAAAGCTATCGATACATCCATCAGGTACCACATAAGAGACATGAGTGAAATGCGGTTTTACAAGGTACTAAATATTTCATGAATCCTATGACATCATATTTTATTAATTTCAAAGATATTCTGAATGCAATCATCCTGTTCAGATTTATTTAGAACACTAAATCATCTGTTATTTAAATAAACTTACACATGAAATTTGCAAACCACCAAAAATAGAAGTGCTGAGGAGGGATATTTTCAAACAGTATTAAAAAATCAACCATTTGAAATGTTTAATGAACAATTATGTTTTCCTGTGATAGTTAATATAATTCTATTAAAAGACTTTTGGTAAGTTTGTTTTAAATGATTTTTATTTCCATATTTGTCTTATTCTCCAAATAAATTAATATGTAGAATTGGTGCTACATATAGCAAACACAGCATTTAAAAATGTGTATATGCTCGCCATGGAGGCTCGTGCCTGTAATCCCAGCACTTTGGGAGGCCGAGTCGGGCAGATGGCTTGCATCTAGGAGTTCAGGACCAACCTGGGCAACATACAAAGGCCCATTTCTTTAAAAAAAAAAAAAAAAAAAAAATCAAAAATTAGCTGGGCATCATGGTGCATGCCAGTAGTCCCAGCTACTTGTGAGGCTGAGGTGGGAGGATCACTTGAGCCCAGGAGGCTGAGGCTGCAGTGAGCCATGACTGCGCTACTGTACTCCAGCCTGGGCAACAGAGTGAGACCCTGTCTCAAAAAAAAAATTGTATATGAATTCATAAGGATCCCTTTCTAGTCATGAGAAAATAAATTGTTAGATTTTTACGTATTAGAGGAAAATATATAAAAGCAATTTCATCTATCTTCTTTTACCAAAACCTAATCTCTAACCAAAAGGTACAAGTAAACTAAAACAAGAATAAGAAATTTGGTATCTTAATCTAAAATATTGAAGATTAGACATATATATATAAATTAACAAAATGGAAAAGAAAGCCTAGTGACCTTGACTTACATTGAAATCATAAAAATTAGGGGAAAAACAGCAAAACAAGAAAAATCCTAATTCTGGCAACCAAAACACATCTTTGTAACTTTTCAATCCTTTGAAAATGAATCACTGATAGCTCAGCATACCACTCTTACTCATATTTGGTTTGCTTTTCTTTTCTTTTCTTTTTTGGAAACAGGGTCTCGCTCTGTCACTCAGGCTGGAGTACAGTAGTGCAATCTTGGCTCACTGCAGCCTCTGCCTCCCGGGTTCAAGTGATTCTCTGGCTGATTTTTTTTTGAGACAGAGTCTACTCCATCACCCAGGCTGGAGTGCAGTGGTGCAATATCGGCTTACTGCAACCTCTGCCTCCCAGGCTCAAGTGATTCTCTTGCCTCAGCCTCCCAAGTAGCTGGATTGCAGGTGTGCGCCACCACGCCTGGCTAATTTTTGTATTTTTAGTAGAGATGGGGTTTCATCATGTTGGCCAGACTGGTCTCGAACTCCTGACCTCAAGTGATTGCCCACCTTAGCCTCCCAAAGCGCTGGGATTATAGGCGTGAGCCACCACGCCTGGCCTAATTTTTGTATTTTTTGGTAGAGACGGGGTTTCAGCATGTTGGACAGGCTGGTTTCGAACTCCTGACTTCAGGTGATCTGCCCGCCTCAGCCTCCCAAAATGCTGGAATTACAGGCATGATCCACCATGCTCAGCCCTTACTCATATTTAGAAAAGCAAATGGCAAACTGTTGAAGGGTAAGAGAGTGAGGGGAAAGAACACAAAAAATATTTAATCCATTGGGCTTAGTTTACATAGATAAGTATGATAGTACTCTATTTTCTAAATAAAAGTATTTTTAATGTAAAGACCTTCTGTTTCTAGAATATTTTCACATCTCTCTTATTGAAGTGTCATAACAATCCTGAGTAGATCAATTTTAAGTATACTTATTAAATATGGCTACATCAACAAATTCAAAAGATATGAACACAAGTTATTTCATCCTGCTTAATCAATAATAAATAAGTTCTAAATTTTTGTGACAAATGAAGCTTTCCTTTGTTAATACTAATTTTTTCCTACCTTTGAACAATTTGAAAGCAATGACTTCATGGACAACCACGCATGCAACATCCAAACAATTATTTTACAAATTCAATTCTGAACTACCTACCCCTTCTTGTTTGGTGAAGAGATTAAGGCAATCAGTCAAAGCTACACAAGTTTCTCTAGAAGCTTCTGAGACAACTTCAACTTTCTGAAGAAATGATGGAAGCATTTCTATAAAGAAAAAAATAAATACAGTGAGTCGGATTTTAAGGAATCTTAAGGTAAACTAAGACCACAAAAATACTCTCATATCTATTAACCTCATCTTTCCATCTAGCTATCTTAAGCAAAACATATCATGTTTCTTTTCTTTTTTTTTGTTTTCTTGAGACGGAGTCTGCTCTGTTGCCTAGGCTGGAGTGCAGTGGTGCAATCTTGGCTCACTGCAACCTCTGCTTCCCAGATTCAAGCAATTCTTCTGCCTCAGCCTCCCAAGTAGCTGGGACTACAGGCGCACACCACCACGCCCAGCTAATTTTTGTATTTTTAGTAGAGACGGGGATTCACCATATTGGCCAGGCTGGCCTCAAACTCCTGACCTCATGATCTGCCCACCTTGGCCTCCCAAAGTGCTGGGATTACAGGCGTGAGTCACCGCGCCCGGCTTTTTTTTTTTATTTTTTATTTTGAGACACAGTCTCACTCTGTGGCCCAGGCTGGAGTGCAGTGGAGTAATCTCGGCTTATTGTAACCTTCACCTCCCGGGTTCAAGAGATTTTCCTGCCTCAGCCTCCCGAGTAGATGGGACTACAGGCACACGCTATCATGCCTGGCTAATTTTTTTTGTATTTTCAGTAGAGATGGGGTTTCACAACGTTGGCCAGGCTGGTCTCAAACTCCTGACCTCAGGTGATCCGCCCACCTCGGCCTTGCAAAGTGCTGGGATTACAGGCGTGAGCCACTGCACCCAGCCTCATGTTTCTTGGGCATCATTATTTAAGCACACGCTTTATTTAGGGCACATAAATTGGTACAGAAAAAGAAAGAATGGAGCCTTCTCCTAGAAAGGTCTATACCCTACAACAGGAGTCCCCAGACCCGGGCTGCAGACTGGTACTGGTCTGTGGTCCTGTTAGGAACCTGGCCACACAGCAAGAGGTGAGTGGAGGGTGAGTGAGCATTACCACCTGAGCTCTGCCTTGTGTCAGATCAGTGGCAGCATTAGATTCTCACGAGAGCACGAACCCTATTGCGAACTGTGTATATGAGGGATTTAGGTTGCGGGCTCCTTATGAGAATCTAATGCCTGATGATCTGAGGTAGAACAGTTTGAGCCTGAAACCATCTCCCCACCCCCCACTCCCAACCCTACCCCCGAGTCCATGGAAAAACTGTCTTCCACAAAACCAGTCCCTGGTGCCAAAAAAGTTGGGGAGCACTGCCCTACAAGAATCACCAAGACAAAAAAAAAAGTTTACAGGAATTAAACAACAGGGTAATGTTTAAGAAAAACAGCTGACAAGAAGGACTGATAGCACTCCTTATAAAACATTAAAATTTCCTTTGTAGATAAGTAATTTTATTCAAAAGCAAGTAATAAAAAAAATTATTCTGTAGTTATCATGGTGGCTAACATATCTGAAAACAGCATTAACTCTACTTCCTATTTGGACCACTGTTTGGCATAAGTAGGTCTTTTCACTCTCAAAAATGTGTTCCTATGAAGGTCCAGTACCATTGAGTATATGTTTAAGTTGGCAATAAAGAAATGGTAGTATCAGTATCTGCCCTGGTCCTCTAAAGAAAATCTTAACCCATTTACTCATTAAAAATAAAAAACAAAAACAAAAACAAAATATTGACAAGAGGAAGGTGCAAAGTGCATATATATCACTTAAAAACAAGTAAAATATTATGTCCAGATTAATGCAAAAGAAATGCACTTAGTTGAAATGGTTTCTGATATTTTGTTAATTAGACGTTAAGATCCTTTAAATCTGTCCCTTCCATCAAATAAAAATCTTAACATTTAAGAAGTCTTTTCATCAAAAAATAACTAAAAGGTCGGGACAGAACAAGATTTGTTAAAAGACACAAGATTACAGCTAGGGCGAGGCATGGTGGCTTATGTGTGTAATCCTCGCACTTTGAGAGGCCAAGGTAAAAGGATCACTTGAGGCCAGGAGTTCAAGACCAGCCTGAGCAAAAAAGCAAGACTTCATCTCTACAAAAAATTTAAAAATTAGCTGGGCATGGTGGTGTGCACCTGTAGTCTCAGCTACTTGGGAGGCTGAGGCAGGAGGACTGCTTGAGCCCAGGAGTTCAAGTTTTCTATACTACTGTTCAAGACCAGTATGGCCAACATGGTGAAACCCCATCTCTACTAAAAATACAAAAATTAGCTGGGCATGGTGGCTGGCGCCTGTAATCCCAGCTACTCGGGAGACTGAGGCAGGAGAATCACTTCAACCTGGGACGTGGAGGTTGCAGTAAGCGGAGATGGCACCACAGCACTCCAGCCTGGGAGACAGAGCAAGACTCCATCTCAAAAAAAAAAAAAAAAAATATATATATATATATATATATGTATATATATACACACACACACAGACACACACACACACACATATGGATATGAAGGCCAAATTATATTTTACCACAGTTTACATCTTACAAAATACATCTTACAGAATAGTTTTCTCTTGTTAGCTTCTTTAATAAAGCCCAACTAATTGAAAACTACCATATTCTAAAACAAATTTGACTTTACAGACTTTATTTTTCATTTTGAACCTCTGATACACATTGTGAAGATTTATTCTCTACTTAGTTGCTAAATAGCAAAAGAGACTACCATATGCTAGGTGCCATATGACTTAAATAGTGCCTGAACAGATGTCTCAACACGAACTGTGGACCGAGGACTGAGGAGATGTACCAGGAGAAACAGACACAGCCTATCCCTTCCATAAATTTTCTGAGTAATCTAGTAATTTTCCACTTTCAGGGCATAAATGGCAGGAAGATAGAAGCATAACCATTCATAGATATAGTTCTTTTATTAATACCATCATAAGCTTAATCATCCTGTTTTTGTCTGTTTTAGATATTTCATAAACTTTAGATACTTGTTACCATGAAGCAACATTAATGGTCCAAATACATGCTTAGGAATACTTACAAGTGTTTGAAAATACTGGTTCTGCAAGGTTTCAAAAAATATTCCAAATATATATATATGTGTGTGTATATATATATATAAAGAAGTTTTCATAAGAATCCACCATTGAGAGAGCGTCGAATTCTTTTGTCCAAAAGAGTCAAATGTTACTTCATTTCTTTGACAAGCTAATGTTAAAACAAGATTTTTGAAATGAACTTCCACAGCGGAACAGTTTAAGAATTGCCGAACCTTGCCGTATGCCACACTGCAGTGTAGCACATCAGGGTCCATTCAACTCACACTGGCATGCTTCTTATAGAATTATGTTTACATAATGTTACATAAAAAAAAAATTAAAATTGCTAAGCTTCTAGAAAAGTGACCAACTGGGAATCACTGCAAATACGTTTTAGCTGGTTAATATTTAGAGACTAAACTGTCATGAATAAACGCAAAAAGGCCAGTATGTTGCCTTATTTGGCCTGCTGTAAGAATCTGATGCTGTTGATTTTCAGGAAAAAAGTTATTTTTCGTACTAAAAACGTTTTTAAAGTCATGAAAGCTGTGAGAAGATCATATTGGAAAAGCTTAACTTTAGAGACATAAAAAGCTCACAATCTGTCATTTTTCATGATTACGCTGAACAATTTTTAATTGGGTAAGTTTTTAAAATAGTGGGAAAACACTTGTTTCTTTATGTGAACAAATTAATCCCTTGTACAGACAACCTCCACTGTTATCCTAGTGTAAAAAAAAAAAAGTCCACATTTCCTTAGCCTAACATTTAAGATGCTCAATAAACTAAATTTGTTTCAGCCAGATTGTTCTCCTGGAAATGTTTGTTTACCTAAAAACAGTCTTCAAAATATTGGTGAATATTGGATGTTGAATGCTGAATATTGACATGTTACTTGAATATTGGAAACAATAATTATCCATATTCAGAAGTTTCCCTACTTGACAAAAAAAACTATTTTCTTTCAAGGCCTAGTTCAAATGCCATCCTCCCCCAGGAAGCCTTCCTTAAATATCACTGTGGAGAATGGGTGCAGTGGCTCATGCCTGTAATGCCAACACTTTGGGAGGCCAAGGCAGGAGGATCACTTGAGTTCAAGGTTGCAATGAGCTATGACCACACCACTGCACTTCAGCCTGTGCGACAGAGAAAGACCCTGTCTCTAAAAACAACAACGACGACAAAATATCACCATGGGACATGACAGCAGCTGCTCCTGGACTCCAACAGCGGCCACACCCACTTGTTATAGGGGCATGAGGCATTGAATGTATGTTGTCTCTCTGTGACCCTCTGTAAACTCTAAACCTCCTTACCCCCATCCAAACACCAAGCTTTGCCAAAATAAAACCTCTCAAATATTTATTAAATGAATAAGGAAACTAATAAAATATCTTATTCCACATCTTGCTACCATAATTCTTTTAATATAAAATATAATCTGAATCCAAATGGCTTCACTTATTATATTTTACCTTAAAAGAATTATGGTCCTTTAGTTTAAAAATGTGAAATGAAAACTTTTTCATTTATATTACTATAGGTTGGTTGATTAGGGCAGATTGAGAAATAAGTAATTTTTAACTACATTTTGTTTTTTACTTGTGGCACAAGAAAATATATTTTGCCTGTTTTTCAACATTTAACTGAAATATTTCCATCATTTGGGACAAGTATTTAAAAGAAAAAAACTGGATGAAGGCATTTTATTTCCCCATCCTTACCCTTCTGGTAATGGTGCTACCTTGAATATGTATGTGGCTTTTTTTAATAATTAAACACAAACAGGAGAGAGACTAAATAGTCCAAAAACTACAAAATCTAGTGACAAAGCTAAAGATCAGAGAAAATACAGAAAATAACAAAATGGGATGATTTATCTTTTGTGGTGTAAAAAAATGCAATACATAATGACTATATACATGAAAGACCTGATCTAACCTAAATGATTGAAGTCCATTTTAAAATGGACTTTCAAGGCTGGGCGCGGTGGTTGATACCTGTAATCCCAGCACTTTGGGAGGCCGAGGCGTGCAGATCACCTGAGGTCAGGAATTCGAGACCAGCCTGGCTAACATGGTGAAACCCCATCTCCACTACAAATACAAAAATTAGCCGGCCATCATGGCGTGTGCCTGTAATCCCAGCTACCCAGGAGGCTGAGGCAAGAGAATCACTTGAACCCAGGAGGCAGAGGCTGCAGTGAGCCAAGATCGCGCCACTGCACTCCAGCCTGGGTGACAGAGCAAGACTCTGTCTCAAAAAATAAATAAACAAAATGGACTTTCATATCAGATTGGAATTATATAAATGCTTCAATGAAAATCAGTACTCTCTTTTCAAAACAGGGAAAAAATGTTTGCACATAAAAATCAACTAACCTTCTAAAAACTACTCCATAAAACTATAACTTGAAAAATATCAAAAGAGGTCATGCTGAAAGACATAAAAATAGAAATCTATTTTTTGTTCAAATTAAAATGACTACCTTGAATACAATCATCCACTGAAGAAGTACCTCTGACCATTTAATCTATATATCTACATCTATATAATTTATATTCATTGCACTGGAGGATATAAAATATATAGCTCAAAGTGGCATGTATTAAATGAATAATAAAAAGATAATATCAGGGATGTTGTGAGACATAACTAGCAAGTTGTGCATACTTTTAAAAAATATTAAAATTTCAGAGAAGAGCATTGTCATTATGGACTAGAATAATCCATAGTTTGATGAAAAGATGTTGCACTTGAGTTGGATCTTAAAGAACAAGGAACATTTTTGTATTGCTAAATATAAACCCAATAAGCACTTCTAAAATAGAGTGCCAAATATACTAGTCCTGAGGGAAGATAGTTTCAGAATTATGATCAATGAGAACTCTAGCAAGGTGAGAGGTTTTCATCTGCCAGTTATGGAGTGGCAGCCACGTGGCAGGCACCAGCTAAGTGCTGGAGAAAAAGGGGTAAGTTGGACAGACAGTCTTTGTTTTTACAGAGCTTGCTGTCTAGCAAGGAAAATGGAAAATAAAACAATTACTATTGAAAGAATAATACTGATCAAAGGGAGACTTTAGAAGAGTAAGAGGAGAAGGATATTATTATTTGGAAAAAATAAAATGAATTACATTTAAAAATTTAGAAAAGAGTACAAGTCACAAAGACCTGGAGTCAAACAAAACAGGAGAGAAGCCAGCAGAACTACAGAATGTGTTTTGTACTCTCTTGCAAAAGAGAATGAAGTGAGGCAATAAGGAAGTTAATTTTAATCAAACTGAGGAAATCTTCATCAAAGGGTATAACTGGGTTTGCATCACTTCTGATTGAATTGTCCAATGGGTTCCCCACCTTATGGTAAGTCCTTATGAGAAAAACGGAGTCAATGAAGTAAATGGTAACTAGGGTTGAGCCACATATGATCTAGAAAGGGCCACCTATGGCCAAGGTCAAGAGAGGAGTCTTGGAAAGGTCTGTGCCACAAAGAATAAGGTGCAGAACTGGATGACATAAGAGAGTTTATCCATTCTGAGTGCTTGAGAGAGCTTCAGGGTATGATGCTTGCCTGTCTTCTAGACTTTGGCAGAAGTAGGCCAGGCATGGTGGCTCACACCTGCAATCCCAGCACTTTGGGAGGCCAAGGCAGGCAGATCACCTGAGATCAGGAGTTCCAGACCAACCTGGCCAACATGGTGAAACCCTGTCTCTACTAAAAATACAAAAATTAGCTGGGCGAGGTGGTACTTGCCTGTAATCCCAGCTACCCGGGAGGCTGAGGCAGGAGAATCGCTTGAACCAGGAGGCAGAGGTTGTAGTGAGCCGAGATCGTGCCACTGCACTCCAGCCTGGGCAACAGAGAGAGACTCTGTCTCAAAAATAAAATAAAATAAAATAAAATAAAATAAAATAAAATAAAATAGACTTTGGCAGAAGTAAAAGTGAGCAATAAATCACGTAGTCTCATAGCCACACTGTCTCACCTATTGGATTCTTCAACCTTGCTGCCTGAAAGAAAGCTTGGACCAAAGACAGAAGCTCACTCTCCAGTGCCCTGTACGACAGGCCTGAATAGGGGCAACTGTTGTGGCCTGTACCTTTGCTTGCTCTTTCTGTCCCTTCTAACACCTGAGGAGGCTGGGCCTGCCCAGAGAGAGAAATGGAAACAGGAAGCATTACATTAAAGAGTGGCTAGTGCTATGGTAGACAAAGTGCAGGGTGATCTGAAAACACATAAGAACATAGTCTTAGAGAAGTCAAGGAGGAGTTTCTGGAAACTACATGTAAAAGATGAGAAAAAGCGATTTCATACCTTGGAAACAACATACGCTAAGACCCAAATGCATGAGAAAAGGTCACTGTTGCTGCACAGAGTGTAGAAGGAAGGAAGGAATAGTTAAGAGAGGAAGCAGCTGAAGTGAGTAGACACACAGGTCATAAAGTCAGTCAACTTAGAGTTTAGATTATACCCTAAGGCACTGAATGCTTCTGTTAAGGCTGTGACCATTCCAATTGGTGTTTCAGAAGCATCTAACTATTCTGTGGAATATTCCATGGAGGTAAATGAAGGAATATAAGAGTGGAGGCAGGACTGGGTGCAGTGGCTCACGCCTGTAATCCCAGCACTTTGGGAGGCCAAGGCAGGCAGATCACCTGAGGTCAGAAGTTCGAGACTAGCCTGGCCAACATGGTGAAACCCTGTCTCTACTAAAAATACAAAAATTAGCTGGGCATGGTGGCACACGCCTGTAATCCCAGCTACTTGGGAAGCTGGGGCAGGAGAATCACTTAAACCTGGAAGGCGGAGGTTGCAGTGAGCCGAGATCGGCCATTGCACTCCAGCCTGGGTGACAGAGCAAGACTGTCTCAAAAAAAAAAAAAAAAATTGTGGAGGCAGTGTGTCCAGCCAAGAAGTTGTGGTAATCAATGGGAAAGATGGCTATGGCCTATTTTAGCATAATGGTAGGGGGACATAGGAAGAGAAACAAAGTAAAGTGATATTAAGAGACAGGACTATCTATAGCCTGAACACACCCAATCTCAGCTAATCTCGGAAGCTAAGCAGAGTCAAGCCTGGTTAGTACTTGAATGGGAGAACTGATCAACAAAATATATTTGGAGAAAGAGGAAGAACAATGACTCCAAAGTTTGGTCTTGGGAAATTGAGTGAATTGATGATGTATTTTTAGGGATGAAGAACAGAAAGAATGAGGACAAGAAAAGAGAAGGAAAAGAACAACAGCAAAAAAGGGGGATTTCTTTTTTGTGGAAAGGAAACTCCTGCTCTACATCAATCCCCCTCTACCCTTGAACTTCTGAGTAGAAGACAATGAAGATTTAAACACTATCTTAACTACAACAGCCAAGCTAATGTAATTGTCCTCAACAAATTCTACCTTACATTGTAGATCTGGTTATAAATCTGAAAAACTTCTCCTGTTCCTCCTATTCCTAGATCAAATGTTCAGGGGTCAACACTGAATTTTTGATATTCATTCCAGACTGTTTATTGTTTTTTCCTGTTTTTTTTTTTTTTTTTTTTTGAGATGGAGTTGGGCTCTGTCACCCAGGCTGCAATGCAATGGCATGATCTTGGCTCACTGTAACCCCCACCTCCCGGGTTCAAGCAATTCTCCTGCCTCAGGATCGAGTAGCTGGGATTACAGGCACACGCCACAACATTCGGCTAATTTTTGTATTTTTTAGTAGAGACAGGGTTTCGCCATGTTGGGCAGGCTGGTCTCGAACTCCTGACCTCAGGTGATCTGCCGCCTCAGCCTCCCAAAGTGCTCGGATTACAGGCATGAGCCACCATGCCAGCCTGTTTATTGGTTAAGAACACACCCTGGAGCCAGGCTGCCCAGGGCCAAATGCTAACTCTGGTTTTTACAAGCTCTGTGACCTTAAGTAAGTTATATAGGCTCCCTGTGCCTCAGTCAACTTACCTGTAAAATGGAAAGAATAGTTGTATATACTGCATAGGGCTGTTACCAGGCACAAATAAGTTAATATAGATGCTCCGCAACTTACAGTATGGTTATATCCCAATAAACCCATCATAAACTGAAAATGTCACTTTCACACTATTGTAAAGTTGAAAAATCATAAGTTGAACCATTGTAAGTTAGGGACTATCTATACGTCAAATACACAGGACAATGTACAAAAAAAGGCTATATGTGTTTGCTTTATACTAGATAATATAAATTGTAGAGTATTGACATGTTTTATATTAGAAAGAGCATGGGACACTGGTGGTACCTAGCAGACTAGGCTGATGGGACCATCTCTCCAATCACAATCCATAAAGACACCGAATAAAACAGTAAAATAATGTAGTGCAGAGTTTGAAAGAATAAAATCCCAGATATGCTAGAAAGAAAGAAACAAACAAAAGGCAAGGCTGATGCAACAGGCCTAACCAGTGATGCCTGGTAGGAAGGTCAAGGATAGAGGTGGGTGTCAGACAGAACATACATCCAGAAGATTAACAGATGAGCCTGGCCAGGCATAGTGGCTCACGCCTGTAATCCCAGCACTTTGGGAGGCTGAGGCAGGTGGATTGCCTGAGCTCAGGAGTTCAAAACCAGCCTGGGCGACACGATAAAACCCTGTCTTTACTAAAAATACAAAAGTATTACCCAGACGTGGCAGTGTGTGCTTGTAGTCCCAGCTAATTGGGAGGCTGAGACAGGAGAATCGCTTGAACCCGGCAGGCGGAGGTTGCAGTGAGCTGAGATGGTGCCACTGCACTCCAGCCTGGGCAACAGAGCGAGGCTCTGTCTCCAAAAAATAAATAAATAATAAATAAATAAAACAAAACACAACAACAACAACAAAATAGATGAGGCTTTACAGCTACATGAATGGAGGTATGTGGCTTTGGCCTCCCAAATCAAGTGGGTAAGGTCTAGTAAAGGGGCAGACCCCTAGTGACAGTGGGAGTAGAAAACTGCCCTTGTGCTCAGGGATGCAGGGAAGAAGGACACTTTCTTGCCTAAGCTCTGGGTGGGAAACCTGAGAAACTGAAGCCCCTAGCTTGTAGCATGCCTAGATATGAAATCCAAATTTAAAACTAGTAGCCCAGAAGCAGAGAAACCTTTACAGCCTCAACAGCGACACACACAAAACTACTCTATATGGACACCTCCAAACCCAAGAAGCAGGAAAAACAAAAACAAAATAAAACACAACAAACAAAAAAACCCACAAGCTCTACTGAAGATGAGCTGTCCATAAAGTTACAATCCATTGTGATGGACATTCAGCAGAAGAAACAAAAGACTTAGCTGTGCAACAACTTGAGGTATAAAAACATTCTGAAAAAAATGCTTTAAATTCATATGTCTGAAGTTATTAGAGATAAAATTAGAAATGCATGTAATATAAAAGAACATGTCACTATGGGGAAAAATAACAAATTTTTAAAACCACCAACTAAAATTTCTAGAATTATAAAATACAGTCACTAAGATTAGAAAGTAGAAAGTCAAAAGATTAAGCAGAAAAACTGACTAAATTGAGAAAGAAACTAAAGCTAGAAAATAGAACTAAGAAAAGTACTCAGAATGCAACAGAAAGAAATGGAATAAGAAATGAGGTAGGAGGATAGAACGAGAAGGCTCAACATATGTCTATTAAGAGTTCTGGCAGGAGAGAATATAAAGAATGATGAAGTAAAATTGGAAGAGATAATAGCTAAGAACTTTTCTAACTTAAAGAAAGATAATAAATGAGTCCTTGAATTAAAGAACAGAGTTTCAAGCAAGCTATAGAACAACAAAATCCAAACCCAGAGACAGAATAAAACTGCAGAATACCAAAAACAAAGTGAAAAATCTTTGCAGTAACAAAAGGGGACTTGGGGGACAGGGAAAAAAAAAAACGAGAGATTGCCTGTAATTCCAGCACTTTGGGAGACTGAGGCAGGTGGATCACCTGAGGTCAGGAGTTCGAGACCAGCCTGGCCAATGTGGTGAAACCCTGTCTCTACTAAAAAATAAAAAATTAAAATAAATTAAAATAAAATTTAAAAAATTAGCCAGGCATGGTGGCAGGTGCACCTGTAATCCCAGCTACTCAGGAGGCTGAGGCAGGAGAATCACTTGAACCTGGGAGGCAGAGGTTGCAGTGAGCCAAGATTGCGCCACTGTACTCCAGCCTGAGCAACAGCAAAACTCTGTCTCAAAAAGAAAAAAGAAAATATCAGAAGTCAGAATAAATTGCAATTGCATCTTCAAAATGCTAGTGGAAGATAACTATAACCCAGTGAGGGTGAAATAAAGATTTAGATAAGGTAGAAATTCTTCTACTCACAGACCCCCAATGAAAGAATTACTCAAAGATTTGCCTCAGAAAATAAAACAGAATTCAGGGGAGAGGAGTAGGATATAAAAATCAGTGGCATTAACTGTGGAAACCCTCTTGGCAAAAGAATGCAAAATATGCCACAGTTCTGATGGTTTCTTCCCTATTTCATGTCTCTAAAAGGTCTCTTTGACTTGTACACTCGTTAAATTTACTAACTTGACAGAAATTTATTGTTTCTCCCTGAGTTTGAGAGATATAAGGTATAAATTTAAGCTAGATAAGTAGGTCATTCATTTCACTCACTCATTCATCACACACAGAGAGAAAGAGAGACGGCGAGAGAGAGGAGAGAGAGACCCCCATCACATGCCAAGTTCTGTTGAGGTACCAAAGATAATCGGCAAACAGGTAAAAATCCCTGCCCTGAAGTTTATACCACGGTGGGAAAGGCAGACAATCAACTACACACACTCATAGGAAGTCTGATAAGTAACAAAAGAGAAACTGCAGTAAGGTAGAGGGGTAACAAGTGCTGAGGGGAGGTGAACTTCACAGAGGATGAGGTACCAGCTAAGGGTCTCAGCAGGGAAGAGCTGGCCTGCTCAAAGGTAACTGAGGTCTGGGCACAGTGGCTCACGCCTGTAATCCCAGCACTTTGGGAGGCTGAAGTGGGTGGATCACTTGAGGTCAGGAGTTCAAGGCCAGCCTGCCCAAAAGGGAGAAACTCCGTCTCTACTAAAAATATAAAAATTAGCCGGGTGTGGTGGCTCGCGCCTGTGGTCCCAGCTACTCAGGAGGCTGAGGCAGGAGTATCGCTTGAACCTGGGGGCGGAGGTTGCAGTGAGCCAAGATCGCACCACTGCCTCTAGCCCAGGCGACAGAGAGGGACTCCCGTCTCAAAAAAAAAAAAAAAAAAAAAAAAGAAAAGAAAAGAAAAAATTAAAACGTTAACTGAGAAGAATTTGAAAAAGAGATTGCTCACAAAGGTGAGGAGGGTTGAAGTAACAGAGACTGGCGTGCGGGACACAGTTACCATCCTGGCACAGAGGGGGAAAGGGGAGAGGACAGTATTGCTAAGCCCAGCAAGAGCTGGAGTCTAGATCAGGCCAGTGGCCAGGCAGAGGAACCCGGCAGCACTGCGGAACCACAGTCCGGCTGGAGAGAATGAAGGTAAAGCCCTGAAACGACTTCCTCTCCCGTCCCTCCGCAGGTCTCCCGACAGAGCCTCCCATTTGCTGAATCCAATCACAAGTCCGAGGGCCAAGAAGCCCCAGGGCTGAGGCTGCAGTACACAAAGCAGGGCAGAGCAGACGAGGAGGAGCAAACCAGCGCAGGAGGCCAGGAAAATCCTCTGTGTGCAGGCACCTTTTGAAGAAAGACCTAGGGAAGGAAGGGAGTGACTACGCCACTCAGGAGAAAAGCCTTCCAGAAGAGGGAACAGCACACGAAAGGCCACTGGCAGGCGTAGGCCAGGCCAATGAGGCTGGAGAGGAGCCAGAAAGGGAACTGGGAGGTGGGGGGCTGAGGGGTGGAAGGGGCTGGAAGGCTCTGCAGGTCATTAGAATGACTCTGTCTCTCACTCCAAGTGAGAAGATCTGGAAGCCACTGGATGTTTCCAGCAAAGGACCTCAATCCACTGACATTTTGGGAGGATTTGGGGCAGAAGCTGTAGGGGGAAGGGTGAAATCTGGGGACAGCAAGTAGGTTTTCAGATGTCCACGTGGGAGGCAATGGTGGCTTGGACCAGGTGGCAACAGAGAAAGTGGTAAGTTTGTTTACTCAAAGCCCAGATTTTGAGGAAACAGTTTTAAGTAGGCTAAATAGAAGTGCTTTTCCTCTCAGATTTTTTTTTTCAGTTTTATTTTCTTGAGTTCGACTATTTTGCTTTTATATTTCAATAGTTTTGGGGGAATAGGTGGTGTTTGGTTACATGCATAAGTTCCTTAGTGAAGAAGTCTAAGATTTTAGTGCACCCATCACCTGAGCAGTGTACACTACATCCAATATGTGGTTGTTTTTTTTTTTGGTGGTGGTGTTGTTATTGAGATGGAGTCTTGCTCTGTTGCCCAGGCTGGAGTGCAGTGGCGCGATCTCGGCTCACTGCAACCTCCTCCTCCTGGGTTCAAGCGATTCTTCTGTCTCAGCCTCCTGAGTAGCGGGGATTACAGGTACCCGCCACCAGGCCCAGCTAATTTTTGTATTTTTTTAGTAGAGACGAGGTTTCACCATGTTGGCCAGGCTGGTCTCGAACTCCTGACCTCAGGTGATCCGCCCGACTCAGCCTCCCAAAGTGCTGGGATTACAGGCGTGAGCCACTGTGCCCGGTCCAATATGTAGATTTTAATTTCTCCCCCAGACTCTTTCCTTCCCAGTCCATAAAGACCATATCACTCTAAGTCTCTGCATCCTCAAAGCTTAGCTCCCACTTATAAATGAGAACAAATGGTTTTTGGTTTTTCCATTCCTGAGTTTCTAAGTATTCCATTCACTTAGAATAATGGCCTCCAGCTCCATCCAAGTTGCTGCAGAAGACATTATTTCATTCCTTTTTGTGGCTGAGTAGTATTCCATGTTGTATAAATACCACGTTATTTATCCATTCATTGGTTGATGGGCACTTAGGTTGGTCCCACATCTTTTGCAATTGTGAATTGTGCTGCTGTGAACATGGATGTGCATGTGTCTTTTTCATATAATGACTTCTTTTCCTTTGGGTAGATACCAGTAGTGGGACTGTTGGATCAAATAGTAGATCTACTTTTAGTTCTTTAGGGAATCTCCATACTGTTCTCCATAGAGGTTGTACTAATTTACATTCCCACCAGCAGTGTGAAAGTGTTCCCTTTTCACCACATCCACACCAACATCTATTGTTTTCTGACTTTTTCATTATGGCCATTCTTGTAGGAGTAAGATGGTATCTCCTTGTGGTTTGGATTTCCATTTCCATGATGATTAGTGCTGTTGAGCATTTTTTTATATGTTTGTTGGTCAACTGTATATCTTCTTTTGAGAAACATCTATTCATGTCTTTTGCCCACTTTTTGATGGGATTATTTGTATTTTTCTTGCTGATTTGTTTGAGTGCCTTGCAGATTTCAGATACTAGTCCTTTGTTGGATGCATAGTTTGCATATTTTCTCCCATTCTCTGGTTGTCTATTTATTCTGCTGATTATTTCTTTTTCTGTGCAGAAGCTTTTTAGTTTAATTAGGTTCCATTTATTTATTTTTGTTGTACTTGCTGTTGGGGTCTTAGTCATGAATTTTTGCCTAGGCCAATGTCCAGAAGAGTTTTTCCAATATTATCTTCTAGAATTGTTAGGCTTTCTGGTCTTAGAATTAAGTCTTTGATCCATCTTGAGTTGATTTTTATATAAGGCAGAGATGGGGATCCAGTTTCATTCTTATACATGTGGCTTGCCAATTATCCCAGCACATAGACTGGGGAAAGGATAGCCTATTTTGGGGAAAAGCTATATAAACTGAATAGGCTGTCCTTTCCCCAATTTATGTTTTTTTCAAATATATAAATTGAATAGGCCGTCCTTTCCCCAATTTATGTTTTTGTATGCTTTGTCAAAGATCAGTTGGCTGTATAATATTTGGTTTTATTTCTGGGTTCTCTATTCTGTTTCACTGGTCTAAGAGCCTTTTTTTTTTTCTCCATAACAGTAACCATGATGTTTTTGGTAACTAGAGCTCTGCAGTATAATTTAAAGTCCAATAATGTGATACCTCCAGATTTGTTCTTTTTTCTTAGTATTACTTTGGCTATTCAGGTTCTTATGGGATTCCATATGAGTTTTAAGATTTTTTTTCTAGTTCTGTGAAAAATTGTGATGGTATTTTGATGGGAATTGCATTGCATCTGTAAATTGCTTTGGGCAGTATGGTCATTTTCACAATATTGATTCTTCCCATCCATGAGCATGAGATATGTTTCCATTTATTTGTGTCATCTATGATTTCTTTCAGCAGTGTTTTGTAGTTTTCCTTGTAGAGAGCTTTCACCTCCTTGGCTAAGCACATTCCTACATATTTTATTTTTTTGCAACTGTTGTAAAAGGGATTGACTTCTTGATTTGATTCTCAGCTTGGTCGCTGTTGCTGTACAGCTGTGCTACTGATTTGTATACATTGATTTTGTAACCTGAGACTTTATTGAATTTGTTTATGAGATCTAGGAGTCTTTTGGATGAGTCTTTAGGATTTTCTAGGTGCGTGATCATATCACTGGCAAACAACACTAGTTTGACTTCCTCTTTTCCACATAGATGCCCTTTATTTCTTTCTCTTAACTGACTGCTCTGGCTAGGACTTCCAGTACTACGTTGAATAGGAAGTGGTAAAAGTGGGCATCCTTTTCTTATTTCAGTTCTTAGAGGGAATGCTTTCAATTTTTCCCTATTCAGTATGATGTTGGCTATGGGTTTGTCATATATGGCTTTTATTATTTTGAGGTAAGTCCCTTCTATGCCTAGTTTATTAAGAGTTTTTAACATAAAGGGATGCTGGATTTTATCAAATGCTTTTTCTGCATCTACTGAGATGATCACATGGTTTTTACTTTTAATTGTTTGTGATATATCATATTTATTGACTTGCATATATTAAAGCATCCCTGCATCCCTGGAACAAAACCCACCTGATCATGGTGTATTATCTTTCTGATATGCTGTTGGATTCAATTAGCTAGTATTTTTTTGAGGATTTTTGCACCTATGTTCATCAGGGATATTGGTCTGTAGTTTTCCTTGTTCGTTGTGTCCTTCTCTGGTTTTGGTATTAGGGTGATACTGGCTTCATAAAATGATTTAGGGAGGATTCCTTCTTTCTCTTTCTTTTGGAATAGTTTCAGTAGGATTGTTACCAATTCTTTGAATTCCAGTAGAATTCAGCTGTGAATACATCTGGTCATGGGCTTTTTTTGTTGGCAATTTTTAAATTACTGATTCAATCTAACTGCTTATTACTGGTCTGCTCAGGGTTTCTGTTTTTTCCTGGCTTAATCTGGGAGGATTGTGTTTCCAAGAATTTATCTATTTCCTCTTAATTTTTTAGTTTGTGCATGTAAAGGTTTTCATAATAGTTTCAAATGATCTTTTGTATTTCTATGGTTTTGGTTGTAATGTCTCCTGTTTAATTTCGAATTAAGCTTATTTGGATCTTCTCTCATCTTTTCTTCAGTAATCTCACTAATGGTCTATCAATTTTGTTTATGTTTTCAAAGAACCAGTTTTTTGTTTCATTTATCTTTTGTATTTTTTGTGACACTAGCTTGTCAATTTGTGCTCTTTCCGACTTTTTAATGCAGGCATTAAACGCTACGAACTTTCCTCTTAGCACTGCTTTTGCTCTATCCCAGAGGTTTTGATAACTTGTGTCACTACTATCATTCATTTCAAAGAAGTTTTTAATTTCCATCTTGATTTGTTAACTCAAAAATCATTCATAAACATATTATTTAATTTCCATGTAATTGTATAGTTCTGAGCATTCCTTTTGGAGTTGATTTCTAGTTTTATTCCCCTGTGGTCTGAGAAGATATTTGATATTACTTCAATTTTCTTAAATTTATTGAGACTTATTTTACAGCCTATCATGTGTTCTATCTTGGAGAAGTTCCACGTGCTAATGAGAAGAATGTATATTCTGCAGTTGTTGGGTAGAGTTGTCAGAGATGTGTGAACCAGAGCAACTCCATCTTAAACAGGAGCTGGGTAAAATGAGGCTGAAACCTACTGGGCTGCATTCCCAGATGGTTAAGGCATTCTAAATCACAGGATAAGATAGGAGGTCAGCACAAAATACAGGTCATAAAGACCTTGCTGATAAAACAGGTTGCAGTAAAGGAGCCGGCCAAAACCCACCAAAACCAAACTGGTGACTAGAGTGACCTCTGGTCATCCTCACTGCTACACTCCCAACAGTGCCATGACAGTTTACACATATCATGGCAACATTAGGAAGTTACCCTATATGGTCTAAAAAGGGGAGGCATGAATAATCCACCCCTTGTTTAGCATATCATGAAGAAATAACCATAAAAATGGGCAACCAGCAGCCCTCAGGGCTGCTCTGTCTATGGAGTAGCTGTTCTTTTATTCCTTTACTTTCTTAATAAACTTGTTTTCATTTTGCACTGTGGACTTGCCCTGAGTTCTTTCTTGCTCTGTCACCCAGGCTGGAGTGCAGTGGTGCGATCTTGGCTCACTGCAACCTCTACCCCCCGGGTTCAAGCGATTCTCCTGCCTCAGCCCCCCAGTAGCTGGGACTATAGGCGTGTGCCACCACGCCCGGCTAATTTTTTGTCTTTTTAGTAGAGACGGGGTTTCACCGTGTTAGCCAGGATGGTCTCGATCTCCGGACCTCGTGTTCCACCCACCTCGGCCTCCCAAAGTGCTGGGATTACAGGCATGAGCCACCGCGCCTGGCCGCCCTGAAATCTTTCTTGCATGAGATCCAAGAACCCTCTCTTAGGGTCTGGATTGGGACCCCTTTCCTGTAACAGAATGTTCTTTAAATATCTGTTCAGTCCATTGTTCCACAGTGTAGTTTAAGGCCATTGTTTCTTTGTTGACTTTCTGTCTTGATCTGCCTAGTGCTGTCAGTGGAGGAATACTGAAGTTCGCACTATTACCATGTTGCTGTCTATCTCATTTCTTAGGTCTAGTAGTAATTGTTTTATAAATCTGGGAGCTCCAGTGTTAGGTGGATGTAAAGTTTAGGATTGTAATATCTTCTTCTTGGATTGATCCTTTTACCATTATGTAATGACCTTTTTTATCTTTTTTAAACTGTTATTGCTTTAAAGTCTGTCTGATGTAAAAATAGCTACTCCTGCCTGCTTTTGGCTTTCATTTGCATGGAATATCTTTTTCCACCCCTTTACCTTGAGTTTATATGAATCCTTATGTGTTAGGCAAGTCTCTTGAAGACAGAAGACATTTGGTTTGTGATTTTTTTATCTGTTGGCTGCCATTTTGTATCTTTTAAGTAGAGCACTTAGGACATTTATGTTCAATGTTAATATTGAGATGTGAGGTACTGTTGTATTCATCATGTTAGTCGATACCTAGATACTTTGTTTTTTTTCATTGTGTTATTGTTTTATAGGCCCTGTGAGTTTTATGCTTCCAACCAGTTCTATTTTGGTACATATTGAGCTTTTGTTTCACAATTTAGAACTCCTTTTGGCATTTCTTGTAGTGCTGGTTTGGTAGTAGCAAATTCACGTAGAGTTTATTTGTCTGAAAATGACTTCATTTCTCCTTCATTTATCAAACTTAGTTTTTCTGGATACAAAAAAAAAGTTTTCTGGATACAAAAAAAAGTTTGACTGACAGTTATTCTGTCTAAGGAGGTTAAAGACAGGACCCCAATCCCTTCCAGCTTATAAGGTTTCTGCTAAGAAGTCTACTGTTAATCATCAGGCTATCTAAAGTCAACATGAAGGAAAGAATTCTAAGAGCTGTCAGACAAGAGCATCAGGTAACTTATAAAGGATTTTTTATTTTAGATAAGTGAAGTCCTTCTAATTTATTTAACCAAGTATTCACTATACACATTTAGTAACATGCAATATAGTATATGTATTAAAAGTTGGCATGTAAAATAACATATCTTTTTCGGCAATTTAACTATATGTATCAACAGTCTCAAAAATATTCATACATTTTCACCCACTAATCCCATCCTAAGAATCCTGAGTTACTGTGATCAAATATAAATGCACAATATATTTATACTAGACAAAAATTGGATACACAATGGTACATTTAAGGATGTATGGAAGAATGGATTGATAACATGGCCTTCAGGAAGTCTTCCAAAAGTTTCATTACTTTAGGTGATTTTGTTTTTGCAACCAGGCTTTTGATAAAGATAAAATAGTAAAAATTTCAATACTACATTCTTGAACCTTGAATTATGTGTTCTCAACACTATATACAGAAACTCTGATATTCATTCAGACAAAAATTAGGTTTAAGGTCCACTCAAGAAAATAAAAGGTATATTTCAATAGACAGCATTTCCGATCAAAGACACAACGTTTGGTCAAGGGTGTTTCTAGGAGTCATGGGAGAGAATAACTGAAAATAACGCTGGGAAATTAGGCTGTGGCCAGACTATGAAAATCTTTAAATGCCCAGATAAGTCTGCATTTTATTCTCTAGTTGCAAGGATTTATAAAAGATTTTCAATGTAAAAAATTATGATCCAAAAAGTACCTTTACAAAAAATTAATCTGGCAGCAATAATGCAGTACTTTACAGAATCTGAGTTAGAAGAGTTCCTTAAAGGCTTCTGATTCAACTACCCTCAAGGATGGAATGCAGGGAGAGTCCCAGGAGACAGGGACTAAAGGGCAGGCTGCTGCAGTGATCTGGATTTGAGGGGATATAGAACTCAACAAGTATGGCAGAAATTGGAATAAGAAGGAAGTGATCTGGGTCTTAAAGTTAATGCAATTTTGTACTAAAATGTAAGTCAACTAACAATTACAACTATAAGCTCTGGATTCTGTCTACAAACATTTTTGTTTTTTATCTTAAGTCACTGGCAGACTATGTAAGAAGTCTGGAGCAGAATACCTATCTATCAGTCTGTCTCTCTCTCTCTCTCTCAATACAGGGTCTGGCTCTGCCACCCAGGCTGCAGTGCAATCACATGACCTTGACTCACTGCAACCTCTGCCTCATGGGCTCAAGCCATCCTACCACGTCAGCCTCTCACCTCAGCCTCACCCTCCCGGGACTATAGGTGTGTACCACCACGCCTGGCTAATATCAGTTTTCTTTAATAAAGCACATGGCAGGTAAAAGACTATCCTGTACAAACCCTTGACAGTAAGGGCAGGCTCAATTACATTCAACTCTCCAATTCCATTCATCAAATCATCTTAACCCTATTATTACTTATGTAAAATGCAGTTTATCTGTACTGATTTTTCAGAAAATGTCCATAATTATCTCTTTTGTAGTATCAATATTACGCATATCTCTAAACAATGTTGATTTCTTCTCAGTTTCTCCAAGTTGGATTAATTATCTGCTCAATCATTGCTAATACAGATATACATACCATCATTACGAATGACATGTCATACAGGCAATCTGAAACAAGAGATTTGACTCAAGATTCTTTTTAAAACTTAATTTGGTTGTAATTCTGATATAATTTATCGATGTGGTCCAGGTTAAATGAATTAATCTTCATATTTCGTATCACTGGACTTTTTCTACATCTTTTAAATGTGCTTTTCTACATCTTTAAAATGTTTCTACATCTTTTAAATCTCCCTACTTTTTGGTAGTTCTTGACGTGTTTTAAAAGCTCAATGACAGTCATAGTTGCATAACTCTGTGAATAGAGTAAAACCACTGAATTGTACACTTCACATGTGTGAATTTTGTTATGTGAATTATACCAAATATGACACCGTTATTATCTTAAAGTCTATTGAGAATGAACAGTGCTAAGTAATATAATACTCCAGCCTGCAACTAATAATCAAAATAACCTAACCACTGCCCTTCCCAAGGCTATAACTGCTGATAAAAATATATGTTTGTTCAACTGAAGTAAAGAGATGCCATAGGTACACTTGGACAGATACAGAATACTTATGGTCCATTTACTCTAATATTAACATTTCCTCACATTCTCTGGAAATATAGAAACTGAATCTTGGAGTTGACTAAAGGAAACTAACATGTGATTAAAATAGTTAATCATGGCCGGGCGTGGTGGCTCACGCCTGTAATCCCAGCACTTTGAGAGGCCAACGCGGGTGGATCACAAGGTCAGGAGATCGAGAGCATCCTGGCTAACACGGTGAAACCCCGTCTCTACTAAAAATAAAAATAAAAAAATTAGCCGGGCATGGTAGCGGGCACTTGTAGTCCCCAGCTACTCTGGAGGCTGAGGCAGGAGAATGGCATGAACACGGGAGGCGGAGCTTGCAGTGAGCCAAGATCGCGCCACTGCACTCCAGCCTGGGAGGCAGAACAAGACTCCATCTCAAGAAAAAAAAAAAAAAAAAGTTAATCATAAACTCACAAATAACTACATCATTTATACTTTGGTGAAGTCATTTATATATGCATCATGGCTAAAGTCTAAGCATCTGTTAAGAGTTTAAGAAACATAATTTTTTAATTTACACAGGAATAGGCACCTTTTTCTCAATACTTAAGTTTGATTTGTAGGCTATTTATTTTTCTTTTTTTTGAGACAGAGTCTCCCTCTGTTGCCCAGGCTGGAGTGCAGTGGCGCGATCTTGGGTCACTGCAATATCCGCCTTCCGGGTTCAAGCAACTCTCCTGCCTCAGCCTCTTGAGTAGATGGTTACAGGCACGTGCCACCACGCCCAGCTAATTTTTGTATCTTTAGTAGAAACGGGGTTTCACCATGTTGACCGTGCTGGTCTTGAACTCCTGACCTCAGGTGATCCACCGCCTCGGCCTCCCAAAGTGCCAGGATTACAGGTGTGAGCCACAGCGCCCAGCCTTGTAGGCTATTTATAGTCAACTCTTGAGAACTCATAATAGAGAATGAAGACATAAAAAGTTATTACTGAAAGGAAGATTAATAATTAGCTAGACAAGATCATATATACATTTATAGAAGCATAAAAGGCCAAGGCCTAAAACAACCAACTTCTTTATTTTATGGATGAGGGCACTGAAGCTCGCAAGAGTTAAAAGTGTTGTTCGAAGTAACAGCCGGTAAGTGGAAGAGTAAGGATTCAAGCCTAAGACATTCTTTGTGTGTGTGTGTGTGTGGGTGTGTCTGTGTGTGTGAGAGAGAGACAGAGTCTTGCTCTGTCGCCCAGGCTAGGGTGCACCGGCATATTCTCAGCTCACTGCAACCTCTGTCTCCTAGGTTCAAGCGATTCTCCTGCCTCAGCCTCCCGAGTAGCTGGGATTACAAGCACGTGCCACCACACCCGGCTGATTTTTGTACTTTTAGTAGAGACAGGGTTTCACCATGTTGGCAAGGCCAGTCTCGAACTCCTGACCTCAAGTGATCCACATGCCTTGGCCTCACAAAGTACTGGGATTACAGGCATGAGCCACTGCGCCAGGCCTCAAGCTTTAGACATTCTGACTCCAAAACCCAAGTCTTCTGGGATTCATAAGCAGAATTCTCATTCCGCAGCCAAAATTAATTTACAGGCCAAAAACATTAACTTTAAACTTATCTTTCTTTTTTTAAAAGGATAAAAACATTATTAATCTCTAAAGCAAGCATCCTCTGTGAGTAGAAACTTTAAATTGCCCTTTTAAAGTTTCAAAATAGTTTTATCAAATATAACTCTTAATTCAAAACCAAAAACTGTTTAAAAATGAAGTCAAACAAAACTACAACAGGTCAGTATCTATGTGTTAAAGAGTGATTGTAGGGATAGTGCTTGTCTTTTTACCTTTAGCCATGTCACACTCCTTAATCATTTTGAGAAAGTTGGAAATTTCCCTATCTAGTCGCTGTTGGCATGACTGTGCTTTCTGCAAAAAAAGAAAAGACAAAATTAAAACAAAGTAATAAAAGATTTTACATTACTTATGCTTTAGTGTTTCTATCAAAACTTTCAGTACATAGATTGATATACCATAACAGAGACATATGCCTTAAAGAAAAGAAAAAGGTGAGAGAAAATTTCCTTGTAAACTGAATATAACATTTAATCAAGTGTAAAGTAAAAATAAATATTTTAAAGGTTTAAATACATTCAACATCTGTTGTGTAGATACCATACAATTGCATCCATTACTATTACTATCTCATTATGCCATGTGTATCTGAGGAATTATAATTCTCTGATTTATTAGCACTTTTAGTAGGCCTCATGAAATTCATCAAGAAATTATAAAATGCATTCCTTAAAAATATATTTTAAAAACTGTTTTGTTCAGAAAAAAAAATCCAGATGGTCCTAACATTTGGAAACCACAAGCTGATTCTCGTTCAGCAATCTAAGTGCATACAGCCCCCACATCATCAAACCAAAAAGGACATTTTCTTAGTGTGTCAAAGCTTCTGAAAATAAGGTAAAGTCAATTATAGAAAGCATTCTTCCTTGTAATTTGAAAGTTCTACATTTTTAGATCCCTAAAGGCAAAAAAACATAAATATAGAATTTCTTGATGAAAGTTACATCCCATCTTAGTGCAGATTTAGAAATCCAAAATGAAAGATCAGTCAAATCCATTTATTACATTAAAAATGTCATTTTGAAGGCAGTTTTATATATCATTTCCCTTTAAAGAGGTGGGAAGAATAAGCAAGAAAATTATTATTGTAAATTTGCTTGGTTATCAAAATAGAAAATATTTATTCTGAGAATCTTGACCTTATAAACAATCGAATCACATTCTTTTAGGTAGAGTAATATATTTAGCCTTATGAAACTTCCCTACTTTGTACTCCTAATCTCAGCTAGCCCATCACAAAACATTTTGCACCCCCAAAATCAAACTTACTATAGATCAGTATGTCAAGGTGGCATAGGTAAATACTCTTTTCTCCTATTTCACCTTATAAATTTTTTAGTGCTTACAAAGTTCAACTCAACCACAGTAGAATTATTCATGTTATCACATTAGTGACAGGCAATATTCTCTTCAAAATTTGTATTACTCTCCTTTGTTTTGAGGGCTCTAACAACACCTACGTACCATTCACTTGGTGGAGAGCAGGGGGAGAATACCTACACTATGCAATTTAAAACACCATATATGCCTGATAATTTTTCCAGACACAGCCTGTGAATACAGGTTGAGGGGCAGGGAAAAAGTTTATCTAGAGGCACCAAAACATGCACTGCAACCAAATGCATCACTCATGATGAATAGAAAATCATCATTCTTGCTCTATACATATTTAATACTCTGCTTATGTGCAAGTCAATGATACTGTTTTATCCTTCCTATGATGAAAGTAAGCTAGAGGCATAAAAGTAAGCAATGGCTTCAATTGCAGACTATGAATCTGTAATAAACAGGATAGTTTTCCTAAGTTATAATTAAAGGCAGGAAACACCTTCTATAGCATCATCTTCAAATACATGAATCACATTTATCTTCCCTTGAATCATATTTCCATCTAACAGTTATTAATAAGTTTCCTTGATCGACGATTTACTTGTTTTAAAGGGTACATAACAGGTCAGCTGGAGAAGATCCAATCTACACATACTGTTTTAAGTTGTGTACAAAGTATGTCTTCTGTTCTAAACAACTTAGTGCTTTTTAACTGATACTAAAAGATACTAAAAAGAAGAGGTTATTAATATAATAAAACATAATATGGTCTCCCATTTGCTTAGTCGCTACTAGTTATATTTTGAAAAACTAAAAATCAATTTATGAAAGTTAATTCTTATTAATATTTTGCAGAGTCCAACATGGTTTCTCATTTTTGACTTCTATGCCATTGATATTATGTCAGGAACTGATATGATTTGGCTGTGTCCTCACCCAAATCTCACCTTGAATTATAGCTCCAATAATCCCCATGTTTTGTGGGAGGAACCCGGTGGGAGGTAATTGAATCATGGGGGTGGGCTTTTCCTGTGCTGTTCTCATGATAGTGAACAAGCCGCATAGGATCTGATGGTTTTATAAAGGGGAGTTCCCCTGCAAAAGCTCTCTTGCCTGCTGCCATGTAAGACATGCCTTTGCTCCTCCTTCACCTTCCACCAAGATTGTGAGGCCTCTCCAGCCATGTGGAACTGTGAATCAATTAAACCTCTTTCCTTTATAAATTACCCAGTCTGGGGTATGTCTTTATTAGCAGCATGAGAACGAACTAATACAGGGACTCTTTTTAAGTTTTAATTTCTATTTATTTATTCTACATAAATGGAATCTCACTATGAGCAATGTTATAATACCTAAAGTTTAACAGTATTTTAACTTTGCCCAAGTTATCTGGACAAAGCACACAAGAACAAGGATTAAACCCATTGATACAGGGGCCTAGAGGATCAGAAGTTACCCCAGGTGAGCAGCTGAGCCACATTTACAACACAGGTCTCCTGCTTAGAAACCAAAATTTTAGCTGTTGGTTTTGTATGAGTTAAGCTGATGTTAAATTACCTTATGATCCCTAACCTACAGGGCAGCTCGAAAATGCATATCAAGGGGGTGAATAGCTAGAGAGGAATGCATAGGCTAGTAGAGAAGTAATTAATTCCAGGCTATTTGCTGCAGAAAATCCACATTTGGTTAATTAAGCACAGAAGCAGATTGCCACCTACTCAGCAATAAAAATGAATAAACTACTAATACACACAACATTACGGTGAAAAAAGACACCTAAGAGCACATACTGTATGATTCCATTTACATGAAATTCTACAACAGGAAAACTGATCATGCTTATAATGACATTGTCATTATATCAGTGTCATTAGGTCAGTGGTTGCCAGAGATGGAAGTGGAGGGTATTATCTGGGAAGAGCAGCAAGGGAACAACATTTTGACATAATAAAAATGTTCTCTATCTTGATAGGAGTGGTGGTTACACAGACAATACACATTTGTCAGAATACATCAAATTGAAGACATAAAGTGAATTCCTTTTTTCTGCAAACATTATATTTCAATATTAATTCAAACTTTAAAAATAATAGATTGTCAAACTCTGATCACTTTCTTCTTTGCAGAAAATGGCCGCTATTACAAGCAGTGGTGCCGTAGCACTTATCTCTAAGTCTTCCTAACTCCAGCCAAATCCACTTCAAAGATAGCCCCATACTCTGGCCAGGCTCGGTGGCTCATGCATGTAATCCCAGCACTTTGGGAGGCTGAGGCAAAAGAATCATTTGAGCCCAGCATTTCGAGACCTTCCTTGCAACATAATGAGACCTAATCTCTACAAAAAAAAAAAAACAAAAACAAAAACAAAACAATGAAAAAATTACCCAGGCTTGGTGGCACATGCCTATAGTCTCAGCTACTTAAGAAGCTGAGGCAGGAGGATCACTTGACCCCAGGTGGTCAATGCTGCAGTGAGCTGTGATCACACCACTGCACTCCAGCCTGGATGACAAAGTGAGACCCTGTCTCAAAAAGAAAAAAATAATAACCCATACTCCATCTTTCCTAAGTCAACCCAAAAGCACATTTATTCTTTCTGACATCTGGCGATTATTATGCCCCTGCTTTGTAACTTTCTTAGGGTTTCACTTTGCAATATGTATTTACATAAAGTAAAAATAAAAAACAAAAGGATATAGAGAGAAAAGTAATTCTCCTTCACACACTTGACAATCTTATTTTGCAGCTTTCTCAGCTGCAGAGCAACAAGTGCTAATTTCTCATCTTTCCTGAATGATCTAAGTCTACACAAATATATATGTGTACATCCCTGTTTTTTTTCCTCCCAAGTAGTATCATATTTGGTACATCATTTTATGCCTTGTCCTTTTCACTTAACTGTATATCTTAAATATATCAGCATATATACATCTGCCTCATTCTTGCATGGATGTACCAATCTTTATTAGCTCCACGTGGATGTACATGCAACTTTCTGCACATTTATTTTAGTTGGGAATCAGTTATTCTTTTTTTGTTGTTGTTTTTGAGAGAGGCTGGCTCTATCACCCTATTGCCCAGGCTGGAGTGCAGTGGTGCGATCTCAGCTCACTGCAGCCTCCGCCTCGCAGGTTCAAGTGATTCTCGTGCCTCAGGCTCCTGTGTAGTTGGGATTACAGACGTGCACCACCATGCCTTTCTAATTTTTGTATTTTTGAGGCAGGATTTCACCATGTTGGCTAGGCTTGTCTCGAACTCCTGGCCTCATGTGATCTGCCCGCCTCGGGAATCATTTATTCTTAAATCAGAAAAGCTTTATCTTATTTTCTCATTCCATTAAACTCGAGCATCATCTGCTCATTACTTTTTTTTTTTTTTTTGAGACAGGGTCTCACTCTGTCGCCCAGGCTGGAGTGCAGTGGCGTGATCTTGGCTCACTGCAACCTCCACCTCCTGGGCTCAGGTGATCCTCCCACCTCAGCCTCCTAAGTAGCTGGGACTACAGATATGGGCCACCACGTCCAGCTAATTTTTGTATTTTTAGTAGAGACAGGGTTTTGCCATGTTGCCCAGACTGGAGTGCAGTGGTGTGACCACAGCTTGCTGCAGCCTCAGCCTCAAAATTAAAAAAAAAAAAAAAATTTGTTTTTAAGATGGGGATTCGCCATGTTGCCCAGGATAGTCTGGAACTCCTGGGCTCAAGCAATCCACCCACCTCAGCCTCCCAAAGTACTGGGATTACAGGCGTGAGACACCATGCCTGGCCTGCTCATCACTTCTTGTAACACAAAAACAGTTCAGATCCTACAGAATCAAGACATCTTCAACAAATAAAACCCCCACTTTGCTAGTACCACCCAGAGCCTCTAAGAGCCTATCCCAGCACTGTCCAATAGAACTTTCTATGATGCTGGAAATATTCTATATCTTCGCTGTCCGTTGTGGTAGCCACATGTGGCTACTGAGCACTTGAAATGTGGCTAATATGTAGTTAAATATAGTTAAAATGAACAACTGAATTTTTTTTTTTGAGTCGTCTCACTCTTTCGCCCAGACTGGAGTGCAGTGGCACAATCTCACCTCACTGCAACCTGTGCGCCCCGCCCCGCTGGGTTCAAGCAATTCTCTTGCCTCAGCCTCCAGAGTAGCTGGGACTACAGGCGCCCGCCACCATGCCTGGCTAATTTTTGTATTTTTAGCAGAGACCAAGTTTCACCATGTTGGCCAGGCTGTTCTCAAACTCCTGACCTCAAGTGATCCACCCACCTCAGCCTCCCAAAGTGCTGGGATTACAGGCGTAAGCCACCGTGCCCAGCTGAATAACTGAATTTTTAGATTTTAATTAATTTAAATGTAAATAGCCACATGTGTAAATAGCCACAGGAAAGCTAATAGCTATCATATTGGACAGCGCAGTTCTATACCAATACCATGCTTGATTAATTTCTAATTTTTATTTCTGAAATATTTTCAAGTTGCTATTACAGCAACAACCATGAGGTCAATAATTAATTCTAGGACTTGTTTTATAGAATTATATTGTATAAGACAATGTTTACCAAAAAATGTTTATACTGAAAAACTAACTCACTCTCTCTCTCTCTTTCCTTCTAAGAGACAGGGACTCACTATATTGCCCAGGCTGAACTCAAACCCTTGGGCACAAGTGATCCTTCCACCTCAGCCTTTCCCTCATTTCTTATAGGTCTGTGTACTAATCCAAAAGCATGTTAAGGAAATAAAATCAGTTTTGTTGTTAATTCAGATGATTTTAGAGTATATCAGTCCTAGAATGACTAATTCCCCTTAGAATGTCTATAGGTATCAAGAATAGACCTTTCCATAAATTGGCCCCTGAATTTCACTGGAACTTAAAAACTCAAGAATGAAGGGCATCCTGGAGCCAGTCTACTGACAAGCTATGATTCAACACACTTCAAAGCTCATTTTGGATTTTACCTATTTTGAACCAGTCTCCAGATGTTGAGACAGAATCAAGATTCACAGCATTGGCCAGGCATGGTGGCTCATGCCTGTAATCCGAGCACTTTGGGAGGCGGAAGCGGGAGGATCACTTGAGGTCAGGAGCTTGAGACCAGCCTGGCCTACATGGTGAAACCCCGTCTCTACTAAAATTACAAAAATTAGCTGGGCATGGTGTTGTGTGCCTGTAATCCCAGCTACTCAGGAGGCTGAGGCGAGAAGATCGCTTGAACCCGGGAGGCGGAAGTTGCAGGGAGCCATGATCGCATCACTGCACTCCAGCCCGTGCAACAGAGCAAGACTCTGTCTCAAAAAAAAAAAAAAGAAAAAAAAAAAAAAGATTTACAGAATTAGCATTCAAACTCTGTTGGAGAGGAACATGCAAAACGTAAAAGTGCTTAACACTATAGTGCTAAAACTCTCATTAACTCTAGGTGCAATAAAATCTAAAAGGCAAAAGCTTCATGGTTTTAAAGTTAACATGTGAACAAAACATTAAGGAATAAACTGAAAGATATAGTCGAGGTTGATGACCTGAAAATTTGAAAATTATGCTAAAGAAGAAATCTTGCCGGGATGTTGTGGCTCACGTCTGTAATCCCAGCACTTTGCGGGGACGAGGCGGGTGGATCACAAGGTCAGGAGATCAAGATCATCCTGGCTAACACGGTGAAACCCTGTCTCTACTAAAAATACAAAAAAAAAAAAAAAAAAAATTAGCCAGGTGCGGTGGCAGGCGCCTGTAGTCCCAGCTACTCGGCAGGCTGAGGCAGGGGAATGGCGTGAACCCTGGAGGTGGAACTTGCAGTGAGCCGAGATCGCGCCACTGAACTCCAGCCTGGGCGACAGAGCAAGACTCCGTCTCAAAAAAAAAAAAAAAAGAAAAGAAAAAAAAAAAGAAGAAATATTTTTAATGGTATGTAAGTTAGTATGCTTTTATTTTACCTGTAACTTCCATTTAAAAACTTTTAAAATTATCATAATCCTAGGAAAGATATTAGTATGCTTTGTCAATCCTTCCAGGTTTTATCATTTACCTCTTATTGACGATAGGTAAATAGGGAAGGATTTCTTTTCAATTAGGGAATACCAACTGAAAGTTAAAATATTTAGCATCGTTTTATTTTTTTACTTGTTTAATGTAATTTTGGCCATATGTATTTAAATCTTCCATATTTTCCCAGTTTTAATGTTACTTAAATGCTGTAGTAGATGTTACCTTTGCAAAGTTCACTGATCTGAAAATTTTGTTTATGGTTCTCACATACACATTAGGCTTTAAACCAGAGGTAGTATGGTAAAGGAGTTGTCATCAATTCTGGGGAATGTCTTCAACAAACATGGGAGAGTTCAAATTCTTTAATGTTCCATCATAAATTAAGATTAGGGATTGAAAGAGTCAAAATACCTTTTATATTTTAATGTAAAGGTCCCTAAGTTGATAAAACTCCATAGGTATTGGGGAATTTAACTTCATTAAAGTTGAACTAGAAACATTCAAATCTTGCCGCCAACTCATTTAATTTATAAAGACAAAAATTAAATTTAGTAGGCAAATTCATATATCCTGACGTAATTATTCAGACTGAAACTCATCATCATTCCATAGTTCTAATTCTTCCGAACTCAATTCCCATTCTTTTAGACACAAGATGGAAATAAAAGGTACAGCCAGAAAATTGATGACCCCTCAAAACACCTATTTCATTTCAATTACCTATGCTGATATTCCTCTAGGGATAAGGCACTGGTGTCACTTCAGAAGACTTCTCCATTCATTAATGATGCTTTACCTTATCTCTTAGCAACCAAGCTACAGATTACAAGTGGTTTTAAAGGAAACCTACCAACCAGGAAAGGTATCACTATGGTTGCATTATTTAAACTCTGAAATGTGCAGTGAAGTCATAAAGGGCATCAAGTCAAGCTATGCATGCTCCCCATCCTCGCAGCAACTTTCAAACAAAATGACGGTCTGTTAACAGCAACGTAAAAAGTTTCAGCTAAAAAAGTACAGTGCCTTTAAGGCACATGTCCATCTCATCAGAGCATATCTACAAATGCATTTGATAGTATTACCATGAGAGACATAAGCTACCAACACAATGCAACTCAGTGAAGAACAGTACTATTTCTATTGTTGTCAGAAATCATAATTTCAAAACCTTACATCTTAAAGAAAAAAGTTCTTGATTAAACCTCATGACATAGATAGCTATAAAGGTCAGGTTACATTTTCCTATTTACCTCTAATGATTTCTTCAGGTCTGCAGCAGAAACCGTATCTTCCTCCTCCTCATCAGTCAGCTGGTCCTGGGAACAGTAGTGAGTGCTGTAAGCAGAATGTTCTTCTATTGCTTCCAGCCAGTCCTGAAATCATGCAAGAATTTAAATGAGAGTGAAAAGCATTTTTATTCCAAAGAGATAATATTACAATGATCTGATAAGCATAAAATTTACCTAGTGAAATAAATATTATGGCCTCAAAAGGGAAAGCAAAGCAACCAGTAATGAAACAGCAATGTGGGTCTCTTGTCCATGATATGTCTGGATAAAAGCTTTTCCTAGTACTTTAAAAAATATCATCTATAAGTTTACATATTCATGAATGTTAATATTCAAACACATTACAGAAATTAAATAATGGGAGAAAACTTTGTCACTTAAAATTATAGGTTCTCGTTTTCAATATTGAGAACCTGTAATTTTATAACCTAACAGAATAAGTTACTATATAGTAATGGATCCAGACACACAATTTTACTAACTTACACTCAAATTAGAAGCACAAGAAACTAAGGTCATATTAAAACAGCCAATACTTGCCCTGATGCATTAACTTTTACTATATTTTTTAAATAACAGTGATTTCACAAAAAGAATGTTTGGCCTAAAAATACCCTATCTTACTTTTTCCTCATTTTCTTACACTATACTCAGGGTCAAATCTTACCATTTTATGAAATGTTGGGAGAGTCATGAGTTAGATTGTTTAGGGTTCTTTGCATGGCCAAAGTTTACCACTTTGGAAAATAGATTATTTTAACCTCTTACATAGTTTACCAAAAAATCAAGATATGTCTATGAACACTGCTTTGATTTAAAAGAATAAGAATAGGCCTGCCGCGGTGGCTCATGCCTGTAATCCCAGCACTCTGGGAGGGCAAGGTGGGCGGATCATGTTCGAGACCAGCCTGGCCAACATGGTGAAACCCCATCTCTACTAAAAATACAAAAATTAGCCAGGCATGGTGGTACATGCCTGTAATCCCAGCTACTCGGGAGGCTGAGGCAGGAGAATTGCTTGAACCAGAAAGGCAGAGGTTGCAGTGAGCCAAGATCACACCAGTGCACTCCAGCTTGGGTGACAGAGCAAGGGAGGCTCTATCTCTAAATAAATAAATAAATAAAAGAAAAAGAAAAGGGCCGGGCGCGGTGGCTCATGCCTGTAATCCCAACACTTTGGGAGGCTGAGGTGGGCGGATCACAAGGTCAGGATTTCGAGACCAGCCTGACGAACGTGGTGAAACCCTGTCTCTACTAAAAACACAAAAATTAGCCAGGCATGGTGGCATGCACCTGTAATCCCAGCTACTCAGGAGGTGGAGGCAGGAGAATCACTTGACCCAGGGAGGCAGAGGTTGCAATGAGCCTAGATCCCACCACTGCACTCAAGCCTGGGCGGAAAAAAAAAAAAAAAGAATAGGGATAGTCCATTAAGTGACTGCACCATAAGTATTGGTCAAGTAAATCCCAATTTTCTAGCTTGCTGCTGTTGTTTAATTTATCACTAGGAAGGCTGAGTCTCCATTGTAATGAGTGTCAGAACGCCTGGCTTGTAGTCCAGGTTCTGTCACTCACAAGCTGCCTGGCCTTGGGAAATCACTTCAATCTTACAATCTTTAGTTTCCTCACCTATAAGTTAAGGCGTAGACCTGTCATTTACATTAAAAGGATGCCCCTTACATTCAGAGAATTAAAATTGAAAAACAAATTATGAACAGAAAATACCTGCAGGTACATGTTGATAAAGAACTAATTCATGTACCAAATTTTAAAGGCTTCATTTAAAAAGTACAATCAGGCCAGGCACAGTGGCTCATGCCTGTAATCCCAGCACTTTGGGAGGCCAAGGCGGGCAGATCGCCTGAGCTCAGGAGTTTGAGACTACCCTGGGCAATGTGGTGAAACCTTGTCTCTGCTAAAATACAAAAAAAAATTAGCCAGGCGTATTGGCACGTGCCTGTAGTCCCAGCTACTCAGGAGGCCGAGGCATGAGAATCGCCTGAGCCTGGGAGGCAGAGGTTGCAGTGAGCTGAGATCGCGCCACTGCACTCCAGCTTGGGCTACAGAGTGAGACTCTGTCTCAAAAACATAAATAAATAAAAATTTAAAAAAATTAAAAGTACAATCAACAAGATGTTGGATGTTACCACTGAACCTATGTTATATTCTCCGTGTCTTTAAATGTTCTGTAAGTTTTAGGAAAGATACATGAATCCATAAGATTACCTCTCTTGACTGCTGAAGGCTATTCTTAGGAACCCGGAAGCCATGAATGGTGTCATCAAAGCATTTAATAAAGAAGAGGCAGCTATCAGTGGATTTTACCTTGGATATAAAGAAGTCAGTAAGACAACATTCATTCACATAAAAGAGGACCCTAAAATTATCTATACATAAAATTTAAAGTAGTGACATGACTTAACGATACCCAGTTGAACACTTAAGTATTGACAGATAAAAATTGGAAAAAAATAGATTACAGTGGGAGTATCAAATGCACTGTAGAACTATGTTGAGTCTGGCTCTCAACTTCTTAGTTACTCAACATAAATACTATGGTTCATCAGGTTTGTCGTTTTATTTTTATCTTTTCTTAAGTATAACTTAACATGCACTTGGGTTATAAAATCGTTTAGCTACCACAGTTCCCATTTTTTATTCATACCCGTCGCCTTACCTTTTTGTTTGAGCTGAGTATAAAATAATCAGCAGTAGATAATGTTGATAAAGAAGGAGAAAAGGGAAAGAGAGTAAGACGGATCAGAAATAATTATGGGTTTTAAAATAAAAATTTGGCATGAAAAGGATTTTAAGCCATTTATGCCAGAGGTTGCAAAATGTTTTGTGAAAAATCAGACCTTGGCGATGACCTTGAGCAGTAGGATATAAATAACTCCCACAAGCTTAGCGTTCCAATAATGGAACACCAGGCATAAATGGGTTAAGAATGGGAAAAGGTAGATTTCTTCAAGACCCTATCAGAGGCCCCCCACCTGTTGCAGAAAACAACTATAAAACCCGGATACGAAAGAAAAGGCAACCACATGGAGGAACCTGGACCTGAACAAAAGCTGACAGACTCCGATGGGAGTCACGCTCTCTGGAGGAAAGGGGCCAAGGAGCTGTGGAAGTAAGTTCCCATGCCTAAGGTTTTGCACCTGGGACTAAGCACAGTCCACATGGTGACAGGACAGCAGCAAGGGCACATGTGGCAACTCCTGTCTTTGGACATTAATAAAGCAAACCTGGGAACCCATAAGCACCAAGGAGAACAGGGGAATCCCCCAAGGGAAAGAGACAGAGAGATGGTCCCCAGATTCTGTCTGCTACTCACATCTCTGACTCATGAGCCACACACACATAGAAGCAGCTCATATAAACACAACCTATCTGAACTGAGTCCAGAGCCACTGCCCAAGACACATAGCTCATAATCCAAACCGAACCAAGAAAAGGACTTGCTGCAATGGACAACACTTAACAGAGAAAAACAACAGAATCCAAAATCTCCAGAACTCAACATTCATAATATTAATAATATTATGATTATTATATATTATAATCATATTAATATTATTATATATTATAATCATAATATAATTAATTATATATATTATATAGTAAAATATAAAATTATAATATAATATATAATATATAATAAAGTATATTATATACTATATAATAAAATATATAATATATGTAATATATTATATAATAAAATATATAATATAATATATAGTATATATTATATAATAAAAAATATAATATAATATATAGTATATATTATATA
This sequence comes from Homo sapiens, assembly GCF_000001405.40. Lineage (NCBI taxonomy): Eukaryota > Metazoa > Chordata > Mammalia > Primates > Hominidae > Homo > Homo sapiens. The sequence continues at coordinate 24,315,813 of NC_000018.10, forward strand.
ATAAAATATATAATATATAGTATATATTATATAATAAAATATATAATATATAGTATATATTATATAATAAAATATATTAAAGATATTATATATTATATAATATTATAATTATATAATAATAATATTAATAATATTAAGAGTACCATCCAAAATTACCTGACATACGGGCTGGGTGCGGTGTCTCATGCCTATAATCCCAGCACTTTGGTAGGCCAAGGCAGGAGGATTGCTTGAGGTCAGGAGTTCGAGACCAGCCTAACCAACATGGCAAAACCCCGTCTTTACCAAAAAACACAAAAATTAGCCGGGCATGGCAGTGTTCACCTATAATCCCAGCTACTCAGGAGGCTGAGGCAGAGAACTGCTTGAACCTGGGAGGTGGAGGTTGCAGTAAGCTGAGATCGTGCCACTGCCCTCCAGCCTGGGAGACAGAGCGAGATTCCATCTCAAAAAAACAGAAACAAGAACAAAACAAAACCAAACCCACAATTACCTGACATATGAAGAAGCATGAAAGTAGAACACATTCACAAAAGAAAAATCCAATTAAAAGGCAAAAATTGCCAGAATGGGTAATAGGAACTAAAACATACGCTATCTCCAAGAGACAGAAAATAAATATAAAGATACATATAGGCTAAAAGCAAATGGATAGGAAAAAGACACCATGCGAACAGTAAACATAAGAAGGCCAAAGTGGTTATGTTCATATCAGACAAAATAAATTTTAAAACAAAATGTATTACAAGAGATAAAGAGGGCCACAAAACAATAAAAGGATCAATTAATCAAGAAGACAACAATCATAAGTATGTTATCAATAACAGAGAAGGAAATGCAACATTCCACAAGCACAGTAGGACACTTTCACATTCCTCTTTCAGCAACTGATACAACCACTAGCCAAAACCAAGACACAAAAGATCTGAATGCTATCAACCACCATGACTGAATTAATATTGATAGGTCCCTACAACCAACAACAATAGCAAAACAACCAACAATAATAGCAAAATACACATTCTTTTCAATTGCATGTACTAGGATATTTCATCATCAAATAAGCCTGGGTAAATTTGACAAATATTTTTGGACAATCCATCTCTCATTCCATAATAATACATGGAGATAAATAAAAGTTAACTATATTTTAAAATTTTGTTCAAAATGGAGATGCCACGACTTTACTTGTTATCAAATTAAAATATATACAAGTGTTTTCTACAGCATTCCACAGAACCCCAAGATTTTACAAGGCTGTATAAATGATTTGGGTCAATCACTTGAAGAACTGATTTCACAGTTAGAGGAGCAAATGATCCATGTTTCATCCTACCGTGCATACTGCTTGAGTCAGGTGTTTGCATCCCTGGCGATAAATATTATGAACTGCATCAGGCCTTCAAAATAAAAATGAAATTATCAAGACAAAAGGAAAAGAGACAAGTGAAAAAAATTCGTATTTCAAAATTTATACAGTGAAATTTGATAAGTGTAAAGATCATAATACTTACTGTTTCCTATACCATGAAAGGACTCCATGCTCTAACACTACCCAGAATAATCTCCAGCCAAAAAATCTTGAACTCTAAGGGAAAAATAACAAAGATTTCCCAAGCTGACACATCTAGATTCAAATGCTTGACTGATAAAAAGTAATTAAGTGAGGACAGTCATATTTGAGTCTTTAGACAGTAGCACTGAACAGTAAAAAAAAATGATCAAACATGAACTTAGGTACTAAGTGCAGTAATGAAAACATACCACTACAGGGTGACAGGAACAGCAGAAATGCCATACTGATAAGATCAATGATGATTACAGTTTATGGTTCTGACAAAACTGTTCAGGGATTATTTACAGAAAATATACCAGTTGTGGGCTTCAAAGACAATTTCCTCAAAGTCATGAATGAATGTCTAAAAAAGAAAATTATCCTAAATTTATCTTATACAATATAAGCATACAGATACATAAATAGATTAAGGGATTGCTTGCAAATGCAAAAGAAATTATGTGCTCTTCAAGGTTAATTCTAGAAAACAGGATTCTCCAAAATGTAGAAACTGTTAGGACTGGAAAAATTTTATATATGTACCATGTGATAATTCAAATATTAATTTTCTTCTAAGTCTTCCATGGTTTGATGTTCATAACAAAAATAATACTGTAATTCTTTGATCTAGTAAGAAAAAAATGTATTTTCCCCCCACTCCTTTTCATAAAAACTTAGTCACCTAAAAGTGACTCATCAACACCAAAAAAACACCTAAAAGGGACCATCAACACACAGAAAAGTAATGGCTACAACCAGTGGAAGCCTCTTGAAATCCAGTAGTATAAAAGTGGCTTGCCAGTCACGGTGGCTCACACCTGTAATCCCAGCATTCTGGGAGGCCAAGGCGGGTGGATCACGAGGTCAGGAGTTCAAGACCAGCCTGGCCAAGGTGTTGAACCCTCGTCTCTACTAAAAACACAAAAATTAGCCAGGCACGGTGGCGGGCGCCTATAATCCCAGCTACTTGGAAGACTGAGGCAGGAGAACCACTTGAACCCAGGTAGTGGAGGTTGCAGTGAGTATACCACTGCACTCTAGCCTGGGTGACAGAGCAAGACTCTGTCTCAATAACTAAAAATAAAAAAAAAAATCAGTGGTTTACATTATACGATCCAAGAGCGATTAAATCACATATACTTCAGAAATGATTTTTTAAAAGTTTTAAACAGAAATAGAGCACCTGAGAATTATTCTTTACAGTTATATAATTAAAAAACCACCTCAACTTACCTTCCAGAGAGGGCCCTCATATCGTTTCAATGCTTTGTAGATGACCTGTCAAAAACATGTTTTCATGAAAAATGCATCTACATATTTCAAACATTCAAAAATTTTTTTCTAAAAATTATTAGATAAATTTAATTCATTACTCTGTACCTTATTACCAACAAGAATGTGTTTCATTTCAGCACCCTGGGCAAGGTCAAGAGGTTTCTGATCTGTGCAAAATACAAAGAAAAAAAGCCATCAACAGCTTAAATGTACTATGACAATCAATGCTGTAACTGCAGCATCTAATAGTCCTTCATTTTTCTATTGCCTATATCTTTTTCTTTCCCCAGAAAATTACCTACCAGAGAGAGGTTGCCATCTCAATTATTTATGGCCTCCCTTTTGGTCGCTAACTATTAAGCCAGCAAATCAGATTAACTTCACAACAAATTATCATGAACTCATAAATTTGTGGCTTAAACAATACAAATTTATTATCTTACAGTTTCAGAGATCAGAAGTCTGAAATCAATTTCACTGGGCTGAAATCAACATGTGGACAGAGCTGCATTCCTTCTGGAGGCTCTAAGGGAGACATTTCCTTGCCTTTTCCACTTCTAGCGGCCAACTACCTGACTTGACATGGGGTCTCTTCCTCCATCTCCAAAGCACATCATTCCAACCTCTGCTTCCAGCATTCTGTTCTCTCTCTCTCTATAGCCCTCCCTCCTATCAGGAGCCTTGTAACTACATAGATCTACCTGGATAATTCAGGATTTCCCCTCATCTCAAGATACCTAACTAATCACAAATTTGGGGTCCACTCTTTAGCCGACCACAGCCACGCTTCAGCCGTCTCGCTGCATAATGGGTAGCAGAGATGGCTCACAAGCTGAGGGTGTGATGGTCCACAATTTAGGACAAAAGAAAAAGGTGACAATGGAGAATAAAGCCGGCAAGCTATCAATGTTAATTTTTCCAACCTTACACATGCACATTCCATGTTTTGCCCAACAACAACAAAAATGGAGTTTGTCTTATCAAAGTTATTTATAGAGTTCTGAAGTGAGCAGGACATTAAATGAAGGACAAAAGGTAAAAAAACAAACAAACAAAAACCCACAAATAAATCAAACCATCTCCTAGCCTCAAATAGCTTATTATTAGAGAAATGAAAGCTACCTATGAAAATTAGAACAGTCCTTTCAAAACAACATATCAATGAGAACTCTGGAACTGTTTATGCAGGAAGGTGATATATTCTATCAGATAACCTTTTAGGCCAGGCGCAGTGGCTCACAACTATAATCCCAGTACTCTGGGAGGCTAAGGCGGAAGGATGGCTTGAGGCCAGAAGCTTAAGACTCGCCGGGGTAATACAGTGAGACCTTATCTCTACAAAAAAAAAAAAAAAAAATTTAATTAGCCAGGCACGGTGGCATGTGCCTACAGTCCCAGCTACCACTGCACTCCAGACTGGGTGACAGAGTGAGACTCTGTCTCTAAAAACAAAAAGGGGGGCTGGGGGTGGTTTAAAATAATAATATTTTTATAAATACCAAACATCTGGTATGTGTTGGCAATTTTTTTGTATGATATCCCCTAATGAGGGTCTGTTATGTACCGATTACTATTTTAGGCACTGAGGATTCAGCAGTGAACATAACAGAAAAAATACTGGGGGGATGGGAAAGCATAGAAGGTGGGAAAGACAGATGATAAATTAATTCTTAAAGATACAGCAGACAATGAACCACGGTACGCCCAGACTTTTTAAATAAATGATTTGACAGAGTAACTGGGATACCACTTTAGATTGGAGGATGAGGGGTTGATCAGGGAAGGCCTCTTTGAGGAAGGGATGTCTAGGTTGAAAAGAAGGATCCAGCCTTGTGAAAATACAGGGAAGGACATTCTAGCAGAGGAACAGCTGATGCAAAGGCTCTGAGGTAGGAACAATTCAGCAGGCAAGAGATAAAGTCAGAGAGGCACGCAGAGGCCACATCACACAAGGGGTTTGTAGGCCAGACTTTTGTAAGCCAGCATAAGGAGTTTGAGTTTTATTCTAAATAGGATGAAAAGCCACTGAAGGGTTTTAAGTAAGAGTAACATGATCTGACTCATGTTTAAAACTCTGTCAAAGTGTTAAAAAATTATAATATAGGCCGGGTGCAGTGACGCATGCCTGTAATCCCAGCACTTTGGGAGGCCGAGGTGGGCAGATCACCTTAGGTCAGGAGTTCGAGACCAGCCTGGCCAACATGGTGAAACCCCCATCTCTACTAAAAATACAAAAATTAGCTGGGTGTGGTGGCAGGCACCTGTAATCCCAGCTACTCTGGAGACTGAGGCAGGAGAATCACTTGAACCTGAGAGGCGGAGTTGCAGTGAGCTGAGATCGCGCCATTGCACTCCAGCCTGGGGAACAAGAGCAAGACTTCGTCTCAAAAAAAAAAAAAAAAAGAAAAGAAAAGAATAATAATAATAACTGGGAAAACACAAACTTTGGCAGTTCCATGATTTTGATAAATTACTAGAATATTATTAATAGGATAATGCTATTGTGCTTATGTTTTTTAATAGCCCCATTGAGATACAAATTAACATACAATTTACTCACTTAAACTGCACAAATTCAATGGTTTTTATAGGTGCACAGAGTTGTGCAACTATCACATGCTTGTGGTTTTTGTTAAAGGGTGTCCTTATTTTTTACTAATATACTGGACTACAGATGTTCCCCAACTTACAACAGTTCAACTTAATGGTTTTTCAACTATCACAGCTCACCACAGCCTCGACCTCTTGGGCTCAAGTGATCCTCTCACCTCAGCCTCCCTGGTAGCTGGAACTGCAGTCATGTGTCATCACACCTGGCTAATTTTTGTATTTTTTTGTAGGAATGGGGTTTCACCAGGTTAGTCTCAAATTCCTAGGCTCAAGCGATCTGCCAGCCTCAGCATCCCAGAGTGCTGGGATTACAGGTGTGAGCTACTGTACCTGGCCTTAAGTGTATTTTCAATTTACAATGGTTCTATGAGGACGTGGCCCCACAGTAAGTTGAGGAGCACTGGGTATGTATGAATAAAATGGCATGACAGGCCTTCTCTTTCCAGTTCTTCCCAGAATTGGGAAAAGCTGGGTTGAGAGGGTAAGAAAAGAAAAACAAATAAATTTTTTAAAAAGAAAAAGAGATGGCATGATATCTGGAATTGTTTCACAAGAATTCAGGGAGTAGGAAGAGATACAGAGTGGCCATTATTGCTAAGTTCTGGAGGAGGGTGATGGGTACATCAATTAATTATGCTATTTGATTTCTGAAGCTTTGATAATTTCCATGATTTTTTTTAAAAAGGTCACTCTGGCTGTTGTGTGCAATATGGCTTGTAAACGTGGGCAAAAGAAATGCAGGGAGGCTAATTACAAAGAGATGGCAATAGTGCAGGTAAAGGATACTGGTGGTTTGGACTAGAAAGTCAGTAGTAAAATGGAGATCATTTTTAACATAGAGAGAAATATGTGACTTTTTTTTTTTTTTTTTTTTTGAGACAGAGTTTCCCTCTGTTGCCCAGGCTGGAGTGCAGTGGCACCATCTCAGCTCACTGCAAGCTCTGCCTCCCGGGTTCATGCTATTCTCCTGCCTCAGCCTCCTGAGTAGCTGGGACTACAGGCGCCCACCATCACGCCCGGCTAATTTTTTGTATTTGTTTTTTTTTTTTTAGTAGAGATGGGGTTTCACTGTGTTAGCCAGGATGGTCTCGATCTCCTGACCTCGTGATCTGCCCGCCTGGGCCTCCCAAAGTGTTGGGATTACAGGTGTGAGCCACCGTGCCCGGCCTTGTATGTGGCTTTAAGATTTATTTTGGAGGAAGATTTATAGAGCTGCTGATGGGGAACCTGGGGCTGGTGATACATTACTTCTTTAGTGGGGAAAAAACTTTTTAAAACATTAACCAAAAAATTAATACTCAGTTTAGTTTTTCTGCCTAGCACATAGGAAAATGCCTTATAGAGGTCTGCCAATTCTGTGTTATTTTCATTCTACCTACAGGGCACTTTGGAGAAATTATTTCTTTAGGCAGAGAGAAAGACAACACTATGATTTCTTTCATAGAATTCTGCCCTAATACCAAAAATAAATTCTGAACTCCTGCCAACTAGATGAAATTCCAGAAGAGAGACCTCATTTCTGGATTTGATGTCTAAAATGCCTGGCACACAGTAAGAATTCAATAAAATGCTTTTGAACTAAATGAAATAGCCTCCTAGATGGAATCTAGATGGGTTCCACCACCAGTTAAAAAATACACTATCTCTCTTACCAACCACAACAAAATAAAGTGAAAAACAGGAATGATGTAATATTTAAAAGTTTGCATGACACAGATTTGTCCCTTAATGGGAAAATTTAATAAAGATGCCAATTCTCCTTAAATTAATTTACATAGAATGTAATTTCAATTAAATCCCAATGAAGAGCCTCAGAAAATTATTTTAAATGCCTTCTGGAAGAATAAACAGATAAGGATGTCAAAGAAAATCCTTAAAAATGGTAAGGGGAAATCTCACATATTAAAACATTATAACCATTAAAAGTGCAATACTATCTTAAAAACTTTTTTTTAATGCGATACTGTCGAAAGAAGAGACAGATGAGTGAATAAAAAACAATAAAAAATACAAAAAGAGACTGGGCACCATGGCTCATGCCTGTAATCCCAGCACTTTGGGAGGCTGAGGTGGGTGGATCGCTTGATGCCAGCAGTTCGAGACCAGCCCAGCCAACATGATGAAATCCCATTTCTACTAAAAATACAAAAATTAGCAGAGACGGGGTTTCACCATCTTGGCCAGGCTGGTCTTGAACTCCTGACCTCGTGATCCACCCACCTCAGCCTCCCAAAGTGCTGGGAATACAGGCGTGAGCCACCACACCCAGCCAGGGTGAGGCTTTTTCTTTTTTTTTTTTTTTTTTTTTTATTATACTCTAAGTTTTAGGGTACATGTGCACATTGTGCAGGTTAGTTACATATGTATACATGTGCCATGCTGGTGCGCTGCACCCACTAATGTGTCATCTAGCATTAGGTATATCTCCCAATGCTATCCCTCCCCCCTCCCCCGACCCCACCACAGTCCCCAGAGTGTGATATTCCCCTTCCTGTGTCCATGTGATCTCATTGTTCAATTCCCACCTATGAGTGAGAATATGCGGTGTTTGGTTTTTTGTTCTTGCGATAGTTTACTGAGAATGATGGTTTCCAATTTCATCCATGTCCCTACAAAGGATATGAACTCATCATTTTTTATGGCTGCATAGTATTCCATGGTGTATATGTGCCACATTTTCTTAATCCAGTCTATCATTGTTGGGCATTTGGGTTGGTTCCAAGTCTTTGCTATTGTGAATAGTGCCGCAATAAACATACGTGTGCATGTGTCTTTATAGCAGCATGATTTATACTCATTTGGGTAAAAAAAAAAAAAAAAATTAGCCAGGAGTGGTGGTGAGCACTTGTAATCCCAGCTACTCAGGAGGCTGAGGCAGAGAACTGCTTGAACCCGGGAGGCGGAGGTTGCAGTGAGCTGAGATCACGCCATTGCACTCCAGCCTGGGTGACAGAGTGAGACTCCGTCTCAAAAAAAAAAAAGCTTCACCCTGCCTTTTGAATCCCAGAGAACCTGTTCTGGGCCAACAATGCACCACCAGGCTTTCCCAAGTGCACCAAACATAGTTTTGAATAGTTTTCCTTGGGCAAAGCTCCTCTTTCCTTTTGAACTTCAGCCAGAGGGCCCTCACAGGCAGAAGACTAAATTTCAGATGCTTCTGTCTTGCCCTCTCCCTCCCTCTCAATAAATTTTCTGAAAAAGTTAAAAAAAAAAAAAAAAAAAAAAAAAAAATTATATCAAATAGATAAACTACATGCATACACATAAAACAATTCCCTCACCCATAGATAACTCACGTGTATACATTGGTGCGTATTTCCAGACTCCCAATAAAAACATGAATATGAATATAAAAAAAAAAAAAAAAAAAAAAAAAAAAAAATTAGCCAGGTGCGGTGGCGCATGCCTGTAGTCCCAGCTACTCAGGAGGCTGAGGTGGGAGCATTGCTTGAATCTTAGAGGTAGAGGTTGCAGTGAGCCGAGATCACACCACTGCACTCCATCCTGGGCGACAGAGCGAGACTCTGTCTATTAAAAAAAAAAAAAAAAAAGAGGCCAGGTGCAGTGGCTCATGCCTGTTATCCCAGCACTTTCAGAGGCCGAGGCAGGCAGATCAAGAGATCAAGAGATCGAGACCATCCTGGCCAACATGGTGAAACCCTGTCTCTACTAAAAATACAAAAATTAGCTGGGCATGGTAGCGCGCACCTGTAATCCCAGCCACGCGGGAGGCTGAGGCAGGAGAATCGCTTGAAGCCAGGAGGTGGACGTTGCAATGAGCCGAGATTGCGCCACTGCACTCCAGCCTGGGTGACAGAGCGAGACTCAGTATCGAAACAAAAAAAAGAAAGAAAGAAAGAAAAGGAATTCTTAGAATGTATAAGAAAGGCATGACAAAATAATGGAAAAGGAAAGATTACTTGATAAAGGGTATAAACGTAAGGGATGGACAAGTTGAGACTCCCACATCCTAACACACACTCTCACATTCACTTTGCTGCTCAAAGCCCTCCAACCACACTCACATACCACCAAGCTCCTGCTCACAGCCAACCAGGCCCTGCAGGCCTGGGCCTCTGGCAGCTCTGATGCTATCCACTCTTCTCCAGCTCGCCCTGCTCTGGGCACACTGGCAGTTTTCCTTTTCCTCAATGTGCCACGTGTTCTTCTACTCCAGAGCTTTTACACTGGCTTTCCATTTTCCTTGAATGCTCTTCTGCCAGACTTCCTCAGGGTTCACTCCTGTACTCAACTCAGCTGTTTGCTCAAAGTTGCTTAGAGAGCCCTTCCTTTGCATCCCTTCTAAGATACCCCCCATCCTACCATCACTCTCTAGTCCCTTCATCCTATTTTATTTTCCTGCACCTCATGGCCTGACAGCACATATGCATTTATTTGTTGTCTACCTCCTCCCACCAGAATATGAGCTCAAGAGCACGGGGACTGTTGGGCTGTGTTCACTGCTGGGCCTCCAGCACCTAGGACGGTTCTTGGCACACAGTGGAGGCGCAGCATTGCTGAATGAATGAATGTGATTAAACTGGGAGGAAACAAAATTAAACATTTATCAAATCTCTACCTAAGCTAAGAAGTCTTAGAAGAAATCAAAGAGATGGATTAACCAATTTGATTAAAAATTTTAAATATCCTTGCTTTTATTTTTTAATTTTAATTTTATTTTTTTTCAGACATGGAGTCTTGCTGTGTTGCCCAGCCTACAAACTCCTGGGCTCAAGCAATCCTCCTGCATTGGCCTCCCAAAGTGCTAGGATTACAGGCGTGAGCCACCATAGCTAGCCCCTTATTTTTTAGAAAAGAAAAAAAGAAAAAAAGACTAGGACATTTTCACTCTAGAAAAAAAAACATACAGAATTGTTCTTATCACTAGACTTTTGAGTGAAAAAATTATGTTATATCCACATGAAGTACTTTCCATAAGGTGAGCCATGATGACTGTGCTTCTGGGGACAATGTGGAAAAGCTGTTGATGCTTCATAAAAGTGGAATTTTATCAGGCCAACTCTATTTACAACCTGTCAACTAAAATGAAGAGACACTTTCTGAGGTGTCTGCCAGTCCTCATCCATTCACCCCTCTCTGTCCCTATCCACATTGCCAGGAGGAGGCCTTGGCAGTCACCTCTGTACCATATGTCCTGCCCCTAAAGTCCCAAGTGACCACACTAGGCACAGACGCCTGACACAAGCAGGTACTAACACATTATCTCCCACTGAAATGTAACATTGAGGTTGAGAGATTGTGGTCTCCTGAGTGGAGTCACGGGGCAGCCATCTTCCATTATGTATCCTGGAAAACAAAACAGCTGGTCTGCTAGAAGACATGATCAGACCACGCAGTGAGAGACAGACACACAAGGCAGCCATCTGGGTTCCTAACAGTTCTCTGGTTCCCAGTTCCATCCCATCTGATGCCTAATGCCATTTCCCACTTTGGAATATCATGAGATGACTGTGTATTCGTCTGTGAGTAATGTATAACTTTTCTTTTGCTTATATTCTTGAGGTAGTATCATTACTTAAAACTTTTTAAAAAATATATGTTACTATGAAACATTAACAACTAAAACTAAAACATTAACAACTAAAAACTAAATCTTTGGACGTTTGGGTTAGAGGTGATTATATACTTTTCTAGTGCTTTTGTTTTCCTCATTGCAACTATAACAAGCATTAGTTCTACAATTTTTAAAAAATGTTCTAAAATAGGCCTGAAAATAGATTAGAAGGATGCCAAAGTAACTGTGGCTATGCTTGGGTAATTTGCGGGTTTTTTCTTTTTTCCTATTTTTGAAGAATTTCTATAATGTAAATGTTGCTCTTATGGTTTTTTTCTTTTTTCTTTTTTTTTTTTTTGAAACGGAGTCTTGCTCTGTCACCCATGCTGTAGTTCAGTGGCCCAATCTTGGCTCACTTCAACCTCTACCTCCCAGGTTCAAGCGATTCTCCTGCCACAGCCTCCTAAGTAACTGGGATTACAGGCGTGCTCCACCATGCCCGGCTAATTTTGTATTTTTAGTAAAGACAAGGTTTTACCATGTTGGCCTTGAACTCCTGACCTCAAGTGATCCACCCGCCATGGCCTGCCAAAGTGCTGGGATTACAGGAGTGAGCCACCGCACCCAGCCTTTGATTGATTGATTGATTTTTTACTTTTTAAGATGGCGTCTCATTCTGTCACCCAGGCTGGAGTGCAGTAGCATGATCTCAGCTCACTGCAACCTCCGTCTCCTGGGTTCAAGTGATTCTCCTGCCTCAGCCTCCCAAGTAGCTGGAAGTACAGGCACCTGCCACCACACCCGGCTAATTTTTATATTTTAGTAGAGACAGGATTTCATCATGTTGGTCAGGCTGGTCTCAAACACCTGACCTCAAATTATCCGCCTGCCTCAGCCTCCCAAAGTACTGGGATTACAGGCTTGAGCCACCACTCCTGGCCTGATTTTTTTAAATTATTCTCTTTCAGAAGATGCCATTCTGACTTTTGTCAAAAACAAATTAATAGCTTTAACAGGAATGTTCAACTTTGGTTACTAGTATAAACTATAGAGTAAATATATATTTGAATACCAATAGTAACTTTTCAATATTTACAAGGGAAGTTTTTTTTTTTCCATTTAGACTGGTATTTGTATGGAACTATATTAATTCTTATTTCATTTGGACACTTCTGAATCTACATTTTTGAAGGAAAAATCATTATAAAATACCACACAGAAAAACTGCTCAAGTCTTTGGCAAACTGGTAAAGACACTAGAAATCACACTTTTTTTTTTTTTTTTTTTTTTTGAGATGGAGTCTCACTCTGTCACCCAGGCTGGAGTGTAGTGGCGCAATCTTGGCTCACTGCAACCTTCACCTCCTGGCTTCAAGCAGTTCTTCTGCCTCAGCCTCCCAAGTAGCTGGGACTACCAGGTACGTGCCACCACGCCCGGCTAATTTTTTGTATTTTTTTTTTTTTTTTTTTTTTTTTTTTTAGTAGAGACAGGGTTTGTTAGCCAGGATGGTCTCAATCTCCTGACCTCATGATCCGCCCGCCTCAGCCTCCCAAAGTGCTGGGATTACAGGTGTGAGTCACTGCACCTGGCCAAAATCTCACTTTGACATCAATATTTGCTTTTGTAACTCTTAGTTTATCCTTTTCCATTGACTGTCTTCACACCTCTGTCGAAAATTAAATCACCATACTTACATGGGTTGATTTCTGAATTCTCTCCTCCTCCATGAACCTGTATCTGTCTTAGGGACACAGGGAAAGGCTCTCTGGGGAAGCAGAGTTTGAGCTAGCTCTTAAAGCAAGACTAGGGTTTACCAGACGGACAAGAAAGACAAGAGCACTTCTGGCAGAGAGAATAGTATGTGCAAGGTGAGGACAACACAGTGAACCAGAGAGCCTCCAGGACAGTTCATTATGTGTAGAGCTGCACTGTCCAATATGGTGGACAGTAATCACATACGGCTACACAGTGCTTCAAATGTGGCTAGTCCATACTGAGATGTGCTGTAAGTGCAGAAATACACACCAGATTTCAAAGACTTAGTATCAAAAAAGGAATGTAAGATCTCACTGATAATTACTGTTTACCGATTATATGTTGAAATGGCATTTTGGATATATTACTTTAAATAAAACACATAATTGCAATTGATTTCACCTCTTTTTTCACTTTTAACATGGCTACTAGAAATTTAAAATTACATATGTGACTCCCATCATATTTCTATTAGACAGTGAGAGTCTAGAGCATAACAGCCAGTCAAGCAGGGGATCTCTAACCAATTTTCTTTCTCCTTTCTACTCCTATTGATGTCAATAAAGCTCAGGTCCTAGCCAGACATAGTGGCATGCATCTGTGGTCCCAGCTACGTAGGAGGCTGAGGCAAAAGGGTCACTTGAGCTCAGAGTTTGAGGCTGCAGTGAGCAAAGATCACACCACTGCACTCCAGCCTGAGCAAAAGGGTGAGACCCCATCTCTAAGGAGAAAATTTTTAAAAGACATTAGGTGCAGTGGCTCCCACCTGTAATCCTAGCACTTTGGGAGGCTGAGGCGGGCGGGTCACCTGAGGTCAGGAATTTGAGACCAGCCTGGCCAACATGGCAAAACCCCATCTCTACTAAAAATACAAAAATTAGCCAGGTGTGGTGGCGCATGCCTGTAATCCCAGATTCTCAGGAGGCTGAGGCAGGAGAATCGCTTGAACCCAGGAGGCAGAGGTTGCAGTGAGTCGAGATCGCGCCACTGCACTCCAACCTGGGTGACAGAGTGAAACTCTGTCAAAAAAAAAAAAAAAAAGAACAGTATGATCTGCTAGCCTTATGTAATACAAATCAAGTCACTGAGTTGTCCATGGATATAACATACCAGTTAATTTTAATTACATATAAAATATATATTAACTGAATATATAAAATTAAACATAGGTACACTGGCCTGCCTTGCAATGAAGGCTAATGATTTATGACTGTAGCATATAGTTAATATTCACCTTTGCTTCCACAAATATCTTTGTATAAAAAAAGTCTCTAAACTTCAAAACTCAAATTCACCAAGGAAAGCATCTTCTAAATCTTACTATGGTAAGCTCATTTTTTAGACCGTTATTCTACATAAGGCACTTGATTTGACAGCTCCTATAATAACATTATAAATTTTAAATTGAATGTATTTTTTTATCTTAAACTGTTGTGATGGCAAAACTATTTTCCTCAAAGCTGATTGGTTATGTGGATCCACGACGGTACTTAAATGTAACCTGGCTATGCCAAGCTTAAGGCACCTTTTTATCCTGAGGCTTTTTGGTACTGAATATGATATCTGCTTGAAGAATTTTTGTTTTATTATTAAGAAATAAATGTGTCTTGCTCCTTGAAAATAAAAAGTTCAGGTCCTAATCACCTCTCACCCAAGACCATTTCAATGGCCCTGCTGTACAAGTGTAAATTTTGGGATGACCTCCGACTGCTCCCCTGGATGTGCCCTTGGATGCAGCAAACTGGGGATTTCACCTATACCTGACTTGGATTTTTCACCTTAACCTTTTCTGATAATCTTCCCTCTGCTCAGAATACCCTTTCCCAAACTCCTGCTTATCAAAATCTTACTAGATTATAATGGTATTGTTATTAACTACCATTATTATCAAGACAAAAAGGCTCAAGATAAAAAGACAATAATGGTAATGAAGGTACAAAGTAAAGTATTTAGAGATAAAACTTTTTTTTTTTTTTTTGAGACAGAGTTTCACTCTTGTTGCCCAGGCTGGAGTGCAGTGGCACAATCTCGGCTCACTGCAACCTCTGCCTCCCAGGTTCAAGCGATTCTCCTGCCTCAGCCTCCTGAGTAGCTGGGGCTACAGGCACGTGCCACCACTTGAACTCCTGACCTCAGGTGATCCACCCGCCTCGGCCTCCCAAAGTGCTGGGATTACAGGCGTGAGCCACAGTGCCCAGCCCCTAGAAATGAAAACATTTTTTAAATCCTAGTAGGGCTTCAGGATCTGTATCAAGTACCTATTCCTTTATGAAACTATTTCTTTTTTTTTGAGACAGAGTCTCACTCTGTTGCCAGGCTGGAGTGCAATGGCATGATCTCGCCTCACTGCAACCTCCACCTCCTGGGTTCAAGCAATTCTCCTGCTTCAGCCTCCCGAGTAGCTGGGACTACAGGTGCACGCCACCATGCCTGGCTAATTTTTGTATTTTTAGTAGAGATGGGGTTTCACCATGTTGACCAGGATGGTCTCAATCTCTTGACCTTGTGATCTACCAGCCTCGGCCTCTCAAAGTGCTGGGATTACAGGCTTGAGCCACCGGCCTGGCCTGTGAAACTATTTCTAATGACTCCAAACCTTCAACAAACATGCAGCCCTTCCCAGGTGTTATGTGCTATGCATTACTCTAGGTGCTGGGTGAACCAGACAATGAAGTATGAGGCCTGCCCTTAGGAGTTCAGTCACATGGGAGATAGCATCATAAGCCAACAAATACCATGGGGTGTGATTTAGGCTCTGATGGAGGTGAACGCAGGGTCCTGTGGGACCCCTGATGAGGCCTAACCCAGGCTGGTAGCAGGCAGCAGGAAGCATCCTAAAAAGTGATGTGAAAAGGCCCTGATGGCATGTTCCTCTTTTTTTTTTTTTTTTTGAGACAGAGTCTCGCTCTGTCGCCCAGGCTGGAGTGCAGTGGCGCGATCTCGGCTCACTGCAAGCTCCGCCTCCCGGGTTCACGCCATTCTCCTGCCTCAGCCTCCCGAGTAGCTGGGACTACAGGCGCCCGCCACCACGCCCGGCTAATTTTTTGTATTTTTAGTAGAGACGGGGTTTCACCGTGTTAGCCAGGATGGTCTCGATCTCCTGACCTCGTGATCCGCCCGCCTCGGCCTCCCAAAGTGCTGGGATTACAGGCATGAGCCACCGCGCCCGGCGGCATGTTCCTCTTTTAAATACCCAAGACACCTTTTATAGCTTCTTTTCTGGCTTCTGATTCTGTCTTTCAAATTGTCACACATGTACAGTCAATCCTCATTATATACGTATTCCATATTTGCATATCTGGCTATTGCTAAAATTCACTTGTAATCCCAAGGTCAATATTCATTGTAGTTTCTCAGTCATTCACAAACATGCCCAGAGTGGTGAAAAATGTGGGTTGCCCAGTGCTCATTTTCCAGCTGAGGTAGAAGAAGGTGATGCCTGGCCTTCTTGTTTCATTCTAGAAGCTCTCCTACTATAAACAAATGTCCTCGTCATGGTCTATTTAGGGTCACACTTTCCACCTTTTGTATTTTTTGTTGGTGACTTTGCTGTTTAAAATGGCCCCAAGCGGCCAGGCATGGTGGCTTACATCTGTAATCCCAGCACTTTGGGAGGCTGAGGTGGGCAGATCATTTGAGGTCAGGAGTTCGAGACCAGCCTGGCCAACATGGTGAAACCCCATCTCTACTAAAAATACAAAAAAATCAGCCAGGCATGGTACACTACAGGTGCATGCCTGCAGTTCCAGCTACTTGGGAGGCTGAGGCAGAAGAATCACTTGAACCCAGGAGGAGGAGGCTGCAGTGAGCTGAGATGGCACCACTGCACTCCAGACTGGGCAACAGAGAGAGACTCTGTCTCAAAAAAAAAAAAAAAAAAAAAAAAAAAAAAGGCCCCTAGCATTGTGCTGAAGTGCTGTCTAATGTACCTCAGTGGAAAAGGCTGTGATATGCCTTATGAAGAAAACTTTACTCAAGAGTGAGCTATGATGCTGTTGGCTATGAGTTCAATGTGAATGAGTCAACAATATGTATTAAATAGAAACAGCAAAAAAAAAAAAAAAAGGTTTCATAATGATCAATTCATGAAAATGTTGTGACCCAAGGCTTGCAGGAACCTAATCCTGTATTTTCCCCTAGGAACAATAGTTCAGTGTTCCCTAATTCAGTGCTGGTGGCAACTTTATAGAATACAGCTACTGCAAATAACAAGAATCAACTGTACTTATCTTTTCCTTGAGGGTAGGATCTACCTTTGTCATCATTTTTTCTTTTGTGTGAATGCCTTGGCTCCAAAATTAAATAGAAACCATACAGTTTAACAAAGGCTGGATACTGAAACAAAACAATTTTATATGGCATTGACTTCATTTTATAATTTCAAAATGGCCAACGATGGTTTTCACCAATATGCTTACCATTTTTGTTCTTCAGATTAGGGTCTGCTCCACTTCTTAGAAGCTTTAAGGCACATTGTTTATGGGCCCGGTAAGCTGCACAATGCAAGGGTGTATTTCCTAACTGATCCGAACAGTTAACATCAGGAGGATTGGGCCTGTTGAGCTAACAATTAAAAAAATGCAATGCAGAATTATATATCAAAGATAGACTTTCCTCTCATAATTCACAGGAGGGTGTATCAGCAGAGCCCGAAGAATAGCCAAGCTCCTTGGCATCCAGGCTGTTAGTGGTTTCTTGCTCACTAAACCAGCCAACCCTGCCACACCCATGCTTATTCTCAGATGCCCTGAGATAGATCTCAGGCCTGTGTCCGGGTCTCACACTCCTCTGACAAGAGACACTCTGCACTGTGCCAGCACCATCTCACACACCTCAGACACTAAGATTTCACAATGATTTACATGCCCCTACCAGGCTTGCAATTCATACTTGTGACAGCAGAATTACAAATCAGTCTGCCAGTCCTTCAGAAGAGTTAAAACCATAAATGTTAAATGTGTAAATGTCAAGGTTCTACTGAATTTGTTGTTCCCAACTTATTGCTTTAGAAGCTTCTTTATATAGCCTCCATTTCACAAAATTTAAAAACTGCTTTAGGTGCTATACTTAGAAACCAAAGAGGCCCTTTCAAATGAGCTGAAATAACTTTAAAGCAAATGGCAGTGCTTCAGTCATGAATTCAGAACAAATTTAGAGTTTCATGTTTAATGAGACTGTGCAGGAATGGAAGCTGGAAAGTAGGTCTTCTAAGGTGGCGGGGAACAGGCAAACCTTTCAGTCTAATGTGGTATAAGTATTCCAAAATACTGTCCCTTCTTTGCATAGTACCTTCCAGAAGTGTAGCATTCCTCCCAGAAACTACTGCTGATCAAAACTAGAAAAACTTATTCCTTTATAGGGTCCTATTTATTATGTTTCAATTGGCTTAATCACAAAATATATGTAATATATATATAAGTTGTCCTTACATTAACTATTTACCATGAAAAATCAGATTCTTATCCATCAGGTTTTCAGGGGGATTAGGGTGGGTGTAAATCAGAAATTCAGAAAAATATCACCATTTAAAATGTGTCCTGCTTAAACTATCACCATGCTGAGTGTTTTTAGATATTAAGAACTTTGGTTCTACTATTATGATCTCTGGAGTTCTTGGTTCCACAATTCAACTAAATTATTTACTTAACATTAAGTAAAAATTTTCCTGAAGTGTAAAGAAAGACTGCTTTTTGTCTTTTGGGGGTTTTTTGTTTGTTTTACCAGAGCTGTGAGTTCTGTTGTTTTGCCTTCTCTTGCTGCTGCTAAAAGTAATTCTTCAAGCTTTCTTTGTTGAGTCCTTTCTACAGCTGCAAAAGAAAAGTACTTATTATCCACTGCTAGTCAGGATCCAATTACAAATTCATTATAAAGAATAAAGTGATCATGATGAGAAAAACCAAAATGTTTTGGATTGTAATTCAAATGCAGTTAAAATTTATTGTTATTACCTTACAATTCAGATTACAGAATTCTATTTATTTCAGGTTTGGATGAATTTGGGTTTTCAATTCAGAAGTCTTTAAGTATTTTACTCACTAACAATAACCATCAAAACTAATTATGGATTACTTTTATGTACCGAAACACTATTACATATTTGCCTTGGAAAGGTAGGTAAGTGGGGTTCATACCTTCTAGAACCTTAGAATGTGAAAAATAACAAGAAATAGCACTGATAGAAAGATGTACATGTCGTATAAATATATGCAGACATACCAATTTATTTATAAATTGCCACATAAAAATATAAAATTTATGTATGTATGTATATATGTTGAGAAAGTCATCTGTCCATAACTTTAGCCAGGATGACCTGAAAAACCTTTTATAATTCCTCCTTTGCAGCCTCTGCACAGGACATTGTAGATGTATATTTAGTGGGATCACCAAGCCTGTCATCCTCTCGCCCAGGCTGGAGTGCAGTGGCACAGTCATAGCTCATTGCAGCTTCAAACTCCTGGGCTCACACAATTCTCCTGCCTCAGCCTCCCAAGTAGCTGGGACCACAGGTGTGCACCACCACACCTGGTGAATATTTTTATTTTTTGTAGAGATGGGGGTCTTACTGTGTTGCCCAGGCTGGTCTCAAACTCCTGGCCTGAAGCAGTCTTCCTGCATCGACTTTTCAAAGCACTGAGATTATAGGCATGAGCCACCTTGCCTATTTTTATATCTTTAAAAATACTTTGGCACTTACTACATGCCAAGTGCTATTCAAAGCTCCTTAAAAATACTAACTCATTAAATCCTCATTAACTACTCTGAGGTAGGTGTTGTTATTATATTGATTTTTACAGACAAAGGAACTGAGGCACCAAGAGGTTATGGAATTTAACCAAGGTCACACAATCAGAGTGGAGGAGCTGGGATTTGAACTCAAGCAGGCTAGTTCCAGAGTCCATGCTCTTATCACTACGCTTCCTCTGAAGTCATACTTACAGGAAAAGAGCAACTGGCAATCCGATTTGTGTGAGAGAATGGAATATGTCGGTAAGATCTAATTTCTGCTAGATCTGAATTCTATTTTGGTTTATAGAAAGGAAGCAATTTCAGAGAACGACTTGGTGATCCCACTAAATATACGTCTACAATGTCCTGTGCAGAGGCTGCAAAGGAGGAACTATGAAAGGTTTTTCAGGTCATCCTGACTAAAGTCAAGTCATGGACAGAGAAGCAGGTTGGGGAGCCAGGTGACTGGGGAAACAGATGAACATTTGTTAACAGTAATCACTATGTGCTAAATGCTGTTTAAGACTCTACACGTACCATTGCATTTAAACTACAGGGAACACATGTATTGAATCCAGCAACTGCTGAAATTAGTTTACCTTTGTCTTAAGAAATGACTAACATTGCTATATACCATCATCTTCTTTTCCCACATTTTTATTTCCACACCCAGACTCTACCTCAGAAGACAGCCAAGACTCTCTGTAGACTGTCCATGGCTTCTGCTGCTGGGATGCACTACCTTCAATCTTTCCTCCCACTGGTTCTATGGCTGCTGAACTAGGAACTCTTTGAGAACAGTGACATCTCCTATACCTCTCGTACATACCTCCACCACTGCATGTATCACCCTGACCTGTAAGTTATCCCCTCTGTCATTCTTGAAGTCAGGTACTTGTTCTTATCTGTCTGTGTAACCAAAGCATTTATGACAGCATCTGGCACGATGCATAGTTGGTCAATAAATACGTGTTGAATATTCAAATAATGCTTAATGTTTGTCCCAGGTTTTAGGGAAGGAAAAGAAAAGATACCCTATTGTTTCTTTCTAGGTTGTCTAGGCTCATAAATGAAGGAAAAGGGTCAGGAATATGGAGTTGAAAATACTATATATGTTCTTAGATTATGTTCCTGTCCTGTATTCTTTCAGGACACTGAAATAAAACTGCTGATTACATCAATGAAAACAAATATTCTAGTCTGGGTGGTCAGGCTTCTAGAATGCTCGCAATGTTGATATGGATGCTGTTTACAGAGATGTGTTCTACAGAAATCGTTCTAAAGGAGCTATACATTCATGATGTGAACTTTTCTGCATATACTTTATATCTCAATAAATATTCCTAAAGCAAATGCTACAAATCCAAAAAATATTTGTCCTATAAGATTTAAATTTAGTATCACTCTAAACTGTCTTTCTTTTCCATCAGAATCAAGTTAGTGAGGATCTTAGAGGTCACAAAGTCTACCTCTGTCCTGACTGATGCTTACATACATGCAGAGAATAGGCTGAATAGTAGTACACTTGAAATGCAGGAGAGCACCTGGAAAATATATTTCATTCATGATAGCAAAACATTACTTTGCAACCACTAGAGTAATCAATGATTAGGGCAAATATTATCCATGAATGCTAAAACCACTGAGTAGAAGTTTAGTGGTAAATGGGGTATTTACTTTGTCTCAGTTTTTCTCCCTGCAGGTCATTTATTAATTACAAAGGGAAAAGATGCCTTTACAGTGGACCACAAAGTGATCAGAGTTAACATCACCAATAATGAAACAAAGTGACATTATGTGCCTCCTAATAGGATGCACTGGCATGGGATAGAAACTCACCTACATAATGCTTCTGACAGAAATACATATCCTGAATCTAATCACAAGAGAAAAACCAAAATCAAGGGCCATTCTACAAATAATTCCATAACCGCTTTCCTCTTCAAAAAGGTCAATATCGGCCAGGTGGCAAGGCTCACGCCTGTTAACCCCAATACTCTAGGAGGCCAAATTAAGAGAATCACTTGAGGCCAGGAGCTCCAGACCAGCCTGGGCAATATATTGAGGCCTTTTCTCTATCAAAATAAAATAAAATAAAGTAATACATAATATAAACATAACATTAACATAACATAACATAACATAACATAACATAACATAACATAACATAAAGCCAGGCATGGTGGTGCATGCCTATAGTCCTAACTACTTGGGAGGCTGAGGCAGAAGAGTCGCTTGAGCCCATGAATGCAAGGCTTCAGTGAGCTATGATCACACCACTGCACTCCAGCCTGGGTGACAGAGTGAAACTCTGTCTCAAAAAAAAAAAAAAAAAAGTCAGTATCAAGAACAGGGCTGAGGAATTGTTTCAGATAAAAGGAGATGAAAGGGATGATGTCACAATTAAATGCAATGTGGGATTCTGGATTAGATCCTAGAATCTAATCCAGGATGGGAGGGGAAAATGCTACAAAGGTCATTATTTGGACAACTGGCTAAATCTGAATATAAAAATATATATTATATAATATTATGTTAATGTTAATTTTCCTGAAATCGAGCACTATATTTTGATTATGTAAGAAAATAATCCTTGTTCTTAAGAGATACTGAAGTACTTAGGGGTGAAGTATCACTATGTTTGCAAATTACTCTCAAATAGTTCAACAAAAAAATTAAAAGTAAATAAATAACATAAAATATGTAACAGTCTCAACCAGATATGGCAAAATGTTAATAATTGGTGAATTTGAGTGAAGGACATACAAATGTTTACTGCAGTATTCTTGAAACTTTCCCATAGATTAGAAATTTTTCTTTTTCTTTCTTTTTTTTTTTTTGAGACAGAGTCTCACTGTTGGCCAGGCGGGAGTGCAGTGGCGCAATCTCGGCTCACTGCAACCTCTGCCTCTCGGGTTCAAGTGATTCTCCTGCCTCAGCTTCCTCAGTAGCTGGGACTACAAGCACTTGCCACCATGCCTGGCTAATTTTTTTTTTTTTTGTATTTTTAGTAAAGACGGGGTTTCACCGTGTTAGCCAGGATGGTCTCGATCTCCTGACCTCATGATCCACCTACCTTGGCCTCCCAAAGTGCTGGGATTACAGGCATGAGCCACCGTGCCCGGCCGAAATTTTTCAAAATAAAAAGACAAGATGTAGAAGAAGGCTGCGTTAGTAATAGTGCCTAACAATAGTCTATCCTTTGCTGAATACCTCCCATCATGTATCTTTCAAGGCAATCCAAGTCATTATTTCTATATATCGGACCCAAAGATAAACTCCCTGCTACTCCATCAACTAGGCAATCAAACAGCCCTGGTTTGGCCACAAGTAAGATCATCCCTTCTCCCAAGTAACAGCTCTCAGGTACTTGAGTATAATTTCATTGTGCCTGCCTATGTCTCTCTTTCTAGGGTAAAACATTTCTTGTCTCTCCATGCATTATCCTATGACATGGTTTCTTTTCTGTTTGTTTTTTTGAGACGGAGTCTCACTCTGTCACCCAGGCTGGACCACACTGGCACAATCTCGGCTCACTGCAACCTCCACCTCCTGGGTTCAAGCAATTCTCCTGGCTCACCCTCCTGAGTAGCTGGGACTACAACTGCCTGCCACCGTGCCCAGCTAATTTTTGTATTTTTAGTAGAGACGGGGTTTCACCATCTTGGCCAGGGTGGTCTTGAACTTGTGACCTCGTGATCCACCCGCCTCAGCTTCCCAAAGTGCTGGGATTACAGGTGTGAGCCACTGCACCTGGCCCTCCCAGGCTAGAGTGCAGTGGTGCAATCAGCTCACTGCAACTTCCGCCTCCCGGGTTCAAGTGATTCTTCTGCCTCAGCCTCCCGAGTTGCTGGGATTACAGGTGTCCACTACTACGCCCAGCTAATTTTTGTATTTTTAGTAGAGATGGGGTTTCACCATGTTGGGCAGGCTGGTCTCAAACTTCTGACCTCAAGTGATCTGCCCACCTCAGCCTCCCAAAGTGCTGGGATTACAGGCATGAGCCACTGCGCCCAGCCCCTATGACATGGTTTCTGATCTATTTATGGTCTTATGGTCTACTTATAGTGGGTTACTCAAGGTACTTCCAGTAATTTGCCAATGATCCATTTAACACTCTATCCACAAATGTTATTATATGTGGGTAAGGTGCTCTCATTAGAGCAGAATCACTCAATTCAGTCTCTACTTCTGTTTCCCAAGCTAAGACCACATCAGCTGACAAATCATATTACCTGTAAAGTCAACTAAGCCCTTTTTCTTGTGCAGTTTGAGTTTGGAAATGTCTTAGAGCATGTCTTTACAATTGCCCTTATTAAATGTCAACTTGTCAGACTAACCTAACATTCCAGTCTGTCAGGAAAACCTCAGTTCTGGGTTCTCTTCTTGTTATAATTAAAATGACAGGACATAATTAAAGACAGTACCTCATCCTCCCTATTCAGTCACAAATTATTAAAGGGCAGGAACCACAGCTAATATGTTCTCCACGTTACTAAATTCATATAACACAGTGTCTGATAGAA
Source organism: Homo sapiens (assembly GCF_000001405.40). Taxonomy (NCBI): domain Eukaryota; kingdom Metazoa; phylum Chordata; class Mammalia; order Primates; family Hominidae; genus Homo; species Homo sapiens. The sequence goes on from NC_000018.10 coordinate 24,339,779, forward strand.
GATGTTATGTGTTAATTTGCTTGTTCATTGATAAGCAGAGGGTTCATTTTGAGTGCAGAAACAAGACACTGACCTTAAGAAGTCTGACAAGTAGACTTTGTGTTGTTTTTTAAACTATAGAATGAGTGAGAAGATTTTAGCTCTCAAGACTAATCGGGGTAATAAACAGCAGGATCTTGGTTTTTACATAAATAAAAATATTGAAAATTTAAATTAAGAAATCAACATCCTTTAAGTACAAAATTATATTGCCTTTCTCTGAATTCCAAAGGAAAGAAAGGCTATGTGTGAAATTGCAACTCTAATTCAGTACCTTTACTCATTAAGTAGAAAATTAAAGATCTTCTCTTCTCAACATTAGAAATACTACTAAAAAATAATTATAGGAAAGCCCTGGCCATTCAAAGAAAGATCCTATTGTATGAGGGTGCCCAAATGCAAGCATCAAAATGGTTTTTGTTTTAAATTGCTTTAGAGAAAGTCCTGAGTTATTGTAGACTCATGTTTTCTTAAATGCAAATTAGTCTTTGACATTCATAACAATGAAGCTCAACCATCAAGAAATTACTGCTGCCTGGTATATTGCAATGAAGTCCTCAAGAAAACTGAGAATACCAGGCACAGTGGCTCACACCTGTAATCCTAGTACTTTTGGGAGGCCGAGATGGGAGGATCGCTTGAGACCAGGAGTTCAAGACCAGCCTGGGCAACATAGTGAGACCTCATCTCAATAAATAAATAGCGAGCCAGGCACGGTGGCTCAGGACTATAATCCCAGCACTTTGGGAGGCCAAGGTGGGAAGATCACCTGAGGTCAGGAGTTCAAGACTAGCCTGACCAACATGCTGAAACCCCGTCTCTACTAAAAATACAAAAAGTTAGCCGGGTGTGATGGTACATGCCTGTAATCCCAGTTACTTGGGAGGCTGAGGCAGGAGAATCGCTTGAACCCAAGAGGCGGAGGTTGTAGTGAGCCAAGATCATGCCACTGCACTCCAGCCTGGGCAAAAAGAAAACTGAGGCAGCCAGAGCCAACATCAAGTGACTCCCAAAAGCAACACCTCTTACAGGTTGCACTGCCACCTCTTACTGTCCTGCACTTCTGTATCCCTTCATTGTCATGTTTCATCAGTCTATTAGCCACATTCCCTCATGTCTCTAATTTTCTACTTTGAATTTTGTTGAGTATTTGAAAAACAGATATTTTTTCTGAGGCCCAAAATACAAACTTTTCGGCTGGGGGGTCTCACTCTGTTGCCTGGACCAAAGTACAGTAGCTCAATCAGGGTTCATTGCAGCCTCAAACTCCTAGGCTCAAACAATCCTCCTCCCTCCGCCTCCCAAGTAGCTGAGACTACAGGTGCACACCATCATATCCACTTAATTTTTAATTTTTTTAAAATTTTTTGTAGAGACAGGGGTTTCGCCATGTTGCCCAGACTAGTCTAGAACTCCTAACCTCAAGTGATCCTCTTGCCTCAGCCTCCTAAAATGCTAGGGTTACAGGCGTGAGCCACCGCACCCAGCCTGAAAAACAGATTTTTAAAACTTGCCATAATTTTGTACAAATTAAGAGTTTAAAAGCTTTAAGTGAAGAAACTATCATATAGATAATTGTGTGTTTAATCAATGACTCCAAGATGACATTATCATTAGAGCATCAGCTGGTTATCCTCTGTTTTGTCCTCTTTCTCAGAAGCCATTTTTAGTCAGAACCTTGGTTATAATGAAAGTAAATGCTGTTTATGTTCACATCCATGATATTTACCTTCAAGCATGCTTCTGATTTCTTCAGCATGAGTAACTTCTTTTGCTGTCTGTCCACTCCCATTAACAATAGTAGTATCAGCATTATATTCTAAGAGAAGCATTACCAACTCCTAAAAATCAGAGAATTTATTTTTAACTATTAAGCTAAGATTTTATTGCATTACCACCCTTTTCCAAATTACTAACTACTACAGAGTCTCCACAATAGAAAAAAGCACCAGGTGAGAATGTATCACGTTATGTCTATAATAAATGAGTGATTCAACTAATTGTGATAATACTTGACAACTGCCTAAACAATTGCCAATCCACAATTGATACATAGCCAACTTCTATAATTGATTTTTATGTAAACTATCTGGCTGTTTTGCCAAAATAATTCATGTGGTCAAATTAAATGTATTAGTAAACAAAGCCAATATTCAAATTAGAGAAGGAAGTACATTCACTGAAGATCATTCCTCTAAGGCCTGTTGAGAAATATAATTTCTGCCCAACAGACCAAGATTTTTAAAAATTAATCTTGATATTTAAACAAAATAAAGCATTATTTTCTAAAGTGATATACCATTATTGACTGATGGGATACACCATTATTGAAGGAATGGTTTATAATGAAGCATTATCATTAAGCATTAGATAAGCACGACAGTCTCCTGGAGTCAATATTCAACAATAGATAATATATTACATATTTTTATTTACTCTAAGTGGCTAGCTGCTCTTATGGAAATTTCAAATGATAATGTACATACGTCCAGTATCACTGGGCCAGTTATACAACTTAACAAGACAGCAGAAATGGAGGAACAGAATTTCTGATATTGCGGACAGTATTAGAAATTTGATGTTTGATTATCTTATGATACACAACACCTAGGGAGGGGATGATGGCAATGCTTGCTCTTCAGTCTTGCACTAAGGGAGGCTGAAAAACTGTGCTGTTCTAACTTCTAGACTGACAGTGCCTGTAAAATATGAAGTGATATCCTGTGTTGCTACACGTTATGCTGTCCTAGGAATTTCATCTTTCCTTTGGGCCATGACGTCCATTTCCTACATTCTTTTAGAATGTTTTCATAGCAAAAAATGCTTAAATAAAATCTAAAAAACATAAACAGGCAAAAAATACATATACTTATTACCCTCATCATTTTATGACCACTATAAACATTTTGGCATATTTCTTACTAATCAATTTCCCTAGGCAAAATTTGAGTTTTCGTAACATGATTTTACTTACATGCCACAATTGTTTTATAGCTACATTTCCCAGTACAGTACATGGTGTTTACACATTTTTCATATTTGAGTATTATTATATAAAATGTACTACCACATTAAAAAAACAGGAAAATGGTTTTTTAAAATATCCTAATATTTTAATAAAGTGAATTCTTATAAAATATCTTAACATTTTCTATCATCTTAAAGGTAACATTTTGGGGCTCATGTTTTCATGCTTTACCTAAATAGTTCATATTAATTAAAGAAAGTAGAGTAACCCACAGAATGAGAAAAAAAAATTTACAAATACAAGTCTCTTGACTTGTATCCAGAATATATAAAGAACATTTACACCTCAATAATAAAAAGACAACCCAATTAAAAATGGGCAAAGACAACAATGAACAATCCAAAAAGGGAAACCAAGAAAAACAATTCTATTTATAGTAGCATCAAAAAGAATAAAATGCTTAGGAATAAACTTAACCATGAAGACAAAAGGCTTATACACAAAAGACTCAGCACAAAACACTGCTGAAAGAAATGTAAAATGACATAAATAAATGGGAAAACATCCAGCGATCATGGATGGAAAGACTTAATATTGTTAAGAGGAGAATACTACCCAAAGCTATCTACAGATTCAATGCAATCCCTATCAAATACTAACGACATTTTTACAGAAACAGAAAATCCCATCCTAAAATTCACATGGAATTTCAAGGGACCCCAAAAAGCCAAAATAATATTTAAAAGAAGAACAAAGTTAAAGATACATCTTGACTTCAAAACTAACTACAGAGTTACCATAATCAAAACAATGTGGTACTGGCATAAAGATAGACACACAGACCAACAGAACAGAATAGAGAGCCCAGAAATAAACTCTCGGATATATGGTCAAATGATTTTTGACATAAGTGCCAAGACAGTTCAATGCAGAAAAGACAGTCTTTTCAAAAAATGGTATGGGGAAAACTGAATAACCACATGCAGGAGAATGAAGTTAAACACATACCTTACACCATACACAAAAACTAACTCGATATAGGTCAAACATGTCAAAACTAAAACTATTAAAATTATTAGAAGAAAAAATACCAAGAAAGCTTCACAAGGCCTGAGTTAACAATGATTTCTTGGATATGACACCAAAAGCACAGGCAAAAAATGAAAAACTTCATCAAACTTTAACTTTTGTACATCAAAGGGCCCTATCAAGAGAGAAAAAGGAAACCCAGAGAACAGGAAAAAATACTTGCAAATCATGTATCTAACAAGGGATTTATATACAGAATATGCAAAGAATGTCTAAAACTCAAAAACAAAACAAATAACCAGATTAAAAAATGGGCAAATAATTTGAATAGACATTTCTCCAAAGAAGATGTACAAATGGTCAATAAGCCCACGAAGGTAATCCCAGCACTTTGGGAGGCTGAGGCAGACGGATCACTTGAGGCCAGGGGTTTGAGACCAGCCTGGCCAACCTGGTGAAACCTGGTCCCTACCAAAAATACAAAAATTAGCCGGGCATGGTGGCATATGCCGGTAGTCCCAGCAGCTACTCAGGAGACTGAGGCACAAGAATTGCTTGAACCCGGGAGGCAGAGGTTGCAGTGAGTGGAGATCATGCCACTGCACTCCAGTCTGGGCAACAGAGCAAGATTCTGTCTCAAAAAATAAAATAAAATAAAATAAGAAGTCTAGGTTAAACACGATGGGTATGTTCTCCAGTGGAGATAGCAGAAAGGAGGATTTGCAGTGAAAACTATTCAAAGACCAACTCAAATATTGTGTAGGGAGCAGGTGCTGGAGGAAGATGAGGCCCATTTTAGGTGCGTGAAGTTTCAGATGCCCAAGGGGCAGCTAGGGACGCCCAGCATGCAGCAGAGCAGAGGACCTGGATGCCTAGAGCTGAGCAACAGGTGAAAGTGCCGACGTCCAGTGAATCCCAGGAGGAGAAAATAAGGCCATAGAGTAGATTGGTTTGTTGAGGGGGAAAGTTTCAAAAGAAAAGAGAATGTGGGGGATTTTTTGTTTTTGTTTTCTTGGGGGGAGACGGTCTAGCTCTGTCAGCCAGGCTAGAATGCAGTGGCACTACCTCGGCTCACTGCAGCCTTGACCTCCTGGGCTCAAGTGATCCTCCCACCTCAGCCTCCCAAGTAGCTGGGACTACAGGCATGTGCCACCATGTCTGGCTAATTTTTACATTTTTTTGTAGAGACAGGGTTTTGCCATATTGCCCAGGCTGGTGGTCTCGAATCCCTGAGCTCAAGTAATCTGCCCACCTCAGCCTCCCGAAGTGCTGGGACTACAGGCATGAGCCACTGCACCCAGCTGAGAAGAATGTTTAAAAAAAAATAAAAAAATCAAAAGAACATCTATAATGAAGGGTAAGGGGGAAAAAAGGCAACAATCATAAAAGCAGCCAGAGAAATAAACTGTAGCATGCCTCCTCCCAGAGAAGTAGTCAGCCTCGTTAAAGTGTAGCTATGGAAAAATAAGAAAACAGAAACTCTTAAAGTATATAAACCACTGCCGACCTTTGGAAAAAAATTAAGTTAACTGGGAGAGCCAGACTCAGACTAGAAAGGGTCAAAATAATCAGGTGTTAAGGAAGTTGAAAGGCCAGGCACTGTGGCTCACGCCTGTAATCCCAGCACTTTGAGAGGCCGAGGTGGGCGGATCACTTGAGATCAGGAGTTCAAGACCAGCCTGGCCAACATGGCGAAACCCGTCTCTATTAAAAATAAAAAAATTAGCCAGGCGTAGTGGCGCACACCTGTAGTCCCAGCTATTTGGGAGGCTGAGGCAGAAGAATTGCTTGAGCCCAGGAGGCGGAGGTTGCAATGAGCTGAGATTGTCCTGTTGCTCTCCAGCCTGGGCAACAAAGCGAGACTCCATCTCAAAAAAAAAAAGTAGTTGATAAAGGAGATGTAGATATATTTTAATTTTTTTTAAATCCAAGCATCCTCCTCAGAGAAGCCTTCCTCACTCACTGTCTAAAGTAGCATTATCCACTCCCAAACTCTCATCCCCTTACCTTACTAATTTTCATAGCACTTCTAAATGCCTGTATTGTTTGCTCCTCTTTTATGAAAAAAGGTATTTGGTCTCTTGTTCATTGCTATACTCCCTGCCCCTAGAGCAATGCTATTTGTTTTTGAATACTTTTTCCTGAATAAAGATGTTTTACTGAAAATATTCCTGGCTAAGACAGCACTTTGGCCAATTTGACAACTAACTACTAAAAAGTCAGAGGAGTAAAGTATTCACTTTGAGCATGATACTTTTATTTTTTAATGGCTGCACAGAGTATGTTTGGACCAGCAGCACACGGGTGAGGGCAAAGAACAAAGTTAACACAGCCGTGAATCACGCTCCCAAATCGCCCCAGCTCCACTTTCCGCTCAGCAGTCAGTCATTCCCTTATTGAGCCATTATATTGCTGTCACCATCACACAAGTCATCTCAGATGAAATGCTTAGAGAAAAATCCTCATGCCCAGATTATTTTTTTTAAATAACAGCTTTATTGAGGTGTAATTCACATACCATAAACTTCACCCTGCTAAAAGTGCACAATTCTGTGGCTTTGAGTATATTCATAGAGTTGTACATCATCACTATCTAATTTCAGAACATTTCATCACTACAAAAAGAAACCCCATATCTGTTAACAATCACTGCCTATTTCCCCTCCTCATAATCCCCTAGTAACCACTAATCTACTTTCAGTCTCTATGGATTTGCCTACTCTGGACATTTCTATAAATAAATCAAACAATATGTGGCTTTTTGTGTCTGGCTTCTTTCAGTTAGCATGTTCTCAAGGTTCATTTATGTTTTGGTGTGTATCAGTACTTCATTCTCTTGATTTCTGAATAATACTCCATTGCATGACTATACCACATGTTTATCTATTAAATAACTAATGAATATTCGAGTCATTTCTACTTTTTATTTTTATTTATTTTAGGTAGAGACAGGGTTTCACTCTGTTGCCCAGGCTGGAGTGTAGTGGCATGATCATAGTCACTGCAGCCTCAAGCTCCTGGCTCAAGAGATCTTCCAACCTCAGCCTCCCAAAGTGCTGGGACTACTACAGGCACATGCCACTGTGCCTAGCTATTTTTTTTTTTTTTCATTTTTTGTAGAGACAGGGTCTTGCTATGTTTCCCAGGCTGACCTTGGACTCCTGGCCTCAAGCAATCCTCCCGCCTTGGCCTCCCAAAGTGTTGAGATTACAGATGTGAGCCACCAAACTCAGTCTCTCCTTTTTAACTGTTAGGAATTATGCTGCTATGAATGTTCCCGTATTGATTTTGAAAGATATACTTTTTCTATAAAAGTATCTACTTTCAACAGAAATACCACATGAAAAGTTTTACTTCTTGTAAAGTAATTTTATTTTTTGAGACATGAGTCTTGTTCCGTCACCCAGGCTGGAGTGCTGTGGTGAGATCTTGGCTCACTGCAACCTCTGCTTCCCAGCTTCAAGCGATTCTCCTGCCTCAGCCTTCTACCTTCCGAGTAGCTGGGATTACAGGCGCCCGCCACCACGCCCAGTTAATTTTTGTACTTTTAGTAGAGATGGGGGTTTCACCATGTTGGCCAGGCTGGTCTTGAACTCTTGACCTCAGGCGATCCGCCCGTCTTGGCCTCTCAAAGTGCTGGAACTACAGGCGTAAGCCACAGCGCCCGGCCGTAAAGCAATTTCTTAATGCAGGCTTCAGGTTTCAAGATTAGAAAGGAGAAATAATTTCTAAAAATTATGCTTATTGGGCTGGGCACAGTGGCTCTCACCTGTAATCCCAGCACTTTGGGAGGCCGAGGCAGGCAGATCATGAGGTCAGGAGTTCGAGACCAGTCTGGCCAATATAGTGAAACCCCGTCTCTACTAAAAATACAAAAATTAGCCGGGCATGGTAGTGCATGGCTGTAATCCCAACTACTCGGGAGGGTGAGGCAGGAGAATCACTTGAACTCGGGTGGTGGAGGCTGCAGTGAGCCGAGATCATGCCACTGCACTCCATCCTGGCCAACAGAGCGACACTCCATCTGAAAAAAAAAAAAAAAAAAAAAAGAATTATGCTTATTGAACTCCTAGAGACTACAAAGAGAGGTTCAAAAAAATGGTTTAAATAATGAGTCGTACAACTCGTATTAATACAACTCCAAGGAAATAAGAGAACACCTTTTTGGGGTTTAATCATGTTGATATACTGTTATAGAGAGGGCAGGATAATATATTAAAACATTTAAAAACTCAGCTACCAAAAGATGGTTACCTGAAAGGGTAAGTTTGAATCCAATGCCCATATGTGTGGAAATACAACTCCCTAGACTTTGGCAAATAAAGAAAGTATCCCCTAAAACCCAAATTTTTATTGAAAAATATCAACAATAAATGTATATCCACTTAAAAGATAATATATTAGTTCTTTCCTGAGAAAAATCAAAGATATACCAAATTTAAGGCCAGATTAAAGACTTAAACAATTATTTCCAAGTAAATATAATAATACTCAATATTTAATTAACATTTACTTGTATCAGACACTGTTCTAAAGTTTTACTTTTATTAAACTCATTTTAATCTTCACAAAAATCATACGAGGAAGGTATTATTATTATTACACCTCTTTTTAAAGATATGGAACCTGAGGCACAGAGGTTAATATGTTTTATACAATACATAAAAACACCTTCAGGCCAGGCATGGTGGCTCACGCCTATAATCCCGGCACTTTGGGAGGCTGAGGTAGGTGGATCACTTGAGGTCAGGAGTTTGAGATCTGCCTGGCCAACATGGTGAAACCCCATCTCTACTAAAAATATAAAAAGTTAGCTGGGCATGGTGATGCGCACCTATAATCCCAGCTACTTGGGAAGCTGAGGCAGGAGAATCGCTTGAACCTGGGAGGTAGAGGTTGCAGTGAGCCAAGATCGCACAACTGCACTCCAGCCTGGGCAACAGACTGAGACTGTCTCAAAAAAGAAAAAAAAGAAAAAAGCCTTCAAAAAGGTAAAAGATACACCACAGTCTACTATACAAACTGAACAAAGTTCACCCCACAATGAAGCCCAACAGTAAGTTTCACTCATGGTCAGGTGCGGTGGCTCACTCCTGTAATGTCAGCATTTTGGGAGATCCAGGTCTGGGATCACTTGAGCCGAGGAGTTCGAGACCAACCTAGGCAACGTGTCAAAACCCTTTCTCTACAACAAATTTAAAAATCAGCCAGGCATGGTGATGCACACCTGTAGTCCTGGCTATTTGGGGGGCTGAGCTGGGAGGTTCACTTGAGCCCAGGAGGTCGAGGCTGCAATTAGCTGTAATCACACTACTGCCATCCAGCCTGGGAGACAGAGTAAGACCCTGTCTCAAAGAAAAAAAAAAGTCTTACTCATGCTCTCATAACTTCTATAGGCTTTGAAAAGTGTCAATATTAAATATGAATCAATAGCCAATTACAACCTGAGATCTGACATATGACTAGCACAAAGGAGAAAGATCTAGACAGACAAGAAAAAAAAAGTTTGAAAGACATGAAAATGTGGAAGAAAACCTTTAAAAGAACTATAATATCCTCAGAGAAGTGAGAAATTTCTTCATTAACCAAGATTGGATGCTATTAAAAAATGAACATCCGGTCAAAAAGTTAAAATTCTTAACCATTAAAAATAACAGCAGAAATAAAATATGCAATAGAAAGACTAGAAGACGGACTTGAAGACATCTCCCTGGTTAGGTTTTGTTACATGGCACAGTCAACCTTAAGAAAAATATCCCAGGCAGACACGACCTATTGAAGTGAGCCCTCAAAAGGGGCTAGCCTCTTCCTGGCAAAGAAGATGAGAAGTGTGAGTAAGTCCAGATATGGCTGTGTGGCCATGATTTGAGGGTGGCCTGTAAGAGCTGAGAGTGATCCCTTGCAAAAGAAAAAAGAAAAAAAAAAAAACAACAACAGTGAACTCTGCCAACAACCTGCGTGTACTTGCAAAAAGCCCCCAACCACAGATGAGAACACAGTTCAGCTGACACCTTAATTTCAGTCTTCACGGTCCCTGAGCAGAGAATTCAGCTAGGCTGTGTGCTTGGAATTCTGACCTTCAGAATTGTGAAATAATAAATGGGTGTTGATTTAAGCCTCTAAATTTATGGTAATTTGTTATGCAGCAATAGAAACCTAATTCGCAGGTTTAAAAGTCTAAAGGTAAACAGTAAAATTCTAGGACACCAAGGGTGAAGGGAAGATCCCATCTGACCCCGAACATTTTTTAGCTCGGCATATGGCCACCAAGAATAAAGACTACATTTCCTCGCTCCCCTTTAGCTAGTGTGGCCCCTTTAGCTAGTGTGGCCATGAATATTCGAGTCAATGGGATTAAGCAGAAGTCTCATATAACAGCCTCTGGGAATCTTCTAGAAGGGGCAGTCTGTATATATTCTTTGTCCCTTTTTTGCTTCCCCTAGCCTGCTTCCTGGGATTGGGATGCTCCCAATTGGGATGATATGGTCAAAGCCACACATTGTAGAACATTAAGACAGAAGAAATCTGAGTATTTGAGTATTTGCCACCTGCCCAAGACCACTTATCTAGACTTTTAGGTTACAGAGAAATAAACTAACTTTTTTTGTAAGTCACTGTATTAGGTTATCTGTCATTCTTTTTTTAGGGGTGGGGGTAGGTAGAGATAGGGTCTCACTATATTGCCCAGGCTGGCCTCAAACTCCTGGCCTAAAGTGGTCCTCCCTCCTTAGCCTCCCAAAGCACTGCTATTACAGACATGAGCCACTGAGCCCAGCCTGTCATTCTAATTTTAATTTATATACTTCCAGTGATTAAATAATAATCAGGTCACACACACAGGAACAGGAATAAGAATAGCACTAGACTTCTCAACAACAACACTAAAAGCTAGAAAACGGTGACACAATACCTCCAAAATTCTGAGAGAAAGTGATTTCCAACCTAGAAATCTATACATAGCCAAACTATCACTCAAATACAAAGGTAAGAGGTATTTCCAGACATAAGAATTCTCAAAAAAAATATTTCCCATGCAACCTTTCTCAAGAAGCTCCTGAAGGCTGTGCGCCACCAAATGACAGACAAATCAAGATGGAGGAAGACATGGGGCCCAGGAAACAGGAAATCCAATATCAGAAAGTGGTGAAGAGAATTCCCAGAATGACTAAGACATAAGCTCCAGAATGACCACCATGTGTACAGCTCTGGAGGCCAACTAGTCTAGGCAGAGCAAGAAGACATAAAAAATCAGGCTGGGCACGGTGGCTCACACTTGTAATCCCAGCACTTTGGGAGGCAAAAGTGGGCAGATCATTTAAGGTCAGGAGTTCGAGACCAGCCTGGCCAACATGGTAAAACCCTGTCTCTACTAAAAAATAGAAAAATGAGCTGGGTGTGGTGACACACACCTGTAATCCCAGCTACACAGGAGGCTGAGGCAGGAGAATCCTTTGAACCCGGGAGGCAAAGGTTGCAGTGAGCTGAGATCGTGCCACTGCATTCCAGCCTGGACAACAGAGAAGACTCTGTCTCAAAAAAAAAAAAAAAAAAAAAAGACATAAAAAAATCAGGAGAGCTGCTCCCAGAAGGGATAATTACATGACATATATGATCATAGTAAAAGACAGTAAAAAGACCTTTGGAGCTCTTACAAAGACTTTAAAATTACGTGATGAGAAAAAGAACTAAACTAAGAAACCCCATGCAATTGTTTTTTGTTTGTTTGTTTGTTTGTTTGTTTTGAGATAGAGTTTCGCTCTTGTCACCTAGGCTGGAGTGCAATGGCACAATCTTGGCTCGCTGCAACCTCCGCCTCTCAGGTTCAAGTGATACTCCTGCCCCAGCCTCCTGAGTAGCGGGGATTATAGGTGTGTGCCACCATGCGCAGATAATTTTTGTATTTTTAGTAGAGATGGGGTTTCACCATGTCGGCCAGGCTGGTCTGGAACTCCTGACCTCAGGTGATCTGCCCATCTCAGCCTCACAAATGGCTGGGATTATAGGCGTGAGCCACTGTGCCCAGCCTGCAATTGTTAACTCCAGAAAAAATAAGGCGTTATACCAAAACAAACAAACATAGGCCCCTAAGTGGCTCAAGCTAGCACAGTCAGAATAACATAAACTCAATATTTATTTAACCAAAATCTAGTCATAGGCTAAGAGAATGAAAAAGGTGAAGTAGCTTTGGCAAGGATTAAGAATGGGAGAAACAGGCTGGCACGGTGGCTCACACCTGTAATCCTAGCACTTTGGGAGGCTCAGGCAGGGATCACTTGAGCCCAGGAGTTCAAGACCAGCCTGGGAAACATGGCAAAACCTCGTCTCTACAAAAAGCATATAAATTAGGTGGGCATGGTGGCATGAGCCTGTAGTCCTAGCTGTGAGGCTGAGGTCAGAGGATCGCTTGAGCCCGGGAGATTGAGGCTCCAGGGAACAGTGATTGTGCCACCGCACTCCAGCCTGGGTGACAGAGTGAGACCCTGTCTCAAAAACAAACAAACAAAAAGAATGGGAGAGACAAAGAGCAGAAAAAATTGCTTATCTTCCAGAGATAAGCCAACAGAAAATCTAAAATTAGAAAAATAAAACAACAATGAAAGAGGATACAAACAAATGGAAGAACATTTCATGCTCATGGGTAGGAAGAATCAACATTATGAAAATGGTCATACTGCCCAAGGTAATTTATAGATTCAATGCCATCCCCATCAAGCTACCAATGCCTTTCTTCACAGAACTGGAAAAAACTACTTTAAAGTTCATATGGAACGAAAAAAGAGCCTGCATTGCCAAGTCAATCCTAAGCCAAAAGAACAAAGCTGGAGGCATCAGGCTACCTGACTTCAAACTATACTACAAGGCTACAGTAACCAAAACAGCATGGTACTGGTACCAAAACAGAGATATAGACCAATGGAACAGAACAGAGTCCTCAGAAATAATGCTGCATATCTACAACTATCTGATCTTTGACAAACCTGACAAAAACAAGAAATGGGGAAAGGATTCCCTATTTAATAAATGGTGCTGGGAAAACTGGCTAGCCATATGTAGAAAGCTGAAACTGGATCCCTTCCTTACACCTTATACAAAAATTAATTCAAGATGGATTAAAGACTTACATGTTAAACCTAAAACCATAAAAACCCTAGTAAGAAAACCTAGGCAATACCATTCAGGACATAGGCATGGGCAAGGACTTCATGTCTAAAACACCAAAAGCAATGGCAACAAAAGCCAAAATTGACAAATGGGATCTAATTAAACTAAAGAGCTTCTGCACAGCAAAAAAAACTACCATCAGAGTGAACAGGCAACCTACAAAATGGGAGAAGATTTTTGCAACCTATTCGTCTGTCAAAGGGCTAATATCCAGAATCTACAATGAACTCAAACAAATTTACAAGAAAAAAACAAACAACCCCATCAAAAAGTGGGCGAAGGAGATGAACAGACACTTCTAAAAAGAAGACATTTACGCAGCCAAAAAACACATGAAAAAATGCTCATCATCACTGGCCATCAAAGAAATGCAAATCAAAACCACAATGAGATACCATCTCACACCACTTAGAATGGCGATCATTAAAAAGTCAGGAAACAACAGGTGCTGGAGAGGATGTGGAGAAATAGGAACACTTTTACACTGTTGGTGGGACTGTAAACTAGTTCAACCATTGTGGAAATCAGTGTGGCGATTCCTCAGGGATCTAGAACTAGAAATACCATTTGACCCAGCCATCCCATTACTGGGTATATACCCAAAGGATTATAAATCATGCTGCTATAAAGACACATGCACATGTATGTTTATTGCAGCACTATTCACAATAGCAAAGACTTGGAACCAACCCAAATGTCCAACAATGATAGACTGGATTAAGAAAATGTGGCACATATACACCATGGAATACTATGCAGCCATAAAAAATGATGAGTTCATGTCCTTCGTAGGGACATGGATGAAGCTGGAAACCATCATACTCAGCAAACTATCGCAAGGACGAGAAACCAAACACCGCATGTTCTCACTCACAGGTGGGAATTGAACAATGAGAACACATGGACACAGGAAGGGGAACATCACACACTGGGGCCTGTTGTGGGGTGGGGGGAGGGGGAGGGATAGCATTAGGAGATATACCTAATGCTAAATGACCAGTTAATGGGTGCAGCACACCAACATGGCACATGTATACATATGTAACAAACCTGCATGTTGTGCACATGTACCCTAAAACTTAAAGTATAATAATAATAAAATTTAAAAAAAGAAAAACAACAATTAGTGACAACTATGTTATCTATAAACAGGAGGTTAAAAAAAAAACTCAAGTTAAAACTAACAGTATTAAAAGTAGGTACTTCTGGAAGTGGTAAAGAACCACCTCAAGGTCTCCTTCCCCTTAAGCAAGGACACAGAACTAGGATGGAGGCTAGACCCAGATAACAGAGAACCCCCAGCTCACATCCTCTACTCCTACCCCAAGACTAGCAACTACTGAGAACAGGCAACAGCAGTCTCTTAGCGGACAGAAGCCAACGTGTGGAGAGAACCCGCTGAGGCACACAAGGCAGGCCTAAGGTTGAGGGTGAAGCAGGAACACGGGGGAACACCTTCCAGTGAATCAGCCTGTGCCCTCTGCAGAGGTAACACCGAATTTGGAAACTGAAGGAAGGTGAAGCCTGAGGTGCACTGGAAGTAACCATAGCAACAGCTAATCATAGCAACAGAGATAAATGATGCCTTCAATGGGCTCATCAGTAGATATCAGAGTACCACTGAGGAACGTTCAGTAAACTTGAAGACAGGTCAGCAGAAATCAGCCAAACTCTAAGAGAAAAAGGAAAGAAAAAAGAAGAAACAGAACTGAGCACCCAATAGCTGTATAATGACATCAGTGTAGTACAAGGCAGTAGTTTCTCAATATAGCAAAAAAAAAAAAAAAAAAAAAAAAAGAAAGAAAGAAAAAGATGATGAAAGTAGTATCTGCTACCATTTGTCCATCTAACTTTGCCCTTCAGAATGCTGAGTTCTATTAACCGTTTCCTTAACTCTGCAGGTCAGCCCTCCCACTGTTCCCTGCTGAACCTGCCACTCATTACCATAACTGTGCCCCCCTGGCTCCTGATGGTTAAGTGCTGCCTCTCCTGGCTTCTACTGCCTTGGGGTCCAATCACTTTCCCCACACCACCCCTTGCTGTCAGTGAACTCAGGTCCACAGTGGCATTCTCACAGCAGCCCCAGACCCTGAAGGGGAATTGCCAGGGAGCTTCTCCGTGAGGCTGTTGCCTTTCTCACCAGCAATTTCTTCTGCTTTGGTAAATGATAGGACCTCTAAGCCCTTCCATGGCATTTAATTACCTGATATGTTTTCTGGACTTCATACTACAGCCAATCTAGCATGCCCACTTATTAAGGCTCACGCCTGTAACCCCAGCACTTTGGGAGGCCGAGGCAGGAGGATCATGAGGTCAGGAGTTCTAGACCACCGTGACCAACATGGTGAAACCCCGTCTCTACTAAAAATACAAAAAATAGCTGGGCATGGTGGCAGGCACCTGTAATCCCAGCTACTTGGGAGGGTGAGGCAGGAGATCATTTGAACCCGGGAGGCGGAGGTTGCAGTGAGCTGAGATTGCACCATTGCACTCCAGCGCGGGCAACAGGTCGAGACTCCATCTCAAAACAAAAAACAAAAAACAGCAACAACAAAAAACCTGTCTTTCATGGCACTTCTGGCCTCTTGACATCTCTTAATGGGGACCATTTCTTTTTCCCTGATCCTAGGACCCATCCAAGTACAACTCAATCTGCACCATCAAAAGATATCAACAGTGAAAGGTAAGAGGCAGAAGAGAGTCACCCCATTAAAAGTCATGATACCGGCTGAGCGCAGTGGCTCACGCTTGTAAACCCAGCACTTTGGAAGGCCAAGGCAGGCAGATCACCTGAGGTCAGGAGTTCAAGACCAGCCTGGCCAACATGGTGAAACCCTGACTCTACTAAAAATACAAATCTTAGCCAGGCATGGTGGCATGCGCCTGTAATCCCAGCTACTCAAGAGACTGAGGCAGGAGAATTGCTTGAACGCGGGACACAGAGGTTGCAGTGAGCTGAGATCATGCCACTGCACTCCAGTTAGGGCAACAGAGCTAGACTCTTGTCTCAAAAAAAAAAAAAAAGAAAAGAAAAAAAAAGAAAAGAAAAATTAGCCAGGCATGGTGGCACACACCTGTAATCCCAGCTACTTGGGAGGCTGAGCCAGGAGAATTCCTTGAACCTGGGAGGCAGAGGTTGCAGTGAGCTGAGATCGCGCCACTGCATTCCAGCCTAGGCAACAGGGCAAGACTCCATCTCAAAAGAAAAAAAAAAAAGTTATGATACCTTGTCCAGTTTCTGGACCTGAGTCAACTTTGGACATAGAACTATTTACTGAAGGAGAGGCCAGATCCTCCAGGGAAAGATTCTGCAACACCAAAGCAAACATGAACTGTCGTGAATTCCCCCGACCATTCCCAAAGGGACCAATGATCATTTACTCAAGAAACTATACAGTGGAGAAAGCGGATCACCAAGACATCTCACAAGCTGTTAGATCTAAGGTCCAAACTGGCACTGACACCAAGAGATCCAAAATGTCATGAGGCCCCTGTGTTAGAAAGGGGGCATGCATGGGAGTGAGATGATAAATGGCGCCCTGGCTGAGGTCTGGCTCACGGTGCGGGTGCTGGTTGGGTCCAGAAATACACCTAGTGGTCATTCTCCTAGTCCCTGAATATGAAATTGGAATAGACACACTTAGTTGTTGGTACAACCCTCACATTGCCATCTTGGTCTATTGTATAGGAGCCAAATGGAAGTGGCTACTCACCCCCAGCCATGGCCAAGACATATCAAAACCAATATCCCATATGGGAAGGGATGGCAGAAATCAGTGCCACCCTTAAAAACCTAAGAGAATGCAGGGGCCATGGTCCCTATCATATTTCCATTGAATTCACTCATCTGCCACTATAAAACCCAGATGGAATGTGGAGGATGACACTGAACTTCCAGAAACTCAACCAAATAGTGACCCCAATTATAGCCACTCTGCCACCTCAGGTACATGGTAAGCAGCAACCGATAGGGCAAATGTACCTTTTCTATCCCTATTAGGAAAAAAAATCAAAGACAGTTTGGATTCACATGGACAAGAGTATACATGTACAGCTTCCGCCTCATGCCATCTGGGAATCTGGCAGCAAATCACACTGGTCCACTTTATCAATAACATTGTCAATCAAGAAAAATGATGAGACAAGTCTCAATCATTTTAGATTTATTTGCCAAAGTTAAGGACACGCACCCAGGAGACAGACATCTTTCTCTGAAGATGATTTTTGAGGGCTTCAAATTTAAAGGGGAAAGGGCAGGATATTGAGAAGTACACAATTTTCAGGTAAGGGGGTGGGTGGGAAAAGATAGTCATGCCTTTGTCTGGCTCCATGAATCTGCATGTTTTTACATAAGATGACATAAACGGGGCAGAAGAAAAACGTAGGGAATCTGCATTCTACATAACACAGACAAAATGGGGCAGGGGAACAATTAGATATGCATTTGCGTGTGGTGGGCCTGGGTGACTGCACCTGTAAAGATAAGCTATCACTTTGCATTGCTCACTAGGAATTTCCTTGTGAGCAAAATATGGGGGAGGCATGTAGCTTTTCCTCTTGTAGCCACCTTATTTAGGAACCAAAAGGGGGAGGCAGGTTTGCATGACCCAGTTCTCAGCTTGATTTTTCCCTTTGGCAAAATGAGTTTGGGGTCCCAAAATTTAATTTCCTTTCATAACATCATGCTAACAGAACCAGGAGAAGAGGCTTCTTCTCCACGAGGCTAGGATGTTCAAAGCCTTGGTAAGACATATCTGATCCAGTGGGTGGGAGGTAAAACTTAGGAAGAATTCAGGAGCTTTTCCATGTCAGTAAATTTTTAGAAGTTCACTGGTCTGGGCAATGACAAGACACTTCCTCAGAAGAATAAATTACTGCATCTTGCACTTCCCATAACAGAAGGGAGCACAGTGCCTGGTTGGCTTCAACAGGTTTTGGGGCAGCTTATTCCACACCTAAAGATAATGCTCTGATTCGTATGCTAGAAGGCACCAAAGGCTGCCTGAACATTGGGGTCCTTGCATCCAAGGACCAGCAGGCAAGAATAGTCACCATCTTAGCAGAAGTAATTGAACTTGATCAGCAGAAAAAAGTAGGGCTGTACACATTGGGGATGTACGTGGAAGAACAGGTTTAGCATACGATGAGAAACTCAGGTGTGTCCTGGTATTCTCTTGTCCAATTTTTATGGTAAATGGACAAGGGCAGCAACTCCAGCCTAAGAAGGGCATGGTATCCAGGGGCTCAGACCTCCAGGGATGAGGGTTTCCAGAGTATCCACGTATCCATGACTGACTGTCCCAGTGTATAAAGGCCTGGCTGCTCATCCCCAACAGGGACAACTTTGAAGCATCATCTCCTCTGCAAAGCTTCGCACACAGCAGAAAGGCTGAGGCATCGCTTGAGCCGGCAGCACTACTTGACTTGTCCACTCCTGTCCACTTCTTCCCCACCCTCGTGCACAGGTGTGATGCCACGAGCACTCCATAAACCTGCTGCCCACTCATCTCCATCTCAGCTTCCCTGAGAACAGATCTAGAACAAATTATATGTATATATTTCAAGGCAGTCATTCTCCATCAAATGAAACGATACGTGTCAAGTTGTCTGGGCATCGCCTGAAACACAGTAGGCCTTCAATACATAAACATGAGAAATGGTCTCCTAGGAAATCCTAAAGCCCAGGATTATACATATATTCTGTATGTTAGGTGAGATAGAGAGAATTTCTGAGACACAGAACATAGGAAGCATTTATTGTATTTGTTTATTTACTATTTTAGAGACAGGGTCTTGCTCTGTCATCCAAGCTGGAGTGCGGTGGTGCCATCATAGCTCACTCACTGTAGCCTCAAACTCCTGGGGCTCAAGCGATCCTCCTGCCTCAGCCACCAGAGTAGCTGGGACTACAAGCACATGCCATACATCCAGCTTTGAGTTTTTTAGAGATGGGGTCTTGGCTGGGCACGGTGGCTCATGCCTATAACCCCAGCACTTTGGGAGGCTAAGGCAGGCAGATCACTTGAGCCCAGGAGTTTCAGACCAGCCTGGGCAACATGGCAAAACCCTGTCCCTACAAAAAATACAGAAAATTAGCCAGGTACAGTGGCACATGCCTGTGGTCCTAATTCCTGGGGAGGCTAGGGTGGGAGGATCACTTGAGCTCTGGATGTGGAGGTTGCAGTGAGCTGAGATTGCACCACTGTACTCCAGCCTTGGCGACAGAGCGAGACCCTGTCTATAGAGAAAGAGACAGAGACAGAGAGAGAAAGAGAGAGATATGGTGGGGGGCGGGAAGAGGGGGTCTTGTTATGTTGCCCAGGTTGGCCTCTAACTCCTGACTTCAAGCGATCCTCCTGCCTTCGCCTCCTGTGTAGCTGGGATTATAGGTGTGAGCCACTACACCCGGCTCTGGAAGCATGTGTTTTACAAGCATTCTCAGCTGGGCGTGGTGGCTCATGCCTGTGATCCGAGAACTTTGGGAGGCTGGGGTAGGAAGACCGCTTAAG
This sequence comes from Homo sapiens, assembly GCF_000001405.40. NCBI lineage: Eukaryota > Metazoa > Chordata > Mammalia > Primates > Hominidae > Homo > Homo sapiens. The sequence continues at coordinate 24,359,486 of NC_000018.10, forward strand.
GTTCAAGACCAGCCTGGGCAACACGGTGAAACCCTGTCTCTACAAAAGATTTTTAAAAATTAGCCAGGTACAGTGGCGCACGCGTATAGTTCTAGGTGGAAGGATCTGTTGTGCCCAGACGTTCAAGGCTGCAGTGAGCTATGAGGGCCCCACTGCACTCCAGCATGGGTGAAAGAGTGAGATCCTGTATCTAAATAAATAAATAAAAATTAAAAAAAAATAAAAGTATTCTCAATTCTGCTAAAAGGTCAGTGCAACAATCCAAATATTCATTATACATACCATATTCCTATTTTAAATTGATTATAAAAGGCATAAAAACTTTATAACTGCATCTGAAAGTAAAGTAAGGAACAAATACTAAACACAGTATTTTAAAATTCTGGTATTCTGATTTTTACCAAAGAACACTAGGGGGCACTAATGTACCAAGAAAAGCCCAAAGGTGCCTCAAGAGCTGGGGAACTGCATGATTTTTTTGTTTGTTCTGTTTTTGTTTGAGACAGAGTTTCGCTGTGGTCACCCAGGCTGGAGTGCGATGGCGCGATCTCGGCTCACTGCAACCTCCGCCTCCCAGGTTCAAGTGATTCTCCTGCCTCAGCCTCCTGAAGTAGCTGGGATTACAGGTACCCGACACCAGGCCCAGCTAATTTTTTTGTATTTTTAGTAGAGACAGGGTTTCACCATGTTGGCCAGGCTGGTCTTGAAGTCCTGACCTCAGGTGATCCACCCGCCTTGGCCTCCCATAGTGCTGGGATTACAGGCATGAGCCACCGTGCCAAGCTGGGGAGCTGCATTTTTTAAATATTCCAGAGGATAAGAGTTTAAAGTGCTTTATAATAAGCCAAATCCCTTTTCAACTCAACATTCTACTTACTGAATCACAGGATCATAAGATATTTTAAAATTATCTTCATGGTAAATGATCACATAGGAATGAGATAACTTGATTCTTTTCATGAGAATTAGAAACCAAACTCTTTGCACAATTCAGTCATGCTTAGATATTGAGCACATACATTTTTTAATTTTAATGTTTCCTACATAACACAATCATGTAACTTCAGCTAAATGTTATTTTCTAAGACAACAGATAACAAAATACAGCAGATCTTCAAACAACACCATTTCATTCAACATCATTTCATTGCAATGTTCACAAGAAAAAAAAATCGATTCTTGGAGGGGGCCAATGTCTGTTGGAGTTCACATGTCCTTGTGTCTGCGTGGGTATCTCAGGTACTCTGTTTTCTTCTCACCTCCTAAAGATGTGCATAGCAAGTGAACAGGCATGTCTGAACTGTCCCAGTGTGAGTGTGGGTGTGTATGTGAGTGGCCCTGTGACAAGATGCATCCTCTCCAGGCCTGGATCCCCCTGTGCTCCCTGAGCTGCCGGGATAGGTTCCAGCCACCCTCACACCTGAACTGGAATAAATGGGTAAATAATTATCTTGTTTTTACTAATGTTTCTAAATGTATGAATAGCTCACATTTATTTCAATGTTTAATATCAGAAGTGTTTGCTCTTCATTTAGAAGTGTGGTAATTTTCTTTTCTTTTTTGGCACAGAGTCTCACTCAGCTGCCCAGGCTGGAGTGTGGTGGCACAACTGCGGCTCACTGCAGCCTCAACTTCCTGGGCTCAAGTGATCCTCCCATTTCAGCCTCCCGAGTAGCTGGGACTACAGATGCATGCTACCACATCTGGCTAATTTTTGATTTTGTAGAAGTGAGGTCTCCCTATGTTGCCCAAGCTGGTCTTGAACTCCTGGGCTCAAGCAGTCCACCTGCCTCAGCGCCCCAAAGTGCTGGCATTACAGACATGTGCCACTATGCCTGGCAGTGATGTTTTTTTGTGACTATAATTATTCTGTAGGAACTTAACTCTTGTTTATATGCATTGGCCTATGGTGAAGTTGGTTTCCTTATACATCGTTTATCCAAAAGTTAGTTTCCAAAAATCTATCATTGACATTAAGTGAGGACTTACTGTATATATGCTGATGCTCATGTCAAACTAAGGCTCAATTTAGCATGGTCTCACGTTCAAAGTTCAAGAAAATAGCAGAAATGGCCAAATATGTAAAGAGCTGAACATAGATAAATGAACTTATTTGATCTAGGTGATTACAGAGATGGGAGGTAAAACTTACCTTGTGCTCATGGGGACACAAAAAACAAGACATGATAATTCCTTGCTAGCAAGATTAATGCAACTTAGTAGCAGAGTTAAGACACAGACTACAGACTGGGTGCAGTGGCTCCCTCCTATAACCCCAGCACTTTGGGATTGAGAGCACTTGAGGTCAGGAGTTTGAGACCAGCCTGGCCAACCAACATGGTGAAACCCTGTCTCTACTAAAAATACACACTATGGTGGCACATGCCTGTAATTCCAGCTACTCAGGAGGCTGAGGCAGGAGAATCACTTGAACCCGAGAGGCGGAGATTGCAGTGAAGTGAGATCGTGCCACTGCACTCCAGCCTGGGTGACAATGGGAGACTCCATCTCAAAAAAAAAAAAAAAAAAAAAAAGACATAGACAAAAATAACACTAATACAAGGTAGAAGACGAATGAAAGTGCTGTACTGTGCCCAGGAATCCTGGAAGAGTATAGTTTCCTTCCAGCTGCAAGATGTTAGGAAAGAATTTATGGATATTACATTTGAGTAGCACTTTGAATGGGTAGATCTGGGCCATGTAGAAATAGATGACAATAGAATTTTCTTAGGTATATAGAAAAGAATGAGCAAGACCATAAAAAAAAACAGCAAGTAGTTCACGTAGTCAGGCAAATCGAGCCATCTGCAGCTCATATTTGAAACCCCACAAAGTCAAGCATAGAAATTAACCACAACCTTTATTGTTTATTATAAAAGGTTCTTTTTTCTCAGCTTGAGTTAAGACTCCATATCTGGTTCACAAGTATCAATTTATGAACAAATAGACAAGAGTGGTATAAAATGTACTAATTCAAACATGCTTAGCACATACAGAATTGACTCATGGTAACGTATTAAAAGTTAGTTAAATCTAGTCATTAGAATAATGAAAAGTGTGAAACAATATAATAATAAATTTGTTCTTTAACTCATGATAAATTCACATAAAGCTTCCAATCACGTGCTTACGAAATAACCTTTAGGTATCATGTTGGACTATGGTCAACAACTAGAATATACAAGAAATACACTCTATGTCATAGTTAATTTTGCATATCATTTAAATAATCAAAAAAACATTAATATGGGGTAAAGCAACTTTTAGCTATGAAAGGATAAGACAACTGTTATCCTGAAAAAATGAGCATAAAGCTGGACAAAATTGTCAAAACTAACCATTTTGTGGTGCTGGATATCCATTAAAGAAACAAACTGAGAGGCAGTTACTCCAGAGGAATGGCAGGAACTTGGAGGAAGAACACTGGGAGTCTTTAGCTTTCTAGCCACAGGCTATTAGTCCTCCCCACCTCCCCAAACAAGTCTGACCAGGGCAGGCCTGGCAGTGAAACCCAGCAGTTTTGCTGCCAGAGGGAAATGACTTGATTTAAAACAAAAGGCAAAAACCCAGTAAAAGTAGCAAATACAGCAGAAAACAAATGAGAACACCTACATGCTTGCTAGCATGAGGCTGCTTTTTCTATTAGAGTGTCTAGCTTTCTACCGCTGCTATAACAAATGACCACAAACTCGGTGGCTTAAAACAACAGAAAGAAATGTGTTACCTCACAGTTCTGTATTTGAGAAGTCCAGAATAGGTCTTGTTGGGAAAAATCAAGGTGTTGCAAGGGCTCTAGGGGAGAATTCATTTCCTTGCTTTTCCCGTTGCTAGAGACTGTCCACCTTCCTTGGCTCACAGCCCCCTTTCCTGCAGTTTCTAAGGCAGAAACACCGTATCTCTCTGACGAATCTCTCATAAGCACATTTCCCTCTTATTACACTTCTTTCTTTTTCTTTTTTTCCTTTTTTTTTTTTTTTTTGAGATAGAATCTCGCTGTGTTGTCCAGGCTGGAATACAGTGGCACAATCTTGGCTCACTGCAACCTCTGCCTGCTGGGTTCAAGTGATTCTCCTGCCTCAGCCTCCCGAGTAGCTGGGATTACAGGAGTATGCCACCACATCCAGCTATTTCTTTTCTTTTCCCTTCCTTCCTTCCTTTCTATCTTTCTTTCTTTCTTATAGGGTCTCCCTGTGTCACCCAGGCTAGAGTGCAGTGGTGAAATCATGGCTCACTTCAGCCTCGACCTCCCCGGCTCAAGTGATCCTCCAACCTCAGCCTCCCGAGCAGTTGGGACTACAGATGCACACCACCACACCAGGCAATTTTTTTTTTTTAGAGATGGGATTCTCCCTATGTTGCCCAGGCTGGTCTCAAACTCCCGTGCTCAAGTGATCCTTCCACCTTGGCCTCCCAAAGTGCTGAGATTACAGGCGTGAGCCACTGTGTCCAGCCTCTCTTACACTTCTAAGGACACCTGTGATTACAATGGGCCCACCGAGATAATCCAAAATAATTTTCCTACCTTAAGGTTAGCTGATGAGCAATCTCAACTCCATCTGCAACTTTAACTTCCCCTTGCTGTGTAATCTAACATATTTACAAGTTTTGGGGGATTAGGATGTGGATGTCTTTGGAGGGCCATGATTCTGCCTACCACACAGGCAAATGGCAAAACAGCCTAAAACTTAATGAGACAACCCTGAAAACAAAAGAACTGGAGTAGGAGTAGGTGAGCTTCCCAGGTACCCCAGGCTGCTGGGAAACTCCACACATTTGCAGGAGAAAGGAGAGGGGGCCTTGCAAAAGTCAGAGCAGAGGAAGAAGCGAGAAATGCCTGGACTCTGAAAGCACTCTCCAGCCTACACATAGATCCAGGGCAGAGCACAGAAGCCTAAGGGGATTGAGTAATGGAGCCCACTGCTGCTCAAATACAGGCTCACCACTAGGCTACACAGATGCAGGCATGAATCCTAAAATACTATGCTGAAAGCCAGGCACAGTTGTGCATGCCTACAGTCCCAGCTACTCAAGAGGCTGAGGTAGGAAGATCACTTGAGCTCAGGAGTTCAAGTCCAGCCTAGGCAATATAGTGAGACTTGTCTCTAAAACAAACAAACAATTTTTTTTTAATTTTTTTTTTTTAACTCAGCAGATATATTAGCTGGCCAGACTCAGTCCAGATTCCACAGATTAAAGCCAGGCTGGTTAATACATTTAAGAAAAGGACTGCAAGATCTCTATGTTGAAAACTTCAGGCCAGGAATGGTGGCTCATGCCTGTAATCCCGACACTCTGAGAGACCGAGGTGGGTGGCCTAGGAGTTGGAGACCAGCCTGGGCAACATGGAGAAACCCCGTCTCTACTAAAAATACAAGAAATTAGCCAGGTATGGTGGCACACACCTGTAGTTCCAGCTTCTCAGGAGGCTGAGAGGGGAAGATCACCTGAGCCTGGGAGGCGGAGGCTGCAGTGAGCTGAGACTGTGCCACTGCCCTGCAGCCTGGGTGAAAGAGCGAGACCCTGTCTCAAAAAACAACAACAAAAAAAAAAAAAAAAAAAAAAATCCAGAAACATTTAAATTATGGTCAACTGATTTCCAGCAAAGGTATCTAGGCAATACAATGCAAAAAGATAGTCTTTTCAATAAAACTTGAACAGATAACAAAAGATGGTGTATCCATACAGTGGAATATTCAGCCATAAAAAAGACCAAACTACTGATACATGCTACAGCATGGATGAACCTCAACGACATTATGCTAAATTAAAGAAGCCAGACACAAAAGTTTGTATGATACTGTTTACAAGAAATGTTTAGGCCGAGTGCGGTGGCTCACGCTTGTAATCCTAGCATTTTGGGAGGCTGAGGTGGGTGGATCCTCTAAGGTCAGGAGTTCGAGACCAGCCTGGCCAACATGGTGAAACCCCATCTCTACTAAAAATCCAAAATTATCTGGGCATGGTGGCGGGTGCCTGTAATCCCAGCTACTTGGGAGGCTAAGGCAGGAGAATTGCTTGAACCCGGGAGACAGAAGTTGCAGTGAATCAATATCACACCACTGCACTCCAACCTGGGCGACAGAGCAAGACTCGGTCTCAAAAAAAAAAAAAAAGTTTAGGAAAGGCAAATATCTAATATCTAGAGAAAGGAAACAATTCAGTGGTACCCTGGGGCATGGGAAAGGGGAAGGGGATGAATATAAACAGGCATGAGGAAACTTCTGGGGTGACAGAAATGTTCTAAAACTGGATTTTGGTGATGTTGCACAATTTTGTAAATGTATAAAAATCACTAAAATGCACACTTACAATATGTGATCAAATTATGCTTTTCCTCTGCTCTCCTACTACAGCAAGTAACACTAAAGACTTCTGTGACCAAATATGGGTGGGGGCAGTTCTCCCCACCACCAAGCAAGCAATTAGTTCTGCAGCAAATACCAGCTATGTGTCCTTCAATTCAATTCCAACACTATCTACCCAGAGATAGCATTAATCCCACAGGTGAGGGCTCAGTCCCAGCACTTCTCCCCACCCCTCAGACACCAGCTGCAGGTCCAGACCTCCAGAGCTTCTGACTGATGGTCTTTAAATTAGGGTTCCCATGACTCCCTGTTTGGGTTCCATTAATTTGCTAGAGCAGCCCACAAAACTCAGGAAAACATGTTTACTGCTTTATTACAAAGGATACAGATGAAGAGATACATAGGGCAAGGCATGGAGGAAGGGCACAGAGCACCCATGCCCTCCCTGGGTGTGATCATTCAAGAACCTCCACGTGTTCAGCTACCCAGGAGCTCCTAGAACCCTGTCCTTTCAGGTTTTTATGGAGGTTCCATTAAATAGGCATGATTGATGAAACCACTGGCCATTAGCGAGCCATTTCCCCTTCAGCCCCTCTACCCTCCCTGGAGGTTGCAAAGTTCGGCTGAAAGTCCCAACCCCCTAGTCCTGCCTTGGTCTTTCTGGTGACCAGCCCCCATCCTGAAGCCACCTAGGGGTTGCCAGCCATCTTTTTGTACATCTTTAGTGTACAAGGTCAAAGACCAAATATATATTTCACAATATCACAGGTGAAGTTTATGCAATGTAAGTTATACCTCAATGAAGCTATTTTTTTTTTAAAAAAAAGAATAATCAGGAGTTCCCCATTGCTGGAGTACACAAGCAGAAACGGAATGATCTCCTCACAGGGATGCTACAGAGTGGGGGTCTCCATGACCTTAGTACTGGACCTCACTGTCAGACTCAAAGATCCTGTGGCCTTTTGACCCAAAGTGCTGGTGTATACATTTTTTTGTGTGGCTTTCTTCGGTTGCTGGTCAGATGGTTATAACAGAGAAAACAATGGTAACTACTCCTCCAAATACCTCACTTACAAACATTGAACATAGAATGATTTTCACCTTTCGTCCTGTAAAGGCAGCTCGATGAAGCGGCGTGTCTCCCATGTCATTCAACACATTCACTTCTGCACCAGCCTAGTAAACATGACCACTTTAAATACCAAGAAATATACAATGGTGAAAATCATTCCTTCAAAATATATTAAGGCCTTAAAAAATTAAAATTGTTAATATTGTTTAGGTGTCAGTACTAACAATAAATTAAATTTAAAGTAACAATAAAAAGCCAGCACGGTGGTTTGAGCCCATAGTCCCAGCTACTTGGGAGGCTGAGGCAGGAGAATCATCTGAGCCCAGGAGTTCAAGGCCAGTCTGGCACTATAGCGAGACTCCATCTTATATATATATATATATATGTACACATATAGTAGTGTATATATGGTAGGTTTTCTGAAAGGTAAAAATCTACCTGATAGGTAGAAAAATAAAAAGTAAAAAGGTACTTTTCACTAAAAATCTATACACCTTGGCCAGGCGCAGTGGCTCACACCTGTAATCCTAGCACTTTGGGAGGCTGACGTGGGCGGATTGCTTGTGCTCAGGAGTTTGAGACCAGCCTGGGCAACATGGTGAAAGTCCGTCTCTACAAAAAATAGAAAAACATTAGCCAGGTGTGGAGGCACGTGCCTATAGCTCCAGTATTTGGGGGACTGAGGCAGGAGGATCACTTGAACCTGGGAGGTCAAGGCTGCAGTGAGCCGAGATTACGCCACTGCACTCCAGCCTGGGTGACAAAGTGAGGCCTTGTCTTGATTAAAAAAAAAAAAAAAAAAATCCATACACCTTCACTCTACTTTAGAAGCAGTCATATTGAAAAAAGGAGAATGATCTCTGAATGAAATACCACATTTCCTCCTTTATCAATTTAATAAGTTTTGAGGAAAAAAGATGCCATTATTTAAATGTACAGATGAATTGTAAGATGCAAGCAAATTTCAGAACTATCAGAATGTGAGAAGTTATTCATCATAGAATTAAGAAATATGAGCTCTCAATTCTCTTTAAATACAGTGCTAAGAGATTGTGACATTGTTTTTTCTTTTTAATTTTTATTTGTGTATTGACATTATTTTTTAATTATTTAGGGTGTGCTTTGGTTATTTTTTCAACTGTCACACTCAGAACTGAAAATAAAATCTTCATTAATATGCCTACTTTTATTATTTTTAAAAGCTAGTAATAAAAAAATCTAATGATTAAACATACAATTTTAATTAATCAGGCTAACCTAATTCATGTATTTATTTAATAAAGAACAATTAAGTGTCTTGAATGATGAACTATTGCTTTAAATAAGTCATTATGGCTCAGGTGGCTTTTCTAAGACTTTCATCTTAAAATTTCCATAACAATAATATTTACTGTAGTCATTAAAAATTAAAGTCATAAATAGACCTTCAACAGATCCTGGACCACTTGTCTGTGTCCAAAATAGCATGCCAGATGTAGAGGTGTCCAGCCCAAGTTAGACTTACTTCTTCCTAAAAATGGAAAAATATAAGGTATTTTTAGGTCATATTTAGGTAATTTTACAACGAAATTAACTTCTCCATAACAAGCTACCTCAATAATCTCCTTTGCAATGCATTGCTGATAAGTGAGAGGCAAGATATGTGACCAAGAAGTGTAATGGGTGTAAAGGACGAGAACTCACAAGGTGCAGATCTGGTGCCACCTTCTGACTCGATGTCTTCACCTCTAAAGGGATAGAGGGAGACAGGACGGGGGTTACATTCGAGCTAGATGATCTCTAGCAGCTTCTTGACTCTAGGGCTCCGAGTCTTTAATCATCTTGCCATCATCAGGTCAAGAGGGGTTTTATTGACATAGTTCACGACAAGCAACTCTCTTTGAAAACCTGTATCAGGAGGGTATGGAGGAGCTGAAGGCAGCTCACAGCAACTCTCTGTACACCTGTACCACATCAAGAGTCAGTAAAGGATAGTTCCTGCAGCACCTGTGATGTGGTTTGGATTTGTCCCCACCCATATCTCATGTTGAATTGGAGCAGGGGCCTGGTGGGAGGTGATTGGATCATAGGGGCGGATTTCCCTCTTGCTATTCTCGTGACAGTGAGTGAGTTCTCAGGAACTCTCTGAAAGTGTGTGGTTGTTTCCTGAGGCCTCCCTGTCAAGCTTCCTGGTAAGCCTGAGTAACTGTGAGTCAATTAAGTCTCTTTTCTTCATAAATTACTCAGTCTCAGGTAGTTCTTTATAGCAGTGTGAAAATGGACTAATACGATTTGGAAAGCTGTGAACTCTACAGATAGTGCCTGAAAGTGGAGTCTTTGACTTCAGATAAAGTCTCAGTTAATGAGGATATTGGGTTGCCAAGGTGAAAGAGAGGACCGAAGTTAAAGACAATGAAGTGTCAGATCTTAGGAGTAGAGCTGAGGAAAGACATAAACAACTGAGTGTTGCAAAAACTAAAATCACAGATTCAATTTAGCAAAAAAGATATTCAGAGCACTATTTAGAGCTGAGGAAGCCCAAAAGCTTCCCAAAATTCCCAATCAGACTGTAGCAAATACAGCCCTATCAAATCCCAAAGTCACCTGCCTTGATGGGGCTGTTACAGCCCAAGAACATGTTATTCCAGGGGCCACTGCAGGGAAAGAGCGATGGTTTCACAGCTACTGTAGATAGCAGTACCTCACTTACATGATACACTGCCCTCAGCTCCTGGATTCCAGGATCTGAACCCACAGAAACCTCAGCCAACAACCTCAGCACACCCACAACAGGCCTCTAACAACCCTCCAAGGGACTGCAGCTGCCAGCAGTGTCCCTGGGATTGTTTGCCATTTACCCAAACTCCTACATCTGTTTCCTCTCAAGTGTGTGTCCTGTGGAACCCCTAATTACACAGTCAATAAATCCCAGAGCCTCAGTCTCTTTCACTGAACCTATCTTTTGCTTTCTGTTCTTAGTGAAACCTAGCTCATCCTGATAAGGATCTCCCCCTTATTCTTCAGGTGGGGTCCCCCATCCCCCCTGTCCCTCACTGAACAGAAGTCGTGTGAACCTCCACATCAAAACTCCCACTGCTGGCCGAGCATGGTGGCTCATGCCTGTAATGCCAGCATTTTAGGAGGCCAAGGATGGCGGACTGCTTGAGCCCAGGAGTTCAAGACCAGACTGGGCAACATAGAGAAACCCCATCTCTACAGAGAATTAAAAAATTAGCCAGGCCTGGTGGTGCACACCTGCAGTCTCAGCTACTCCAGAGGCTAAGGCGGAGGATCACCAGAGCCCAAGAGGTCAAGGCTTCAATGATCTGTGACTGCACCGCTGCATTCCAGCCTGGACAACAAAGCGAGACACTGTCTCAAAACAACAACAAAAAACCCACTACTGCCTTTAGTTGATGACTTCTCCACTCACATCACAGCTCCTCCTTTGAGGCTTCTGTCATTAAGCCAAAGCTCTTGTGCATGCCTTCTCTGCTGCCATCTGCCAGCCTCCCAGTGGCCTGCCCCTCACCAAATAACTTTGGGCAGCATATTCTTTCACCCCGTTGCAAATCCTGCCACCATCCTCAGGGGGTCAACTGCCTATTCAGCACCCTGGTCTCTCACTTTCTCAGCTTCCCTCATTTCTCACAAACTGTGCCTCTGTTTAAGGTCAGGGACCCACTGCCAGAGCCACAGCCTGGGCGCCATCATCACCCCTGGACTCAGAACACAGAAAGCCACTTTCCCAAGCACTCCCAACTTCCCAGCCTGTCCACACAGCTATCCCCCAGACTTTCTTTTCAACTTATCCAGCCCCCAGCTCTAATCATTTTCTTTTTTCAAGAAAGGGTATCCCTCTATCACCCAGGCTATAGTGCAGTGGCACAATCACATCTCACTGCAGCCTTTACCTCCTGGGCTCAAGCAACTCTCCCACCTCAGCCTCCCGAGTAGCCGGGACCACAGGCATGCGCCACCACACCTGGCTAATATTTGGATTCTTTTGTAGGGATGGGGTTTTGCCATGTTGCCCAGGCTGGTCTCAAACTCCTGAGCTCAAGTGATCCTCTAACCTCAGCCTCCCAAAGTGGTGGGATTACAGGGGTGAGCCACTGCACCAGGCCTAATGACTTTCATGTATATGTAAATACCCTCCATCTTCACTTCCTTCAATAAATTCAGTGTCTATTCTTTAATCCCTCACTTCAACGTTTATCATATCCTGAAAATTCTGGCTTCACTATAATATCTGTCACAGCAGCCTAAAAAACCTCCAAAGCCTGAGAAGTACAACGAGCCCAGTTTCTCCATAACCACACCCAGGTCGCTAACCAACGGTGAAGAAAAACAACAGAGCCCTGTGGATTTACACACCATAAACTCAGGATCTCACACTAGCTGAAGGCACTTCTATAAGGCCCTGTCCAAGCATCTCTCATATATTCCAACAAAAAGTAATTCAGTCCTTCACTAGTCTCCTCAAGCCTTTTACCGAGACAACTCTACCTTAGCAAATGACATATTCAGCTTCACAGAGAAAACAGCTTTCATAGAATTCCCTGGGCTTCCAGCACCAAATCAACCATCCCACCTATATCTACAGGCACTCTGCTAAACTTTCCTCCCGAGGTCTAAGACTAACCGTTCTCTCTGGATCCTGGAGCCCATCCCTTCCTGCTTCTCAGGCCCTCCTTTTTTGCCTGTCTTCAACCTCTCCCCCTTTAGTTGCTGATGGGAAGGAGTAAGAACTCTGGTGTCTCCCATCTAAAGAGGAAACATAAATGAAACCCTCCCTACTCTGTGCTCCCTGGCAGCTACTGCACCCCTCACCCTCCCCATTCTACTCTTCACTGGCTCTTTCTACCTAACATTCCTTCCTGTCAACCCCCACCCATTGCAGATGAGGCTCATCTCCCACCAGGTCATGAACACTATCTTCAATTTTTATCAAGAAATGCTGTCACTGGGTCCCAGGGGCAGGTTTCTGCCATCACTGCATCACAGGACAGCATGGCCACATTCTTCCCTAGCTGCCACAGCCCTGTACCCTGTGGGTCCTCTCATTTCTCTGGCACTACTTTTCCATATCCTTTGGAAAATTTATTTTCCCCGACTATTCCATTACTGGTAACTTCAAAAATGGTACTTCAGCCGGGCATGGTGGCTCACACCTGTAATCCCAGCACTTTGGGAGGCCAAGGCGGATAGACTGATTGAGGTCAGGAGTTCAAGATGAGCCTGGGCAAGTAGTGAAACCCTATTTCTACAAAAAATACAAAAATCAGCCAGGCGTGGTGGCGCACACCTGTAATCCCAGCTACTCCAGAGGCTGAGGTGGGAGGATCACTTGAGCCTGGGAGTTCAAGGCTGCAGTAAGCCATGATCACACCACTGCACTACAGCCGGAGTGACAGAGCAAGACGCTGTCGCAAAAAAAAAAAAAAGAAAGAAAAAGAAAAAAAGAGGTATTTCATGGCCCTCTTCCACTGCTTCCATTGTTTCTGTGCTGTTGACTTCAAAATCCATATTTCCATCTCCAAAGTGTCCACTAGACATCTCCATTGGGCTGGGCAAGGGTTCCTCAATGCTCAGAAAGCACAAAGCTGAACTCACCTGTCGTCCTCCGTACACACACTCGCAGGAACCACCAGGCCCCTCCCACATGTGTATTCACAATGGGTGGCCCCTCATTCCCCTCCTCACTCAACAGCAGCAGCACCTTCCTGCTTTCTCCTTTTCACCCCACACTCAATTAGCTCGACTGACTCCAACTCCTAAATATTCATTACATCTAGTTTTCTCCATTGCCACTGCGTCTGCCCCCATCCAAACCACACTGTCTCCTCTCACTTCCTCTGACAGCTTGTGACCTGGTGTCCTCACATCTAGTATTTCCAAATAGGATTCTGGATCAAGAAATCAAAATTTCCAAGATCCAGTCAGGCACTGCAGCTCACACCTGTAATCCCAGCACCTTGGGAGGCCAAAGTGGGCAGATCACTTGAGGTCAGGAGTTGGAGACCAGCCTGGCCAACATGGTGAAACCCTGTCTCTACTAAAAATACAAAAATTAGCCTGGTGTGATGGTGGGCGCCTGTAGTCCCAGCTACTTGGGAGGCTGAGGCACAAGAATCGCTTGAACCCAAGAGGAGGTGGAGGTTGCAGTGAGCCAAGATTGCACCCTGCACTCCAGCCTGGGCAACAGAGCAAGACTATGTCTCAAAAAAAGAAAAAAATTTCCAAGATCCTACATTTACTCTTAAAATACTTCAAACAGTATTTTAAGTTTAACTACTTATAGGTATCTTTAACTACTTATCTAAAAGGATGTGTTCAATGAATAAGAAATGTCAAGCTTTGGAGTATTTACAAAGAACAGTACACTATACATAATATTAAAACACTAAAATACCAGCAGGTATTACTGGGGAATATTCGAATAACTTCACATTTGGACCTCCTAGTAAAGTGACAGCACTACACAGAATTGTGTGTTGAGACTGCCAATATAAGTACTTAGGTTGCTTCCAAAATTTATTATTTCTTGGAACATCACTCATAGAATTTACAAAAAGTATGTTATGCATATACGTATTAATATTTATTTTATTTGCAAGAATGACTCACACAAGCAAGACAGGACCATGAACACATACTTGTAACACAACACCAGCTACAAGCAAAACTAATTCTATCCTCCTCTCCCAGACCCTAAAAACACTAACCTTCACTTTCCACTCACATCAGCCCTTCTTTCCCTCACTTTCAACTTGACATCAGTGAATTCCTTCCAAACAGTAACATCTCTATGTTGACTGTTAACCTTTAATTCTTGCAGGAGAATTATAGTAATTTATACCATTTTCCCAATTTGTCATTATTTGGAAAAACAGGAAAGAAAGGAAAGAAAACCAAGAAATGCCGGGAAGGAACCCCCCACATGGAAACACTATTCACGCCTGGTCTTGCCCACCCCTCCCCACTCCCTTAAGAACTGCATATCATCTGACTATGTCACCTTCTGCATCAACCCTTCAAACTGCCCTTAAGATAAAGTCTGACTGACAGGTATAATGAGGTGAAAATTGAAAAAAATATTAACATATTTCTCAGCTTTACATTTCCAAGTAGATGACTTTCTCCTAATTAGCCTGAGGCAAACATGGGTGGAGGTGGGAAGGGGAGACAGAAAAGGGTCACTGAGGATGATCAAATGTTTTGGCATTCAAAATAGAATCCTGAGGTAAAGATAAAGAGCCAGTCTTTGCTGAAGAATGGGGGGAAATTTTATACATTTTTTTATTTTTTAAATATTTTTTCCTCAGATCATTCTCCATAACAAAGATATTTTAAAATTCCTTTTACCACCTCAGTTTCTAGACAACCCAGATCCTCAGATCACAGTTTCTTCCCTATTGCAAAGATGCTATTTCTTCCCCACTGAGGGTGAGGTCATGAGGTTTGCTGCCCTGGTACAGGAGGAGGAAGTAGCAAAAAGAATAAAATATCCACCTGAAGCCAGCCCTTTCTGGGACTGAGGAACTGTGGAAGAAAAAAAGACAAAAGCTGAGACACGTGGCTCTGGATCTTAAACTCGGAAAGTGGGATACATTGAGGAGACATAGAGAACAGGCAAGCTGCTTCCGGGATGCAGGAAAAGACCCCCCCTAGATCGCCCATCTTAGCACTCCCCTGCCAGATGCCACATCAAAGCAGACTCAGTAAGGTGTCCTGAGGGAAGGCTGCATTTTGGCTAACCAGAGCTGCTCTAGGTTCCCCCATGTCATTGGCTCCCACATGCCACTCTCCCAAGAAGGGAACAGGAGTGTGTCTGCATTGAACCAGCAAGCCTAGGCCAGGTGCCAGATGAAGATGTGACAGAGGGTAACACAAGCCAACATGAGAGTCTCCTGATACAGCCAAGGAGCCTTACCTATGCCACACGACACACTGAGAGACCTGAGTTTGACTTTCTACCTGAGTTTCACGTCAGCTTCCAATGCTTAAGGAGCACCAGGAAGACAAGGGTGGCTGAGGACCCAAAGCCAAGTCATAGATTCGAGGAAAACCTGCCTCTCCACCACACGAACACACAGCAAGTCTCACCTCTACACTCAAACACCAAGCTAGAGGAAACACAGGGGAAGGGAGATCAAGACTTTATCAAAAAGGCTACTAAAAAAAGTATGGCTAGATGCAATGGATCACACCTGTAATCCCAACACTTTGGGAGGCTGAGATGAGAGGATCGCTTGAGACCAGGAGTTCAAGACCAGCCTGGGGAACACAGCAAGATCCCGTTTCTACAAGAAATACAAAAATTAGCCAGGCGTGGTGGCATGTGCTTGTAGTCCCAACTACTCTGGAGGCTGAGGTGGGACAAAGGCTTGAGCCCAGAAGTCTGAGGCTGCCATGAACTGTGAGCATGCCACTGCACTCCAGCCTGGGCAACAGAACAAAACCCTGTCTCAAAAAAAAAAAAAAAAAAAAAAAAAAAAGACAGAAGTACCCAAAGACTAACGTTTACTCTCCCCATACCTCCCAGAACATGAAGAGGTTTATTACAATACCAGAGCCATTTTGAGAACACGTTTTATTTCTCTGCACATTTGATGCAAGGTTGTGATGTATTGGCCACTTTGCTACACATGGCATATTATGACTTGGCTGCTATGTTGTTTCTTCTTCCTTGAACCATTTTTTCTTCTCTATCGTCACCTGGTTAACTCCTACTCTTTCACATTTCATCTTAGAATCGTCTCCTCCAAGAAGCAAATCCTTCAAGTTCCAGTTTCACACCTCTCCCATGACACCTGCACTTCCAGATCCTGGTACCTATTTTGTAATGCAGACTAGTCTGATCTGTTAATCTACTAGACTAAGCTCAATAAGGGCAGGGATCCCATGTGTCTCTTCATCATTATCTCCAAGACACACAGTAAACACTCAGACCTGCTGGGTCAACTGCAATGTCTTCAAGAAGAAAAAAAAATTATCATAGTGTATCTGGAATTGGTGGGTTCTTGGTCTCACTGACTTCAAGAATGAAGCCGCGGACCCTCGCGGTGAGTGTTACAGCTCTTAAGGCGGCGCGTCTGGAGTTGTTTGTTCCTCCCGGTGGGCTCGTGGTCTCCCTGGCTTCAGGAGTGAAGCTGCAGACCTTCGCAGTGAGTGTTACAGCTCATAAAAGCAGTGTGGACCCAAAGAGTGAGCAGTAGCAAGATTTATTGCGAAGAGCAAAAGAACAAAGCTTCCACAGTGTGGAAGGGGACTCCAGCGAGTTGCCACTGCTGGCTCCGGCAGCCTGCTGTTATTCTCTTGTCTGGCCCCACCCACATCCTGCTGACTGGTAGAGCCGAGTGGTCTGTTTTGACAGGGTGCTGATTGGTACCTTTACAATCCCTGAGTTAGACACAAAGGTTCTCCACATCCTCACCAGGTTAGCTAGATACAGAGTGTGGACACAAAGGTTCTCCAAGGCCCCACCAGAGTAGCTAGATACAGAGTATTGATTGGTGCATTCACAAACCCTGAACTAGACGCAGGGTGCTGATTGGTGTGTTTATAAACCTTGAGCTAGATACAGAGTGCCGATTGGTGTATTTACAATCCCTGGGCTAGACATAAAGGTTCTCCACCTCCCCACCAGACTCAGGAGCCCAGCTGGCTTCACCCAGTGGATCCCGCACTGGGGCTGCAGGTGGAGCTGCCTGCCAGTCCTGCACCATGCGCCCGCACTCCTCAGCCCTTGGGTGGTGGATGGGACTGGGCGCTGTGGAGCAGGGGGCAGTGCTCATCGAGGAGGCTTGGGCCGCACAGGAGCCCATGGAGGGGGTGGGAGGCTGAAGCATGGCCGACTGCAGGTCCTGAGCCCTGCCCCGCAGGAAGGCAGCTAAGGCCCGGTGAGAGATCCAGCGCAGCGCCGGTGGGCTGGCACTGCTGGGGGACCCAGTACACCCTCCGCAGCCGCTGGCCCGGGTGCTAAGCTCCTCATTGCCAGGGGCCGACAGGGCCGGCCGGCTGCTCCCAGTGCGGGGCCCACCAAGCCCACGCCCACGCCCACACGGAACTCCAGCCGGCCCGCAAACGCCGCGCGCAGCCCTGGTTCCCGCTAGCGCCTCTCCTTCCACACCTCCCTGCAAGCCGAGGGAGCCGGCTCCAGCCTTGGCCAGCACAGAAAGGGGCTCCCACAGTGCAGCGATGGGCTGAAGGGCTCCTCAAGTGCCGCCAAAGTGGGAGCCCAGGCAGAGGAGGCCCGAAAGCGAGCGAGGTCTGTGAGGACTGCCAGCACGCTGTCACCTCTCAATAGGATGTATCCTGTGGGCTAGAGCCACCCTTGTGGCTTGTAATATTTGGGATCCATAACAATTTTAAGAATTTAAAATTCTTATGTCACTTTCTCTGACTCAGAGGGGGCTAGGAGAGACATTTCCTCCAATCTGTGGGGTTCTTCCTAGCATGAGAGATAGAGATTAATTACATGATAGATAAGAAAGGTTAGCATTAAATAAATGCTAAGAGTAGTGCAGACTCATAAGAGAAAGCTACAAAATCCATTCAAAGTTTACCTTTGCAATTAATGTCAGCAATCACTTCATTCCTCGCCATGGTCTCTAATAGTTGTCTTACTTCTTCAGCATTGCCATTTCTGGCGTGATGGAGAAGCTGTTGCTCCGCTTCTGTGTTCATTTCTAAATTAAGAAAATAATAACATTGCTATTATTTAAGAACATAATTAGCTTTTAGATATCACCTGCTAATACAGAAAGGGGAAAGAATCCTCATTTTGCAGCTGATAAGACAGACACAACAACTGAATAAATCCGTTGCAGGGTGAGAACTTGAGCCTGAGACCCCTTGCCCTTCCTATTATTATTGAAGCAGTACAGGAGACACTTGGGCAAGTCTCTTAACTTCTTAAGGCCTTAGTTTCCTCATCTGCAGAATACAACCAACCGCATAAGCTGTTTGTTGTAAGATTATGTATGTGAAAGCATTCTGTCAAATACATAGTATTATGCAAATAGTTATTACATTAAAAATTAGACATAAAAGGAAAAAACAAAATTAGAGATAAAGTCAAAGTATGACTTTATTTCCTATATGACCATTCATATAGGAATAGTGTAAGACTAACATGTAAACTAACACATTCAAAACTGTGCAAAGAATCATTCTGAATAGAAACTCATTATAGATAAATGCCCTGAAGTGGCTATATGTAAACAAATTTATTTTTTCTGTCACATTTTCTTATCAAGCCCCAAACCAAATATAGAAAATTACAACCAAATTTCAAGCATTTATGTCAAAATGAGCAAATATTACAAATAGCAATTCCCAGAAGTATGTCATTCTTACTAATAATCAAATAAATAAAAATCATTCAAACACAAGTGATATTTTTCATGCCCATTGAATTAGCAAAAATAAAAAAAGACAAGAAACAATGCTGGCATGGGCAGGAAATAGCACTCCTGTAGACTGCTAAAATGAATATAAATGCATACAACCTTTCATACATTACAGGTGGAGATCAGCAATTTGGCAATATCAAATAAACTTCAAAATTCATATATACCATTTACTTTGTCTAGGCAACTCTATTTCTAGAAATCTATCCTGCAAAAACATTTACACAAGATTTTTATTTCAATGTTTATTTTTCCCCTCACTTTTGCTGTCATCTTATACAAGATTATTTTGAAACCATGCTTATAAAGATTACATTATTTGTAATAGTGGAAAAGTTAGAAACCACTCCATGTCATCAACAGGGGACTGGTTAAATACATCTTCCAGTGAGGCTAAAAGAGATGGGCTGTATAGGCTGGTGACTGGATGGGTTTTGAAGGCATGGTTTCAAAACAGAGCAGAGCAAACAGCTTGTCTCCAGCCCTCTTGCCCTAATCGGCATTTCTTATGCAGGCAAGCCAGGCTTTACCCTCTATGAGACTTAGCTGGTTATATTCCCTAAAGTACAAGAGAGACACCAGGAGGTCCCAGCAAGTGGTCAAGCCAGGCAAACCTTACAATGAAGTTAGCAGTCAACAGGGCCCACCCACTCTCTCAGTTTTCAATCAACTTTCTAGCTCCCCACTCTTAAACATGAAAGACAAAGACCAAAACCAAACAGGGAAGAAAAGCAACCTAGAGAAAACAAGGTATCAAAGAAAATGTTAAAAAATAATAACTAATATCCTTAGATAATAAATGACATTCTGTCCTGTAACAAAAACAAGATGCTATTAAAAAAAAATAAAGCTTGAGAAAAAGAACTTTGGAAATAAAAATAGCAAAAATTAAAACTTCAATAAAAGAGTTGGAAAATAAGTTGAGAATATCTCCTAGAAAATAAAATGTTAAGAAAATGGGAGATAAAAGATGAATGTTGGCCAGGCACAGTGGCTCATGCCTGTAATTCCAGCACTTTGAGAGGCCGAGGCGGGTGGACCACTTGAGCCCAGGAGTTCAAGACCAGCCTGGACAACATGGTGAAACCCCAACTCTACTAAAAACACAAAAATTAGTTGGGTCTGCTGGTGCACACCTGTAACCCCATCTACTCAGGAGGCTGAGGCAGGAGAATCACTTGAACCTGGGAGGTGGAGGTTGCAGTAAGCTGAGATCATGCCACTGCACTCCAGCCTGGGTGACAGAGTGAGACTTGGTCTCAAAAAAAAAAAAAAGAATGTTAAGAGAATTGGTCCAGGAGGTCAAACATTGAAACGAAGTTCTAAAAAAAGAAAACAGAGAGACAGAGAAAATAAAGAATTTATTTGGCAGGCCGAGGTGGTAGGATCACTTGAGGCCAGGAGTTTGAGACCAGCCTAATACGGTGAAACCTCATCTCTACTAAAAATAAAAAAAAAAAATTTAGCCAGGTGTGGTAGGGGAGGCCTGTAGTCCCAGCTATATCGGGAGGCTGAGGCAGGAGAATCGCTTGAACCTGGGAGGCAGAGGTTGCAGTGAGCTGAGATCACGCCACTGCACTCCAGCCTGGGAAACAGAGCAAGACACCGTCTTAAAAAAAAGAATTTAAGGAAGTCTTACAGCATTGAAAGGCCTAATGAGAGCCCAACAATTCTGGAAGATTTCTGATCTACAGACAAAATAGAACCTATGAAAGCACATCATCATGAAATTTTAGAACTTTGGTAACAAAAGATATCAGGTAATAAACAAAAGAGCAGGAATCAGAATGATTTTGACTTCTCTATCACAACATAAGCATCCAAAAGACAACAAAGCAATACCTAAAAGTTCTGGAGGAAAATTATTTCCAATCCCCAATTCTATAACCAGCCAATCAAAAGTAGGAGTAGAATAAGGACATTTTAAAATATACCAGTATGTAAATTTATTTCCCATGCAACACTTCTCAGGAAGCCACCAGGGGTGTAGCTCACCAAAATTAAAAAACCAAGGAAGAGGAAGACATTAGCAAAGACATTAGAAACAGAAAACTAGCAAAGGAATCCCCAGAGTGAGGGGAAACCCCTGATATCTAGCTGTGGGCCTGGCCTAGCTCTTATCCATATTTGGTTTATCTGGCCCACACGCTAAGGATGTTTTGCTGCATGTCCAGCTGAGGGTCCTAATTCCACCCCTCAGAAGTGTTCTCCTTTCACCCACACCTCAGAAATACCTGTGAGCTCAGAGGCAGAAAGTGAAGAGCAGCCTAATCCCCCAACAAATTCCTGGATCCAGGATCCCACATCTGGTCCCTTCTATAGCCCTACCAAGCCACCAGCCTGGCTAAGGCCTGTTTCCAGTGCTCGCACAAGGCCTCGCTCAGTAGCTTCCCTTTGAAAGAGCTCTTACAGGCTGGGAGCGGTGGCTCACGCCTGTAATCCCAACACTTTGGGAGACTGAGGCGGGTCTATCACCTGAGGTCAGGAGTTCGAGACCAGTCTGATCAACATGGTGAAACCCCGTCTCTACTAAATGCAAAAAAATTAGCCAGGCATGGTGGCACATGCCTGTAATCCCAGCTACTTGGGAGGCCAAGGCAGGAGAATCACTTGAACCCAGGAGGCGGAGGTTGCAGTGAGCTGAGATTGTGCCACTTCACTCCAGCCCGGGCAATAAGAGCAAAATTCCATCTCAAAAAAAAAAAAAAAAGAAAAGAAAAAAGAAAAAGTAAAAAGCTCTTATAAACTCTGCAGGAAGCCAAACCCAGGCTCAGGCTGTTTAAAGAAAAAATTATTCAGTGATACTCGTTAAAGCATGAAAGGAAAGACTTTATTCAGGACCCCCGTGGTAGTTACAAGGACCACTGCAAGAGAGTCCTGCAGTGGGGAAGAGAGCTTGAGCTCAACTCTGAATACAGCAAGGACAAGTGGGATTATAGCCAAGGAGTAGGGTCAGGGTCAGTGGGTGGAAAAGTACTCAGAGGAAACATCAGGGGCAAAGGGGATTCTGGGTAAACCAAACTAACAGGGTTGTTGCTGAAGACAGGCCAGGGTGGTCAGACACCACCTGGGGGATGGTGGAAGATGAGGAACCTGATCAGATATCAAGGGTGGAGGGTTCTTGCTAAAACCGGATTTTACAAGGAAGTGCACAGATGGACCTAACAGAAGGTTCAGAAGTCTGATTAAAGTTTGGCCAAGTAAAGAATCTCTGTCATGACTCAGAATCTTATTTTCAGAGTAAATTTCTGGGGGAACTTCATCTAACAGTGATTGTAATGCCCTTTCTTCAGTTTGCTAATCAGCTTTTATATTAATCCCCTCTGCATTCATTCACCTGTTAAAATATCTAATATTTTTAAAATGTTAGCAATATTTATATTCATTGTAGCATTATTTATAAAGAAAAAAAATCAGGACCAGGCACAGTTGCTCACTCTTGTAATCCCAGCACTTTGGGAGGCCGAGGAGGGCAGATCACTTGAGGTCAGGAGTTCGAGCCCAGCCTGGCCAACATGGCAAAAAAACTCCATCTCTACTAAAAATACAAAAATTAGGCAGGCGTGGTGGTGGGCGCCTGTAAAACCAGCTACTCAGGAGGCTGAGGCAGGAGAATCGCTTGAACCCGGGAGGCAGAGGTTGCAGTGAGTAGAGATCACACCACTGCACTCCAGACTGGGCAACAGAGGGAGACTCCACCTCAAAAAAAGAAAGAAAGAAAGAACAAAAAATTAAAGATCCGTCAATAAAGGTTCATTCACCTAATACTATGAAACCATTAAAAATATTACAGAAGACCCAGCCTGGCAACATGGTGAGACCCTATATCTATAAAAATACAAAAAATCAGCTAGGCATGAGGCTGGGCGCAGTGGCTCATGCCTGTAATCCCAGCACTTTGGGAGGCCAAGGCAAGTGGATCACGAGGTCAGGAGTTCGAGACCATCCTGGCCAACATGGTGAAAACGTCTCTACTAAAAAAAAAAAAAAAAAAAAAATTTAGCCAGGCGTGGTGGCAGGCGCCTGTAGTCCCAGCTACTCAGGAGTCTGAGGCAGGAGAAGGGCGTGAACCCAGGAGGCAGAGCTTGCAGTGAGCTGAGATTGTGCCACCGCACTCTAGCCTGGGCAACAGAGTGAGACTCCGTCTCAAAAAAAAAAAAAAAAAAAAATTTGCTGGGCATAGTGGTGTGAGCCTGTAGTCCCAGCCATTGGAGAGGCTGAGGTAGGAGGATCACTTAAGCCCAGGAGGTCGAGGCTGCAGTTAGCCAAGATCATGCCACTGCACTCCAGCCTGTGTAACAGAGACTCCGTCTCAAAAAAATTTTTTTTAATAAAAATATATTATAGAAGAAGCTGGGGGCAACGGCTCAGCACTTTGGGAGGCCGAGGTGGGTGGATCTCCAGTCCAGGAGATCAAGACCAGCCTGGGCAACATGGTAAAACCCCATCTCTACAAAAATACAAAAATTAAGCCAGGCATGGTGGTGCGCGCCTGTAGTCTCCGCTACCTGAGAGGCTGAGGTGGAAGGATCACCTGAGCTCAGGAAGTTGAGACTGCAGTGAGCTGAGATCACGCCACTGCACTTTAGCCTGGGTGAGAGTGAGACCCTGTTTCAAAAAAAATAGTAAATGAAAGAAAAAGAAAAAAATGTTTAAATAATTTATAAAACTATGAAATTGCAATATATTGTTAGGACAGATGGTACTTATATAGATTAAGCTCTATATATATTTGCTAAATATCGGCAGAGAAACAGAGGGAAAAGATATCAGGATGTCAACAGTGGTTACTCCTGTGGTGAAATTATGAATGGTTTTAAATGTCTTCTTTGGTTATTTGTATTTTCCAAATTTCCTACACTATAAAGGCATTTTATAACTGGAAAATGTTAAGTTATTAAAGATAAAAACAAAAAAGCTTCATGTCTAATTAATAAGGCATTTATCACAGGGGATTTTTAAATATATTTTCAATCATGTACATTAAACAAGGAGTGATGGTCTAGACTTGCTGGCATATTACACAAAAGGTTTAATATTCTTTTCATGCCTTTAAAGAATGAATCAAAAAATGTTTGAAGTATCTTCAAAACATACAAGAAGTTTTTTATAACATTTTCCTTGGATTCTTACTATATTGGGCTTACAGAAAAAAAGATTAAAAAAATTCTCAAGTTCTGTACAATAAATATGAAAAGGATAAAAATAAATCTATTGGGCCGGGTGCCTTGGCTCACGCCTGTAATCCCAGCACTTTGGGAGGTCAACACAGGCGGATCACAAGGTCAAAAGATCAACTTGATCCTGCCCAACATGGTGAAACTCCATCTCTACTAAAAATACAAAAATGAGCTGGACATGGTGACTCACCTGTAGTCCCAGCTACTCGGGAGGCTGAGGCAAGAGAATTGCTTGAACCTAGGAGGCGGAGGTTGCAATGAGCTGAGATCGTGCCACTGCACTCCAGCCTGGTGACAGGGCAAGACTCCGTCTCAAAAAATGAATAAATAAAGAAATCTATTATCTACTTAAACAGTCCATTATAATATATAAACCATAATAGTTACTCATAAATGCTGGGATTGAAACTAAAATTGACTCAACAAATGTTTCTTGAGTATCTACTGATAATAGGGGCTGTTATAGGCACTGGAGGTACCATGATGGATAAGATGGTCCCTGCCCTCCAGAACAGGGCAAACATGCAAACGACAACCACAACAACATGTGTCAAGTACAGCAATGTACACAGAACAGTGGCTGCACAGAGGAGAAGGGGAGTGGCTAGCTCTCTGCCAACATTAGTGATTAGATACAGAGAAAGAAAAATGTAAACTGGTACTTGAATAAGAAGTTCACCAAGATCACAGGGGTGAACAAAATTCCTTGGACACCAGATACATAACAGGGAGATTAACCAATATATGGGATAGAAAATAAACAACATGAGTGAAGATGTGACTCTATTTGGTTGTGGTGAATTTGAGATTCCTGTGGGAAACAGAGATGAAGATGTTCAATAAGAAACTAGCAGACTGGGCGTGGTATCTCACACCTGTAATCCCGGCACTTTGGGAGGCCAAGGTGGGCAGATCAGTTGAGGTCAGGAGTTGGAGGCCAGCCTGGCCAACATGGGGAAACCCTGTCTCTACTAAAAATACAAAAATTAGCCACGGGTGGTGGCACATGCCTGTAGTCCCAGCGACTTGGGAGGCTGAGGCACAAGAATCACTTGAACCCGGGAGGTTACAGTGAGCTGAGATCATGCCACAGCACTCCAGCCTGGGTGACAGAGCGAGATCCTGTCTCAGAAACAAACAAACAAAAGGGCCGGGGGCGGGTGGCTCATGCCTGTCATCCCAGCACTTTGCGAGGCCAAGATGGGCGGATCACCTGAGGTCAGGAGTTCCGGACCAGCGTGGCCAACATGGTGAAACCCCGTCTCTACTAAAAATACAAAAATTAGCCAAGCGTGGTGGTGGGCCCCTGTAATCCCAGCTACTTGAGAGGCTGAGGCAGGAGAATCGCTTGAACCTGGGAGGCAGGCAGAGGTTGCAGTGAGCCGAGAACGCGCCATTGCACCCCAGCCTCGGCGACAAGAGTGAAACTGTCTCGGAAAAAAAAAAAAGAAAAAAGAAAGAAAAAGAAAGTAGTTAATCAATAACAGTTTAAGTACAAGAAAGCAGTTATAGGTTAGAATTTTTTTTTTTTTTTGAGATGGAGTCTTGCTCTGTTGGCCAGGCTGGAGTGCAGTGGCACAATCTCGACTCACTGCAAGCTCCGCCTCCCGGGTTCACGCCATTCTCCTGCCTCAGCCTCCCAAGTAGCTGGGACTACAGGCGCCCGCCACCACACCCGGCTAATTTTTTGTATTTTTAGTAGAGACAGGGTTTCACTGTGTTAGCCAGGATGGTCTCTATCTCCTGACCTCATGATCCGCCCGCCCCGGCCTCCCAAAGTGCTGGGATTACAGGCATGAGCCACCGCACCCGGCCTGTAGGTTAGAATTTAAATACCAGCTACATAGGGGGCTGAGGCAGGAAGACTGCCTGAGCCCAGGAGTTCGAGGCTGCTGTGAGCTATAATTGCACCACTATATTCCAACCTGGGTAACAGAAGGAGATCCTGTCTCTAAAAATAAATAAATAATAAAATAATTTAAATAGTGGGAGTTATCATCATATAAGTGGTCATTAAAATCAATGGAATAAATGAGAACCCTCAATGGGAGAAAAGCAACATTTATTTAAGGCAAAGGAGGCCAGGGAAGAGGAGCTGGCAAAAAACGACCAAGAGTGGAGAGGGGACACAGAAGAGGGTGGCAGCAGCTGAAACCAAGGGAGGAATGTGTTTCAGGGAATGGGATGGGTACGAAAGAAAGGGCAAGAAAGACAAGGCCTGAAAACACCAGCTGCTTTGGCAAATAGAAGAAGGCCACTGACGAGCTCCAAGAGTATCTCCAGTGGAATTCAGACAGGCAAAAACATAGGTTTTGGTAAACAGAGGAGTGAATGGGGGATAAAAAGGAGACTGCACCAGACTCCTTTAAAGCAACTTCCTTCTGAAGAGAAAGTAACAGCTTCACTTTTAGGATATTAGACACCTGGGCATGTTTAAAGATTGTAAGGCAAGAGCCAGGAAGAGAGGCAAACCTTGGTGCTGAGGAGCTGAGGAAGAAGAGAAGCCCAAGAGAAGGATGGCCCTGAAGCCCAAGAAAGCACTGCACCAAGGCTGGCGGGCAGGAAAGACGGCAAGGATCATGATGAGGATGGTTAAGGGGCAGGGAGCCAGGGGGAGAGCTCCTATCTGATGACTGCCAATTTCCAGAATAAGAAAAGGGACAGATTTGTAGGTGCCTGAGGAGGAGAGAGGACTCTTCCTATAAGACAGGATGGTAGGAGAGAAAAAAAATGGGTCACGGGGTCAATACAGTCATAGAGATTGTTTTATTGTTTTTAAGAAAGAGAAAGGAACAGAGCCAGTTAAATTTCACCAAGAAAAGGAAAAATCAACAACTCACGTTGCCTTGTGCCTAAAGCCCACAGATATCAGTTTTAAGACAGGCATTTGACTAAATCATATTCTTAAAGCAATTTGGACATTCTCTCACGTTCAAAGCAATTAATACTACATATTCCAAGCAATCTGACACTACATGTTCAAAGCAATTGACATTACATGCATCAGAACTAGTTTAGTTGTGCAGCCCAACCACACTCTAAAGATTTTCTGACTATGAAACTTTAGACTTAACCAAACAAGCAATACCTAGAGGATAAATTCCAAAATGCTAACAAGCATTTTCACTGCTTTTCCCTTATAATCTTTTATAACTTTAGAAAGGAATGGCAGGGGTGGGGAGGAGACTGGCACCTTCTCTTACCTCCTCTTGGAAATGAGTTAATAAAAATGAAGTACAGGCCGGGCATGGTGGCTCATGTTTGTAATCCCAGCACTTTGGGAGGCCAAGCCAGGTGGATCGCTTGAGCCCAGGAGTTTGAGACCAGCCTGGGCAACCTATCAAGACCCCATCTTTACAAAAATACAAAAATTAGCTGGGCGTGGTGGCATGCGCCTGTAGTCAGTTACTCAGGAAGCCGAGGTGGAAAGATTGCTTAAGCCAGGGAGGTCAAAGCTACAGTGAGCCATGATTACACCATTGCACTCCGGCCTGTGTGACAGAGTGAGACCCTATGTCAAAAACATATATATACTTTTTTGAAATATATTTATTTCAAATAGATATCTATTTGAAATATATTTGAAAAATATATATTTTTGAAATATATATATTTCTGAAATATGTATTTTTGAAATACATATATAGATATTTCCTGCACTGCTGGAGTGCAGTGGCACAATCAGCTCACTGCAGCCTTGACCTCCCAGGCTCAGGTGATCCTCTCAACTCAGTCTCCCGAGTAGCTGAGACTACAGGTGCACACACCACCATGCCCAGCTAATTTTTGTATTTTTTTGTAGAGGCAGGGTTTCCCCATGTTGCCCATGCTGGTCTTGAATCCTGGGCTCAAGCGATCCACCTGCCTTGGTCTCCCAAAGTGCTAGGATTACAGGCATGAGCCACCATGCCCAGCCCAAAAATATTTTTTTATAGCAAAATACTTTCCCGGTGGCTCTAACACCCAGGCACAATAGCACAACTCCAGAAATATCTGTAATTTAAAAATTGAGAAAACCTCCTAAAAATGACAGCAATACTAATTAGATCATTATAATAAAATGATCTTTATATTCCTTTCAGCTACACTACAAAGAAAGAAACTACTAATAAAATGTTTCAAACCAAGGAATAAAGCCATTCATCACAATTTTTTTTAAAGAGATGGGGACTCGCTTTGTTGCCCTGGCTGATCTCAAACTCCTGGGCTTAAGTGATTCTCTATCTTGGCCTCTCAAAGCACTGGGATTACAGGCATGCGCCACTGCACCCAGCCCACAATTTCTTTTCTCATCTAAGAACCATCCACTAAATGTGGACTGAAAGTCCACTGCTGTCTATGTAGACTTGAATATCTAGAATGCCCATGAGTATCTGAAACCTTAACCCTTAGGTGAACATTCAGGTAGTTATCCCACCATCAGGTGTCCAACATGACAGCCACCAGAAGCTGCAGTTTCCCTGTTGCCACCAGGCCTGCATCGCCTTCCCTAATTCTAATACCACACAAGGGGATGAATCGATAGCCAATGACTTGAAGGCTTACCACATTCTAGGCATTGTTCTAAACTCCGATGCCACTAATGAATAAAACCAGGCCTTACACTAGGAGAACTTTTAAATGTTATAAGGAAGACAAGTGTACAAATAAACTACTATCCACATTTCTGGAGAGTGGTCTGACTTGCTCTCTCCATCTCCAATATCACCTAGAGCTCCTTGATAAGTCCTCATGGCAACCTGCCACAATACATGAGTCTACGGGTATCAGTGTGGTCATTTATTTTGCTGTCCCTAGACTGTAAACTCGATGAGAACAAGTGCCTCGTGTCTATTCTGTTCCCCTATTATATCCCTAGCAAGGTGCCTAGAACACAGTAGGCAACCAAATATTAGTTAACCGGATGGATGGATGGGCGGATGGATGAGGACTTAGTCCTTTGAAAACAAAGTAATCCAGTCTCCCTGTAGGGAGGTCTACAGGCAATGCCTTACAAAAGGTACATCTAGTGACATAAAATTAACAGTTTTTTTTTTCTAATAAGCCATGGGAAACACATTTTTAAAAATTTGTACTGCCAGACCCAGTGGCTCACACCTGTCTGTAATCCCAGCATTTTGGGAGGCCAAGGCGGGCGGATCACCTGAGGTCAGGAGTTCGAGAGCAGCTTGGACAACATGGCGAAACTCCGTCTCTACTAAAAGTACAAAAATTAGCCAGGCGTGGTGATGGGCACCTGTAATCCCAGCTACTCAGGAAGCTGAAGCAGGAGAATCGCTTGAACCCAGGAGGTGGAGGCTGCAGTGAGCCAAGATCGCGCCACTGCACTTCAGTCTGGGCGACAAGAGTGAGACTCTGTCTCAAAAAAAAAAAAAAAAAAAAACCAAAAATAACAAAAAAGGGAGAAATTGTTTAAAACACCCCCCC
The DNA here is from genome assembly GCF_000001405.40 of Homo sapiens. Lineage (NCBI taxonomy): Eukaryota > Metazoa > Chordata > Mammalia > Primates > Hominidae > Homo > Homo sapiens. The sequence continues at coordinate 24,388,866 of NC_000018.10, forward strand.
ACAGATTGAGGTTGATAACTACTTTCTTAATTTGATGCATCTTTAATTCGTAAACTATTTAATTTCCATTAATTTCTGACTAAAAGGTACATTTAGAAGAAACTTCAAGATTGATTTTTTAAGGAATCATCTAAATTCATATGTTGAACAGATTTTTTAAAAACATTCTTCCAAATCATGAGAGCTTATTCCAGAAAAGCGCTTTGTCTCTGATGTTTAAGCCAAAAGAAGAAGATAAGCATTCCCAAATGCAGCTGGTCACAATGGATTGCAGCCATTTCTATCAGCGCACATGGTATTTTTCAAGACCACTTTTCAGCTGCTCTTCTCACATTCACGCAATTCCAAGCTCTGTTTTTAGATTAATGAGATTTTCATGGCCATGAGAATGTTTTCCAGGAAATAATTAGATGGAAAACATTTTGAGCTTCAAAAATCAGGAGATAAGAGACCATTTTTGCCTTATGTTTTCTCTCCTCCAAGGTCCACTAGGGAAAGTTAGACTTCTAATTTTTAAATTCTTTTGAGGAAAGAAAATTTATATTTTGTTGCCTTATAAATATCATAAAATTACTTAAACTGGTGACCATACTTGATAGTCTATGCCACTGAATCCCCACTTAATATAGTAGATAAGTTCTATGGCCCCAACAGTTCTGAAATATTGACAAAGATTTTAAAACTTAACAACTCCAAGGGCGATGACTTGTTAAATTTGGTTGGAGTCTATTATTTTATCATTTGAACTGCTTGCTACTTTTCTTTAAAATTCCAGCTTAATATATACAGAATTGGCCAGGTGCGGTGGCTCACGCCTGTACTCCCAACATTTTGGGAGGCCAGGGAGGGCAGATCACTTGAGGCCAGAAGTTTGAGACCACCCTGGCCAACATAGCGAAACCCCATCTTTACTAAAAAATACAAAACTTAGCCAGGTATGGTGGTGCATGCCTGTAATCCCAGCTACTGGGGAGGCTGAGGTACAAGAATCACTTGAACCCAGGAGGCAGAGTTGGCAGTGACCCGAGATCGCACCACTGCAGTCCAGCCTGGGTGACAGAGTGAGACTCTGTCTCAAAAAAATAAAATAAAATAAAATAAAATCTATAGAACCAAGATAAAAATTCCTACAGAAATCAAAGATAATAAAATTCAACAATAAGAGCCAATTCACCTGAGTGCCAGAAACTGAAAATATTTAACAATGTGCCCTTTTCAGGAATAGAGTTCTTAAAGGTATTAGAAAAGTTAAAATCTCAGACATCCAGGCTCAATTCACCTAGTCATACATATAACAACATGCAACTGTAAATCTTAAAACATCAGAGAAGTATGGGGGTTCCTCAAAAAAATTAAACACATAATTACCTATGATCCAGCAATTCTACTTCTGGGTATATACCCAAAAGAACTAAAAGCAAGGAATCAAACAGATATTTGTATTCCCATGTTCATAGGAGAAGTAACCTAAACGTCCATTGACAGATGAATGGAAAAACAAAACGTGACATATACAAGGGAATATAATTTAGCCTTTAAAAGGAAGGATGGGCGTGGTGGCTCATGCCTATAATCCCAAGACTTTGGGAGGCCAAGGCAGGCGATCACTTGAGGTCAGGAATTCGAGACCAGCCTGGCCAACAGACCACGGAAACCCCACCTCTATTAAAAATACAAAAATTAGCTGGGCATGGTGGCACATGCCTGTAATTCCAGCTACTGGGGAGGCTGAGGCAGGAGAATCACTTCAACCTGGGAGGCAGAGGTTGCAGTGAGCCAAGATCGTGCTACTCTACTTCAGCCTGGGCAACAGAGTGCGACTCCGTCTCAAAAAAAAAAAAAAAAAAAAAAAAAAAAGTCATTAAATTAAAAAAAATTGAAATCCCAAATATTGTGTTTCTCATTTTCCATGCTCTTGCTCTCCAAATTTCAGCAGATTCAGGTAACTTTTTGGCCAGGTGCAGTGGCTCACGGCTGTAATCGCGGCACTTTGGGAAGTTGAGGTGGGCGGATCACCTAAGGTCAGGAGCTCGAGACCAGCCTGGCCAACATGGTGAAACCCCGTCTCTACTAAAAACACAAAAATTAGCCTGGTGTGGCGGTGCGTGCCTGTAGTCCCAGCTACTGGGGAGACTGAAGCACAAGAATGGCTTGAGCCCGGGAGGCAGGGGTTGCAGTGAGCCGAGATCCCACCACTTTGCACTACAGCCTGGGCGACAAAGCAAGACTCTGTCTCAATCGATTGAGGAAGGAAATTCTGACACATGCTAGAACATGGACGAACCTGGAATACATCATGCTAAGTGAAATAAATCACTCACAAAAGGACAAATATGGTATGATTCCACTTAGATGAGACAGCTAAAATAGTCAAAGTCATACAGACAAAACATAGAATGGTGGTTGCCGGTGGCTCGGAGAAGGGAGGAAGAAATAGGGAGTAATGTTTAACAGGAACAGAGTTTCAGTTTGGGATGGAGGAAAAGGTCATGGGGATGGACAGTGGTGATAGCTGTACTACAATGTGAATGTATGCAATGCCACTGAATAATACACTTAACAATGGCTAAAACAGGCCAGGTGTGATGGCTCATGCCTGTAATCCCCACTGCTTTGGGAGGCTGAGGCAGGAGGATAGCCTGAGACCAGGAGTTTAAGACCAGTCTGGGCAACACAGCAAGACCCCAGTCTCTACAAAAAAAAAAAAAAAATTAATTACCAAATGTCATGGTGCGCACCTATAGATCCAGCTACTTGGGAGGCTGAAGCAGGAGGACTACTTGAGCCCGGGAGTTCAAGGCTGCAGTGAGCTAAGACCATGCCACTGCACTCCAGCTCTGGGCCACAGAATGAAACTCTTTTTTAAAAAACAAACAAACAAACGACAACAACAAAAAAACCTAAAAGGGCAAATTTGATGTTATGTACATTTTATCACACACAAAAAATCAGGAAGCATCTAAAATACGACTGGCACAATTGCCAAATGGCATTTGTACTTTTTCTTTTTTTTTGAGACAGGGTCTGTCACTAAGGCTGGAGTGCAGTGGCACAATCTCAGCTCACTGCAACCTTCACCTCCTGGGCTCAAGTGATCCTCCCACCTCAGCCTCCCAAGTAGCTGGGACTACAGGCACACGCCACCATGCCCAGCTAATTTTCGTATTTTTTGTAGAGTCAGGGTTTCATCGTGTTGCCCAGGCTGGTCTCAAACTCCTAGGTTCAAGCGATCTGTCCACCTCAGCCTCCCAAAGTGCTGGGATTACAGGCGTGAGCCACTGCATCCAGCCAGCATTTGTACTCTTTTTATTTTTGAGATGGAGTTTCACTTGTTTCCCATGCTGGAGTGCAATGGCGCCATCTCGGTTCACCGCAACCTCCGCCTCCCGGGTTCAAGTGATTCTCCTGCCTCAGCCTCCCGAGTAGCAGGGATTACAAGCATGTGCCACCATGCCTGGCTATTTTATATTTTTAGTAGAGATGGGGTTTCTCCATGTTGGTCAGGCTGGTCTCAAACTCCTGACTTCAGGTGATCTGCCCACCTCGGCCTCCCATAGTGCTGAGATTACAGGCGTGAGCCACCACACCCGGCCCTATACTCTAATAAAGACAAAGGGAGACTATTCAAAAATTATTAAAAATATATGTTGCGATTAGTTTTTAAATTCTCAGATACTGATTTTATGAATGTTACATTAATATTTAAAATACATTGTATGCTAGAAATTTGAATGAGAAAAATTAAATGTCTATGAACAAACACATCCTATAAACTAAATCTTAAAAACATAAAAACCAGTACCGTGCTTAGCCCTGCGCTCCAAAGTAGTTAGCTGCTTTTTTGAAACAGGGTCTCAGTCAATTGCCCAGGATGGAGTGCAGTGGCACAATCGTGGCTCACTGCAGCCTCAAACTCCTGGACTCAAGCAATCCTCCCATCTTGGCCTCCTGAGTAGCTGGGACCACAGGTGCACGCCACCATACCCAGCTAATTTTTGTATCTTTTATAGAGATGTGGTCTGGCTACATTGCCCAGGCTGGTCTCGAACTCCTGGCCTTAAGGAATTATCCTGCCTTGCCTTCCAACGTGCTGGAATTACAGGCATGAGCCACCTCGCCCAGCCTGTAGTTAGCTGCTTAATGGTGTGTTTTCTCCTGACGTTATATTCTTTTAATACCAGCAAGGTATTAAAGATTAAAGTAACTACATAAAAACATGGCAATGGCAAAAAAAAAATACTTATTTGCTCTAACTATGATTAGTTGCTAGCAATCAGTAATTTCTCTGATGCAATCATATACCTACATGTATGTACATGTGTATACATTATGCACACATGTGCATAGATACACATATTATGTATACAGAAAACTGACATTTGTGATGACATAAACAAATGCATTTTTTGCTTGTTTTAGAAACTGAACATTGGTAAACGAATTCATTAATCTAACACTCTGATTCTAGAGCTGAAGCAACTGAAAAGCCCAAAGGCAAAGTTACTTGCCAAGTATTAACAGTAGAGTCACAGCCAGAATGTAGAAGGGGTGAAATAATGCAACGTATTTTATTTTTATTTATTTATTTTTATTTTTATTTTTTTTGAGACGGAGTCTCGCTCTGTCGCCTAGGCTGGAGTGCAGTGGCACGATCTCCGCTCACTGCAAGCTCCTCTTCCCGGGTTCACACCATTCTCCTGCCTCAGCCTCCCAAGTAGCTGGGACTACAGCTGCCCGCCACCACGCCTGGCTAATTTTTTGTAGTTTTTAGTAGAGCCGGGGTTTCACTGTGTTAGCCAGGATGGTCTCCATCTCCTGACCTCGTGATCCGCCCATCTCGGCCTCCCAAAGTGCTGGGATTACAGGTGTGAGCCACTGCACCTGGCATTGCTATGTATTTTATAAAATTCAATTCAGCTGCAAAAGTTAAATGCCATTGATTCTCATTAGTGTTCCTGTGTAAGCACTGAGGAATTTGAATCTGAATTATGTTTTGAGTGCCTCATTTTAAAAAGCTTTATTTATTAACTGAAAAGAATACCTAAAACATGGCAATTTAAGGAAAACAGGAGCAAATTATAAAGCCTATTTTGGGAAGCACTAACCTGTATCGTTTTAAGTTATAAGACAAAATTTTAATCACTTAATTTTTAATTCAGTGAAACTTTTTCTCTAACTTCCTCAATAAGTTTTTGTGCCCTAATAAAAAGCATTCATCTCCCACAGGAGAAATGATGGAGAATTGGCCACAATTATGTGTCATCTAATGGTTTATAAAGCATTGAAATCATAAAATGTTTATACCAAATTATTATTTACTTTATATTTGATAAATTTACATTACCTTCTCTTATTCATATCCATTCCATACCCACACCAACTTGGATACCATACGGACATAATAAAAAACCAACCATATCACCAGGTATTTATCTTACCCATATTCGGTTGGAAATTTTAATGTTTCTTAAAATTAGTAAAAATTAAATAAGCTTCATAGCTTTGCTTAATGAAGTTGTTTAAAATAACTTTGGTGCTATAATTTTAGCTGCTTTAACAATTAAGCACTAATTCCTAGATGCACCCCTGATTTGAACTTCAATTTGACAGATTCTGAAAACTATTTACTACTGTTTCAAAACAGAGCAGGTATGAAGAGCAGAGAACCCTACAAATTTAACAAATCAAGTTTAGTAATAAAAATCCTAGCAAGGAGGCTGATTGTTACCTTTTAATGACAAAATTCCCTAAATTTTAGAAAAATGCATTAAAATTTTCCCATTTCAATTATTTCACATTTGAAAATTATCTTTCAAACTCAATTAAACTCATGTATAATAATACTGACCATTTATGCATCACAGAAATACCTCTTTAAAGAAAAACTTTAAACACAAAGTAAAAACATGTGGTTACTTTCCATTGTCACATGATACGAAATTGTACAGTTAAAGACTGCTTTCACTATACAGTAATTTCCTACTTGCAGGCTGATAAATAAAAGTAAAGTGAGCGACCTAGTTTATCTTCCTAGTAATAGCATTAAAACTATTTCTTATACTAGCCCACCTCACACAGCCCCCTTAATACTGACAGTACCAACACAGAATTAGTGGCAGAGGCCACGTGAGGAAAAACATTTCTAGAGACCAAGAACATCACATAAGATACTTATATGACACCACAATCATAAATATACATACACTATACAGATTACCTGACAGTGTCTTTTCTTAAACTTCATGAATTGTTAGTATAAGCTGGTGACTGCAGTGCTAAAACCTGTCCTCTTTCTAGGAAATTCAGAGAACTTGCTAGGTCATCAAAAAAGCTCTGATTGCCAAAGTTCAGACTCAGCTTGGAAGAACTGACAAGGTTCTGAAGGATATCAAGTTTCTCACACGCACTTGATATCATATTCTCTCTTCTCCACTAAGTTATTCATTTGGCTGATTTCTACTTTCTGCCTACTACTTTTCTCAATGAAAACATATGATGTATAAAAGCTCAGCTTCCAGTAATGTCAAGAGGTAAGAAACTGACACAGTTCCACTTAAAAATATTATGATCAGATATACAGATGTATCTCTGAGTAAAATAAAGCCACAAGGAGAAAATTTGTAATGTATTAATATTTAACCGGCATTGTGCCATGTTATTACTCAAAAAAGACTGGCTGTATTCTTCAACCTAATTGTCGGTTCTAAAACAGTATCATTTCCCCTTGTTTTGAGGAAATGATGGGGAGAATTTTTTTTTTTCTTTTTTTTGTGAGACGGAGTTTCGCTCTTGTCGCCCAGGCTGCAGTGCAACAGCACGATCTCCATTCACTTACCATCTCCGCCTCCTGGGTTCAAGGGATTCTCCAGCCTCAGCCTCCCAAGTGGCTGGAATTACAGGCGCCCACTACCACGCCCGGCTAATTTTTGTATTTTTAGTAGAGACAGGGTTTCATCATTTTGGCCAGGCTGCTCTCGAACTCCTGACCTCAAGTGATCCGCCCGCCTCGGCCTCCCAAAGTGCTGGGATTACAGGCGTGAGCCATGGCACCCGGCCAGGAATACTTTTATAGAAATAATATCTGTGGCTCACACCTGTAAATCCCAGCACTTTGGGAGGCCGAGGCAGGCGGATCATAAGGTCAGGAGTTCGAGACCAGCCTGAACAACATGGTGAAACCTCGTCTCTACTAAAAATACAAAAATTAGCCGGGCATGGTGGCATGTGCTTGTAATCCCAGCTACTTGGGAGGCTGAGACCGGAGAATTGCTTCAACCCGGGAGGCAGAGGTTGCAGTGAGCCTGAGATCGCGCCACTGCACTCCAGCCTAGGCAACAGAGCGAGACTCTGTCTCAATTTAAAAAAAAAAAAAAAGAGACAGAGAAATCATACCTGACTGCTCTGAATCAAAGTCGGCTACAATAATACATGCAAAAATGAGCAGCCTCCAGAGAGAAGAATTAGCCACCCACCATAAGTTTCTGCTGATTCACAACGAGATATTTAGCAAGTATCATTTTCATAAACAACCTTCACAAAATACTAAGATAACAAATGTTTCAGATTAATCTACTCAAACTTTGGCAGTTAACTCCTATTTTGACTATCCGTTGCTCAATGCTGGAGAAGAGTTACACTGCCTGGGAGAAATGAAAAAGAATAGTTAAATTTTAAGAAAGGAATGTTACTGACAGTTTTCTCCTCTTTTCCCCCTATAAACTGTAGACAAAGCCCACCTAGTGGTTTAGAATTAGGGAATTAAAAGGTGGATTTTGTTACTATGCTGTAATTAAGAAATCTTCACAATTCCAGCTTGGGGTGGGGAGGGAGGGGGGTGGTTCAGAATTTATACCTATCAAACTGCTGCAAAAAATTCATTGTATCGGGGTTAGACTGCAAATACTTCTACCCCTCAAAACGAATCTGCAAATTATTTCCCAGATGCTGAGTAAAGAGGTGAGGAGGTTCCAAACTCCAAATCCAGAATGCACCTATTACAGGGCAAAGACTGAAGTTTTCAGGGAAAACACATCACCGATTTTAAAGCTGATTTAATTATATTATTAACTATTCACAGACACCTAATAGCCACATTTGCAACATTCAAGCAACCTTATTTAAGCTAAGAATATCACACTGCCCACAGTTCCATTTCACAATACCGTCTGCCTAAAAACGACAACTTGAACTGAAAACTAATACTAAATCAGAATAACCCTTTTCAATGCCTCCTGCCAATCATTAGGGCAGCGGGATAAGTGAATTGTTAAAGTCTATTGTGCAGCTGCGCTCTCATTCAGTTTCAGAATCTCCCTTGGATATTCGTTCATGCTTGTAGAACCGACCACGCGGTACATTGGGAAACGGTCACATGAACAATGCGTGACTTCCATTGTGCATCAATCCTCCTCTTGTTAGGAGGAAATTAAAAAGTCACATGGACACACGAAAGTACCGAGAAGGCACGCAGCTGAAGATCTGGTAGGGGATGCATGCGGCACCAGCATGGTCGTGGCACCCGAGTGGGAAGTGCAACAAACGCCAACATCTTGTTACTTTTAACGCCTAACTTCCTGCAGCGCTGGAGCAGCCAGCGGCCGCCGGGAAGCCGAGCTCGGCTGCAGCCCTGCGTCGCCGCGCCACGACCCGACCATCCTCTGAGACGCCCGGGACGGGAGCGCCCACCCCCAACCAGGCGCGGACAGACCTCCCGAGCGCAGCCCGGCGGGAACCCGTCAGCGCGGGAACCGGCCTCGAACTCCAGGCGTGGACAGCCGCGAGAAACTGACCTACGCGGTCACCCGGGCTCCCAGAGCTCCCGAGGCGGTGGCCACGACCCCAGGCTTCCCGTCCGCCCGCCCCACGTCGAGGAAGTGGTCGTCACCAACTCTGGCTGGCACTCCCCGAGGACGCTCGAGCCCGCGTAACGTCTGTCTCCGGGACCCGGCGCCGGGACCACGGCGGAGCGCGAGGTGGCGCCGCCCCTCCCCGCAGCCCGCCCCTGGAACGCGCATCCTCCTGGCGAGCTGGCATCCCTCCCGACACGTGACCGCAGCGGGGACACGCCCGTTCCCCGCCCACTCCCCGCCCCTGCCTGGCCTGCCCACGCCCCCGGCCCGCTCCTGTCCCGCCTGGGCCACCGGCGCTGGTTCCAGGTTTTGCCAGCTACTAGGGACGCGTAAAGCCTTCGCGCTCCTCCCACCACACCCCGAGGGAAGAAGTGGCAGGCCTTACCCGGAGACTACAAGGAACCGCCCGTGTGAGCCAGTGGAAGACTCGCGTCCCCAGGCAAAATATAAGTCCTGGGTTAATAGTCTGAAGTCTGTCATTAAGCAATAGGTTATCCAGCTGCCCAGATTTTTTTCTTTTTTGCTTTGGCTGCAACTCGACCCGTGGGAACTTAATTGGCAATGTAAATTAGACAATTTACAAAAAAACACCTCCTTTTACTTTCACCTGTGAAAGGAAGCGCTTAAAATGCCATACAGGTGTAACCATTATAGAATAGATATGCGTGAGACAAGGATTTACAAAATTTCCTCACCTCCTCTCCTCCAGATTCCATGCACAAGGCGTCTAGCTAGAGGAGTTAGCAAATAGTCTATAACGTGAAGGTTCAAACTCTAGTATAATTCCACCGTTTTTGTTTTTTTCTTTTTTTGAGGCAAGGTCTCACTCTGTCTCCCAAGCTGGAGTGTAGTGGCGCGATCTCGGCTCACTGCAGCATCGTCTTCTGGGTTCAAGCGATCCTCCGGCCTCAGCTGGACTACAGGCGGGTAATCAAGGGACTGGGACTACAGGCGCGCCCTGCCGCGCCCGGACAAGTTTTGTATTTTTAGTAGAGACAGACTCTCCCTATGTTGCCCAGGCTGGTCTCCAACTCCTGGGCCTCCCAAAGTGTTGGGATTACAGGCGTGAGTCACCCCTGCAGGCCACAGCTTTGCTTTTTAAAAGCATTTCTGCATAACTAAAAAGACAGGAAATTACGAGCATACGAAAACTGATTTCTGCTTTCCTGAATTTTCTAAATGTATTTAATGAACATGTTCTTTTGCAATGAAAAAGTAATAAATAGGTATCATTTTTAAAAGGACTGTAGTTTTTCCATCAAGTCTAGAAGCATGTATTGAGAACCTATAATAGGCCCTTTTGGTCATTGTGATATGTGTGAAACAGCATATGGCAGATCTTTTGAAATGATGTTTTTGGATACCACAAGCAATCCTGCTGGTGTATCTCAGGCTGGCATCATCTTTTATTAACAAAGCAGGCACTTTACTAGCACAATACTTCAACTGCAAAATGTGTGGTAACTAAAGCAGCTGTATTTGTCTGGAAAAGAAGAAACCTCAGGGCTTACTATCTAAGGATATTGAACCATCTTTTTTTTTTTTTTTGAGATGGAGTTTTACTCTTGTGCAGTGGTGCAATCTCAGCTCACTGCAACCTCTGCCTCCGAGGTTCAAGCGATTCTCCTGCCTCAGCCTCCTAAGTAGCTGGGACTATAGGTGCGTGCCACCATACCCGGCTAACTTTTGTATTTTTAGTAGAGATAGGGTTTCACTATGTTTGTCAGTCTGATCTCAAACTCCTGATCTCAGGTGATCCACCCACTTCAGCCTCCCAAGGTGCTGGGATTATAGGTGTGAGCCACCACACCCAGCCTTGAACCATCTTCATAGCCAAAATAAAACTACCGAAATAATGACAATAATAATTGGCTACTGAAATAATTTTCCATGATTCCATGAAAGCCTTCATTCTCTCTGTGATGATTTAATTACCTAAATTCACAACTTGCACTTTGCAACTCCCTTCTACAGTTTGCAAATGAAAAACAGATTGCAGTCAATAGGAGGATGAAGTAGTAATCACTACAGTTATCAATAAGAGAAGTTCCAATCTTGATAGCATTACTATTTATACTGTATCTTTAAAGGACTTTATTTGGTATTTCCATAAAATATGCAGAAAAGATATCTCATGGGCATTTATATTATTGACGGCTAGTACAGGTAAAATCACCATGATGGCATAACAGAATTCATTATTCTAGAACACTGTGTCTAATGGAACTTTCTGCGATGATAGAAATGTTCTATAATTCTACCTTGTCCAGTACAGTAGCCACTAGCCACATGTGGCTATTGAGTACTTGAAATGTGGCCAGTGTGACTGACGGTTTCAAGTTTTATTTAATTTAAATAGCCACATGTGGATAGCAGTTACCATATTGGGCAGTGCAGTTCTAGAATAACAAAACTATCACTAGATTGTCCCCGTCATATCATACTCTATTTTAAGAAACATTTGGCAGAAGTAGAACCTCTGGAACTAGTTAATAAATATTTTCCTTCATATTCCTTTCTGAGCTTTAGGCAGATAGATATTTTAACTTTGCAGATGCGGCATATTAAAGTAACTAGTAATATAATCCCTACATATATAAGTAGGAATTGCAATGGAAGCTCTGACTGGTTGTGAAATGGATTTGGGAGTATCTAACCCCTGGCCCTGCCATTCCCGGGCCTGCCTGACCCACATTGAAAAGTGAACCGGGTAACTTAAGACTGGGATGGGCTTCATCAGAATTGTTCATTGCCTGGTTCAGACTGGATTCACCTTGGACTCTTTTGTTTCAGGAAACTTAGGAGCCCAAATCTCTCTACTGTCATCCCCCTCCCCGCATTCCAATGACCTCCTTCAGAATGTGATCCTCTTTAGATTGTAGTACCTAATGTCTGGTCCTTGCAGTTTTGTCTCAAGCCTGAGACATCCCAGAATGCACTTAGTGCATTGCATGTTTTAAAAACACTCCCCTGGTGCCAGTGTGACTTTGAAGTGGTGCAGGAACACGCTAAAGGCTTAAGTCTCATTAAAAGGAGGATTTTATGGACTGAGACTTTGGGGAGGGCTTTGGGTAATTACTGCCTGGAATACTGAAAAGTAGGTCAGATGTCATCAGGCGAATGCAGATAAACCATTGAGTTGAGGGAAATGAATCATTCCCTTATACCTACATATGAAAGACTTTGTAGTTACTATTAACTCCAGACCATCAAAGCTATGAGGTCATTGGGAGTTTTTCTCTCTTAAAAGTGGTCTAAATTTGTTATTTGTCATTTGTGCCATTTCACTCAGTTTATTTAATAACAGGAATGAATTGGTATAGTTTCAGATATTAAATTCTTTTGGTCTAGACTTAATTTTGTACCCATCTCTCTTTTCCTGCAGGTATGACACACAGATGTCTAAGCAACTGCCTTCCAGCAGTGATTGATTTTGCTGGTTCCCCACACAAAAAGTTTGGAAGAGACCCTTATGTCTTCTGTAGAGTTTCTTGGTTGTAAGCAGCAAGCACTGGTGCTGGCTAACTTAAGCAAATAAAGAATATATCACTCAGACATCAAAGAAACAGCTGGAAATCTGGCTTGGCAAAGGCCGGATTAGGGCACTCCTGGGGATGTGGGTAGTAGGAATAGTCTATAGTTTTTCCTCAGTGCCAACACTGGGAAAGAATATGTTCCAATTATTTTCATTTTCCTATCCTTTTGTCTTTCTTCAGAAGAAGCAAAGTTGAGAGATAGTCTTTCATAGCTTTTCCCATAAGGTATGTTCTCCTTGGGCAACATTTTCAACTCAACCTTTAGCCCTTAGCTTGCTTTTTCTTTTTTTTTTTCTTTATTTTTTTTATTTTTGAGACGAGGGTCTTGCTCTGTCACCCAGGCTAGAGTACAGTGGCATGATCATGGCTCACTGCAGCCTCAACCTCTCAGGCTCAAGCAGTTCTCCCACCTCAGCCTCCCAAGTAGCTGGGACTACTGGCGCGAGCCACCATGCCCAGCTAACTTTTGTTTATTTTTTATAGAGACAGGGTCACACTATGTTGCCCAGGGTGGTCTCAAACTCTGGTTTGAGCAATCTGCCCACCTTGGCCTCCCAAAGTGCTGGGATTACAGGCATGAACCACCTCACCTGGCCTTTCTTTATTCATCATGAATATACCCTGCTTAGCCTGGTCAACATGGAGAAACTCTGTCTCTACAAAACAAAAATTAGCCAGGCATGGTGGTGTGGCCTGTAGTCCCAGCTACTGAGGAGGCTGAGGTGGGAGGATCACTTGAACCTGGCAGGTGGAGGCTGCAGTGAACTGAGATCACATCACTGCACTTCAGCCTGGGAGACAGAGACCCTGCCTCAAAAAACAAACAAACAAACAAACAAAAAAGAATATATTCCGCTTTTCTATCCCTAATTGTCTGCTCAAGCAGTGTGCCTGACAGTCACATGACCCCTTCTAGGAAGCCTTGGAAAGTCTGCCCTGCCTATTGCCCCTTTTTGAGGACTTCATTATGCAACCTACAATTCTTGGCTCAGCTGAAGGAGCAAGAGCAGGGCCTCCTAAATGGCACCTTTCTATTAGGCTTACCAAAGGCCTGGTATATGTGCTTTGCCCAACAGGAAATCTCTATACTGAGTAGCATTGAACCATCTAGATTTCTCTCTTGGGTAGGTTTAACCGTGACGCATGCAAAGGACAGTCCTTAGTCAAGGTAGATGCAGAAAGGCTCACAGAGGGAAGTGAGAGCAGAGAGTAAGCAGAAGCCATGGGACAGCCTAAAGGAGAATACAGAAAAGATGACCAGGAGCGGCAGAAGCAAGAGCAGAGAGAGAATGATTGAGACCCCAGAGTGCGGAAACACTAGGGTAGGGAGCAAAGGATGGCGCCCCCTGCTGAGAGGTCCAGAATGGTGGGCTGCAGTTAAATCTTCAACAACCTTCTGCAGCAGCGTGATGTCTCTGCTTTTATGTCTCTGTATTGTTGCAATAAATTCTTACTCTTTATCTGATGTAACCTGAGTGTTTTTCTATTCCTTGAGCCCAGAAAGAGCCTAATACACCATTACTACCCCCTTTCCTGTTCTCATCTCTCCCATTTTAATCTGTAACCAACAACCTTGTGGATACCTCCTTTCCTTTCAACAGCCATCTCTTCAGGGTCTCATGTTGTTCTTCGCTCTTCTGACTCTTCTGAAATACATCTCTTTTCCAGATACCTACTAACCACCGCTATCTATATCTCAGTCACCTGTCAGCACCTAATACAGGTCAAAGGCCCCATTCTCAATGAGTTACAATAGAAGGTGATTTTACTTTATTCACTGAAGTCACAAAGATCAAGGGTGGGAACTTCATGGGCCGGCAGTCTCTGGGCCTAAATTGGAAGTATGAACCAAATCACTGACTCCTGGTGTTAGATTTGTTAGAGTCCTCAGAAATAATCTAGTTCAACCTCAAGCCTAAAGCCAGACTGTCCTCAATCACATTAGGAAGAAGTTTTCCCACCCCTGTCTGTGGCTGGGAACTTTCCAGACAGGCAGGTCACTACTTCACAGTGCAGCCCAACCATTTGTTTTCCAACATTAAGAATGCGGGGCCAGGCATGGTGGCTCACGCCTATAATTCCAGCACTTTGCGAGGTCCAGGCGGGCAGATCGTTTGAGCCCAGGAGCTCAAGACAAGCCTGGGCAACATGACAAAACCTTGTCTCTACCAAAAAAAAAAAAAAAAAAAAAAAAAAGGCTGGGCATGGTGGCACACACCTGTAGTCTGAGACTGAGACCGGAGGATCACCGGAGCCCAGAAGGTCGAGGCTGCAGTGAGCCATGATCGTGCCACTGCACTCCAGCACTGGCAACAGAGTTAGAGGCTGTCTCAAAAAAAACAAAAATGTTTGAAGACAACAGTCATGAGCTACCTTGATATTTCTTTTCCAGGCTTACATTCCCCCATGTCTCAACCCATCTTCATGCTCCAACTAGTCATGGTAGTCTAACACAGTTAGACTAACACAGAATTAAACAAATCACAACTTTTTCTGTGAAGCCAAAGAGGGTAGGAAAGTCTTATCTTAGTAAGTCCTATTATAATATCAATTTTTCTAAACCTATGGCCTTTTTTCCATACATGTCATCTCTGACCTCTCCACTGCTGTCTGGTGGTAGCTAATTTTTCTCACTTAATAGAGACCAGGGGGAAGGAGGTGGTGGAGTTAGATTGGAGAAAGAAAGCAGGGAGTGCAGCAAAGAAGTTATACATTTATATACAAATTCCTGGCCTCATGAAGTTTATAATCTAATTTGGTAGGCAAAGTATACAATTAAAACTCATAAAAAAGACAAGCCATAACAGCCAAAAATGGTAAGTAAAATAAATTCTAAAGGATTTAGGAGGACTAGAATAGAGAAGACATTTAGAAGTCATGGTATTGGCCGAGTGCGGTGGCTCACGCCTGTAATCCCAGCACTTCGGGAGGCCGAGGTGGGCGGATCATGAGGTCAGGAGATCGAGACCATCCTGGCTAACATGGCAAAACCCCATCTCTACTAAAAATACAAAAAAAAAATTAGCCAGGCATGGTGGCAGGCGCCTGTGGTCCCAGGTACTAGGGAGGCTGAGGCAGGAGAATGGGGTGAACTCTGGAGGCGGAGCTTGCAGTGAGCAGAGATCACGCCACTGCACTCCAGCCTGGGTGACAGAGTGAGATTCCGTCTCAAAAAAAAAAAAAAAAAAGAAAAGAAGTCATGGTATTTACACTTAGCCTCAGCTTTGTATAGGAAACACCAGGAAACGGGAAATGAGTACCCTCAACATAGCACATTTGAGAGAAGCAGCAAGAAACAAAATATGAGAATATACTTTGAACAAGAGCTCAGGGCTATTTTAGTAACAGATTTTTGAATCGTCCACAAATATCCATGATGTTGTATAGCATTACCAATGGAAAGAAGATTGAGATAATGACATGTAAAGACTTAATAGACAGCCTTGGCAACATGGAAAAACCCCCATCTCTACTAAAAATACAAATCTGAAGTGGGAGGATCACCTGAGCCTGGGGAGGACAAGGCTGTAGTGGGCTGTGATTGCGCCACTGCACTCCAGCCTGAGCAGCAGAGTGAGACCTCATCTTAAAAAAAAAAAAAAAAAAAGACTTACCAGAACAGAGAGTTTGTTTTCATCATTGATTAATTCATTTATTCATAAGTCAGTAAATATATACATA
The DNA here is from genome assembly GCF_000001405.40 of Homo sapiens. Classification (NCBI taxonomy): domain Eukaryota; kingdom Metazoa; phylum Chordata; class Mammalia; order Primates; family Hominidae; genus Homo; species Homo sapiens. The sequence continues at coordinate 24,404,932 of NC_000018.10, forward strand.
TTAACTTAGTAAATGAGATGATTTTGTGAGTGGATATACGTGCCAGACACTGTTTTAGGCTTGGTGAGAGATAAAAGATAAATCCAATAACAGTCCTTCTCTTCAAGGACTTAATCTAGAAATACAGATAAGATGAAATAAGACTTGTAAATCAGCAGGTATATGAAGAAATTAAAAAATAATAATAACCATGAGAAAAGTACAGATAAAGGAGAAATAAGAGGAAGAAAGTTTTTTGGCTTTGTCTGTTTTCAGTAGGGGATGATCAGTGAATGCTTTACAGAAAAGGTGAGTTTTAAAGTTGCAATGGTTTGAATGTGTCCCCAAAAAGTTCATGTATTAAAAACCTAATTGCCACTGTAACAGTATTAAGAGGTGGGACCTTTAAGAGGTGATTAGGTCATGATAGCTCCACCCTCATGAATGGATTAATGCTGTTATTTGGGAAGTGAGTTAGTTATCATCGGGGTGGGTTCCTGATAAAAGGATCAAGTTCAGCCTCCAATCCTGCTCTATCTCATGCTTGCACCTCCTCTCCACATGGTGCCCTTCCACCATTGGACGACACAGCCCTAATCAGATGCAGTGCTATGCTCTTAGACTTCCCAGCCTCCAGAACTGAGAGGCAAATACATTTCTATTCTATATGTTACCCGGTCTGTGATATTCTGTGATAGAAGCAGAAAACAGACTAAGACAAAAGTTAAATGCTTAAGATGGATAGGATTTCAACATATGGAAATGATTAGAGAACATGTTATGCAAATGAAATAGTATAAGCAAAACTGACCAAGGTAGAGGACTGTGGACACAAAAGGTAGAGGAGGACCTTGCACACAATAGACCACAATGCAAATGCATGAAACAAAACACTGACTGGATTCTCAGGAAGGCCCAACAATCTTCTATCCTTTGTCCTTCCCTAGTCAGTCCTGAGCCAAAGCTAGAGGGACAGGTAGTTGAAGGAGCCTTTGAGATACCCAAGTGTGGATGACAGATGGGAGTTCAGATGTAAATTCTGGACTAGATATATAAATTTGTGATCGTCTGTGTGGAGGTGACATGGCTTCATGTCACCTCCACACAGACGATCACAAATTTATATCCAGCAGAAGATGGTTTAGGGAGAAAGGGGAATCAAGTGAGGAGAAAAGGAGTTAGAGCTGTGCTTTATTTCCTGCCCTTCAGGTAACTTTCTTCACTCTCCTCAAATCCCTTTCCCATAGCTCCCTTCCACAGTCTCAACAGGTGACTTCACCTCTTACTTTACCAAGAAAACAAAAGCCATTAGATGAAGGCCCTCCAAACTTCTTACCACCAAACCAACAAATCTTTCAGCACCTATATAATTTCTTCTTTTCCCTTTTCTGTTAAAATGGAAGAGGGATCCATCCTAAGATTGGAGCTTCCACAGATGTTCATATAATTCCTCCCTTTGCCTCTTCAGCAACCTCATTCCATCAACTCGCTCTCTCCTAGATCTTCAAGTGCTCTCAAAATGTACCTGCTACATAAATGTTCTCTAATGTCTGCCATCTTTAAAAACCCTCCTGCCAGATGGCACCATTTTTTTCATTCCTCCTTCAGAGTTAACTACTTGAAAGAGTAGTCTACACTGGCACTCTCTATTTCCTCTCCACTCTCATTTCTGGTCCCACAACTCCATTGAAACTGTCCTTGCTGCCAGGCGCAGTGGCTCATGCCTATAATCCCAACAGTTTGGGAGGCCAAGGCAGAAGGATCACTGGAGCCCAGGGAGTTCAAGACCAGCCTGGGCAACATAGTAAGAGCTCATCTCTACATAAAAATAAACAAAAATTAGCTGAGCATGGTGGCACACACCTGTAATCCCAGCTATTCAGAAAGTTGAGATGGGAGGATCATTTTAGCCCAGGTGGTGCAGTGAGCCATGATCATGCCACTGCATTCCAGCCTGGGTGATAGAGTGAGACCCTGTCCCTCCCTCCTTCAGAGAATGCTCTTCTGTTAGTTTTCCTGAGCTCCCAGTTCTTGGCTCTTCTCTTAACTGTTGAATGTTCTGCCTGAAACTCTACTTCCCCTGGTACTCTTCTTAGGAGAGCACATATGCTTCCATGGCTACAATAACTTTCTATACACTCCTGTCTCCCAAGTCTCTAACTCAGGTCCCAATGTCACTTCCGAGCCTCTGACTCACACATCAATTAATGAAACTCAACCAAAAGTTCAATTTCTCCTCTTCCTCCCAACCTCTTGCTTTCCTTTTTATATTCTTTTTCTTGGAGGTAAGCACTCTCTTTCTCTATCCTCCCCATCCTGGCTTTCTCCCTGCCTCCACAACCCCAATCTATTCTTTACTTTGTAGCCAGATGACATTTCCAAAATTTAAATCTGATCTATTAATTCCCTTGCTGAAAATTCACTCTTTTTTTTTTTTTTTTTTTTTTTTTTGTAGAGACAGTGTCTTGCTATGTTGCCCAGGCTGGAGTGCAGTGGCTATTCACACATGCGATCATGGTGCGCACTACAGCCTCTAACTCCTTGGCTCACGGGATCCTCCAGCCTTAGCCTCCTAGTAACTGGGACCACAGGAGCACCACCAGTCCACTCCCAGCTTCAGCTCTACATCTTTTGGGACGTAGTCTAAACCCCTTAGCGTCATAAAGCCATGCGTATGTCCAGACTCATCTCTCATCACTATCACCATGGTATTTCACACTGTGGCAATTATGAACAACTTTCAGTTCCCAGTATTGATGCAGTATTTGATGCTTAGAGCCTTTGCCCATGTTGTTCTTTGGTGCTCTGAATGCTTTCCCAGTTTCTTCGTCTTCCTGATATTTATGCTTCATGCAGTCTGAGCTTAAAAACCACTTCTCCCCAGGTGCAGTGGCTCACGCCTGTAATCCCAGCACTTTGGGAGGCCAAGGCAGGCAGATCATGAGGTCAGGAGTTCAAGACCAGCCTGGCCAACATGGTGAAACCCCGTCTCTACTAAAACACAAAAATTAGCTGGGCGTGGTGGTGCATGCCTGTAATCCCAGCTACTGGGGAGGCTGAGGCAGGAGAATGGCTTGAACCCAGGAGGCAGAGGTTGCAGTGAGCCAGTTGTGCCACCGCACTCCAGCCTGGGTGACACAGCAAGACTCCATCTAAAAAAAAAAAAAAAAAAAAAATCACTTCTCTCCGAAGGCCTTCCTGACTCCATATGGCTGGGTTAGGGGCCCTTCCTATAGGCTATCCTATTACTTTGTACTTACTCCTATGATCATCACACGGTCTGCAAATGACTCTTGATTTAACTATATCTTTCATCTTTAATCTAGAAGTAGATTGGCCTTTTAGCAGAAATGCCTTGCTTACCAGTTTATCCCTTTTATCTAACATAGTGCATGGCACATATTCAGAAATCAATAAATGGTTGTTGAATGAATGAAATGAACTGGGGCTTTATGTCTAAGATGTTTTATGTCTAAGATGTTTTATAAGAAGGCAGTACAGGGAAGTGGAATGTACACAAAATTAAGAATCAGAAAGTTGGTTCAAATCCCAGTTCTCTGTGTCTTAACTAGCTATAAGACCACAATGTATTTACCTTCTCTGGATGGAGGGCCCACAAAGTGCTAGGCACTGTACTGCATGCTGGGGATACAAGGATGAAGACTTAGTAACTGGCATTAAGGAAGCTGAGTTTAAAAAGATATATATAGAAATAGGTGAGAGGTGGGAGGACAGAACATCCCACATATTGGGAGTGACATGCTAGAAGGACTGTAGCAGGCAAGCAATCACATCCCTCATTATCAGGAGCGAAGTAGTTCAGTGAGTTAGAACCTAAGGTACTGGAGACAGCTGGGGTGAGGAGATGAGACTGGAGAGAGAAGCAGGAGCCATATCTCGAAGGGCCCTATACTGTGTCATAAAGTTTGAGATTCATTCTCAGGGCCTTGGAGTTAAAACCCCAAACAGTTTCAAGCAGGAGAGTCACAGTACTGGATTTCCATCATAGAGATAAAGATGGTGGCGATGTGGAGAATGGGTTCTAAGATGGTAAAGTTGGAAGCAAGAATACCAGCAAGGATGCTGTTGCAGGGGGCTCAGTCAATAGGTAGCAGTGGCTTGAATTTCTGCAGGAACTATGGGGATGGTGCAAAGTATTAGTAGGCAGATTCAGGACAGAAGGAACTTAGTCCTTAGCCGATAGGACAGAAGGAACTTGGTGATGGTTGAATGAGAGGGATGAGGGACAAGGAAGATAAAGGATGGCTGCCATGTGTCTGGTCCAGGCAACTGGCATGTAGAGGAGCCATTTCCTGAGGTTGGGAATGCAGACGAAGAGGCTTTTGAACAGTGGATGCTTTAATGAGAGAGCTCTGTTAGCTGAAGGCAGGATAGGTAGAAGGGAAAAGTCTGGAGTCAGGACAAGGAGCTAAGATGTCCCTGCAGTAGTATAGGGATGAGGTGATATGGCCTGAACTAAGGTGAGCAACTGGAATAGAAAGAAGTGAAGGGTCTTAGAAATTAAAATAAAATCCTGAGCCCTCCTAGTGACTGAATGAACTCCCTCTTGACCAAGGAGACTCTAGAAAAAAACCAAAAAAACTGAATTCCTGGCCATGATGGGAAGAGAGGTGAGACATGCCTCATTATACCACATGCCTTTTGGAGTTTAGGCACAATGACCAGCATTAATGTTAAAATAGAGATAATAAGACTGACAAGGTCAGGCACAGTGGCTCCCGCCTATAATCCCAGCACTTTAGGAGGCTGAGGCAGGCGGATCCCTTGAGCTCAGGAGTTTGAGACCAGCCTGGGCAACATGACAAAACCCTGTCTCTATAAAAAATACAAAAAAAATTAGCTGGACATGGCGGTGCACACCTATAGTCCCAACTACATGGGAAGCTGAGGCTGGAGGGACACCTGAGCCCAGGAGGTCGAGGCTGCAGTGAACCATGATCATGCCACTACACTCCAGCCTGGGTGATAGAGACCCTGTCAAAAAAAAAAAAACAAAACAAACAAAAAAAAAACCACACACACACACAACAAAACGGGCTCTTCGTGGCAATAAGATACCAAATTATGAATAAGACCTAAGGCGGGTTAAGTCACACCTGCAAACAATCATTCCTTTCTGCTGATTTCAAGTTTTAGACAGAGCCTTACTCCTTTAACCAATTGCAAATAAAGAACCTCTGAATCCACATGTAACCTGAAAGCTCCCGATTCAAGATATCCCTCCCACCTTTTTGGGCTGAACCAATGGATACCTTCCATGTACTACTGATTTATGTCTTTGCCTATCACTCCTGCCGCCCTAAAATGTATAAAACCAAGCTGTAATCTGACTGCCTTGAGACTACTTACTCAAGGCTTCTTGGGTTTGCATTTTCCCTGGTCATGGTGACTTACACTGCCTCAGAACAAACCTATTTAAAATATTTCATGGAGTTTGGTTTCTCCATTAGTAAGCTAATGTGACTGATGAGGGGAAGTAACAATAGACAGGGCTTGGCAGTTACAATGGAGAGTCCTGAAGAATATATTGAATAGCCAGATTAGGGGGCTATCCAAAAGTCTTTGAAAGCCAAGCAGAGGAACTGAGACTTGATTCAGTGGGGGAGAAATATTATAATATTCCTGGACAAAGAATGTTTAAGGAACATTAGTCTAACAACAGTGTACAAGGGATCAACCAGAGAAAAGAAAGGATAATGGAGGCAGAGAGACAATATGGTTATCATTTGAATAGAACACCCTGAGAATGCAGACTCTACCAATGAAGAACATAAGGTACTTGTGACTTAGTCAATGTGGGGTATAAAGGAGAGGATGCAACTGACGTATCACCACAGCACATAACACATTCTCAGGAATTATTTGTTTATATGTTTAACTCTGACAGGCTATGGGCTTCTTTTTTTTTTTTTTTTTTTTTGAGATGGAGCCTCGCTGTGTTGCCCAGGCTGGAATGCAGTGGCGTGATCTCGGCTCACTGCAAGCTCTGCCTCCAGGGTTCACGCCATTCTCCTGCCTCAGGCTCCAGAGTAGCTGGGACCACAGGCGCCCACCACCACGCCTGGCTAATTTTTTGTATTTTTAGTAGAGACGGGGTTTCACTGTGTTAGCCAGGATGGTCTCCATCTCCTGACCTCGTGATCTGCCTGCCTCGGCCTCCCAAAGTGCTGGGATTACAGGCGTGAGCCACCGTGCCCACCGGCTATGGGCTTCTTAAAGTCAGAAACTATGTCTTCTTTATTTTTATATCTTCAATATATAGCCAAATTATGGCATAGATCAAGTCTTGATAAATATTCTTGAATAACCAACCTAATGAATACATAAGTTGGATAGGCAGAGTATACATGAAAGCAAGATAGTTTGGGGAAGGTCTTTTTTGTTTTTGTTTTTTTTTTTTTTAATTTAGAGTTTGGCCGGGTGTGGTGGCTCACACTTGTAACCCAGCACTTTGGGAAGCTGAGGCAAGCAGATCACTTGAGGTCAGCAGTTTGAGACCAGCCTGGCCAACATGGTAAAAACCCTGTCTCTACTGAAAATACAAAAATTAGCTGGGTGTGGTGGTGCATGCCTGTAAAGCCAGTTACTTGGGAGGCTGAGGCACAAGAATCACTGGAGCCCAGGAGGCAGAGGTTGTAGTGAGCTGCGATCACTTCATTGCACTTCAGCCTGGGCAACAGAGTGAGACTCCATCTCAAAAAAAAAAAATTAGAGACTGGGTCTCTGTTGCCCAGGCTGGAGTGCAGTGATGTGATCATGGCTTACTGCATCCCAAACTCCTGGGCTCAAGCAATCCTCCCACCTCAGCCTCCCAAGTAGCTGGGACTGCAGGCAGTTGCCACTACCCCTGGCTAATATTTATTTATTTATTTATTTTTTGTAGAGGTAGAGTCTACATTGCCCAGGCTGGTCTCGCACTCCTGGACTCACACAATCCTCCCACCTCAGCCTCCCAAAGTTCTGGGATTACATGCATGAGCCACCACTCCCCACCTAAGAATGTTTTGAATTTGGCTTTGAAGTGTTCTTTCTTTAAAAAAAATTTGTTTCACACCGCTGGACTAGGATGAAATGGCTGTGAAATGTTGAGTTTAAGATGTGACATCTAAGATACCCACTTGTAAATGTCTTATAGATACAGAAAGAGTAGTGCTCAGAAGTCCAGAAGAGAGAAGAAATCTGGAGAGAGGCACAGTAGGGAGACATCAGTGTTAATCACGTCTCTCACTGCACCCCCATCTGACATTTGAAACAAACAAGCTGAAACCTCGGTGGCTTCATAACATAATGCAATGCAGTCAAGGATAGAGGTTCCACTCCAGGTTTCTTCCATTGTGAGCACCACCACTGTCAATAGGTGAATCACAGAATTCCTGCAGAAGGGGAGAGAGAGCCTGCAGGTCTGCACTGGAGGTTTTATGGATGGACCTAGAAGTGGTTTGTTTCAATTTTTTTTTTCTTTTTTAGACAGAATCTTACTCTGTCACCTAGGCTGGAGTACAGTGGTGCTATCTCAGCTCACTGCAACCTCCGCCTCCCAGGTTGAAGCAATTCTTCTGGCTCGGCCTCCTGAGTAGCTGGGATCACAGGCATGTGTCACCACACCCAGCTAATTTTTGTATTTTCAATAGAGACAGGGTTTCACCATGTTGGCCAGGCTGGTCTTGAACTCCTTACCTCAAGTGATCTGCCCACCTCAGCCTCCCAAAGTGCTGGGATTACAGGCGTGAGCCAACGCGCCCAGCCGGTTTGTATCACTTCTACTCATCTGATATGGTTTCACTTTTTGTCCCCACCCAAATCTTATCTTGAATTGTAGCTCTCATAATTCCCACACGTTGTGGGAGGGACCAAGTGGGAGATAACTGACTCATGGGGGTGGTTTCCCCCATACTGTTCTCGTGGTAGTGAATAAGTCTCACAAGATCTGATGGTTTTGTGAAGGATTTCCCTTTTCACTTGGCTCTCCTTCTTTCTTTTTTACTGCCATCATGTAAGAGGTAACTTTCACCTTCTGCCATAATTGTGAGGCCTTCCCAGCCACACGGAACTGTGAATCCATTAAACCTCTTTTTCTTTATAAATTACCCAGTATTGGGTATGTCTTTATCAGCAGCGTGAAAACGAACTAATCCACCATCTGTTTGTGTTCTCTCAATGCCTTCAAACTCGAGCTTGACTGTTGACTGAACAATTAAGGAGAAACATTTGCCTCCCAATCCATTCCATGCCCTTCTCTATTCTGCTCTCTGTCCTGAAAGGCTGGTCTCTAGGGATCAACCATCAGAGCTTCCTTGCTCTCTGGCTTCCAATTTGGGTTCAGAGGATGAGAGGTAGCAGCAGGAGAGTAGAAACTGGAAAAGAGGAAAGGAAAGGTCTCTATCACTTCCTTGCCCATCCCTACCCTCCACTGACACTTTGTGGAGAATTCCGGCACCGCAGTTGCATTTTCCTGCAGCCACAGCTTCTCTTGGGCAGTTCCTGTTCTATGGCTCCAGTTCTTGCTGGCCTCCAATAATACTATTCTCAATCCTGGGGTCCTAATGGCTTCCTGCAGTTAAGAGTCTCTGGCTGTTTCTCTAATCTCTTGTGTGGTCCCTTAGTATTGCTCATTCTTCTGTAAATCATCCCTTCCTTAATCTGTCTTCAGTTGAATCCTTTGAGTATGCCATTTGTTTTCTGTTGAAACCCTAACAGATACATTATTTACTAGCTCATACTAATTCCATTTCAATTACCAATGCACTATTTTTGTGGGTGATTTAATTTGTTCCATCAAAAGGGGCACAAGTGACCACTGTAGTCAAAATTACATTTTAGTACCACATACTGAAATTTTAAGTCCATATTGCATATTCTGTACCAAGAGAGATCCTTTCTTTTCATTAGCTTGACTACAGAAATGGTTATTCATAACTCTAGTGTTCATCTATAGCTATAGTAACGCCATAAAGTGACTTGAACCACCCTATTCTATCATTTTTTTTCTATTCCTGTTGGAGACCATTTCTACTTATGCATCCAAGGATACAACATCAGGCCAGGTGCCATGGCTCACACCTGTAATCCCAACACTTTGGGAGGCCAAGGTGGGTGTATTTTGTATTTTTAGTAGAGATGGGGTTTCGTCGTGTTGGGCAGACCAGCCTGGCCAACACGGCGGAACCCCATCTCTACTAAAAATACAAAAATTAGCCAGGCATGACGGTGCATGTCTGCAATCCCAGCTACTGAGGAAGCTGAGGCATGAGAATTGCTTGAACCTGGGAGGCAGAGGTTGCAGTGAGCTGAGATCCAGCCACTGCATTCCAGCCTGGGCGATAGACTGAGACTCCCTCTCAAAAAAAAAAAAAAAAAAAAAGGAAGAAAGAAAGAAAAAGAAAAAAAGAGAAATAAATGGTAGGTAGCTGTAAAACAGCAGTACAGGTAGTAGGAAGGAAAGATAGTGCATATGTTAATAAGAGGTTGAGATTTCTTGATACTGTACAAAGGGCATGACTGATCAAGCTATACCACGGTGGCAAGGGTGAACTTTAGATAACCAAGAGAGGTCACAGGAGATGAGAAAACAGAAAAATTGGTTTACCATATACATTTAGAAAAGCAGATAAGAAATCTGGAGTTTTGTTCCCACCACACAGCAGTTGCTGAGTTTGCAGTTGGGAGCTGCTGAATAAGAACTGTGTCTTACTAATGTTCTTATCTCCAGCATCATTATGAAACTTCCACATATCAAGCAGCAAAAAATAATGACTAAGTTAAATAGTGAAACTTCATACTGTTTTCTGTGTGAAATATTGTAGAGTTGCTGGGCTCAGTGGCTCAGGCCTGAAATCCCAGCACTTTGGGGGGCCGAGGGGGGCATATCACCTGAGGTCAGGAGTTCGAGACTAGCCTGGGCAACATAGTGAAACCCTGTCTCTGCTAAAAATATGAAAATTAGCTGGGTGTGGTGGCAGGCACCTGTAATCCCAGCTATTTGGGAGGCTGAGACAGGAGAATCACTTGAACCCAGGAGGTGGAGGTTGCAGTGAGCTGAGACCATGCAACTGCACTCCAGCCTGGGCAACAAATGCAAAACTCCATCTCAAAAAAATATATACTGTAGAGATGTTTTACTGTAAAATGTTTATTAATTGTACAGCTCTGTAAATTCTATGATAAAAATATAATATATAATAGCGATATATTATAAAATGACATAATATAGTATTTACTGAATGCTTACTATACGCCAGGCAATATACTAAAGCCTTTACATAAGTTATATCATTTGATTTTCACACTAATCCTATAAAACAGATATTATTATTTTCATACTTACAGGGAGAGAAGGAAACTGAGGCATGGAGCTGTTAAGTCACACAGCTAGTCATTGGCAAAATCAGCATTTATACCTAAGCATCCTGGCTCTGGAGTGTTTCCAAAGAACATAAGTACACTGTATACCCATAGCAGCTTAAACGTATACCACATCAACCTCGCAAGAGGATGCTCAACAGTGTTTGGCTAAGGCCAATGATTTTGAATCTCTTCAGCAACCATTAGTCAGGATAATTCAGTGTGCCATTCAGTGTCGAAAATAAGTCCTACTGAAAAAAGCCTAGTTATGCATTTTCCTTTACACTTGCTTAGCCTTCTTGTAAGTGAATCACATAGTGCATTGTACACAGCACAAAACAAGCACTCAATAAGTATTCAGTGAATTTAACCAAACTAGTAACTTTTCAGTAGCTTTGTAAGAAAAAGTACCAGGAGTCATGAAAAACAAGCAAGCAAACAGTGATAGTAAAAGACATAGTAAATATCAACATAAATCATCATTACCTCCTGGATACAAATTTTTGCTAGCTTTGGGATAATGGTTCAAATAATATTTTCAAGAATATTGTTTAAAATGGTCACTGATAGTCTTTGAGTGCAGTAGAAAGCTCATTTACCCGGAGTTCTTTCCTTGAAAGCCTTAGATTGGTCTTCAGACAAACCAAAGTATTTTCTTTTTTTTTTTTTCTTTTTTTCTAGTCCTTGACTCAGGAAAACCACAGTATTTTAAAGAAAGGAAAAGCGCCATATTCACTTTTTTCATGTACAGGAAAACCTTGGTCTGAAAATTAAAAATGAAAGCTCTAAGAAGACACTTTATGATGGCCATTGTATGAAGGTGATTGAAAGGCTATTTTTTTCATGTTCTATTTTCTCAAGGTAATCATAGTCCAAACTGGCAAGGACTAGAATACCTCCTGTACCTAACTGGACAGAGTAAATTAGATTTTAACATTTCACAATCTCAAAGACTCTTTAATTAGAATTCAAAAAGCCATTTGTTCCAGAGTTGGAGTTTCCTACCCGCCCAGATCAGTTGTCCTATCCCAGGGTGACATAGCAACCCTAGAGATGATCTGAATTGGCCTAACCACCTTGTGTGTGCTTTGTCACTTCCTTACATCCCTTCAGCATGTGAAGACTCTCTCTTCCACCTCCAGATGAGCTGTTTCCCCAACCATCTAAGTTTGGCATCCATTTAACTAATATTTATTGAGTATCTACCATACATCGGGGCTGCTTCTGGTGTCGGGGACACAGCCGTGAATAAGACAGACAACACCTATGCCCACATAGAGCTTACATGCAGTTGAGGAAGACAAACTACACACACACTAAAGATACGTAACTTGGGGCCAGGCATGGTGGCTCACACCTGCAATCCCAGCACTTTGGGAGGCCAGTGGAGCTTGAATCCAGGAGTTGGAGACAAGCCTAGGCAACATAAAGAGACCCCGTCTTTATGTTTAAAAAAACAAAATTAAAGAAAGAAAGATACATATCTTGGATAATTATTGAATATTGATTCACCCTGTGAAAAAATTCCACAAGATAGATGGCCCTCAGGTATCTCACTATTCACCTGGGCCCATTCTGTCAACCCTATTTCAAGTACAACAATTTAAAGAAGGAAAAGAGTTTTCAAATAAATGTAAAATCCAAATGAATCATGAAGTTTTATTTCTGTCATTTGTAAAGAATAAACTTATTTCAAATTTTTTTTTAAAATAAATAATTCCACAGGATAATGGTTTAGAGCAGCAGTTCCCAACCTTTTTGGCACCAGGGACCAGTTTTGTGGAAGACAATTTTTCTCAGACTTGGGGGATGGGGGGATGGTTTCGAGATGATTCAAGCACATTACATTTATTGTGCACTTCACTTCTATTATTATATTGTAATGGATAATAAAATAATTCTACGACTCACCATAATGTAGAATCAGTGGGAGCCCTGAGCTTGTTTTCCTGCAACTAGATGGCCCCATAGGGTTGGGGGCAAGTGATGGGAGACAGTGACAGATCATCAGGTGTTAGAATCTCATAAGGAGCGTGTAACCTAGGTCCCTCGCGTGCGCAGTTCACAATTGGGTTTGCGCTCCTATGAGAATCTAATGCCGCTGCTGATCTGACAGCAGGCAGAGCTCAGGCAGTAATGCCAGCAATGAAGAGCAGCTGTAAATACAGATGAAGCTTCGCTCCAGTGTCGCCGCCCTCTGCTCACCTCCTGCTGAGTGGTGTGGTTTCTAACAGACCCCTGGTCCGGGAGTTGGGAACCCCTGGTTTACAGTGGGAAAGAAAAAAATCACCTGTTAGTTGGAAGCTGGCCTGGCACACACAGCTAGATCACAGCATTCTCCCATCAAACATCAACAGTTTCATGGCACAACAACATCAGATAAGCTCACTCTGTGGTCGTGATGAAGCAAAACAGACAAAACAAAAAAGACCACTCTGTAATCGTGTCTGAGCAGGGACAAAACAAGGACACTGCAAATCACTAAAATGACCAAACAGCCATTTCTCCCAGCTGAGTGAGGGCTACCTCTTTGCCAATAGCAGCTTTAGTCCCACTCCATTCCTCCTGCCTCCCAGACAAGAGTCATTAAGATACCCAATCATTGAATTACCCTCCTTTCCTAACAGCCCTCAATCCAGAATAAACCCCCTTCCTTGAATACAAGCCCAAACTCTCTAACAAGTCCCTTGAAAGACTTTTTTTTTTTTTTTTTTTTTTGGGACGGAGTCTCGCTGTGTCGCCCAGGCTGGAGTGTAGTGGCTCACTGCAACCTCCGCCTCCCAGGTTCAAGCAATTCTTTGCCTCAGCCACCCGAGTAGGTGGGATTACAGGTGCCTGGCACCATGTCTGGCTAATTTTTGTATTTTTAGTAGAGACGGGGTTTCACCATCTTGGCCAGGCTGGTCTTGAAATCCTGACCTCATGATCCACCCATCTTGCCCTCCCAAAGTGCTAATACTACAGGCGTGAGCCACCGCCTCTTGTAAGAGTTTCTTACCAAGATATCCCAAGATTTGCCAAGGTGTGTGGTCTCACTTGCTGCCACAAGCACCGATAAGCCCAACTTTGTTGGATTATAGTGTATATCTGGTGGTCTTTGATTAGGAGGCATTGTTGGGGCTCAGAAACTGATACCCCAAAATATGGTACTTTGGCGTGCTAGCCTAAAGAAGCAGTCTCAAGCTCTCTCTGACCACCCACCCAACCCTGCCTCCTGTCTCTATGAAGCTGTTCACTTTGAAGTTCTCTAATTTGACTAAAATCTGGATCTGCCAAAGAAGAAAACCTCTGGACCCTTCCCTGAGTTTTCATTAATTTAATTCATATAACAGGAAGAAAGACTGCAGTCTGTCAGTGCACCAGGACAGGTTTTTGTTGTTGTTGTTGTTGTTTTTATGAGATGGAGTCTTGCTCTGTTGCCCAGGGTAAAGTGCAGTGGTATGATCTTGGCTCACTGCAACCTCCGCCTCCTGGGTTCAAGTGATTCTCCTGCCTCAGCCTCCCAAGTAGCTGGGATTACAGGCGCGTGCCACCATGCCTGGCGAATTTTTGTATTTTTAGTAGAAACGGGGTTTCGCCACGTTGGCCAGGCTGATCTCGAACTCTTGACTTCATGATCTGCCCACCTCACCCAAAGTGCTGGGATTACAGACCTGGGCCACCACGCCCACCCAGCCACCTGGACAGATTTTTGTCATAAACTGTTGTTTGCTCTGCAGGCCCAACAGATTGTGTCCCAAGCCATTTTATGTTCTCCAACTCCTTTCATTTCTCCCTAAAAATCATTTACTAGCCTTCAAATTGCCACATTTCCCCATCTCCCCATCCTCTACGTAGAAAGGTTTATAAACCTCTGTCTCCATTTGGTGACTATTCTCATGTGATTCTCCTGCTATGCATGTCCAGAAAGGTTTTTTAATGCCTTTGCTCCTATTCAACTGCCTTGTGCCAGTTGATTTTTCAGCAAACTTTCAGAGGGTGAAGGGGTAGCTTTCCCTTTGCTCTGACAGCATCAACAAGGGGGAGAGGGGAAGAAGCCTTTAGTTAGGGTGACCAGGAAAATCTTTGATAAGGAGGTAACATTGTGTTAAAAAGTGAAAGGTAAAGAGATGGCCATTTGGGTTGGGTGCAGTGGCGCACATCTGTAATCCTAGCACTTTGGGAGGCCAAGATGGGTGGATCACTTGAGGCCGGGAGTTTGAGACCAGCCTGGCCAACATGGTGAAACCCTGTCTCCACTAAAAATACAAAAATTAGCCAGGTGTGATGACACATGCCTGTAGTCCCAGCTACTTGGGAGGCTGAGGCAGGGGAATCTTTTGAACCTGGGAAGCAGAGGTTGAAGTGAGCCGAGATTGTGCCACTGTACTCCAGCCTGGGCAACAGAGTCAGACTGTCCAAAAAAACAATAAAATAAAATAAAGGCCGGGAGCAGTGGCTTACACTTGCAATCCTAGGACTTTGGGAGGCCGAGGCGGGCGGATCACCTGAGATCAGGAGTTTGAGACCAGCCTGGCTATCACGGTGAAACACTATCTCTATTAAACATACAAAAATTAGCCAGGCGTGGTGGTGAGCACCTGTAATCCCAGCTACTTGAGAGGCTGAGGCCCAAGAATCACTTGAGCTCAGGAGGCAGAGGTTGCAGTGAGCCAAGATCAGGTCACTGCACTCCAGCCTGTGTGAGAGTGAGACTGACACACACACACACAAACACACACACACGACGGCCATTTGAAGATTTAAGGGAAGAACATTCCACTCAGAGGCAAAAGGGAAAAGCAAATAACTTGTATTTCTTAACCAACAATTTTGACTTCACACACATCTCCTCTGAATATTGATTTTGAGGTTATGGGGAAGCTAATCATACGGCCATTTTCTACTTTTAGTCAAAAAAGCTTCTGGAGGGAAAAAATTTGAGATGTCACGTAAAGAGGTAAGGAAGTCAAGTGTGGCAGTTAAGGGTGCATGGTGCTGAGGAAGGCTTATCTCTGGCTTTACCCACTCCCACTCCCACCCAAGAACCTGTTCTCCGTTGGCTATAACCCAATCCTTGCTAAAGTTTCAATGAATAATTAACAAAAGAACTTGTAACTATCCCTTCTAGAAGTTTATTCATTAAGAAGATGCTTCTTGAAAATGAAAAAATAAAAAGATCAGATTTAATTCTTTTTTTGAGACAGAGTCTCACTCTGTTGCCCAGGCTGGAGTACAATGGAGCAATCTTGGCTCACTGCAACCTCCTCCTCCTGGGCTCAATTGATCCTTCCGCCTCAGCCCCCCAAGTAGCTGGGACTAGAGGCATGAGCCACCACGCCCAGCTAATTTTTGTGTTTTTTGTAGAGATGAAGTTTCACCATGTTGCCCAGGCTGGTCTCAAACTCCTGAGCTCAAGTGATCCACCTGCATTGGCCTCCCAAAGTGCTAGGATTACAGGCGGATGAATTACTGTGGAACACTTGTTTGAACATGCTGTTACTGGGGAAACAAACCTGCCGTAGCGGTCAATGAAGTACTTGCAAAACTGCTTGGGGGATAGGAGTACCTGTTTCTGAAAAGGGGGTGCTGACTGGAGGTGGTGTAACAGGGTCCCTACCACACAGCACAGTTCCTCTCTAGGTGAACTCTAACATAACACCTGAGATGCCACTCTTCCATTCCCTTCAAATCTCCTGAAGTCAGGAAATGCCTCTGGCTCCATTATTTTATTTATTTATTTATTTGAGACAGAGTCTCGCTCTGTCACCCAGACAGGAGTGCAGTGGTGGGATCTCAGCTCACTGCAACCTCCGCCTCCCGGATTCTCCTGCCTCAGCCTCCAGAGTATTTGGGATTACAGACACACGCCACCATGCCTGGCTAATTTTTGTATTTTTAGTAGAGATGGGGTTTCACCATGTTGGCCAGGCTGGTCTTGAACTCCCGACCTCAAGTGATCCGCCCGCCTCGGCCTCCCAAAGTGCTGGGATTACAGGCATGAGCCACCATGCCAGGCCAGGCTCTATTATTTTTTTCTAACTATGTTTATACAATTATCAGCTAATCTTCCCAGGATACAGTGTTACTTATGGTGAAATTATAATATTAAAGGATTTTCTCTCTCCCCTAATTGCTTGCTTGACATTGACTCTGTTTCCTTGATTACTTCTTTGACAAGAACTTCTCCATAAAACTTATAGTTTAATATCCAGTATTTTAATCTTCAGCCATAGTGGGTCAAATTATTGAGTAAGCAAATGAACAGCACAAAGAGAAGGAAGAGCCTCAGCATTCATTGTCCTTGTAGTCAGCTATATTTTGGCTTTCATTGTCTGGGAGCTAAGGTAAACACACAGAGAACAGGAGGGAAAAGATCATTGTGTACTAAGATGGTTTGTGTTTTGTTTCTAAAATATTTTGAGGACATATTTCCCTAAGAAAAATATTTCAGAACCAGATAATATTGTAAGTTAATATTGTTAAAAGATAAACACATTAAAATTGTCACGAGTTTGAGAATGAAGCTATTCATGAATCACGCAGCACCAGAGCTCAAACAGTTCAACACTCCACTAAATTGGTGGGAGGGAGAAATTTTTCTAAGGTGTTTGCAGAAGCAAGATAAAGAAAATATTTGATGGCTTAAACTAGAAAGTCCCTAGTTAGATGTCACTTAGTGGTTTCTGATTGGTTAAGCTTAAGTTTACACTGAGTTCTATTTCTGTTTGCTTACTCAGAAACACAAGGCAATGGAACTGTCTTAGCCTCATGGCCTCCCAATTAATTATTTTAACAAAACCATATGGACAGAATTTGCCTGTGTTACAGTGTATCCTAGAGCAGTTTGTTCTAGTCTTCTTGGAGAGGAAGATACCAAAATGAAGTTAAATATGCAAGAAATGTGTTAGGGGAAATGCCTGTAGAAAATTGGGAAGGAACTTGAAGAGGCTCAGAGAACCATCACACCGATACTAATCTGATCCTGAGTGAATGTTGAGAAACAAGTAGAGGAAAGGGCCTTCGCTGTGGCTCACGCCTGTAATCCCAGTACTTTGGGAGGCTGAGGCAGGAGGATCGCTTGAGCCCAGGAGTTTGAGACCAGCCTGGGCAACATAGTGAGACCTCCACTCTAAAACAAATCAAAAAATTAGCCTGGTGTGGTAGCGTGTGCCTGTAGTCCCAGCTACTTGGGGGTGCTGAGGTGGGAGAATTAATTAAGCCCTGGAAATTGAGGCCACAGCGAGCTATGATTCCCACCACTGCACTCCAGCCCAGGCGACAGAGATCCTGTCTCTAAGAAATAAAAAATAAAAAGAAGAAGAAGTAGAGGAAGGTTGTGCGGCAGTTTTTCTAAGGAAAGTTCAGCAAGGCGTGGAGCCCAAGCACCCCATCAGAGGAGTCCTGTCTCCCAAAAGTAGGCCCACCTGAGTAACTGCCATACTCTTGCCTGAGAGCTGCCCATGAAGAACGTGGTTTCAGTGCAAGCATAGTAATAGATATCTGAGCCCAGTAGCTGGAGCCCTCAGTCAATTACTCTTCCTGCTGTCTAAGATCGAAGAGCTGCTTTTACTCAGTCATCACACAAGATTCTCGAAATTTAATGTGCACACAAATCACCTGGGAATCTCATTAAAATGCAGATTCAGTAGGTCTGAGGTGGGGCCTAAGTTTCCGTACTTCTAACAAACCCTCAGATAATATGCTGTTGGTCCACAGACCTCACTTTAAGTAGCAAGGGCCTAGAGAATATTTGAAAGCGTCTTATTCAGGCCATCTAAACAGGTTATTGAGAACTCTTCACAGGTTTAATGCCTCACCCCTGATGTGCCAGGCAATTCTGTTGAAAACAGATATATACAATTCTAGGTTAGATTTTTGCCATTCAAATAACTCATTCTTCCTTGTGTAAAATCACAGCTGTCAAGCCCTTCTTGTCATACTACTTGTACAATCCCTTCATGATTATCTCTGTATCACCTGCATATGTGCATTCATTTTTGGTGCCAAGAGAGGGCTTTGACCTTCTATGATGTCAATCATATCCTCTTCCCCCTCCAACTATTTGGTATGGACGGTTTGTTTCCTAATCTTAAGCAAAACATTTCAAGCCCTTCCTAACAATATTGGTCTCCAAAATCCACCCTACACAGAAAGTTTGGTGCAGCCAGTTATCATAAATTTATCTTCTAGGTGTGAGTTCTCAGGGATTTGGGGATGTGCATCTCCTCCCAATTGCCTGAAGATTTGTGCAGTTATCATCCTGACCGTGTAGCCGTCCGTCTATCATAAAAAAGACCTGTGCCCTTCCTTCACTTTAGTTACTGACCCCTTTACATATCTTGGCTCAATTCCCTACATTGTGTCTACTGCATAAAACAGCAGTTTCATACTTTCCAGAAGCCATGGATTTCTTTCTTCAAAGAATGCTTAAGTAGATTAAGCTGGAATGGCTGAAACAATGAGAGACGAAATTAGAGAGATGACCAGGAACACATCTTGAGAGTTAAGGTGTTTAAGTGTTACCATGAAAGCAAGGGGGAGCAACCAAAGGATTTCAAGGGAGGAGACATGATCAGACTTACACAGTTCGATTACTTTGGCAGAGGTGAGAGAGGAGGATAACTTGAAGAAGGTCCAGATGCAATCAGAAAGACTAGGAAGGAGCATATGAGGAATACAAGGGATATCAAGGAATCAGAGTCGTCAGAACTTGCTGCCTGAGTATGGAGGCAAGGAATGAAGAGTATAGTATAGCATGTCTTCCAATTTTCAATCTTGGACAATTATGGATGCAAGGGTCCGAGGGTTGCCAATTATTGAACTGGGAAATATAGAAAAAGGAGTAAGTTTAGGAAAAAGTGATTGAGTTCAGTTGTGAACATACTGAGTTTAAGGGGGACAGCCAGTAACCATTTGAGTACATGGATATGTACATCACCGAAATCTGTCTTAAAGACCTCCTCTTGGATCCAGGGCTGTTTTTATTTGCAGAGTATTCTCGGTCTCTGCTTAGGCAACTGCTCAAGGTTTACACCAAGTAGTCTTTTCAACTGAATTGTCTATACCATCTTGCATTTTTCCAACATGTTCTTCAAAATGTAGGTTGCCTGCTACACTTGTTACTTTAAATTACTTCTCTCTTTCTCTTTTCAAAGGTCTCCTTGCATGTCCAAGTTTGGGGCCTTATTCAGGGTTCTCTGTATTGGCTACATGCTAATGCAGGCCAGAGAAACGGGGAGGGTTTTTTTCTGTTCCCTTTGGCAGAAAGAGCCATTTCCATTTAGAATTTGAGCTCAAAAGAAGACTTAAAATGTAGCTTTGAGGAAATAGGAATTAATAGAAAATCATGGGTGTAATCTGTAGAAGATGGCCTGGGTTGCTATGATATGTGGTAAGAATAGAGGTACTATGTGTAACTAATTGAATATATTGTGCTTTGTTTAGAAGGTTAAGTTTTAACATGGCGTTTTTCAAACTTGGGTTTTAAAGTTTTAGTGGGGCTGCTGGGAGGGAGGGAGTACTGCTAAGTACTTGGGACTTCTGTCCTATTTCCACTTCAGCCAGAACAATCAGTCCTATTTTCATTTCAGCCAGAACAAATTTGTTTTACATAAGCTTTCATTGAAGAAAAGGTTCCATGGCCTTTTAAAAAAGTGTGAAAACCATTATGTTTGCATAGAAGCTGCAGAAATATGAAAAGGTCAGTGAAGAAAGAGTTCAGGGATGGGTGTGGTGGCTCACACCTGTAAACCTAGTGCTTTGGGAGATTGAGGAGGGTGGATCATTTGAGGCTAGGAGTTTGGGACCAGTCTGGGCAACATAGTGAGACCCCCATCTCTACAAAATATAAAAAATAAATAGCTGGGTGTGGTGGCACATGCCTATAGTCCTAGCTACTAGGGGAGCTGAGGCAGGAAGATTGCTTGAGCCCAGGAGGTTATAGTGACTTATGCTGATGAACCAAATATATGACAGTGGTCTCATAAGACCACTTGCATGTCCAATACCATATCTGTAATATGGTATTTGTACTACCATACATTATGGTATTTGTACTACCATATTTGTACTGTACCTTTTCTTTGTTTAGATACACAAATGCCATGTGTTACAACTGCCTATTAGGTACAGTAACATGCTGTACAGGTTTGTAGCTTAGGAGTAACAGGCGATACATAGCCCAGATAAGTAGTAGGCTATAACATCCAAGTTTGTGTAAGTGTATTATTCTATGAAGTTCGCACTATCACGATGAAATTAAGGGTAAATTTCTCAGAATTTATCCAATCTTTAAGAGATTCATTACTGTACTTCTGGTTCAGGTTTACTTTTGTTCCCTTCACATCTTAGCCCCTTAAAGGCTATGTATGACATATGATTTTGCATCTCCAGTGTTTAGCACAGTAAGAGCCTAAAAAATGTCTGTTGAACTAGTAAATCCACAAGGTTTATACTCAAAGTAATGTAAGTGGAATTCTCTACAGGTGTTGAACTCCTAACTCTTGAGAAGAGTTTTATTTTTCTCTACAATGATTTATCTTAAGACAACGGTTTTAAAGAGGGGCAGAAAAATACCCATGATTAAGGGAGAAAGATGTAATATTTTGAGTTTTTGTATATTATGTGTGACGAAAAGTGAAGCAAGCAAGGATGCCTTGCAATCAAGAGATGTCTTGACTGAGGCGTCTCGAATAAGGTGGTTGATATAATTCATAACCAATGTATTAGAATGTCATTGAACTTGTGGGCGAGGGAGTAATGACAAACTGATTCATTTTTTTGGGAAAATGAATCAATGCTCCTTATGTTGACTGGCATAACTAGTGACTGGCACAAAAGTTGCCCCCAAAATATTCGAGACTAAAGAAAACGATCGCAATACAACAGTGAATGGGAGAATAAGGTTCCCCCTCACGCTTTCAAAATTACCGCCTGCCTTCTCTGTTCTCCAGTTTTGGTAAATCAAACCTATCTTTGCCAAAATCCGACAAAACTTAAAACATGTTAAAAACAGACAAACAAACACACAAAAACTCTCCCTAGGAATGTAAAGACGAGTCTGGGACTGTGGACTGAGGTTTGAGTCCCTTCCCGGGACGCGGTGGTAAATGACTCCCTAAAGTCTCCTGGCCATTCCGATGGCGCCAAGGCCGCAATGGGCAAGCAAAAGCCCCCCGCCCCGGCGCATTCCTAGGAGACAGAGCCGTGAGGGCCTCTGGCTGCAACTCGCGAGGGTCGGCTTTCCCTGGGTCTCCGCCCTACGGGAGACAGTGAAGGCGGGAGCAAGGCCCCAACCGAGAACCCCACCCCAAACCCGGGGGCCAGGAGCCCTTTACACCCTTCGGCCCGCCACCCGGAAGCAGATGCCGGCGGCGCGGCGTGGCAGGGTTGTGGTTCCGGGTCGGGCCGCGCCGCAGCCAGCTCTCGGCTCGCAGCCGCAGCGCCCCGCCCCCGCGCTCCGGACCTGGCAGGCGGCGGCTGCAGGGCAGGTCCAGGGGCCACATGGCTGAGGGGGACGCAGGGAGCGACCAGAGGCAGGTGAGGCCCCGGCGGGGTGCTGTCTCTCCAGGCTCGGCTCCGGCTCGCCTCGCCATGCCAGTCCTCCTCAGCCGAGGGGCCCTCCGCCTGGGGCCGCCCCGGGTTCCGCCAGCACTGGCCACGCCATTTGCTCCACCGCGTTCCATTTTCCCGGCGCTTCCCGTCGGCCGAGCGCTCTTAGGCCGGCGGCTCCTCGGCGGCCGCGGTCTCGGCCTGTCTCGGACGGTGTCCTCGTCAACCATTAACACGCGACTAAGCAGCTCTGGGCCGAAGGCAAAAACCGGGGTTTCGATCCCCACCCTGCCGCCGCCGAGTCATCTTGGACAAATCACTTAAGAATTCGGGTTTCCCCCTTTGCAAAATGGCAATAGCCCAGACCCTGCAGGTCCCGAGAGCCCACCGAATCTCACTCCTTCTGGTCCTTGGCATCGAGCTTTCCCTGTGCCTTGTTCACGTGGGCGATCATAAGTCTTTTCCTACAGGGCTGTGAGTACAAAATGAAATGCTACGAAGTCGAATGGATACTTTGCTTCCCATCTTTTCCCTTTAGGTCCTCCAGTTATTTTTCTTTTTTAACCCCAAGCCCAAAGAATAATTTATGAAACGTTTTAAGGGTTTGATTACCAAGCAACCACCCACCCATCTAGTCCTTGTGTACCCCCTCCCCACCTCCCCCCAACACAAAATTTAATACGAAGGAACCAGTGAGACACCCAGCAGGAGTACACAGATAATGTGGGGCAGAGCTATTGGGGGTGGGAGTCAGGGGTGGAGATTACCTGTTAAAAAAGAGAAGGTGGAACAGAGAAGATAGGTTTATCTTTTCACGTGTGAATGGTCACTACAAAGTATGGGAGTGCATATATATTATATTTTGACTCAATAGTGGCCAAAAGCACAGTAATGCAGTAGCAAGGCTGGCTCCAGTCATTGCAGTAGCGCCTAGCAACCACCCAGAGAGCAGAACATGGTGACCTGCTCTTAAGAAACTCTTGGCCTGGTGAGGCTCATCTAGGAATTTTTGATCTACTCTGGTAATGTTGAATTTGAATACCTTATAAAGTAGTAAGAATAGGATTTTAAGATGTGTACATTTGTTGACTTTTAAAAAATCAATTTCTTTCAGAATGAGGAAATTGAAGCAATGGCAGCCATTTATGGCGAGGAGTGGTGTGTCATTGATGACTGTGCCAAAATATTTTGTATTAGAATTAGCGACGATATAGATGACCCCAAATGGACACTTTGCTTGCAGGTACTTTTTCCCCCTTCCTTGCAGCCATCTTTCAGTTACAGTATGAACTATATTGTTGACTTCTGTATTCTAATGATTGTGTTGTTTTCTAAATTATCTTTGTTCTTGGCTTTTCTCAATGATTAAACACATGGGCAGTTACATCTCAGATCACTTTCAAATCATACATTAATTGATAGTTCCAGTCTTTCTAATCCAATGCTTTTAATCATTTAAAAGTGTTAATGTACCCTTGAGAGACTGTAGTTTTGCTTCCCTTCATTATTCTCTTCATCTGGTAGGAGAGGGTCCAAACCTGGAAAGATGGCTAACATTTAAAAGGAAAGAGAGGTTAGTAATGTAGATGACTCGTAGAGGAGACAGTCATTTCTTTATTAATTGAGAATCAATGATCAATGATCAGTTGTAGTTAGGATAAAATAAATGAAAAGGTCAGCTATGGCTTTTCTTAGTGCTTAATCTTTGATGACTGCTTGTATGTACTTTCAACATAAAGGATGCAAAACAGTTTTTGCCAGTGTTTGTTTTTATAATACTGATTTGAAAAGAAGTATGTATGGTTCTCTATTATATGTTAGCTATTTCATATAGTTAATGGTGTTTCCTAGGATTTTTGTAGTATTTCTTCTGAAAAGTACCCAGAAAATATTATAATGCCACTTCATCCACTTGGGGTCAGGGTATAATGTCCATATTTCAGTTTTCCTTTTCCTTTCATCTCTGTCCTCCTTGCCTTTTTTGTCCAGTTGCTAGCTTTATAAATATGGTTACTTTTGAACCTTGATGAAGTGTAAACAGATGTTTTTGAACCTGCATTGTAGGTGATGCTGCCGAATGAATACCCAGGTACAGCTCCACCTATCTACCAGTTGAAGTAAGCTGTATTTCTACGTTTATATTGCTATAAAAAGATTCTATTCTGAAAGATGTTTATACTGTACTTTGCGTTTACATAAAATACCTTTCTTATTAACATGTATATAGAAATTAAAAATACCTTTTGGGTTTGGTATAGAGCATTTAAATAAAAATTAAATTCTATAAAACAATAAAATATGCCACTTAGTATAAAAGAGAATCACAAGGTTCGTAGAGGTGAAGTAGGTACAGAATTGTCTTTAGAGATGAGGAAGGAAACCTTCCTCTTTAGCCTAGTAATCTAGCAACCTTGGCCCTTAGAGTTACTCCTAACCTAGATCTCCTGACCTAGCCACAGTTCCTTGATGTACCTGTAAGACTGCCTGCCTTCCAGGAGTTACTTATGATGCTTCTGGTGTTTCTCCCTGCCCCTTTCCCCGTTGATGTTGACGAACCATCTTCTTAGCAGCCCGAGCTTAATCTTTATGAGCCATGACCTGTTGATGCAAGTGATATTTCATCTACCTTGGCCCCATCACCTAGTAATATGTATAAACCCTTGGGAACAGAATTGCATAAAAATCTCAGTTACTAGGCCGGTCTGATTGTAGACCAGTGATTGGTTTATAACCAGTAATTGATCACAACTGGTTAGATTTCTTTGTTTCTTCTTCACTCCCACTGCTTCACTTAATTAGCCTTAAAAAACAAACAAACTCAATTACTAGAATTTGTACCTATTAGTTTTTTTTGTGCACATATTTTAAAACCATGGCATTAATGCTTACTGTTAATAATGGTTCTGTAAATTTTTATTTTTATTTATTGCAAATGATAGATATAGAATTCTTATAAACATAAATGTCCTTTTAAGAAATTTTTTTTTTTTTTTGAGACAGAGTCCTGCTCTGTCTCCTAGGCTGGAGTGCAGTGGCGTGCTTGACTAACTGCAAGCTCCGCCTCCCGGGTTCACACCATTTTCCTGCCTCAGCCTCCCAAATAGCTGGGACTACAGGTGCCCGCCACCACACCCAGCTAATTTTTTGTATTTTTAGTAGAGACGGGGTTTCGCCATGTTAGCCAGGATGGTCTTGATCTCCTGACCTCGTGATCTGCCCGCCTCGGCCTCCCAAAGTGCTGGGATTACAGGCATGAGCCACCACGCCTGGCCAATTTTTAAACCATTAAAACAGGGTAATTTTGGTGTGGGTTTTGTTTTTGTCATGGTTTCTTGGGAAGGCTGAATGAATTAATGCTAATGAAAGCATTTTGCAACTATATAGATTTATACAAATATAAGACCATTTATGAAAATAATTTTTTAAAGCCAAAAAAATTTATTTGTGATGTAATCTGTAATTTGAGGTATAAACATAATCCTTGAATAATCTTCTTAATTGTTTTATTTAATCTTAGTGCTCCTTGGCTTAAAGGGCAAGAACGTGCGGATTTATCAAATAGCCTTGAGGAAATATATATGTAAGTGACAGGCGATTTTTTAAAATAATTCTGTTAGTGATTGTATTGTGGGCTTTTGTTGAACCTGTGAACCCTTTGTTAGAACCTCTCTAAACTTTTTAAAGCTACTTCTGCTTTAACAAAAAGGACTCACTTGAAGAGACCTCGAAAGGTTAGTTATATAATTTTATATATACATTTGATAGCTTCTACTTAGATACAAAAATACAGTAATATTTAGAGCTAACAACTGTAAAAAACACTTAGGCATAGGCTTGTAATCCCAGCTATTCAGGAGGTTGAGATGGGAGGATTGCTTGAACCCAGGAGTTTGAGACTAGCCTGGGAAATACAGTGAGACCCCCATCTCAATCTCAATAAATTAAAAAAAAGTTATTTGCTAAAAGGATCTTAATGAAAAAAACAAAAACACTTAGCCAACTTGTCAAAGTAAATTCAGAGATACTGCTCTTGATTTGGTATTTTCATAGGCTATGTAGAATGAAATTGATTACAGAATCCTAAGCATAATTATTTCTTAAATGTCTATGTACTTTGAATGGTAATTTCCCTTGTATTAGGCCATAAGACTCAGAATCTATTGATGGGCTATATTCTTCATTCATTCCTTCATTCAATAAATATTACATGGCAGGCACTGTACTAGATCCTGGGTGCAGGTATGGCTAGCATGAACAGAAGTGCCCTTTTTCATGGCAGTTAGAATTTATGGTGTGGCAGAGATATTACTTATAATATTGTAAAAATGAATATAACAATAGCTGTGGTAAGTTCTATGAAAGGAAGATATGCAAAACTAATTGAGTTTGAAACAAGACCTGACATAGTCTCGGAGGTGAGGGATGGCTTGTTTGACTTAAAAGTGGAGTTAATTAGGGGATGATAATTCCAGTGAGAGGCCACAGCACAGGGCTTGGTGTTGGGGAGCTTGGCACATTACAGGAAACAGTAATGGTGATATGCAGTGGTAAGAGACAGGATGAGATGGAGGGAATATGGTAGGAAAAGGACCTGGAGAGGTAGACAAGACAGATCCTGCAGAGTTTTGTAGGTTATGTTGAAGATTCTGTCTTTATACTAAGAATAGCTGGAAGCAGAGAAGGGTTTTAAGTAGTAGGGTGCCATGATAAGATTTTCTTTTTTTTGAGACAGGTTCTTGCTCTCTTGCCCAGGCTGGAGTGCAGTGGCACAGTAGTGACTCACTGCAGTCTTGACATCCCAGGCTCAAGTAATTTCTCCCACCTCAGTCTCCCGGGTAGCTGGGACTATAGATACGTGCCACCGTGCCCAGCTAATTTTAATTTTTTTAATTAAAATTTTTTTTAAAATTTTTTTGAGATGGAAGCTCACTCTGTTGCCCAGGCTGGAGTGCAGTGGCATGATCTTGGCTCACTGCAACCCCTGCCCCTCAGGTTCAAGCAGTTCTCCAGCCTCAGCCTCCTGAGTAGATGGGACTACAGGCGCCCGCCACCACGCACAGCCAATGTTTGTATTTTTAGTAGAGGCGGAGTTTCACCATGTTGGCCAGGCTGGTCTCGAACTCCTGACCTTAAATGATCCACCCACCTTGGCCTCCCAAAGTGCTGGGATTACAGGTGTGAGCTACCATGCTCTGCCTTCAGCTAATTTTTTTAAAAATTATTTTTTTGTACTGATGGAGCCTTGGTTTGTTGTCCAGGCTGGTCTCAAACTCCTGGCCTCAAGCAGTTCTCCTGCCTTGGCCTCCCAAGGTGCAGAGATACAGGTTTAAGCCACTGTGCCTGGCCATGATAATATTTTCATTTAAAAAAGATCATTCTATTTTCTGTTTGAAGTAGTGTTTGGAAGGTAGCAAGAGTAGATGTGGGACATCAGTTAGGGGGCTAATGCAGTTGTCTAGAGAGGAAATATCTATGATTTAGATTAATTTTAATGAAATAATTTAGTAAAACAAATAATGTTCTGGAATATCAGTTTTACTGTAATCCAGGATCTAGTAAGGACTGTATTATATGTTCTAGGTGGCCACTCCATTTGGTACAGTGACAGTCCCTCTTTGTGTCCCTGGGATCCAGGCCAGGTTTCTTTTCCTCCCAAAATACTTAATTAGAAAATGGTGAGTTGTTGTGGAATCCATTCTGCTTATTCCTGCCTAGAGCAAGTATGGTCTTCCTTGGGTCCCCATTTAGTGATTCCGTCATCCTTGGCGGAAGTATAAGTATTTCATTAATTAAATGTTTTCTGATATCTCTCCCTAACATTACTGGCCACTCCAACTTTTGTGCCCCCAACAAACTTCTTTCTATAATCCTCTCATATTTGCCAATTTATCTGCCCCCCCGATCCCCCAGTAGAATAAGATCAGTATACTGTGGATTTGTTCACCATTAACACCAGAATTGTTCATCTAGTGGCCATTTTTCAGCTCTTACCTAACTTTTGGTGGTATTGACCACTTCCTCCTCCTTGAAAATCTTTCCACACTGCTTCCATCATGTTAATCACATTCATCAGTTAGCGTTTTTTCTTACCCATGTACAATGTCATACACTTAGAAGTGGCTCTTCACCTGCCTATCCCCTATCCCAAAAGTCCTCCTTTTACTAAAAGATACCTTCCCACAGGACGCAACTTTCCTTTTCTCTTTAACTAGTTCACTTGAGCTATTTGAAACTTACGAAGTGTCAGAGATTACAATATAGTTTGTTCTAATGGTGGAATATGGGGTCTTGTTTATTTAATGCGCTCGAATAACCTTGGTCCAGTGGTATTATTTTCACACATGTAGTCTAAATAGAAATACACATCTTACTTTTAAAACTTTTTTTTTTTTTTTTTTTTTTTTTTGAGACGGAGTCTCGCTCTGTCGCCCAGGCCGGACTGCGGACTGCAGTGGCGCAATCTCGGCTCACTGCAAGCTCTGCCTCCCGGGTTCACGCCATTCTCCTGCCTCAGCCTCCCGAGTAGCTGGGACTACAGGCGCCCGCCACCGCGCCCGGCTAATTTTTTGTATTTTTAGTAGAGACGGGGTTTCACCTTGTTAGCCAGGATGGTCTCGATCTCCTGACCTCATGATCCACCCGCCTCGGCCTCCCAAAGTGCTGGGATTACAGGCGTGAGCCACCGCGCCCGGCCAACTTTTTTTTTTTTTAAATAGGACTTCACTGTGTTGCCCAAGCTGGCCTTGAACTCCTGTGCTCAAGCCTCAAGTGATCCTCCTGCCTCTCAGCCTCCTGAGTAGCTGGGACTACAGGCACATACACCACACCTGGCTTTATTTTTAAAACTTTTGTGTGACAGCATTTTTTTTTTTTTTTTTTTTTCTGAGACCGAGTCTTGCTCTGTTGCCCAGGCTGGAGTGCAGTGGTGCAATTTCAGCTCACTGCAACCTCCGCCTCCCAGGTTCAAGCAATTCTTGTACCTCAGCCTCCTGAGTAGCTGGGATTACAGGTGTGCACCACTACGCCTGGCTAATTTTTGTATTTTTAGTAGAGACGGGGTTTCAGCATTTTGGCCAGGCTGGTCTTGAACTTCTGACCTCAAGTGATCCGCCTGCCTCGGCCTCCCAAAGTGCTGGGATTACAGGCGTGAGCCACCACGCCTGGCCTTTTGTGACAACTTTTAATCATATTTTCCATATAATTCCAGCAGAGGGCAGCAAGGGGGAAATACAGGTTTTTAAAAATTAAACATGGGCCAGGTGTGGTAGCTTTTGTCTGTAATCCCAGCATTTTGGGAAGCCTATGTGGGAGGATTGCTTGAAGCTAGAAGTTTGAGACCAGCCTGGGCAACATAGTGAGACCTTCCCCATCTCTATAGAAATTAAAAACATAAAAATTAACTGGGTGTGATGGGGCGTGCCTGTAATCCCAGCTACTTGGAAGACTGAGGTGGAAGGATCACTGGAGTCCAGGAGGTCGAGGTTCAGTCACTTCACTCCAGTCTGGGTGATAGAGTGAGACTCTGTCTCAAAAATAAATATATAAAAAGTAAGCCTGTGAAGAAGGGAAGGGGCTCTTTAGAAGAGCAGTCAGTAACTCAGGAGGGATATAGTGGAGGCCTTTATTAAGGCAAAAAGAATATGAATGGAGAAGAAGGTCAGTTAAAGAAATACTTAAAAATATATTGGCCAGGCGCAGTGGCTCATGCCTGTAATCCCAGCACTTTGGGAGGCTGAGGCAGGCGGATCACCTGAGGTCAGGAGTTCGAAACCAGCCTGACCAATATGGAGAAACCCCATCTCTACAAAATTAGCTGAATGTGGTGGTGCATACCTGTAATCCCAGCTACTTGGGAGGCTGAGGCAGGAGAATCGCCTGAACCCGGGAGGCAGAGGTTGCGGTGAGCTGAGATCGTGCCATTGCACTCCAGCCTGGGCAACAAGAGCAAAACTCTGTCTCAAAAAAAAAAAAAATATATATATATATATATATGTGTGTGTGTGTGTATATATATGTGTATTATATAAGTGTATATATATGTGTGTATATATATGTGTATATATATGTGTATATATATGTGTATATATATGTGTATATATATGTGTGTGTATATATATATATAAAAGCTAGGATTTGGTGATTAATTAGATGTATATTTAGTTGTTGTACCTACTTTTTTTTTTTTCTGAGGTGGGGTCTATCTCTGTTACCCAGGCTGGAGTGCAGTGGCATGATCATGGTTCACTGTAGCCTTGACCTCCTGGGCCCAAGTGATCCTCCCACCTTAGCCTCCTGAGTATCTGGGTTTATAGGTGTGCCACCACTGGCTAATTTTTGTATTTTTTTGTAAAGAAGGGGTCTTGCTACGTTGCCCAGACTTGTCTGAAATTCCTGGCCTCAAGTGATCTATCTGTCTCTGCATATCAAAATGTTGAAATTACAGGCATATGCTACTGTGCCCAGTCCTTAATTTTTATTTAAATATTTTGCATGTGAATATTTTGAATAAATGAAAATAACTTTTGATAAAACAAAAAGTAAATACACTTAAAATACTTAGAATATGATACTGTTTAAGAGAAAATGAAAAGGATTACAAGTTTTTTATAGTATTTGACTTTGTGATGCTCTATTATAGCAATATTTAATTTAGAAATCTGAGAAAATAATTTTTGAAATTTTCTACATCTCTTCACATTTCGATGTATCATGGCATGTTAGGTTTTAATGTTGGTGAGTGAGGCTTCTTGAATCAAAAATTACACTGGATAAAGTCAAACAGACAAGGAAGACTGTATTCAAGGCCGCTGCAATAGGGGAAGGAGGCCAGAACTAAGTGTGAACTCAACTCCTCTGAAACAAAAGGCAGAAGGGTTTTTAAGGGCCAGGATGAGCTAGTGGAAAAATACTGAAAGATATTATGTGGGGCAGTTAATCGGGTGTGTTGGGCATATTGAGTTATTGTTGAGTTTGCAAATATTTCTCTTTGTGAGTAGGCCATCTGTGTTTACTAATAGGTACCCGTTGAAGTTAGCCTCCTATTCTCCCACAGAGACTGGAAGATAAGGGCAGTGTCTTCTTTGATGCTGTGTTTCAAAGGGATGGTTTCCAGGTCCTTGAGAAAGACATTTCCTGGGTTGTAAAACCAATTAAAGTTTTCTGTAAAAAGATTTACATATATCTCAAAGAGATGGAGAAGGAATTTACAATGACAAGTTTTCTGAAGAAAATGCTCTAAGAAAAGGGAGGTAAGGGCCTAGAGTCAGGAATGGGCCCATATAAAGTTTAGTCGAGCTGAGGTTAAGGCTGTTTCAGTCAGGCTTTTGGAGTCAGTTTTTTAAATAGTGTCATCTCTTTGTGTCTGTTTTCTCATCTGTAAAAAGGGGATAATATTGTAAGCATTAAACTAGCAGCTATCATTTTTTTGTTCTTTAAAAATTTTATTTTTTTATTTTTTTGAGATGAAGTCTTGCTGTGTCGCCCAGGCTGGAGTGCAGTGGTGCAATCATAGCTCACTTCAGCCTCCAAACTTCCAGGTTCAAGTGATCCTCCCACCTCAGCCTCCTAAGTAGCTGAGATTACAGGCACACACCACTGTGCCTGGCTAAGTTTTTTAATTTCTTACAGAAACGGAGTCTCGCTTTGTTGCTCAGGCTGGTCTCAAACTCTTGGTTTTAAGCTATCCTCCTACGGTGCTGAGATTACAGGTGTGAGCTGCCACATCTGGCCTGTTTTTTTTTGTTTTGTTTTTGTTTTTGTTTTGAGAAGGGGTCTTTTTCTGTTGCCCAGGCTGGAGTGCAGTGGCACGATCTCCACTCACTGCAACCTCCACCTCCCAGGTTCAAGCAATCCTCCCACCTCAGCTTCCTGAGTAGCTGGTATTACAGGCACGCACCACCACATCTGGCTAATTTTTGTATTTTTTTTGTAGAGATGGGGTTTTGCCAAGTTGCCCAGGCTGGTCTCGAACTCTTGAGCTCAAGTGATCTGCCCACCCCGGCCCACCAAAGTGTTTTGATTACACCACGCCCGGCTCTGGGATGTTCTTATTTCAAAAATCTTCTCATCCAGCTTATAATATTGAAAATTAGGTGACAGAAACTCAGATCAAGTGATTAGTTTAACTTCACACAGCTTAGTGCATTTTAGTGAATAGCTTTACTGTTATATCAACCAATACAAGTATTTAGTTTTAGTACTAGGAATTGTGGGTGTGATGGGGAGGATTTGAGGGTATAGAATTATTTAAAAACAATGTTGTTTTCTTCTGTCTCTTGTTTCGAAAGTTTTGGTGGGTGCTGATGAGTAGTGATAAAGAGAGATAATGGTTTCAAGGGAAACTTTTAGAGGAAGGAGGTGAGGTGTTGCTATATAGTAGTGTGGTGATATCTTTAAACACATACCATACTTACTACAATTAGTGTCTTTTTCTAAAGAGCAGACACTTGGGCCTTTATTTTATTGCTGCTACCATCATTTAACATAACTATGGACATGACTTTAAAACCTGTGACACATTCTTTTTCTCAGTGATCCTTTGAGATGGATTTAGTTACCTGAGGCAACCAAACATCATTTGGAACCAAAATGAATCAATTTAGGCAATAGAATGTTTTGTCAGAAACAAGATATGAATATAAAATTGTTGAATTGTCTTTTAGGTCTTGTAAATTGACTCCCTGAAGGAGTTTCCCATATGCTTTACATTCTTTCTTGTTGAGATAAGTATACTAAATGATAAGTGTACCAAATAAGGGGTTTGAAATTCTTAAAAAACTTTAAAAAAGCAAGCAGTGATCAGACATCGATACTGAAAGATTGTATCCACTTACAGAAACTAAGTCACATTTATATTTCTTTAATCCATCTAGTTTGGAAATGTTTATTCCCCTCTTTGGTTACAGCTCTTCTGCTTATTTTAAAGTAAGCCATGTTAATTTTGGAGTCAACTGGAATTTTTAACGTTGCTATAACCTGTATTAACTACTCAGACACAAATGTTGATAAACCCCAGGTTTTTATAAATTATTTTAAAAAAGAAATGGTTAGATTGTTTATAATGTCTTGGAT
Source organism: Homo sapiens (assembly GCF_000001405.40). NCBI lineage: Eukaryota > Metazoa > Chordata > Mammalia > Primates > Hominidae > Homo > Homo sapiens. The sequence continues at coordinate 24,437,875 of NC_000018.10, forward strand.
TGCAAATGTCTGTATCTTCTTGAATTTGAGAAGATGATTTTTGAAATAACAATTTTTTTTTTCCCCTGAATTTTGTTTAGTCAGAATATCGGTGAAAGTATTCTTTACCTGTGGGTGGAGAAAATAAGAGATGTTCTTATACAAAAATCTCAGATGACAGAACCAGGTAGGATTGAAAAATACTATCAATACTCTTTTAACTTATAATAACTACATTTTTATGTAGATACTCTAGTTGAAATTTAATGTGAAAATCTGTATTCTGGTTTATGGTTTGTATATTATAAAATACAAGTTTCTCTGAAAAGTTTAATTGCTCATGTAATTATAGTTATTTATTTCTATAAGGTTTAGCCTCTTTGATTTTGTATTACAGTATTCCTCCTCATCTGAGATTTGGCTTTCCATGGTTTCAGTTACCTGTGGTCACCTGTTGTCTGAAAATATTAAATGGAAATTTCCAGAAATAATTCATAAGTTTTAAATTGTGTGCCATTCTGAAAATGTTATGAAACCTTGGGCTGTCCCATTCTGTCTAGGGTCTTGTCTAGGATTCTACATTGCTTTCCATTGTTGTTTCTCTTTACTCTCCTTTAGTCTGTAAACAGTTGTTCAGTGTTTCCTTGACTTATAACCTTGACACTTATGAAGACTACTGATAGTTATTTTGTAGAATGCCCCTCAATTTGGGTTTGTCCATTGTTTTCTCATGATTGGAGTGAGATTAGTAGCTGGGAGTGGTGGTGTACTCCCAGCTACTTTTAAAATTTTTTCTACAGACGAGGTCTCCCTATGTTGCCCAGGCTGATCTCAAACTCCTAAGCTCAAGTGATCCTCCTGCCTTGATCTCCCAAAGTGCTTGGATTACAGGTGTGAGTCACTGTGCCTATTGTATCATATGCCTTATTATTGGTGATATTTACCTTGATGTCTCGGTTACGGTGGTGTTCGCCAAATGTCTCCACTGTAAATGCTGTAGTCAGGGTTCTCCAGAGAAACAGAACCAATTGAATATATGTGTGTATATACATGTGTGTATGTACCCACACACAAAGAGAGAGAAATATATTTTAAGAAATTGGCTTATACAGTTGTGGAAGGTGGCAAGTCCAAAATTTGCAGGATAGGCTGGCAGGCTGGGGACCCAGGGAAGAATGAATGTTGCGGTTTGAAAACAAAGATGGTCTGCTGGAAAAATGTCCTCTTCTGGGGAGGTCAGTCTTTTAATGTTAAGGCCATCAGCTGATTGGATGAGGCCCATATGGAAGACAGTCTGCTTTACTCAAATTCAACTGACTTAATTGTTAATCTCATCCAAAAAATACCTTCAGAGAAAAATCTAAAATAGTGTTTAACCAAATATATGGGTATTGAGGCTGGGCACAGTGGCTTGCACCTATAATCCCAGCACTTTGGGAGGCCGAGGTGGGTGGATCACCTAAGGTCAGGAGTTCAGGACCAGCCTGGCCAACATGGTGAAACCCCGTCTCTACTAAAAATACAAGAATTACCCAGCACGTTGGGAGGCCGAGGCGGGCGGATCACGAGGTCAGGAGATCGAAACCATTCTGGCTAACACGATGAAACCCCGTCTGTACTAAAAATACAAAAAATTAGCCGGGCGCGGTGGCGGGTGCCTGTAGTCCCAGCTACTCGGGAGGCTGAGGCAGGAGAATGGCGTGAACCCGGGAGGCGGAGCCTGCAGTGAGCCGAGATCGCGCCACTGCACTCCAGCCTGGGCGACAGAGCGAGACTCCGGCTCAAAAAAAAAAAAAAAAAAAAAAAGAATTAGCCAGGCGTGGTGGTACGCACCTGTAATTGCAGCTACTTGGGAGGCTGAGGCAGGAGAATCACTTGAACCTGGGAGGCGGAGGTTGCAGCGAGCTGAGATGGTGCCACTGCACTCCAGCTTGGGTGACGGAATGAGACTCTGTGTCAAACAAAAGTAAACAAATATATGGGTACTGTGGCCTAGACAAGTTGACATGTAAGATTAACCATTGCAGTCACTGTCTTTCTCTTTGTAGCTTGAGGGAGATACTTTGAAGCTATGCTAATATCCTGTTTCTCCTTAAACTTTCTGCCACTAATTTTAGTATCTATCCATGGAACTTGTCAACAATATTTATTACTGTGGTGTTTGCCTGATGATGATTTTCTATTTTCTTCATTCCTTCCTCATTTAGTAATTGGAATTCTATTATGAGGAAGGGATGTCTCTTCCCATTTATGTATTTATTTATCTGTTTATTATTTATATCAGTATGGACTCATGTATATTATTTCAGTCCATGGGTTAAAATGCCATCCTATCATATTTTTTTGTTGCTCAAATTGTTCTAGCTTTGACCTTTAAGAGCCCCTTCAGGTTAACTCCTGTGTTCTTTTTATAAGCCCCATCTCTTTTTGAGCATTTCCCAGTTTGTGGATCCACATGAGGTTCCAGGTTCATCTTGTAGTTTCCTTGCTCCAACTCAGGAATCAACCAGTTCTCCTACGGGCTGAGTGCTGGTTCCTTTCGTTGAAGAGTGGTATTTAGAACCCAAGACCCAGTGATTTTTTTTTAAAAAGCATCGTTTCTTACCTGCGTCATAAAGTAATTGTGTCTCATATTCACATAGGCCCAGATGTAAAGAAGAAAACTGAAGAGGAAGATGTTGAATGTGAAGATGATCTCATTTTAGCATGTCAGCCGGAAAGTTCGCTTAAAGCATTGGATTTTGATATCAGTGAAACTCGGACAGGTATAATGTTACTAACTAATTTCTTTTGAGGAGAGTGGGTTGGTAGTATTATGTATTGTTCTTTGAGATGATAGAGAAATTTACTAATTTTCTCCAGTTTTAGGAAGGAGTTATTAATTTGCAGATAAGATTAATTTTTTCCTGCCTGTTGGCAATTTTGGTGTTTGCCAAGTCTTATCAGAATGGCAAGGAAAAAATGGAAATTTACTCTTTTCCCCCTACTTTCTAGAGTTTTGATTTAGTGATGGAAGAAATTGAAACTAAGAAAGGCTATTAACGTTTTTAGTTAACATCATGTTTTTATATTTCTGTATTGAAATCCTTAGCTGTTTCCTGATGTTTCAGGATTAAATTTTAGTCTGTGCTCACAAATACAAATATATTAACTGAAAGTGCAGCCCTGGAAATTAAAGCTAGTAAAATGCCTTTAAGAGGTTTTTTTTGAGAGACAAGGTCTCGCTGTGTTGCCCAAGTTGACCTTGAACTCCTGGGCTCAAGTGATCCTTCTACCTCAGCCTCCGAGTAGCTGGGACTACAAGCATGCACCATTGTGCCCAGCTTGAGTTCAGTTTTTGTTTGTTTGTTTGTTTTTTTGAGATAGAGTCTTGCTCTGTTGCCCGGGCTGGAGTGCAGTGGCACGATCTCAGTTCAATGCAACCTTGCCTCCCAAGTTCAGTGATTCTCCTGCCTCAGCCTCCTACGTATCTGGGATTACTGGCACATGCCACCATGCCTGTCTAATTTTTGTATTTTTAGTAGAGATTGGGTTTCGCCATGTTGGCCAGGCTGACCTCAAATGACCTACCCACCTCATCCTCCCAGAGTGCTGGGATTATTATAGGCGTGAGCCACCACGCCCGGCCTAGTTTTCGTTTAAACAAATTTGTTTCGTAATCGAGTAGTATTCAACATAAAAATAGGTTGCTGTGATATTATGTTTCATTTTAATATTTTAAAATTTTGAATGTTATTGTTAGTTTCCCTAAGCCTCTTAGGAAAACATGGTAGACCAGGGGGAATATTCATTCTGTTTGAAGGTGAGGGGTTTCCTGTGTCATTACACAGTAGCTTTTAAAAGGTGCTCTGAGTTTTAAGGCTTTTGAATGGTGTCCAGGACTAGTAGAAGGGAACAAAGAGGAAATGAAAGAGTGGGGAGCATCCAGGGCTCTCATTTATGCTCTAGCCTAAGTAGCTCCCATTTTAATCATTTATTTGTGTGTGGATTTGACATATGATATCTTTTGAAAACAGGATCTACCATGAAAAGAAAAAGGATAAAAATCATACTCATAAATAAATACTATCAATTGGTCAGTAGTTCATATTGACCCTAATACTGTATTTGACTTATTACTATGTTAGTACAGCAGTCAAAATCAATTCAGGAAAAGAACAGTATCAGAGGGAAGGTGTAAAACATCTTACATAAACCTACTTTCTTGTCTTGAATAACTTTTCATCCTAAGTGAGGCAGGTAGTAGTAGCCAGGACGATTAAGTCTCTCAACAGAATTGAGGGTTAATTAGTGATTCTTTTTTTTTTTTTTTTTTTTGGAGATGGAGTCTTGCTCTGTTGCCCAGGCTGGAGTTCAATGGCACAAACTCGGCTCACTGCAACCTCCGCCTCCCAGGTTCAAGCAATTTTCCTGCCTCAGCCTCCCGAGTAGCTGGAATTACAGGCACACGCCACCATGCCCAGCTAATTTTTGTATTTTAGTAGAGACGGGGGTTTCACCATGTTGGCCAGGCTGGTCTCAAACTCCTGAACTCAGGTGATCCACTCCCTCGGCCTCCCAAAGGGTTGGGATTGCAGGCGTGAGCCACCACGCCCAGCCATGATCCTTAAACTTGTTTTAAGAGGTATAATAACTGGAAATCATGATGCTCTTTAAGGAATACCAATTGGATGTATTATTGATGTATTTAATTCCATCATATGAAGTAGAAACAGTTTCATTAGCAGAAGGCATTATATTATAGCTACACAATATAAAGAATATAAATTCATAGTTTTCCCAACTCAGAGGTCTAACAACAGTGAAACTGATAAATAAATTTTATATTAGCAGCTATAAATCTTTGGTTTCAGGACTCCTTTACACTCTTAAAAATTATATATTAGATATTGTACCAACTTACACTACTGACTGCAGCAGTTCAAGATTAGTCCCAACCCACTGCTTCCCCTGGGTAACCTTGGCAGGTGGAAATCATTTATAAATCAAGTATTTTAATCTTATGTACAATATAGTTAGAAACTTTTTACTTAAAATTATAATTTAAATTTAATTTTGGTAGATAGCGATTAATGGTTATTTTAGTTGATTTGCCATGTAATTTACATTTCTTTCCCAGCTGCCCCCCCATTTCATTTTTTTCAGTATTTGAATGTAAGGCTTTTTAAAAAATAAAGTTTCTTTTACATTTCTAGAAGTAGAAGTAGAAGAATTACCTCCGATTGATCATGGCATTCCTATTACAGACCGAAGAAGTACTTTTCAGGCACACTTGGCTCCAGTGGTTTGTCCCAAACAGGTAAAGTTCCTTTGTCTAGCTCACTTTGATGATTACTAAAATAATTCAGGTAAATGATTTTGCAATAATCCCCTTGTTTTTACTTTTATGTTTTATTTTCATATAAGATAAAAATTATTTGTTCATTTTTCTACTCCCAAATTACTGTGAATCACGGAAGATTTGTTTTGTTTCTGTTTGTCTCTGCTTTCTTTCTTTTTTTTTGTGATGGTGTCTCACCATGTTGCCCAGGCTGGTCTCAATCTGGACTCAATCAGCCCTCCTGCCTCCAGCCCTCCCAATCCAAGGTATTGGGATTACAGGCATAAGCCACCTAGCCAGGCCTGTCACTGCTTTCAAAATTGTATCTAAACTCTGATTAGGGGTTAACCCTCTAATGAATCTTTAAATAAGAAATACCCATTGTGTTATTAGAGAAAATTATGATGCTTAATACCTTGTCAAAAAGAATTATTTGTCCTGTCGAATGGGAGTTCTGTGAAACTAAGTCCATTCCTCTGTTATTATTCAACAAAGGGGACAGTGGACAGACTGGCTAAACCAAGTCCTCCCTACCTGACTTACTTTCCTTTGTGCTTCTTGATCTTAGGTGACCATATTTCCACCCAGGGATATAAATGGGAGAGGTTTCAGCCATAAACTATTCCTAGGTCTTTGCCTTTCTCATTCTCCTTTCAGCAGAATCCTTTTCTTCTTCCTTGCTTCTATAATGTAGCTCAGCTTACATTATTGATGTACGAGGCAATTTCAATACTACCTGTAAAGTTACATTTTTAAAAATGTCTCATTTACTGCAGGTTTTAGGCATGAGTCTCTTCCTTTGGTCTTTGCAGCTACCCTACTCTTGAAGCTCTTTAAAGCCCTGGGCTTCAGGGATACAGCTCTTTGTACCAGGCTGTTTCACTCTCTGAAAGAGGAAGTTCTTTTCTGCGTTGACTTGTGGTCAAGATCATAACTTTTGGTGCAGACTTCTGGTCTTTTCTCTCAGGAATCCTATTTTGTCCCTGGCCCTTAGTCACATCTTCTTCCCAGGGTCCTCCTGAGACATTCTAATTCTGAATCTGTTTATTCTGGATCCTCTTTCTGTTTCTGATCACAGTCACTTAGATTTATAGCATTATAATTTGTGAGAGCTGAAACAAGTTTTAGAGGTCATTGTCTATTTTATTGATCAGAATTTGAGAACCTGAAAGATTATAAAATGATAAACAGAAGATTGCACAATTTGTGATCCAAATTGGTGTCCCCAACTCTAGCTCAGTCTTCCCTGCCACCAATATTTCTTCCATACTTCTTGCCATTACAACATCCCTGAAAAATCTGACCATGTGTCATTCTGTTCTCTCTCTTATCCACCTTCACACATGTAATCTTTGCTGATTTCCAATGTCTACAAGGGAAGATCTAAACTTATTACACAGATCCTTTGTAATATGGCCCTAGCTTATCATTCATGACACATCTTCTGTCATCTCATTCATACTCTAAGTTAAGCTGTGTAAAGCTTCCTGAACTTTTCTCTTTTTTGTTCCCACTAAGGTTGCCAGATAAAATACAGAATACCTAGTTAAATTTGAATTTCAGGTAAACATTATTGCATGGGATGTACTTATAGTAGAAAAATTACTTGTCGTTTATCTGAAATTCAAATTTAACTGGATGTCCTGTACTTTTATTTGCTAAATTTGGTCACCCAGTCCCTGTATTTTGCATATAGCCCTATTCTCTGTGTGGAATGTCTTCTTCCTGCCCCATCTTTCCTTTTGATGCAGGAGAACTGCCACTTATAAGACCTGGCTCATGTGACCTCCTCTATGAACCTTACTTGACTCCCAGAGAAAGATGTGGTTTTATAACATTTGGAACATACCACTATTGTACACCTGCTACATTGGATGTATACATTTGGTAAATTTCAGAGCTAGTTTTTAGAAGTTTTATATGATACATTTAAAATTCCCTACATGGGGAACAAACTTTCCCTTTGACATAGTAGTACCGAAATATTTGTTGATAATTAGTGCTCAAAAATACCAGGTCTGTCATTTTTATACCAATTATGAGTACCAGTCTCTGCCCCTAAAATGAGAAGGAAACTTTGGAAATGACTTTTTCAGAGTATAGTAGACTCTTTAAGTGACTATTTATTTTAATACAGCATGCTTCAAGGTATTTTTCTAGCATTTATTTACAGAGCAAATATAAAAAGCATACTTATTTATATTATTGCTGTTTTTAAGGTGAAAATGGTTCTTTCCAAATTGTATGAGAATAAGAAAATAGCTAGTGCCACCCACAACATCTATGCCTACAGGTGAGTAATCATCACAAGCTTTAGTATACTCAGTTTGTTAAAAATAGAGGGAAATGATGCATGATTTTAGAAAATAATAACTATTGTGTATTTTTTCCATTGTAATAGTAATAGACATGGAATATTTGGAAACTGCAGAAAAGATAAAAAAGAATTGAAGGGAAAAATCTGGCATTTTCTGCCATCAAATGTAACTGACAATATTTTGTTTTTTGTTTCATTTTTTTCTCTGCAAAGTTTAATTTTTCCCAATGCTTTATTTACCCTTGTATCCTGTTTTTTTCTTAATTAAACAAAAGCACTTTTTCATATTGTTATAACTGCTTGATAAATACTGTTTAATGGCTGTAAAATATTTGAGATGCCATACTACAATTAACCATTTCCTTTTAGTTTTTCATGTTTTTCACCATTATAAAGAGTGGTCCAGGGAACATCTTTGTATACTTTTTAGGTTATTTCCTCAGGATAGGTTCTGGTTGCTTGAGATTCTTTTTTGAAATGAAATGGGAATATAATAAAAGGAAGAAAGAATTCTTAGAAGTAGAATTATCAAAAAGTGTGAACAATTTTGAAACTCTTGATATATAGCCAAATTTCTTGCAAAGGTTTTGTTTTATTTTGGTTTGGTTTTTGAGACAGGGTCTCAAAAACCCTGTTGCCCAGGCTGGAGTACAGGGGCGTGATCTTGGCCCAAGCAATCCTCCCACCTCAGCCTCCCACGTTAACTGGGACTGTAGGTGCGAGCCACCATGCCCGGCATAATTTTTGTATTTTTTTGTAGTGACAGGGTTCTGCCATGTTGCCCAGGCTGGCCTCAAACTCCTGAGTTCAAGTGATCTGCCAACCTTGGCCTCCCAAAGTGTTAGGATTTACAGGTGTGAGCCCAAATGTTTTTAAAACCAATTTATGCTCCTGTAAGCAGTGAATTAAGAGTATTTCTTTTACTACATGAGTTTCAGTTTTGAGAATTCAGGTTTTTATATGCATCTTTGCTGATTTGTAAGTGAAGAGATGAAGGGCATTTGAAAAAATACGCAAATTTGTAAGACTTTAAAAGTACATAGTTTAGGCCTAAAATAAATCAGAACACAGGGACTTGGTGTAAATTTAAAATGTGATTGAGACTATTTGTAGAATCTAGGCTATCTGAAACTGAAACTCAAAAATTCATCATTTTGAGTAGGTGAGTTCTTAATATTACTAATTTCACATCTCTTTAAGTGCCAAAACTTACAAACAATTATTTGTTATGTAATTCCCCTCTTAATAGAGTATCACTGGATAGAATTTTAATGTTTTCTTAAGCAGTTATGGCCTTCAATAGGAAAATGAGGAATTAGACTACTCTCAGTCATTAAAATGGGCTGTAAAAATTGTAATGTTCATTTATTCTACATGTTTTTTGAGTGCCTACTCTGTGCCAAAACTTTATGTAAATTAACTCTTATTAGTTAGCAATTCTAGCACTGTAAAAAGGTTAGCTTTTTCAAGATCCCATAGTTAAGTGATGGAGCTGAATTTGATAATCCAATTTCATTTGTTTTCTTTATTTCACTCCTCTATGGCTGTGGCTACAGCTTCAACAATCTTGTATCTAAGCTATGTAAAAAAAGAAAAAAGTACTCATAGTATTTTAACTTTAATGTTCATAGTAGATGGTCAGTAAATATTTATTGAGTGGATGGATGGATGAAGGGAAGGAAGGATGAGTGAATGAATGAATGTGACTGCTGTAAGGTAACATAACTGACTTAGGTGTGTAGATGAGCTTTTATAGCTTTTAGTATTTACATTAAAAGTTTACAGCTTTTTATGGCCAGAGCTGGGAGGATGTCTTTACTACATTTACCCAGTTCCACATGATACCATTGGTAGGGCCCTAAGAAATCCACCAGATGGCATACTGTAACTGACACTATTTTTTTTTTCTCTCTCTAGCACTTATTTGCCAAGCTTATTTTACTGTATTGTAGGCCTACATTATTATTTCAGATATAGCTTTCTAGTTTAAATGGATAAAAATACCACGATTTGTCTCTAATATTAGTAACCATCCAGAGGAAAATTTAAATCTTTACATTCTTAGAAGAAAATAGAGAAATGCTTGATGGCTGGAATAAGATGAGAGGAAAGTATAAAATATTACCTTATGTTGGTTTTGTTGCCTTCATCTTTTTTTTATATGCTTTTTGTTTCACTACATCTTAAGGCTCTTTGAAGACAGATGCATGCCACTTACTTCCTTTATAATATGTCTTAGTACCTGTTGCTTTTATACAGTATATTCTCAATAAATGTTTTTCAATGATTGCTCTTGTTACTTCAAGGTTAAATGAAGTAAGGGGAATGTCACATGGATAAATTCACCTTCCCATAATAGCAACATTTCTGATATAAAGGAGATGCCTTTGATTCCTAGCTTTCCCAAGTATATAAAAAGGCAAACATACTGGATAGTAAACCGTCAGTGAAAATATATCTAATATAATACATATTTCAGGAAGGATTTAAAAAAATGAATATGCTGATTTTGGAAGTAATCAAAATGATCACAAATGTTGAGGAATAAGTTTTATTATAATATTTTAGTTTCAAAGTGTAATACTCTTACATGTATTTGCAGAATATATTGTGAGGATAAACAGACCTTCTTACAGGATTGTGAGGATGATGGGGAAACAGCAGCTGGTGGGCGTCTTCTTCATCTCATGGAGGTAGGTGTAAGTTAAACTATCAATCCTGTTCTGTACAAGCCATAAAATTTCTCAACAAAACAGAGCTCCATTTAGTAATAGCTAAGTCAGTTGAACTATGTAACATAAGATATATTTGATTTAATTAGTAGTTGATGTTAAAATATTGATTGAATGAAAATTTTAACCAGTGGATGTGGGACAGAAAGCAAATAATTAATAAGAAGTGCTATGCTTTCAAGACATAGACAATAGAAGATTGTCTTCAACTTTGGGAAAACACTTTGTTTTTTTGACAATTTCCTTCTCTTTATTTTTTCTATTCTTTCTTTATGGAACTCCGGTTAGTTGGATATTGGAACTTCTGGATAGATCCAGAATTTTTTTTTTTTAAATTGAGTTGTCCATCTCATTGTCTTTATATTCTGAGACATTTTCTTGACTGTTGTCCAAAATTTCTGTTGAATTTGAAATTTTGTTTAGCAGCCATATATTTAATTTTTAAGAGTTCTTTCTTGTTTTCTGTTTTTCCTTTTTAAGAATATCCTGTTCTGTTTTATGGCTCCAATATCTTCTAAAATTTCTCTGATTATATTAATTAGAGTTTCTTTTTTAAGATGTTCTCACCCCTAAAAAAATTTTTCCTGGTCCATTTTTGTTTGTTTATCTTGTCCTTTCTCTTTCATGCTGCTGGATTTTCTTCATCTGTCTGGTGATCATTTATTGTTCATTAATTTTAGGATTGGATTATTTTTTTCCTAAGGTAGTTACCTGGTTTTTTCTGCTCTTGTATGTGAAGGTTTATTTTCTAACAAGGCCTTTCCCTTGAATAGTAACTGTGTTTGTGGGTCAGGCCTGTAAACTGGTGGGCTTCACATTAAGGGCAGCATTTGACAAATGTCAAACTGATGAAGACGGCCAGGTATGGTGGCTCACACCTGTAACCCTAGCACTTTGGGAAGCTGAGGCGGGGAGATCACTTGAGCCCAGGAGTTCGAAACCAGCCTGGGCAACATGGTGAAACCCTGTCTCTACTAAAAAAACACAAAAATTAGCTGGGCATGGTGGTGCATGCACCTGTAGGTCCCAGCTACTTGGGAGGCTGGGGTGGGAGGATCACTTGAGCCCAGGAGGCAGAGGTTGCAGTGAGCCAAGATTGTGCCACTGCACTGTAGCCTGGGTGACAGAGTGAGACTGATCTAGATCTCAACTGATGAAACCTTACTAATAGCACCAGGGATATTGATGCCTCGTGCAGCCCCTGTAGCTTTGTTCAGAAGCAGGGTTTTTTTTGTTGTTATTTGGCCTAGTGGTAAAATGCTGCCTAAACTTAGCTGTTCTGGTTGAAGTCACCAGGTGCTAGAATCCTACTTGCATGGTCTCCCCTTCACTCTGTCCAGTTGCCCCAAATCTGGGAGTTTGAGGACATTGTGAAACACAGTGATGGTTTTCCAGATTCCCTTCTGTTCTTCCATTTCACTCCCTGAATTGTTAGTAATCTCACTCAGTGCCTACTCACTCATATGGCTCTACCATTAAAGTCACTGGGAAATTTTATGTGCAATTTTATACATGGGTTATTTCATTCTCCTTTTTTAAAACTCATATTTATACATGTCTGTCTATGTATCTAATTATGCTTCCAAAAAATAACAGATTTTGAATGTGAAGAATGTCATGGTGGTAGTATCACGCTGGTATGGAGGGATTCTGCTAGGACCAGATCGCTTTAAACATATCAACAACTGTGCCAGAAACATACTAGTGGAAAAGAACTACACAAATTCACCTGTAAGTGGCTCTTCGTACTACATCTAGAGAATTTCTCATCACTGCCTGGGAATTTTTTAAAAAGACAGAAAATTAAGAATGAATCAGAATGTGAGTGGTGAATTGGTAAAACCTTTGGACTCAGAACCTGGAGACCTAGACTCTAAACAGTGTGTCTGGCCAGTCACGTGACTTTGGACCGATCACTTAATCCCTTCGCACCTTGATTTCATAGGACAGACCACTTCATCCCTTCGCACCTTGATTTCATAGGTTCATAGAATTTTATAATTAGAAAAACCTTTTAAGACCAACTAGGTTCCATCCCTAAAATTGAGCCCCAGAGTGGTTGTAGCTGATATCACATCAGACTAGATGTTCTTTAAACATCTAGAAAATTCTGAAATTCTCTGTTAGTGTCAAAACATCTCCCCCTTCACTGGCATACCTTTAGATGCTTTCTTCCTTTATACTTTGAGTTTATTTTGTTTTATATTTTAGGTATGTTCATATCTGCCTTATTTAAATTTTACTGCCTTGGGAAAGTGGGGCAATAGATGAAATAATTTTGAAATTATTCAAACATAAATCCACTAGATAAATAAGGTTTCCTTGATTATTCTTGATTGTTTAAAAAATATTAGCCTATAAGTGAAAGTACCCTTTAAAACACAGAAATGACACATATAAAAGTGATTATACCCTCACTGTAACATATATACATACATACATATATGTATGAATATATGTGGAATATATATGTGTAAATATATTCTAAGTGATTAGATTGAAGATTTCATCTTTATGTAAATGGAGAGATGCTGCACTGATTTGTGTCTTTTTCAGGAGGAGTCATCTAAGGCTTTGGGAAAGAACAAAAAAGTAAGAAAAGACAAGAAGAGGAATGAACATTAATACCTGAAACTATAGGAAAGGTTAATTTGCCTATAATTATATATACATTCCATAGTCATCAAGGAATATATTGTGCAGAGAGAGTATCCTTGACTGCTTAAGTCAGCCAGTTCAGCATGGATACCAACATTAGCTTTTCTTCTTGGTTATATCATCTGCCAAAAATAGAGAACTTATGATCTATTCATGTGTGTTTCAGGCTTATTTGGGAGAACTAATTTGAACTTAATCACCACTTCATCTAATTTTAGCAAGGTAACAGTTGCCCAGGGCAGTACCTGAATTAACTGTCCATTTCAGTACATGTCAAGTGCCTTTGTTAGGTGGAGAAGAAATGTCTCTAGAGGAATATAAATACCTGATTTCTTGTCATCGAGATTCTTGTACTGTTAAATGAATATTGCCTTTTACTGCTCTTTATGGCTTATTGGAATAGGAGCTCATTTAAGATTGATCTTGGAGAGTTTCTTCTTGTGATTTTAGTTCATAAGTATGTCACCTTTCATTTTATAGTGTTCATCATTGAGTAATGGATTAAGTGAAAATCCAGGAGTATCCATCTGCAGTTATGTGCTGAGGTGATAATTCATCCAACATATTTGTTAGCATAAATATTATGCTTCAGTTTCTGTTGCAAATTGGTGATTGTGAAATTACAGAAAGTGATTTTCTAGTCTGCTTTTTTTGTTTAATTCTTGTAATGTAAGCAATAAATATGGAGTGTCAGTAGTCTCCTTCCACCCCAGAAATGTGTTGGTGTAACATTCTCGTTTCTTTTAACAACCTGGAAGTACCTTTCTTGTGATCTTCACTGAGGAATTAGAACTATGATAGAAGTTAGGCTGTGGCAAATGGGACATTCGTAGAGTGGGATAGAGGTGGCAGAATGAACCTGGTGTAGGGCAGGAGTATGTTGTGTAGTTACATCAATTTGATGCATGCTTTCCATCTGCACTCCAGACGGCTTTCTCAGTTCCAAGATTTTGCAGAGAGAAGGAGCAAACCTTTTCATTGGAAAAACAGAAACAACCCTCCCCCCCATTTTTTCCCCTCTATTCATCAAACCTTTATGTATCTTTCATCTTCCAGTTACCTCTAGGCATTTAGATAGTGAAATTTACCTTTGAGATATAACAATAAGTGATTAACTGTTCACTTTCAGATGTAATGGCAAACAATTGTTAAAAGTTATTAACTGATCACAGATTTGCCTGGACTTCCCTTCCCAGGGAGGGAACAGAAGTTAGGAGGCAACTTTGGGATGGTGCTAGAGCATGGAAAGCACAGAGAATTGGACAAACAGGTCTTTTTCTCTTTTCTCTGATGTTTTACCTTTAAAAGATCCAACATCCTTACCGTTGGTATTTTTAGTAAGGTTATAGTAAATAGCTTTACACCAGGATGGATTCTGAAATATAAATTCTAAATTATATTTGTTATAACTATATTTTATGTTGTATGTTATCAGGAGCCATCAGAGAATGACCTTTTTGTGTTTGGAACACTTGGTTCCATGAAAAGTATGCTTTGTGTTTTAACTGTTAAAATAATTTAAAAATTAATTATTTTACATAATTAAAGAAGTTAAAAACTATTAACATTAAATAATTTCACAATTTCAACATGTCAAACCTATGAAGGGAGATAGGAAACAATGAGAAACTTACTTTTGCTCCTTTATACAGAATTATTAACTATATTTTACTAACTAAAAAACTCTAGTATTCTTTACCTAAAGTCAATTGGCTGGTAAGAGGGAGAGATGCAAAATTCTCCAGCTCTGAACTTGGAGCTACTTCACACTCTACTCTTAATGGAAACTTGAACTAATGATAGATAGTATTTTTTTCCTCTATTTAAAATTTTTGTCTTGATTAGGAGATTTTTCAGTTCTCCATATAATAATTTTCTACAATCAGATCTATGCTGTGGCATATTTTGCTTTATTTAAAAATTTTTTTTTAGAGATGAGTTCTTGCTCTGTCACCTAGGCTGGAGTGCAGTGGCATGATCATGGCTCACTGCAGCCTTGACCTTCCAGCCTGCCAAGTAGCTGGGATTACAGACAGGCATGTGCTATTACACCTGGCTAATTTTTAAAGTTTTTTTTGTAAAGATAGGGTCTTTCTATGTTGCCCAGGCTCGTCTTGAGCTCCTGGCCTCAATCGATCTTCCTGCCAAGGTTTTGGAATTACAGGTGTGAGCCACCATGCCTGGCCTGCTTTGACATATTTTATAGTGTGTTAATTACAAATAGTCTTCATATGCCAGAATATAAGAGCAAGTGTTATCTACTTTTTAGATGGGAATTGCAGAAGCTGCATCAAAAGTATGCTTTGAGGTATATATAGTGAAACAGAGCCTTTCTGAAGAGAATTATATCAAACTAATTACAACCAAGAAATAATAGTATGAAGCGGATGCTGTTTGGAGGACAGGAAAATTTATCGGGAAAATTACATAATCCCTCTGATTCCACTATCCAGAGATAGCCATTATTATTAATATTTGGTATGTACATCCTTATATTATTTTTTTCTTATGCATGATTTTGTATATATGGTTATTTTTCTTTCCATAAAAATGGTATTAAACTGTATATACTGTTTTGTAGCCTACATATTTCATATAGAAGTATATTGTTAACATTTTCCATGTCAATAAATATTCTTCTATGGCTTAAATGTCTTATGACTGCATTGTATTCTGTCTTCTCAGTATTATACTAACTAGTCCTCCACTTATTTCCAATTTTTAAGTTTTTTTCAACTTTTCACTGTTATAAACAACTGTGAAAACCTACATCATTTGCAGATTTTTGTATGTATCTTTGATTATTTCTTTAGGAAAAGCTCCTAGATATCGAATTTCTTGGTCAAGGTTTGTACATTCTAATAGCTTTTGATTAGTTGAGTCAGATTGTCATCCAGGAAAGTGTTATCAGTGATTGCTCCATTAATATTGTGTTGGAATATTTAATACCAGCCAAAGATGGGAAAAAATAGGCAGTTTGCTTGATAACTCCCAAGATCCTTTTTAAAAAAGTAAACTTTTTGGCCAGGCACAGTGTCTCACGTCTGTAATCCCAGCATTTTGGGTGGCTGAGGCAGGCGGATCACTTGAGGTCAGGAGGTTGAGACCAGCCTGACCAACATGGTCAAACCTGTCTCTACTAAAAATACAAAAAAAATTAGCTGGGTGTGGTGGCGGGCACCTGTAATCCCAGCTACTCAGGGGGGCTGAGGCAGGAATATCACTTGAACCCGGGAGGCAGAGATTGCAGTGAGCCCACATCGTGCCTTTGCACTCCAGCCTGGCGACAAGAGTGAAACTCCATCTCAAAAAAAAAAAAAACAACCTTCTTGCCTTGAAATAATTGTAGCCTCACAAGAAGTTACAAAAATAGTAGGTCCTGTGTACCCATCACTGAGCCTCCACTGACAGTAGTATAACTATAGTAAAATTGCAAAACCAGGAAATAGTTTGATTACGATTCTTTTATCAGATAAATGATTTCCAAATATTTTCTCCCAGTCTGTGGCTTGTCTTTTCATTCTCTTAGCAGTGTATTTTGCAGAGTAAAGTTGTTAATTTTGATGAGATCTAATTATCTTTTTTTTTCCTCTTTTTTGGATCATTCTTTTTGATGCAACATCTAAGGACTTTGCCTAACCCCAGGTCTAGATTTTCTTCTGTTTTTAAAGTTACATCATTTTGTGTTTTTCTTGTAGATCTATTTTCCATTTTTAGTTTTTACATAAGGTGTGAGATTAAAGTCAAAGTTTTTTTTGTTTTGTTTTTTGCTTATGGATGTCCAGTTATGGAAGTGACTAGTTTTTGTAAATTGAACTTTTTTTTTTGAGACAGGGTCTTGCTCTGTTGCCCAGGCTGGAGTGCAGTGGCCTGATCATGGCTCACTGCAGTCTTGACTTCCCTGGCTCAAGCGATCCTCCCACCTCAACATCCCGAGTAGCTGAGACTACAGGTGCATGCTACCACACCAGGCTAATTTTTATATGTTTTGTAGGGATGGGGTTTCACCATGTTGCCCAGGCTGGTCTCTGTCTCCTGAGCTCAAATGATCTTGGCTCACTGCAACCTCCACCTCCTGGCTTCAAGTGATTCTCATGTCTCAGCCACATGAGTAGTTGAGACTACAGGCACGTGCCACCAGGCCTGGCTAATTTTTGTATTTTTGGTAGAGATTGGCTTTCACTATGTTGGCCAGGCTGGCCTTGAACCCCTGACCTAAAGTGATCCACCCTCCTCGGCCTCCCAAAGTGCTGGGATTACAGGCGAGAGCCACTGTGCCTGGCCTCTAAATGGACTTTGATTTGGGTATACCATAATGCTTCCCATACCCATCCACATAGAATTCCTGATTTTTCATTCTCAGTACTTGAGCCTGCAAATTAGATTTCATCATTTTCCTTTCTCAGTGATCCAAGTATCTCAATTGTTCCTCCATCTCTTTATGGCTTTCCATCCCCAATAACAGGAACAAGAGCTATTTTTGTACATAATGTTTTGACAGATGGGACATGCTGAAGATGAACGTCTTCCATCATATCCCAGTACCTTCTTTAAACTTTCATTATCACAATCAATGGTTACACAATGTTCATTTAGACTAATGGTAATCAGTGTTTTCCAGATTCAACTGGATATGTATTCCGTAGTTTGCTTCCCAATTCAGGTTTTCAACCATAGCTCTATCCTATGAAATGGAAACCAAAGGACATAGTCATATCTGTATTGTTCCAGATAGTTGTAGTCAGAGTTGCTATCTGCTCATCCATTTTGAGGATGAAGACCACTCTCAGAAGTGTATGTTTCATTCATTGAGTTGGCTTCTGTACTGCTTACTTCTTGATTCTTCAGAAAGAGGTTTTGGAAAACTGAATCCTTTACTGCAAGGGGCACTGAGTGAAAGTTAAAAGAGAATATTATTCTTTTGCTCTGAGATTCTCTCAAGGCACCAAAATTATATTAGATTTTCCCTTTTGTAACTACCCTTCCCTCAGCAACAATTTCACCTTTCTTCCTTTTATCATTAATTTAAATCCAAACCTTTCCCTCTAAAGTAGGTCCCACTGGTTGTCACTGGACTAGCCCATATTTTTGGTAGCAAGATGAGATATTCCAGGGTTTCCCTTTGGGGTCATTCCCAATAATAGGGGATCACACTGGATAAATATGAAGAAAGGGTACTATCCTTCCATGAAGCAACAAAACATTTGCATAGTCAGCCCCAGCTTGGCAAAGTGCAGGGAACAGATAATCCATACCATCAATCTCTTTGGAATTTTTGCATTTAGGTTCAAATTAATATATATATTACCTTGTTTTGGAATATTATATGATTTTGGGATTCTTTTTTTTTTTTTGAGATGGAGTCTCACTCTGTCACTCAGGCTGGAGTGCAGTAGTGTGATCTCAGCTTACTGCAACCTCCGCCTCCCGGGTTCAAACGATTCTCCTGCCTCAGCCTCCCAAGTAGCTGGGATTACAGGTGCATGTCACCACGCCTGGCTAATTTTGTATTTTTAGTAGAGACAGGGTTTCACCGTGTTAGCCAGGATGGTCTCAATCTCCTGACCTTGCAATCTGCCTGCCTTGGCCTCACAAAGTACTGGGATTACAGGCGTGAGCCACCATGCCCGACGTGGATTTTGGGATTCTTAATGGTAGCCCTGGTTGCAAGGATTACTAGATGCATTATTGAAAAGAAAAATAGAGGTGAAGTAGGGAAGATTGTATGCAAATACTTGTTTCGTTCTTTATCTCTTTCTCCCTAATTCCACCAACAGATATAATCATTTACCTAATGGAATTTCACTTTTAGTTCCCCTTACCTACAGTTGCAAAACACAAAGCTGCAGGCTTGTAGACTAGTCATTTGATTCTTTGTTACGCCCACCTTCTTAAACAGGTACTTTAGTTATTCATTTCAATTTCCTTTTAACCCACGACTTTGAAAGTGATAAATATAAGTCCATTGAATACAATGTTATTTTGCATGTCATTGCCTATGTGAGCAGTAAACTGAGTGCCATCAGTTGACTTTACTACGATCTAACTAATCTTCAGTTTAGATCAGTTAAAAAGGTAGAAATTGGCTGGACATGGTGGCTCACACCTGTAATTCCAGCACAACACTTTGGGAGGCTGAGGTGGGCAGATCAATTGAGGCCAGGAGTTTGAGACCAGCCTGGCCAACATGGTGAAACCCTGTCTCTACCAAAAAATACAAAAATTAGCCAGGCGTGGTGACACACACTTGTAATCCCAGCTACTCAGGAGGCTGAGGCAGGAGAATTGCTTGAACCTGGGAGGCAGAGGTTGCAGTGAGCCGAGATTGTGCCACTGCACCTCAGCCTGGGTGACAGAACAAGACTGTGTCTCAAAAACAAACAAACAAAAAAGGTAGAAGTCTTCCAAAATTCTATGTTTCTCTGAAGTCTGACGTAGGGGAATGGGATGGGTTGGGAGAATCTCAGTTTGCCCCTTGCTTCCTCAGAGTCTTTCTCCTGTGGGAAACTGCATCTTTTTGGCAGTGAATTTTAAACTGAAAAAGATGTAGGTTCTGAACTCAGGTATTTGCCTTTAAAAAAATCTGGTTCTGGTCTTGCTTTTGAAGTGGATATCTAATGAATACATATTAGTTGGAATTATACAGTAAAGGAGTTTCTGGCTCAGGTTATGATTGGCACATGAGAAATAATAGTTTTTTTCCCCCCAGTGAAATTATTAAGAAAGGGAAAATGTAATTAATATGGTTTGGCTATGTCCCCACCCAAATCTCATCTTGAATTGTAGTCCTCATGTGTCGAGGGAGGGAAGTAATTGGATGATGGGGGCAGTTCCCCCATGCTGTGTGCTCACATGCTCTCTCTTGCCTGCTGCCGTGTAAGACATGCCTGCTTCCCCTTCCACCATGACTGTGTTTTCCTGAGGCCTCCCCTGCCATGTGAAACTGGGAGTCAATTAAACCTCTTTTCTTTATAAATTATCCAGTCTTAGGTATGTCTTTATAGCTGTGTGAAAATGGACTAATACAACAATTAATTGCTTTTTATCTTCATTTTAATAAATTTATAAGCAAATGGCATTAATAAATTATGATAGAGCAGAATGCAAAGATTTTTAAATAATTTAATCAACCAAATGTGGATCACATAGAATGAATATATATGAAGAAGTATTTTATATAATTTTTGAATGTACAATTGCATTTATAAAATAAAAATATGCAAAATCAACTTATGTTTTTAAATGTCCAGATAATGCTTACCCATGAGGGCTGAGTAACTGGAAAAGGGTGTGGGTGGTGGTTACATGGTTATGTTCAGCTTGTAAAAATTAATCAATTATCAATTTGTGACTTATACATATACTTAAACAAAAAAGTAACAAAAACAAAATGAAACAAAGTGCAGTCTCTGCCCTTTAGCAACTTATGTTCTATTAGGAGGGCCAGCAAGAAAATCTCCATTTCTGTTACTCTTCCTTTCTTTGTGTAGAGTCATTTTTGCATTTGGCATCATTTTCCTTCTGCTTGAAGAACTTCCTTTACCATTTCTTGTAGAGCAAGTTTGCTGGTGGTGAATTATTTCAGCTCTCATATATCTAAAAACCCTTTATTTTGTCTTTGTTTATGAAACTTTCTTTTTTTTTACTAAATATAGAATTCTAGGTTGAGTTTTTTTTCCTTTCAACATTTGAGAGATATTGCAGCCACTGTTTTTCTGCTTCTGTTGCTTCTGATGAGAAACATGCTGACACTCATACCTTTCTTATTTTGTATGTTATGTGTCCCCCCTCAACCCCTGCTGTTCTTAAGCTTTTCTTTTTCACACTGGTTTTGAGCAATTTTATTTGATATACCTTGTGTAGTTTTCTTTGTTTCTTGTGTTTGGGGTTCATTGAGCTTCTTGGTTTATATTTCTCATCACATTTTGAAACGTTTTAACCATTGATTCTTCAAATTTTTTTCTGTCCTTTCCTTTCTCCTTTCCTCCTGGGACTCCTATTAGACATATATTAAGTCACTTGAAGTTGTCTTCTACCTTAGTGATACACTGTTAATTAAAAAAAATCTCTTTTATCTCTGTGTTTCATTGTAGGTGGATTATATCATTACATGTTTAAGTTCACTAATCTTATCTTCTGCAATCTCTGCCATTAATCCTTTCCAATGTATGTTTAGTCCAGACCTTCTAGTTTTTATTTCTAGATGTTTGATTAAAAAATCTTCTATATCTTTACATATCTTTTTGAAAATATGGAATACAGCTATATTCCATTTTCGTTTTTCCATATTCCATCTGACTATTTTAATGTTCTTGTCTGTTAATTCTAATATCTGTGTGATTTCTGAGTTGACTTCAATTGATTGATGTTTTTCCCCTTATTATAGATCACATTTGCCTGCTTCTTGGCATGTCAGATAATTTTTAATTGGATTTAAGACATTGTAGTTTTACATTGTTGGGTACTGGATATTTTTATGTTATATAAATATTCTTGAGCTGTGTTCAGGGTTGCAATTAAGCTGCTTGGAAACAGTTTGATCCTTTCAGGTTTTGCTTTTAAGATTTGCTAGGAAGAACCCAAGAAATATTTAGTATAGGGCTAATTATTCCTGACTACTGAGGCAAGACCCTTCTGAATGTACTGCCCAACGTCCCATGAATTAGGAACTTTTTCCATTTGGCTAATGGGAGCAGGCACTATAACCAGCCCTCTGTGAGCATTGGGTACTATTGCCTCTAATATTTTCGAGTGGTTCTTTTTCTTGCCTAAAAACAGTTCCTCCACAAGTGCTAATCAGTACTCTGGTGAATACTTGAAGGGGGTCCTCTGCAGATCTCTGGAGTTCTGCTCAGTGTGGCTCTGCAGTTCAGAATCCTCTCTGGTACTCCTGTACTCTCAACTCCATTTCCTCATCCCAGGGAGTCTCCTGGGCTCTGCCTGGATTTCCCCTCTCTGCCCATGCCCTGGGAACTCTCAAGATAGTAAGGTGGGGCAACTGCAGACCTCATCCGTTCTCTCAGGGATCACCGTCCTTCCTTGTTAATGACAAGTGCCTTGAAAACCATTGTCTAGTTTTTTGGCTGTTTCAGATGGGATTGTGAAATTCAGCCCCTGTTACTCCATCATGGCCAGATGAGAATATTGAACTGAATCTACACGAGTTTTAAAAATGGCCTGGTGTGGTGGCTCATGCCTATAATCCCAGCATTTTGGGAGGCCGAGGTGGGTGGATCACTTTAGGTCATGAGCTCAAGACCAACCTGGTCAACATGGTGAAACCCCATCTCTACAAGAAATAACAAAAATTAGCTGGGCATGGTGATGAGTGCCTGGAATCCCAGCTACTTGGAAGGCTGAGGCAGGAGAATCGCCTGAACCTGGGAGACAGAGGTTGCAATGAGCCGAGCTCACATCAGTGGCCTCCAGCCTGGGCAACAGAGTAAGACTCCATCTCCAAACAACAACAACAACAACAACAACAACAACAACAACAACAACAATGAACCTTGTGTGAGCCCAATTTATTTCCTGTATAATGATTATATTTTATAGATATTACATGATTTTATTCTAATAATGGAGATGGATGCATCACAGTAAAATGTTTAAGGTAAAACATTTCACTGTTTTTTGGAAATACTTTCTCAGTGTCAGTTAAAGGGAAACTGTTACCACAAGCTTACTTTATCAAGAATCAGGAAGTACTATGAGATCAGCATTAGATTAAAACAGTGTTGTTTTGAGTGGAAGACTACACATTTTAGGTATGTGATTAGAAAACATACTTGTCAGAATTGTCTGGCTGGATTAATTTGCTAATTTGACCTTCTTCATCATTTGATGTGATGCCAGATACTAATAGCACAATCAATTTATCACTAAGCACTCGTGTTACTTTAGCATTTTTTATGTCCTTAGTAGCTTTTGCTATAATGCTAGGAAATGCTTTGGTCATTTTAGCTTTTGTGGTGGACAAAAACCTTAGACATCGAAGTAGTTATTTTTTTCTTAACTTGGCCATCTCTGACTTCTTTGTGGGTAAGTTATATGTCTTTATTTAAGACAGTCTTTTCCGATTTTAATTTATTTCTAAATCCTTAAAATAAGCTTTTGTTATTTCAGGGGACTGTATACAACTGGGGAAAAATAAACACAAAAAGTTTAAGTATTAAATTTTGGAGGGGGCTATATGGCACTGTAAGGGAATGTTATACATATGTAAATCAGTGTGGTAGGGGAATTTTCAGCTGAAAACAGTTTATTTTCTTTTTATAGAATAAAGATAAGTCCAGTATAGCTCCAAAATTTTAATGTAAGAGTTACTTGTTTCTGGTGCTATTTTCCTCATATGTTTAGGCTTATAAGTATTCCTCTTTAAGTAAATATGGTTTTGTTGGTATCACAATGTTGGAGTAATAAGAAATTATGTATATGCTAGTAACCAGTGCAATCAGAAAATAGCGTATTCAGATCAATTAAATAATATGATTAATAGTATTAATTTAATGATATGGCATAGAATTTTGTAAAATATACCCAACTGTAAACTGCCTTGCATATAATATGATATCATAGCATTATATCATCGTTAAGAGACCATAGAAATCAAACCAACTTTCTCTGAAAACACGCACTTTATAATTTTTCACTGCCTGATGCTTCTTATTTTTAAACAATGCTTATCATAATAAGTAGATGTACAGAAATGTCAGCTGATGATACTATTTTACAGGAGTTTCTAGTATAATTTAATCTGGCATATTCAGATTATTTTTGTCTATAACTACATAAAGCTTACATTTATGTTAAAGTGAAATAAACACACAAAATACTTAGTTCATTCCCTGGAATACAGTTGTTACTCAACAAATGTTAGTTCTCTTTTTTTTTTTTTTTTAATTTCTCTGCAGATATGGGTCAACCCCAATCTAGGTCACAAATGTTAGTATAGTATCTAGCCTGTATAATACTGCTAGGTATGCAAGCACTATTAGGTAATCAAGGGATCTATAGAAGATTAGGTTAGTCTCTTCCAGTAAGTTTTTGATGTAGAAGAGTGGACAAGAGATGTTCAGAAATGACTATAGCAGTATAGAGTAACACGAGACCCCACGAAGACCTAAGAAGTGCTATGGTCACTTGGAGGAGGGATAAAGCACGTTTAGTTAGCGAATAGAGGCATTTAACATGAACTTTGAAAGATGGATAGAATTTCCATAGTCAGAGATAGGGCGAAGGATTCTTTGCTCCAAGAATGAGCAAAGGCATGCTGGTAGAAAATCATTGTGCTTATCTTCCTAAGGGTGAGTGAGCTTGGAGCTGGCTGGTGTGCAGATAGGTGCAGGGGAGCCGTAGAGATGAAGATGAAATCTATAAAGTGAGGGCCTTTAAATACCAGCGTGAGTGTGGAGTGGAATTTATTCAGCAGGCCTTGTGGAGATTTAAAGATTTTAAAACAGGAGAGTGGTTGAACAGATCAAAGCTTTACTTTAGAGACATCGGAAGAGCCGTAGGAAATGGGGAAACTGGAGTGTGGGGCGGCATGCTTTCAGAGATGATCCTGCAGCAATCTAGGCAGAAATCATGCAGTTAGGACCTGAGCTAGGATGATTGGAAAGGAAGGCCAACAGGCAGAGCAGCTAAGGGTGTGGTTGGGCGGGAAAAGAGAAAGCTGAGTTAAAGATTGGGCTTCTGAGACTAAGAACGGTACGGTGCTCTTCAAAGAAACAGGAAGTATTTGGGCAGGACAGCTCTGGTTCTGATGTTGCACTGAAAGTTCTGGAGAAAAATTCTAGTTGGGGAGATTGATTTAGGAGTCATGGCATAGAAATGACACATAAAGGCAGCTAACCCATAAAGAAGTATTGAAAAAATGCACTGTCTCCACATTTGTTTCCTCAATTCTGTCCCTTCAGGTAACCAACATTTGCTGCTTGATGTAGATCCTTCCACATCATTCTCTGTGCTCCCATAAACATGTACAAATACACGAGTTTATTTATGTGAACATAGAGAAAGTTCCACTATAAATATATGTATCCTTTGCTTCTTCCTTCTTCACAGGATCTTGTGACTTTTAGATGACAGTCATCACTTAAAATAGATGATGTGCTTTTACTAACCCAAAGGGAGTGAGGCCCTGACTGCCCCAGTTTTAGGGTGGGAAGGGTGAGACAGCTGAGAGAGCCTGGGGCCTGAAGCTTTTGAATCAAGATGGTTCTAGGTAAAAATGTCTCCATGTCTGGCCCAAGACCAGCATCATGGCAGTCCCACCCTCAAGGGCTTGAGCTTGTCTTTGGAAAATGGCCCTGCAGATGTAGTTATTCAGCAGTCCTGGTGATCTCCTCCATCAGCAGGTGGGTGAAGATATAATTCTGATAATTTCTTTTGCTCCTGATTAAAGGAGTTGGGTGCAGGTCAGAGTCTCCTTTCATCTGCCTGCCAGCCTCATCCCTCACATCTCCCCTGCCTCCTGCCAGCTTCATCCAGAGGTCTGCATATTTAATGCAGGGCTCACCATGACACAGTCCCTGGGAGCTTTTTGTAACAGGATTCAAGTTTTCTGGCAGTGCTGTTCTTTCTCCTTTGCCATGCTGGGAAATGAACCTTTTGTCTCAGCCTGGAAGAAGGCGTGGACGTGGTGAGCATGCAGGGCAGAACTCGTGAGAGGTTTTCTGCAGCTGTTAGCCATTGATTCTTAACATTTGGGGTCATGAGATCCAGAGCTCCAGAGCCATGTGACCATGGCAGGGCAGATTAGACCCTCACATGTGCTTGGAACTGTGGCTTTGCTGGCTGAATGCCCTCTTCCCCCCAGGTTTCAGAACTGGCCCTCTGCGGAGAATCTAAATTTGTGGCACCCAAGTTGCTAATTTCTCAGGCTGAATTTACTGTTGAGAGCAAAGATTTATTGAGGAAAAATTCTAGTACTAGCTATACCGGACGTTATATAAATACACCTCATCTGTATACTATTTTGGGAAACATACTATCTATATCTACATCAATATCAATAAAAGTGTTACCATGTAACCAGTGTTTCCATTTGTGGGTACTTTCTTCTCATCCCCATGTTGTGTTGGCGTTTGTGGCCTACATGACCATGTGACAGATGGCTGGACAGGATCTTCAGGGGATAAAGGTGGTTGCTGCTATCAGAGCCTGAACCAAGTGTTCAGGATGGCAGAATTTATCTTGATACCTGTATGCCTGAGTTCAAGACTCTTTTCTGGCCTTCTGTATTTATCTGCTCAGGCTGCCATAACAAAATACCCTAGACTGGGTGGCTTAAACAACTGACATTTATTTTCTCACAGTTCTGGAGCTGGGGACATCCCAGATCAAGATTCTGGCCAATATTGGTTCCTGATGAGGGCTGTCTTTCTGGCTTGCAGACGGCTGCCGTCTACCTGCGTCCTCAAGAGGCCTTTCTCTGAGTGCGCACAGAGAGAGAGAGTGAGCTCTCTGTTGTCTCCTCTTATAAGCACACTATTGGATCAGGGCCCCACTCTTATGAACTGTTTTACTCTTAATTTTGTCCTTGAAGGTCTTAGTTCCAAATATAGCCACATGGGGGGTTAGAGCTCCAACATGTGAATTTGGGGAGGGCACATACACATTCAGGCCATAACACCCTCTGTGCACTCACCATCATCCACACATTCCTCTGGCGGCCCAAAGGATTTACTTGGGGATTTTAGCTCCTGCCATCTTTTGATTGCCATTTTCTCATGGAAGATATAGCTTCTTAGCTGGCTTAGAAAGAAGGGACGATGCCAGATGGGTGGCAATTTTAAAGCAAACTGGGCTTCTCCATCCTCATCTATTTGTTCATCCAACAATTATTTCTTTTGAAGGAGGCACTTTCTGAGGTGCTGGGGATAGAGCAGTAAAAATACACGTGAAAATCCCTGCCCTCATGATGCTTCTGTTTCTACTGGGAGCAGGGGCATGGAGACAGAAAATAAACAAGAAAAATAACTAAGACAAATTTTATAGTATTTTAGAGGGTGATAATTGCTACTGAAAAAAATGCAGAGAGGAGGGAAAGGGAGTGTGCTGGGAGTGGGGCTGCAATTTTAAACCTTGGAGCTAGAATTTACTGAGAAAGACACATTTGAAGCCTGGGCGTGGTGGCTCACATCTGTAATCCCAGCACTTTGAGAGGCCAAGGTGGGTGGATCACTTGAGGCCAGGAGTTCGAGACCAGCCTGGCCAATATGGTGAAATTCCAATCTCTACTAAAAATACAAAAATTAGCCGGGCGTGGTGGCGTGTGCCTGTAATCCCAGTTACTCAAGAGGCTGAGGCAGGAGAATCACCTGAACCCAGGAGGTGGAGGTTGCAGTGAGTCGAGATCATGCTACTGCACTCCGACTTGGGTGACAGAGCCAGACTGCGTCAAAAAACAAACAAACAAAACAAAAAGGAAAGACATTTGAGCAAACAGAAGGCGCCCTTGGGGGAAGAGCATTTCACGCCAAGGAACAGCAGGTGCGCAGGATCTGAGGCAGAAGGGTGGGTGGTGCATTGGAGGCCAGAACGGCTGGGATGGAGTGATTGAGGGGTGAGAAGTAGGAGTGGGACTGCGGAGGTGGGGGCATATAGCTTGTTTTCTTTTACTTTTGTCTTAATCTTTTCAAGAAACTGGCTCTTAGTTTTACTTATCAGCTCCATTTGACCCAAAAACACAATTCCAGAATCGAAGGTGTAGAAACACTTCAGAGTAGGTATATTAGAGAAATAGTTCAGATTCCGTTTTTTTGCAACTCGTTCGGAACGAGCCACAGACATCTCTGTTGCTCAACAAGACAGAGGAACTGAGCATGACACAAGTACGGAAGCATTACCTAGAATTCAGGGTGACAGCACAGTGGGGGTTATGAAAACCAAAGGAATATCCTAGAGCCTGTCTTCAGCTAACCACTGTTTCCAGCAGCTCCTAGGCTTTTGAACACACCTTTCCTCTTTTGCATAAATCAGAAAGCGTGTGACAAAGAGCATTTACCTCCCACCCCCTGCCCTGAACCTCTCAGTCAGTGGTGTCTAGAATGCATTACTAGTATCTCTCTTCTTTCTCATTCTGTGAAAGAAATGAGTTCCAGTGTTGAAAATACTCATGTTGGGAACATTGGAAGCCACAACCGTGGGCTGAAATATAATAAATGTCTGTTTTGGGATACTTTGATTTACCTCAAGTGGACCTGGTGACCTATATTATTTTATATATATATATTTATTTATTTTTGAGGCAGGGTCTCACTCTGTTGCCCAGGCTGGAGTGCAGTGGCGTGATCATGGCTCACTCCAGCCTTGACCTCCCTGGCTCAAATGATCCTCCTGCCTCAACCTCCTGGTTAGCTGGAACTACAGGCTTGTGCCACCATGTCCAGCTAATTTTTGTATTTTTTTTTTTTTTTTGTAGAAATAGGGTTTTGCCATGTTGCCCAGGCTGGTCTCCAACTCCTGAGCTCAAGTGAGCTACCTGCCTCAGCCTCCCAAGGTGCTGGAATTACAGGCATGAGCCACCACTCTCAGCCAGTGACCTATTTTATACCATAGACATACACACACATACTCTGGAGATGAAAGGCACCCTAAGGAAGTTTACTTATCATTAAAAATATAATTGAAACATGAAACAAACAGGTTATTTAAACTACATATAAGAACTGACCACGCAACTCTTCATCTCTGTGGTGTCTTGTACCTAGGGACAGAATACTAGGGTTTAGCACTACCTTCCACTGGTTCTGAAACCATGCCATTATAGCCTCATGTGGTCTTGTTTTGGAGAATGCAGGCTTTCCTTCTTCCTTTCCTTTTCCTTTAACTTTACTATTCTTAATAATAGACTAATTTGGTTCTCATGAAAAAATGGGAATTCCTGGAAGTACCTGATACATTTGAAGTAACTCAACAAAGTAAGATTTCATCTCAGCTTCCACTTAATAGATCATATTCTTAGCAACTAATCACACCTGTCTGAAATGCCAATGCAATTACAAACCCCTAAAAGCTAAAGGAAAAGGAACCTCGTTTCGTCACTTTTCAGTTAAGCAGTTTCTATGCTGGGCTGAATCACTGTGGTAGAGCTTATCTATTTGTTCATGCAGTGAAGAGTTGCAGGTAAAGTCAGAGGTTCTGAAATCACAATCCCTGGTTTCAGATGCAATCTTCTCCACTTGCTAGTTGAGTGGACCTTGGTCTAATTATCTCTTTTCTGAGCTTTAGGTTCTTTAACTGTTAACTCAGCATGGTCCCTTCCTCACAAAGTTTCTATGAAGATGAAATGAGGTGACATTTGCAATGCACACAGCACAGGGTCTGCCATATGGTAATTGTATAAGACATATTAGCTGTTACTAATTTAAGTGAAATGTACAAGTCATTGGCCAACTCTAGAGGTTGTAGGAAATACAAAGATTGATTTGCGATATGACCCTAATCCTCAGGAGAGACAGACTAAAAAGATGACTATGATATAAAAGTAGAATGTAATTAATGCATGAGAGAGGGAAAGATGAGCAAAGAACCAGGAAAGTGCAGAGGACAGAGGGGTCACTTCCACTGAGGAAGCTCCAAGAAAGAGGGCATGGAGGAGGTCACTTTTTGGCCTCAGTGAAAAATGAGAAAGAAGTGAATGGACTTTTTATTTATTTTTTATTTTCATTTTTTTGAGACAGAGTTTTGCTCTGTCACCCAGGATGGAGTGCAGTGGCCCCATCTCAGTTCACTGCAACCTCCATCTCCCGGGTTCAAGCGGTTCTCTTGCCTCAGCCTCCTGAATAACTGGGATTACAGGCGTGCACCACCATGCCCAGCTAATTTTTGTATTTTTAGTAGAGATGAGGTTTCACCATGTTGGGCAGGCTGGTCTTGAACTCCTGACCTCAGTTGATCCACCTGCCTCGGCCTCCCAGAGGGCTGGGATTACAGGTGTGGGCCACCGTGCCCGGCCTGAATTGACTTTTTAGTAGAAGACAGGTGGACATTTTGGGAAGAAAGAATGATGTTGGCAGAGAAAAAAGAGATGTGAAAATGTGCCATGTGTTTGGGGGAAGGGTGGTCCATCCTGTTGGGGTTAGAGCATGAAAAAAGTAAAGATGATTTATGCTGCCTGTGGCTAGAAATACAAGACCTGTACTTAATTTGGAAAGTAGAAAGGAGCCATTGAAAGTACAGTCGCCCCTTGGTGTCTGTGGGGGGTTTGTTCCAGGAATCCCCTTAGATAGCAGAATCCAAGAAAGCTGAAGTCCCTGATATAAAATGCTGTAGTATTTCCATATAACCTATGTACATCCTCCCATATACTTTATTATTTATTATTATTTTTAATAATAAAGATGGGGTTTCACCATGTTGCCCAGGCTAGTTACGAACTCCTGTCCTGAAGTGATCCACCCACCTTGGTCTCTCAAAGTGCTGGGATTACAGGCGTGAGTTACCACGCCCGGCCCCTCCCGTATACTTTAAATCATCAGTAGATTATGTATAATACCAAAGACAATGTGAGTGCTATGTAAATAGTTGTTATACTGTAGTGTTTAGAGAATAATGACCAGAAGTCATTACCATTAGTCAAAGTCTATACATGTCCAGTACAGATGCAGTTTTTTTCCAAATATTTTCTATCTGTGGTTGGTTGAATCCACAGATGTAGAATTCATGGATAAAGAGGGCCCACTGTGCAATGTTCATGACCCCTCTTCTAAAAATGGCGTTTAAGGAGTGTGTAGAAAATCAGTCCTGAGCTGCTTGATGAAATACCGTGAATTTCTAAATTAGAGACAAATCATTTGTAGTGAATTCAGATAGGTCATTGTGTTGTGTAGCCATTAAAACATGCACATTTGTGTTCATTGATGTGCGCTATGTTTTTACACTTATGTTTTCCCTGTGCAGGTGTGATCTCCATTCCTTTGTACATCCCTCACACGCTGTTCGAATGGGATTTTGGAAAGGAAATCTGTGTATTTTGGCTCACTACTGACTATCTGTTATGTACAGCATCTGTATATAACATTGTCCTCATCAGCTATGATCGATACCTGTCAGTCTCAAATGCTGTAAGTCGAAACATTAATTTATCCCCCTTAGAAGATTATGTAAATGTATATGATGGGTCCTCAAGCAAAAATTCTTTTAAGCCTAATTGTTAATTTAATCGACAGGCCTTAGAGGAACCCTATCCTTTTGTTGTCTGGCATAAAGTTCTTGCTGGTTGTTAGTTTGTGTGACTTGGATAATTCACTCACCTATGCACCATTGAAATGGGAAGGAATCAAAGAAAACCCAAGGCAAGTTGTCCCAACTGGTATACTAAGTCTATAGTAGATTGGATAGACATGACATTCATGACAGGTTTATGGGTTCTACTCCACAGACATATGGAGTATATGACCTGAATATATTCCTCGGAATGGAACTTGGAGGGCAGTAGAAAGAATCCCATACTTTGAAATGTGATGAGAAAATCAATTCTGAATGGCCAAACGAAAAGACAGTATATAGGGAAGCTACAGTTTACACAGTGGGACCAGCCAGAAAGATCAAGTCCTCATGCCCTTTTAGAACCTGGGCCAAGAAAGGTGGAACTTACTCAAGATTTGGAATAGCCTCATCTACGAGTTAGTGGAAATTTTTAAGTCAGCTAAATTTCTCAGCAATGGATCAAAAGAGAAAATAAAGTTGAAATAAGGACAAGGGGGCCATAGAAATGTGGGGCAGTGATCTGAAACCTTTGAGGCCTAGATAGGAAACTTCCTTCACTCCCCTCTCAGGGACCCAACTCTTTGGGGGACTACTGTGTGACAGGCATTTTGCTAAGTGCTGGGATACAGAAGTGAATATGCAGAGTCTCCATTTCATTTTTCTTTCCAACTTTTGTTTTGGCCTCAGGGGGTATGTGTGCAGGTTTTTTTACATGAGTAAGCTGCGTGTCGCGGGGGTTTTGGCGTAGGGATTATTTTGTCACCCGGGGAATGAGCACAGTATCTGATCGGTAGTTTTTTGATCCTCTCCCTCCTCCCACCCACCACCCTCAGGTAGGCCCCGGTATCTATTGTTTCTTTTTTTGTGTGAGTCTGTATTTTTGACGAGCATAGTCATCTACGTGGAGGCAGATCCAGGAACAAATCGGTTCAGTACAATGGACTAAGTGCTGTCCTGGGGTGTTGAGAGGACAGTGACAGATCTAGCCTGGGACGATTGTGCAGCTGGAGGTTGACAGGATTGGAAGGTGTATTAGATCAGGCATAGATAAACTGCTGTGACAAAGAGTCTCCAAAATGTGGAGGCTTAAGCAAGATAAATGTTTATTTTTCTCTTACATAACAGTCCATGAAAGAGTGGATTCTCTGCTCCAGGAACTCACCCAGGAACCCTGCTGGCAGGGTGGCTCTGCACCCTTTGGGGCAGGGACTGGCAAACTTTCATTATCAAGAGCCAGATAGCAAATAATTTGGCTTTGTAGAACCTACTGTTTCTGTTGCAACTGCTCAAATGTGCCATCGTAGCCCCCAAACAGCCATAGATGATATATACAAAAGTGTACTTGGCTCTGTTCCAATAAAACTTTATTTGCCCAAACAGGTGGTGGGCCACATTTGTTTCTCTATTTTTTTTTTTTTTTTTTTGGAGACAGGGTCTCACTGTGTCACCCAGGCTGGAGTGCAATGCCATGATCTTGGCTCACTGCAACCTCTGCCTCCCAGGTTCAAGTGATCCTCCTGCCTCAGCCTCCCGAGTAGCTGGGATTACAGGCGCATGCCACCATGCCTGGCTAATTTTTGTATTTTTAGTAGAGATGGGCTTTCACCGTGTTGGCCAGGCTGGTTTTGTACTCCTGATCTCATGTGATCCACCTGCCTCTGCCTCCCAAAGTGCTGGGATTACAGGCATGAGCCACTGCGCCTAGCCCATATTTGTTTCACGGACAGTAGTTTTCTGGCCTCTGCTTTAGTCCATTCTCCTCCTCTGCATGGCCAAAGTCAGGTTGTTGTCATACTAGATTCTAGGAAAGGGAAGAAGTCCAGAGCAAGGGATTTTTTTTTTTTAACCAAGTAGTGCAGAATCACACAGTCATTTCCGCTTACATTTTATTGGTGAAACTTAGTCACATGGTCCCATCTCGCCACAAAGGAAGCTGGGAAACTCTAGTCGAGCCACCACATAGTCAGGAAGGAGGTGAGAATGGATGTGGGAGGACAGCCAGCTATGTCTCCTCCTTAACATCGCATACTTCATTGGCGCCAGGGACCACTGCAGTTTGTATTGTATGCGGAGAGTGCAGATCAGCTTGGATTAACAATTCAAATGCCTATAGTCTCATATTTTTCAAACTGCTGGCCTTGACCCATTATTGATTTATGAAATCAATTTAGTGGGTTGTGACCTTTTTTTTTCATTAAAAAAATATGGAATGAAACAGAATAGAACAGCTGAGCATGTTGGCTCACGCTTGTAATCCCAGCACTTTGGGAGGCCAAGGCAGGTGGATCTCTTGAGGTCAGGAGTTGGAGACCAGCCTGGCCAATATGGTGAAACCCCGCCTCTACTAAAAATACAAAAAAATTAGCCAGGCATGGTGGCGCTTGCCTGTAATCCCAGCTACTTGGGAGGCTGAGGAAGGAGAATTGCTTGAACCCGGGAGGCGGAGGTTGCAGTGAGCTGAGATTGCACCATTGTACTCCAGCCTGGGTGTCGCAGCAAGACTCCATCTCAAAAAAAAAAAAAAAAAAAAAAAAAAAGAAATGTAATAGAACAAAATAAAAAATTAGAAACCTTCAGATTATCTTGTACATAATAAAAGTAAATACTGATTTATGAATACTTCCATCTGTGTGCTTGGTTGTGATATACAATATAATTTTACTTTAGATCACAGTCAAGTGTTTGAAAAATAATGCTCTAATTCAGAATCTTTCCCATTTGTACTTTCAAAATTTCCTTTCTTTCTGGGTTAACATTTCTTTTTAATCTCCACTGGATGTTCCTAGGGCTTCCTTCTCTAGATGTCCCAGCTTTTGAATTTACTCTCAGGTTTGTGGGCAGAAAAGGGACAGCTTACCCAGTTGGGAAAAGTGCTTAGAGGTTACAGAGAGATGAGGGATGATGCCCAGGGGAATGTAGACTTTCTTTTTGTTTTTTTGCTTTTTTTGTTTTTATTTTTATTTCTTTGAGACAGAGTCTGGCTCTGTCGCCCAGGCTGGACTGCAGTGACATGATCTCGGCTCACTGCAAACTCCCCCTCCCGGGTTCAAGCCATTCTTGTGCCTCAGCCTCCTGAGTAGCTGGGATTACAGGCGCGTGCCAGCGCGCTTGGCCAATTTTTGTATTTTTAGTAGAGATGGGGTTTTGCCATGTTAGCCAGGGTGATTTTGAACTCCTGACCTCAAGTGATCCGCCCCCCTCAGCCTCCCAAAGTGCTAAGATTACAGGCATGAATCACCATGCCCGGCCTGTTTTTTGTTTTTAAATCCTGGTCTTGCCTCGAGTAATTCCCCTGGAAATTCAGGCTGTAAACTTGGTGAGGGATGGGTTGGCTAGATCCTGGGTCCCCAGTGCACAGCACAGAGTAAAATATATAGGGTTCCACAAATGAATGTATGGATGCTGGCAGGGGTGCTCAGGCAGACCTTGTATCTCTGCTGGTGAATAGTTCAAATGCAGCCGTGTGAAAACAGAAGGAAGCCTTCAAAGACACTGGGATCCCATAGGAAGTAGCAGTGGGGAAGCTGAACTCTTACGGTAGCTGAAAGTACAGGAGACAGTGTGATAGGGGAAAGGGATGGGTGGCCTGGGAAATGGAAATCTGACAATAATTTGGAAAAGAAAAGCCCAGTGCAGGTGGAGCACATGATTACAGTCCTCAGAGAGGTTTTCTGGAGGTGCAGATTCCATGTGGCTGAAGTCAGAGTTGGGTGGGGAAGGAGAACAGCAGGGCTTCATGGTAGCTGGAGGGAATGGGAATTAAAATGTACAAAAAGGGTTTGGCGCGGTGGCTCATGCCTGTAATCCCAGGGCTTTGGAAGGCCGAGGCTGGCAGATCACTTGAGGTTAGGAGTTCGAGACCAGCCTGGCCAACATGGCAAAACACAGTCTCTACTAAAAATACAAAAATCAGCCAGGCTTGGTGGCGGGCGCCTGTAATCCCAGCTACTCGGGAGACTGAGGCAGGAGAATCACTTGAACCCAGGAGGCGGAGGCTGCAGTGAGCCAAGATCGCACCACTGCACTCCAGCCTGGGCGACAGAGCAAGACTCTGTCTCAAAAAAAAAAGTACAAAAAAGTATACAGAATTAAGATAGTAAAAGAAGGGTATTTCTTTACCTGCAGATGAAGAAAGAAACTTGACAGTAAAATCAAGACCACAGGAAATCTCATGGCTGGGAGGACACGCTGGGGCATTGTGTTTGTTTGCTGGAGCTACCAAAACAAGACCACAAACTGGGTTGCTGAAAACAACAGGAATTTATTCTGTCACTGTTCTGGAGACTAGACATTTGAAATCAAGGTGCTGACAGGGCCATCCTTTCTCAGAAGGCTCCAGGACACCTTGTTCTGTGCCTGTCTTTTAGCTGCTGGTGTTGCCAGCAACCCCTGGCATTCCTTGGCTTGTAGATGCGTCCCTCCAGTCTTTACATCTGTTGTAACGTGGTGTTGTCTCCCTGGGTCTGTGTCTGTGTCTCTGTTTTCTCTTCTTATGAGAACATATTGGATAGGGTGACCCCTAATTCAGTATGACCTCATCTTAACTGGATTACATCTGCAAACACCATATTTCCAAATAAGGTCACATTCACAGGTACTGAGGGGTTTAGGACTTCACCATACTTTTTGGGGGACATAATTTAACCCACAACAGGCACTTAGAATGGTCCTGAAATCCATCTCATTATGAACACCAACAAGTTCTAGTAGGCCGCTCGGCCTCACCAAAAAAACCTGATTGACAGAAGGTGTGGATATTTTATTGGGGCGGGAAAAAAGTAGGGTAAGAGACAGTGTCCTGAATAATGGGCATATTCTGTAGTGGGCAAGAGCTAGGCCGCTGCGGGATTTCAGGGACACCACTCCACGCAGCCTGGTTCCGATTCAAGCAATGCTTGAGCTGTCTATCTTTCAAATATGCTCCCCGGAGATGCACAGATCAGCATCCTCTTCACAGCTCCTTGGCTGTCCATTATCTCAACTGACCTTATGCATAACGGAAGAGAGATCACTTTCCAACATATTGTGTTATATCATTACCAAGGCTGAGCAGAGCAATTAAAAAACTAAATGCAGCTTTAGCACCATCTGGGTATTGTTACCATCTTCATAATCATTAGATTTAGTGCAAGAGATGTATTAATTAGTGGCACAGGAAGCAGAAGGCAAAAAAAAAAGTGTATCGCATGTGAGAGCTCATGGTCAGCACCATATGCATTTTAGCTTAGCCTCAAAAAGACCAGCAATTTGAGAGAGAAAAAAAAAACAACCAAGTGCACCTCCCT
Source organism: Homo sapiens (assembly GCF_000001405.40). NCBI lineage: Eukaryota > Metazoa > Chordata > Mammalia > Primates > Hominidae > Homo > Homo sapiens. The sequence goes on from NC_000018.10 coordinate 24,474,382, forward strand.
ACAGTTAAAAAGAAAACTTAGTGTTTTTATTTTTAAATTATTAACTAGCTTTCTTTTACCTCCAGCCAATAGAGGTCTTCTCAGCCTGTAGGATCCATCAAAGAAAGAGTGCTGGGCAATGCTGCACCCCTTTAAACCATGAGAAACCATTGCAGAACGAGACTTAAAATCTCACAGAACAAATATGACACAAGAAATAGAAAAAAGGAAGCATGTACCAATTTCATGGGTAGATCCATTTTTTTTTGCCTGTGAGAGAGGAAATTAAAGAAACATGGAACATGAGAGCTGAAAGGAACCTTGGAACCTTACTGATTTTTTTTTTTTTGAGAGTCTCACTCTGTCACCAGGCTGGAGTGCAGTGGCTCCATCTCGGTTCACTGAAACCTCTGCCTCCCTGGTTTAAGTGATTGTTGTGCCTCAGCCTCCCGAGAGCTGGGACTACAGGTGCGAGCCACCATGCCAGGCTAATTTTTGTATTTTTGGTGGAGATGGGGTTTCACCATGTTGGCCAGGCTGGTCTCGATCTCCTGGCCTTGTGATCTGCCTGCCTCGGCCTCCCAAAGTGCTGGGATTACAGGTGTGAGCCACCGTGCTGGGCCAAAACCTTACTGATTTAAATGAGGTTCAGAGAGTTTGTCTGTTTCAGGTCACCTTAAAGAGTTCCTTATACCTCATAGAGTGATTGGTCTTAGGGGTCTTTAGATTTAGAAGACATTATTAAAGATTTCAGGATTGACATAAGGATTGTGGGTCCTGTGATGGGAGGGCAGTCCTCACTCATAGAATCTCATTTTCCTTTATAGAAGCCTGTCCTTGTGACCAAGGGGAGTTAGAATATTCTTCATCCTTAAAAAAGATGGTGGCACTAGCCACAGTCATATCTCTCAAAGTGGCTGGTTGTCACAGCTTTGACATTGTATTTGTCAGGTGGAAACACTTGCATCAAGAAGTAACGTGGGTGGGCTGGGTGGGCTCAAGTTTGTAATCACAGCATTTTGAGAGGCTAAGACAGGAGGATTACTTGAATCTAGGAGTTCGAGACCAGCATGGACAACATAGTGAGGCATTATCTCTACAAATAACAAAAAAATTTAGCTGGGTGTGGTGGTGTACATCTGTGGTCCTAGCCACTTGGGAGGCTGAAGCAGGAGGATCACTTGAGCCTAGGCAGTCAAGGCTGCAGTGAGCTGTGATTGTGCCACTGCACTGCAGCCCTGGGCAACAGAACGAGACCCTGTCACAAACAAACAAATGAACAAACAAACAAACACCAAGAAGTGACTTGGTAATGCTTAATAGCAATGTAGTATTTATCTGCAGCAGGTTTAAAAATCCTTTTTGGGCCAGGTGCGGTAGCTCACATGTGTAATCCAAGCACTCTGGGAGGCTGAGGTGGGCAGATCACCTGAGGTCAGGAGTTTGAGACCAGCCTGGTCAACATGGTGAAACCCCATCTCTACTAAAAATACAAAAATTAGCCAGGTGTGGTGGTGGGTATCTGTAATCCCAGCTATTCAAAAGGCTGAGGCAGGAGAATTGCTTGAACGTGGGAAGCGGTGGTTGCAGTGAGCCGAGATTGCGCCATTGCACTCCAGCCTGGGTGACAAGCGTGAAACTGTCTCAAACAAATAAAATAAAATAAAAACTAAAAAAAAAGTCTTTTTGTCTGTGGTTAATCTTCTTGGGAGTGATGAGAGTCTTTCTGTTTTTGATTCCACCTTGAAGTCTCAGCAAAAACCACAGAGTAGATTCTTTCTGTATATTGGAATCAGATAAGGCAATGGCTTTCAAACTCTTTTGACTGTGACCACAGTGAGAAATGGATTTGGTGCTGTGATTCAGAGAAGCTGCATTTCTCTTTATTTATATATATGTATCTCTATTCCCAAAGACATATTGCTTTATTTGATGAAACATCATTAAAGAACACCTACCCTCACTATATGTGATGCATTCTGACATCAACTATTCTATTTCATTAAAAAGATCTGGTCATGCTCAGCCTGAAGATTGAGCAATACTGTGGTAAGGTGCGTCCAACTTCAGTTGTTTGACATTCAGATTAGTGTCAATTAGGAAAAACTGCTTTCTTATTTTACATACTGGCCTTGACATTTTCTATAGTATTCAGGGATTTAACCTTGAAGGTAACAGTCTTCTCCCCTGAAAACCATTAAGAAAGTCTGCCTCTTGGTCCAGGCTTCACTGAAGTCAAACCCTCTGTCCTGGTCCACATCGTGATACCCAGGTTAGTTAATGTCTCCATCCTTTGCACATCCCTGAAATTTCTAAGGATCTATGAGATACTTTATGCATTCAACATACACATTCATTATATTGAAAATAATTTGGTTTCTTCTAGGTGTCTTATAGAACTCAACATACTGGGGTCTTGAAGATTGTTACTCTGATGGTGGCCGTTTGGGTGCTGGCCTTCTTAGTGAATGGGCCAATGATTCTAGTTTCAGAGTCTTGGAAGGATGAAGGTAGTGAATGTGAACCTGGATTTTTTTCGGAATGGTACATCCTTGCCATCACATCATTCTTGGAATTCGTGATCCCAGTCATCTTAGTCGCTTATTTCAACATGAATATTTATTGGAGCCTGTGGAAGCGTGATCATCTCAGTAGGTGCCAAAGCCATCCTGGACTGACTGCTGTCTCTTCCAACATCTGTGGACACTCATTCAGAGGTAGACTATCTTCAAGGAGATCTCTTTCTGCATCGACAGAAGTTCCTGCATCCTTTCATTCAGAGAGACAGAGGAGAAAGAGTAGTCTCATGTTTTCCTCAAGAACCAAGATGAATAGCAATACAATTGCTTCCAAAATGGGTTCCTTCTCCCAATCAGATTCTGTAGCTCTTCACCAAAGGGAACATGTTGAACTGCTTAGAGCCAGGAGATTAGCCAAGTCACTGGCCATTCTCTTAGGGGTTTTTGCTGTTTGCTGGGCTCCATATTCTCTGTTCACAATTGTCCTTTCATTTTATTCCTCAGCAACAGGTCCTAAATCAGTTTGGTATAGAATTGCATTTTGGCTTCAGTGGTTCAATTCCTTTGTCAATCCTCTTTTGTATCCATTGTGTCACAAGCGCTTTCAAAAGGCTTTCTTGAAAATATTTTGTATAAAAAAGCAACCTCTACCATCACAACACAGTCGGTCAGTATCTTCTTAAAGACAATTTTCTCACCTCTGTAAATTTTAGTCTCAATCTCACCTAAATGAATCAGGTCTGCCCTTTATCTTGCCCTTTTCATTCTACCAACAGATCTGCACTTTGAAGTCAATGGTAAATTACTCCAGTGAATAATAGCAGTATAATATGACTTGATAATATTTTTGTAAACTTGTAGTCATAATAGTACTATATTCTTCTTAGTCCTCACCTCTTCCTTGTCTTTTAGATCTTAATTTCATGCTGATTACAAAAATCCAGTTTTGTTTTCTTTCTATGTTCCATGCATAATACAGTCTTAAGTGAATTTCTCTTTTTTAATTTTATCGTAATAGAAACTTATCCAGTTTGAAAATCATTCCCTAAAGCATGCAATAGGAAAAAGAACCTCCTGGCTGGGACTGCCCAACTCTGTTCTGATCAGTGGGTGGGTGAGGTAGGGTTTGAGTTGGCAAGAGCAGGGAACGGGCATGTGCCCAGGTGAGCTCCTGTGTGTGTCCAGATTTTATATTCCTAATCCCAGTAAGGAAGAAAGCGTAGTGTGGGAGAGGAGAGAGCTGATGACTGCAGTTCTCAAAGGTCCTCAGTGAAGTTATTTTGGAGGCCCTGGTGGTCACAGGATCAGAAGGCAAGGGATAGGCAGTGGTCACCAATGGTTGAAAGTATGGCTTGTCCCATTTCTTCCTGTTCTCTTTTTCTAGCTTCCACATCAGCTTCCTTTTTTGAGAACATATAGAAGAAGAAGGCTAAGAGATGGTGAAGAGACTGCATGATTAAACTAGATAGACCTGGTATACAGTCACTGAACTAGTAGATGTCAATAATTATTATTTTTAAAAATTTTTATTTGTTGGCCGGGCATGGTGGCTCACGCCTGAAATCCCAGCACTTTGGGAGGCCAAGGTGGGCGGATCATGAGGTCAGGAGATCGAGACCATCCTGGCCAACATGGTGAAACCCCATCTGTACTAAAATACAAACAAGTAGCTGGTTGTGGCGCCGCATGCCTGTAGTCCCAGCTACTCGGGAGGCTGAGGCAGGGGAATTGCTTGAACCCGGGAGGCGGAGTTTGCCAGCCTGGCAACAGAACAAGACTCTGTCTAAAAAGAAAAAAAAATTTTTTTGTTTAAGACAGCATCTTGCTCTGTCTCCCAGGCTGGAGCGTAGTAATGCAATCATAGCTCACTGCAGCCTGGAACTCCTTGGCTCAAGCAATCCTGCTGCCTTGGCCTCCCAAGTATGTAGGACTACAGGTACTCGCCACCACACCTGGATAATTAAAAAATTATTTCTGTAGAGATGAAGTCTCACTGTGTTGCCCAGCCTGGGTGTCAATAATTATTTTTTAAAAAAAATTTTTAAAAAGGTTTTTTGAGACAGATTCTTGCTCTGTCACCCAGGCTGGAGTGCAGTAGCATGATCAGGGATCACTGCAACCTCTGCCTCCTGGGTTCAAGCGATTCTTGTGCCTAAGCCACCTGAGCAGCTGGGATTACAGGTGCATGCCACCATGCCTGGCTAATTTTGGTATTTTTAGTAGAGATGAGGTTTTGCCATTTTGGTCAGGCTGGAATTTTTTTTTTTTTAATTTTGATAAGACAGGGTATTGCCGTGTTGGCCAGACTGGTCTCAAACTCCTGGGCTGAAACAATCCTCCCGCCTTGGCCTCCCAAAGTGCTGGGATTATAGGCACAAGACACCACAATAATTATTGCCTGTATGTCAATTATTATTTTAAAATATTGTTGTATTTACTTAATGTCTTTAATGCATTTGCCCAATATTTTACATTGTACTGCTCAGAGGTATTCCTTTATTATGTGGTTAGCATAGGTTATACTTTGCTGACGATTCACATTTTATTAGTTTGGTTATGTTTTGTCCTTTTAAAACATTTTCTTTTGAGATGGGGGTCTTGCTCTGTTGCCCACGCAGGAGTGCAGTGGCATGCTCTCAGCTCACTGCAGCCCTGACTGCCTAGGCTCCAGCAATCTTCTTACGTCAGCCTCCAGAGTAGCTGGGACCGCAGGCACTTGCCACCACGCCCCACTAAAAATTTTTTAAATTGTTGCCTTTCTTGAAGTGTTCTCTGCCTGTCTTTGTCACAAAATTTCATTTTTCTCATAGTTAATTTCATCTCTCCGGTAAGATTTTATTGGTGTTTCTTTTATAACTTTGCAGTTCTTACACCGTTTGGTGATTTTCATGTTTCTTAGAAACTTTAAACCTTTAACTTCAAACATTAAAATACAAGTCTTTTAAGTACATGAGTGCTTAGAAATGTACATAATGTTTATATACACTTATGCCTTACATTAAAGTCCAATATGAGAAATACATGTTTAACATTCAATAATAATTTTAAAAATTTGAGAAATAAACTCTCATAAATGCACACATTTTTATAAACTTGCTACTTGTCTGCTGTTGATTTTAACATTTATATAAATTACTAGTTGTGGATTTCATGTGATCACTGGGGGCTTGAACATTCATGGAATGGAGTGGTCCTATGAAATCTTTTCCCAGTTGAACCTCAGGGGGTGCATGCCCAAGTATTCACATGTATTTTCTAAAGTATATATATATATAAAATATATATTGTATTTCATTCAATCTAAGATGCTGTCAAGATAAGACATATTGTTATTTTGTTTACTATATTAGTCTGTTTTCATGCTGCTGATAAAGACATACTCAAGACTGGGAAGAAAAAGAGGTTTAATGGACTTACAGTTCCACATGGGTGGGGAGGCCTCACAATCATGGTGGAAGGCAAGGAGGAGAAAGTCACTTCTTACATGGATGGTGGCAGGCAAGGAGAGAGAGCTTGTGCAGGGAAACTCCCATTTTTAAAACGATCAGATCTTGTGAGACTCATTCACTATCACCAGAACAGCACAGAAAAGACCCACTGCCATAATCCAATCACCTCCCACCAGGTTCCTCCCACAACACATGGGAATTGTGGGAGTTACAATTCAAGGTGAGATTTGGGTGGGGACACAGCCAAACCATATCATTTACCATTATGAAAGAGAAAATGCTGCAAATTGTCTGATACAATACTTTAAAAAATCACATTGACAATAAGCTTCATTCTGATTTTAGAGTTGAGATGTGGACAATATGTGTCTTAGAAGTGATGAAGTATGATGTTTGTGTGATAAGTGAACTGAACGAGGCTAATTCTCTGTGAAACGAGAGTTTGAAAAATAAATCCTATGATGGTACATGCATATATTTATTAAACAAGTGTTTATTGAAGGTCTATCATGTATTGGCTACTTATTGTAAAGATACCCGTGAACCGTGCCAATAAGGTTTAGATTCTGCAGGAACAGGAATTTTCCTTTGGGCTTCTCTTAGTACACCACCAGGCACTCCACAGATGCTCAGTAGATGCTTACTGAAAAGGCATACTTGAGGCATTTTCATTCAAACAGAAGGTGAATCCTAGCTTTAAAATTCAAGTATTTAATATTTGCACTAGAGGAACTTTAGAATATTTTTTCCATTATAATAAAAGTAATGTGTATTTATTGTAAGAAGAAAAGACAATACTAAAACAATTCATATATACAAAGAGTAGCCATAATTATTAGTTTGGTGAATGTATTAGTCTGTTCTAGCATTGCTATAAGGAACTACCTGAGACTGGGTAATTTATAAAGAAAAGAGGTTTAATTGACTCACAGGTCAGCAGGCTGTACAGGAAGCATGCCTGGGAGGCCTCAGGAAGCTTACAATCATGGCAGAAGGTGGAGACAAACCAGGCATGTCTTACGTGGCCAGAGCAGGAGGAAGAGAGAGAAGGGGAAGCTGCTACACACTTTTAAACAACCAGGTCTGTTGAGAACTCACTATCATGATACCAGCAAGGGGGAATCTGCCCCCATCATCCAATCACCACCAGGCCTCTCCTCCAACATGGGGGATTACAATTTGATATAAGATTTGGGCGGGGACACAAATCCAAACCATATCAGTGTAGATGTTTCTAAAGAAAAAAATATATAATGTAATCTCATTTTTTGGAAACACATATTTGCATATATAAATTTCTAAAGATATCTTCAGGCAAATGCTTTCATAAAATGAAGCCTTCTGTTCTAGAATGAGTAATTACTGCTCTCTCCCCCAAACATGGCAGGCTTATAAAATCTGATTTTTAAATATTTATTTGCTCATCTTAAATCCAGACCCAAATCCACTGGCATAATTGGCAGAACATTCCTAAGAATATTGGCTTCTAAGTATTGTCTTCAGTTGGTGTGTATAGAAATGGACCCCTGAAGAGTGAAGAAGGGCTTTGGGATATAAATGCTGATTAGGAATGACACTGTAGGTCAAATGGTTTTTTTTGTTTGTTTTTTTGTTTTTGAGATGGAGTCTTGCTCTGTTTCCCAGGATGGAGTGCAACAGCGTGATCCTGGCTCACTGCAAACTCTGCCTCCCAGGTTCAAGCGATTCTCCTGCCTCAGCCTGCCGAGTAGCTGGGATTACAGGTGCCCACCACCACGCCCAGCTAATTTTTGTATTTTTGGTAGAGATGGGGTTTTGCCATGTTGGTCAGGCTGATCTTGAACTTCTGACCTCAGGTGATCTGCCAGCCTCGGCCTCCCAAAGTGGTGGGATTATAGGCGTGAGCCACCGAGCCCAGCTGGTTAAGTGTTTTTATGGGTCATGAAGCTTTCGTCATAAGTAGCTGAAGTATCCTAATAGCAATTTTTTTTTTTTGAGATGGAGTCTCACTCTGTTGCCTAGGTTGGAGTGCAGTGGTGCAATCTAGGCTCACTGCAGCCTCTGCCTCCTGGGTTCAAGTGATTCTCTTGCCTCAGCCTCCTGAGTAGCTGGGTAGCTGGGATTATAGGTGCCTGCCAACAAGCCCCAGCTAATTTTTGTATTTTAGTAGAGACAGGGTTTCACCATGTTGGCCAGGCTGGTCTTGAACTCCTGACCTCAGGTGATCTGCCCACCTCGGCCTCCCAAAGTGCTGGGATTACAAGCATGAGCCACCACATCCGGCCCTAATTGGGATTTTACAGAACTATTTTTGTGGCTTTTCAGTAACAATTTTCCTGTAGTAAAGATCTTGGTATTTGAAGAAACCTTTTTTCACATTATGATTTCAGAAAAAGAATTTCTAGAATACAAAGAAAATTTTTATTCTAATAATTGCTATCAGTCAAAGTTGAATGAAGAAAAGAGAAACCATGTTAATTATTTCAAGCAGAAGAAATTTAATGCGGGGAATTGGTTAACCCAGAGATTAATACTTTGAGAAAAGAGCTAACATCTTAGGTATTGAGAGAATATAAGGGGAGAAGTGATGTTATCAAAATCTAGGATCTTGGAGAAGTATCTGGAGGACTGATGCTTGGATTTCTGATTGATTTGTGATGCTTTGTGGTTAGGGCTTGGGCATCCCAAGGGATGGGGCCAGCTGGTGCTCAGACTGCCACATGGGGTTGAGGGACAGCCGTGGCGGCTGCAGCTGGTCCCTCGGATGGGGTACATTGAAGTAGGAGGCTTGTTGTGCACTGCTGCTGGAGAGATGTCAACTCACGCTAGAAGTGCTAAGTGAGTTTCTTCTCAGTACCTCCCATCTTCCTATTTCTTGCCCGTGTTTTCCATTGGTGGAAGCTAACTGAGAACCAGTTGATGAGAGAGTCTGAGAAGTAGGTGTGACTCCTAGCTCCAGCCTTATGGTGTGGTATCTGAAAAGGTGGGCTTGAAGCTTATAGACAACAGAGAAATAACTGGCAAATGCATCGTGTGTTTAAGCATAATAATGTAGAACTTTGGCCTTTAGGGATTCACACCTACAGTTTCAACTGTACCATAAGCAGCCTACCACTCCATTACATATTGTAATTTGTAGTTTTCTTTTTCTTTTCTTTTCTTTTTTTTTGAGACAGAGTTTCACTCTGTCGCCCAGGCTGGAGTGCAGTGGCACAATCTCAGCTCACTGTAGCCTCTGCCTCTCGGGTTCAAACCATTCTCCTGCCTCACCCTCCCAAGTAGCTAGGGCTACAGGTGTGAGCCACCATGCCCAGGTAATTTTTGTATTTTTAGTAGAGATGGGGTTTCCCTATGTTGGCCAGTCTGGTCTTGAACTCCTGGCCTCAAGCGATCCACCTGCCTCAGCCTCCCATAGTGCTGGGATTACAGGTGTGAGCCACTGCCCCCAGCTAGTAATTTGTATTTTTCTTAAGGCACAAATTCAAATCATGTTCCATTAGGTGGGTATGCTGAGTGACTTGGCTGCGAAACCTAGCACCCTTGTGCCAGTGAAGTTTTCTCTGTTCCTGTTAGCAATGCTTACGAAGTGTCTAACATTTTTTTGTGTTGTTGATGGAGGTGAGGGAGGAATGAGGAACTCCAAGAAGGTGTGGAGCAGTGGCTCAGCTCTGAATTCGGTGAGTTCGCTCTACATTTCATAACAGAGGTTCCAAGAGTTCATGGATGCATCTGGTCAATACGATGAGTTGAATTTGTTGTCATGAATTATAAATGGGAAAATTTCTCCTTAAAATTGGGATTTTAGCTTTTTTTTTTCTTTTTTTGCCTGAAAAAAATTGAAAGATTCAGTGATATTGGGCCCACATTCTCTCAAGAAAACAATTTGCTGAATCCGGTAGTGGACAGAGACACCCGTCAGCCCCCAGGGTTCCACTTTCCTCATTTAGGCCTTTTCATGTGCCGGTTTCTCCCTTTTGACATCCAGATTGCAACCCCTACTCTACAAGTAAAAAGAAAGTGATTCATGAAATTATTTTAGTGAGTACCCCGGAAAGTACAAACATTGCCTTTTCTGTTGGAAATTTTATGTTCTCGGGGGTTCATCAATTAGGATTCTCTTGGATACAAATGATAGAAACACAATTTGAACCACCTGGGCAAAAGTGAGCTAATTGGCTTTTACAACCAAAGTACATAAAGACAGTGGTGGGAGCTGACCCCAGGGAAGGCCAAAGCCAGAGATTCCAACAACTTCATTTTCTCAGACTGCCTTCTGCACAGGGCTGGAACGATGGATGCCTGTGTTCCTCTTAATCGGATAGAAAAAGGGTCTCTCCTAGTAACACTGAGAAAAAAATGCTGGAAAAAATCAATAGAGTGCCCAGCTGGTATCTTGTGCATGTCACTGAACCAGTCTCTAGAGGGGAGGGTGGATGCCAGGACTGCCCACCTATGTCAGTTCCTCTTCCTGGCAGGGAAGTAGGATCTGCTCTTTTCAAACCAGGTGAGCAGAAGAGGGAGGAACAATTTCCTCAAATGAAGGGGTGTACGGTTACCAGAAGAAGAAGGTAGACAGTCTGGGCAATATAGCAGAACCCCATCTCTGCAAACAAATTAGCTGGGCCTGGTGGTGTGTGCCTGTGATCCCAGCTACTCGGGAGGCTGAGATGAGAGGACTGCTTGAGCCTGGGAGGTCTTAGGCTGCAGTGAGCCATGATTGCACCAGTGCACTCCAGCCTGTGTGACAGAGTGAGAAAGAAAAAACAAAAGAGGAGGTAGAGATAATAAATGTCTACTCTGAGGGTTATTCAAAAATTGGAGCTGTCGTGAAGATCTGATTGTCTTCCTTGTACACATTGTGCAGACCTTCCACAATGTGCAGACCTTCCACAGCCTTTGCACTATGACTGTATCCCCACCCTTTGCATTCTGACTTCGTAGCTTCTTCCATCAAGAGTGACTTGCTTTGGCCAACAGACTGCTGTCAACAGGCAGTGAAAATGACACCTTGCCAGTTCCAAGCCTAGCCTCAAGAAGCCTGTGCCCATCTGTTCTATCTCTTGGCAGTTTTCCCAGCTGCCAGGTGAACATGTCCCAGGCTAGACTCCTGGAGGATGAGAGACCACGTGGAGCAGAATCAAGGTGTCTTAGGTGAGGCCATCTAAGACCAGCCAGCCTCACTCAGGCTAACTCAGCAGCTGATTGAAGATGCGTGGGCAATCCCAGGCAAAATGAGATCAGCTGAAGGAAGCCTAGCATGGCCTAGACAAGAAGAATCACCCAGCTGACCCAGAGACTCCTGAGCAATGATAAGACTACATTCTGGGAGTGTTTGCTATTCAGCAATAGCTAACTGACATGTCAAGCAGTTACCCTGGTGTGTATTAAACAGCCTCCGAAAGTTGAGTAGAAAAGAGAAGCAGATATTTACATTGCTTATTCTTGTGTGATAGCTAAGACAGAAGCTACTGAACATTATCATGCAAGAGAACCAACTTTTTTTTAAGGTCATGACTATTTCTCAATATTCATTGAGAAATGATTTAGTGGTAAAGATAATTGATTTTGAAATATCGTAAACTACACAACATAACAATAGTAGGATAGAGGCACCCAAGAGAGTAAAATTGTACTGTGAGAATGGAAGAGGAAGGGCATCGCAGGGAAAAACAGGCTGTTCTTAGCTATGAGCATCTTTCCCTGAATTACCTCATTCAGTCTCTTCAAGTTTCCACCTTGAGTCATATACTGCAACCTAAGGACTGCTTATGCACTTTGTATTAAATAGTGCCTTTTTAAAAAATGCATTTCTCCTTGCTTATGTTCATAGTCATTTCTTCACATGCTTCTACTTCTGTGAGGGAATAAAAGAAGAAAGGGGACCTTAAAGAGAACCAGCCCATTTGGTTAAAGATTAGTAGCTCTTGTGAAAGGATTAGTAGAAGGAGTCGGCTTTATCTCTTATTTCAAATTTCCAAACCGCCTGTTCTCTGCTCTCTTACTAAATTTCACAGTTGATCATAAAAGAAAACAACCTGCAAAATAAGTTTAGGGTAACTGTGAACATTTTTCTGATATTCACCCTTACTGAAACTTTCCAATAGGCAAGATAAAGATGTAAAAAAAAAAGATATGCTTTTTCCTCCATAGGAAGACACTTACCAGTTTCTTCTTAGATAACTGGAAACAAATGTTTTTAAAATTATTACTCTGTCTTTCCTGTTTCCTTGCCTCCAATGTAGGCCATCTGGGTCATGGCCCAGTTAGATGGGTGGTTGCAGGTTCTACGTTTCCTGGCCTCTCATTTCTGGAATCAAGTTGGTGTGAGTACAATTCTTATTTTGTATTTTTTTTCCATTTAGCGTCACATGGATGATCTGAAGTTCTGAAGGCCATATTCTTCTAGCCCATTCTCGAGACTGAGGAAAATCCCTGATGCTTTGAGACGATAGCCCCTAGCCAGGTTCATAGCATGGAGTGGTTACTAGGGGACGGGGTAGGCAGAGCCCTTGCCTTCAAGGAGTTAGAGATCGCCTGGCACGGAGTCAACAGGAACGTGAGCATGAATGTGCGCCGCAGTGAAGTGACATAGCTTGATTAATTGCTTCTTTTATAGTACTATTTGTAGGGACGCAAGAGAGGGCAGTGCTGTACAGCTGCCCCACTGCAGAGCAGCCCTGCTTGGCCCTGTATCTTTTCAGGCAACCCAGTCCTTCCACAGCAAGGCTGTGTAGCTGATGTCTTGGACATTGTATAGACAAGGCTTTGACTGGAGAAGGCTGAAATAGGATTTGCATGGATAATGGTAATGCAGAAATTTAGGTACGGTACTTACTCCACCAGCACAGGGATGAATGGCCTCATTCCTTAGAAACAAATGGATGAAGAGAGTAGTTGACTTGCCTCCGGCAGCACAATCAGCAGGTGCTGAAGCCAGAACTTGAATTCAGGGATCTGAAACTTGAGTCCAGGTGCTGAAGCTTCATCCCACACTGTCTCTCGACTCTCAGGGGGCTCTGTTCACACCATTCTCACATAGGGAAGTTAATAAGACAGAGCATGTAGAAAGAGGTGACTGGTAAGTGGACCAAACAAAAAACTGAATCAAATCAAATCAAAACAAAACAAATCGCCTGGGCGTGGTGGCTCACGCCTGTAATCCCAGCACTTTGGGAGGCCAAGGTGGGTGGATCACTTGAGGTCATGAGTTGGAGACCAGCCTGGGCAACATGGTGAACAAAAATTAGCCGTGCGTGGTGGTGAGCACCTGTAGTCCCAGCTACTCAGGAGGCTGAAGTGGGAGGATCATTTGAGCCTAGGAGGTCGAGGCTGCAGTGAGCTGAGATCACCCCACTGCACTCCCGCCTGCACCACAGAGAGAGATTCTGTCTCAAAAAAGAAAAAACAACAAACAAACAAACAAACAAACAAACCCCAAACAAACAGGACCAAAACTAAAAAGCAAATCTAAATCAACAAAATCCCGAAGTTAGGTCTTTCCCCCATCCATGTCAGCAGTCTCTGTGTTGTCCACCAGATGTCAGTAGCTCCACATAGTTTTTCTCTGTTCTGGTTCTGTCTGTGCAGCTACTGAGTACACGGGTAGGGTTGTTTTGTGTTACAATGTAAAGCAGTCTGATCACAGCACCCCACTCACTTCTCAATATTTTGTATTAAATTAAACTCAGAAAATCAGTTAAGGCTACATAAACGCCCTAAAAAATGATAAAACAATGACTTCTCCTTCTCCCCTGCTAGAAGGTAAGGCTGCCCCAGGTGCTCACATGAGGGCATACGTGCACACACACGCACTTCGCTGCATCCACCCCCACACCTGCCCTCTCCACGCGTGACACACTTCTGTTCATCCACACAGACACAGGCCCACACCAACCCACACATATCCACCCCCAATATCCACTCCACACACCACACAACCCACCCCATCCACCTCCTATCCACATTACACACACACACACACACACACACACACACACCTCGCTGCCCTGTGACATTACAAACCAGAATCACTTCTTCAAGAATCCCTTAAAATCCCCTGAGACTATAAGGTAAGTAGAAAAGTTTTTTCTGTATCTATGTCATTAGTGTCATTCCTGAATCTTTCCTAACAATATTAAAAACTACCGGCTTTTTTTTTTTTTTTTTGATGAAGTCTTGCTCTGTCACCTAGGCTAGAGTGCAGTGGCATGATCTTGGCTCACTGCAACCTCCACCTCCCAGGTTCAAGCGATTCTCCTGCCTCAACTTCCTGAGTAGCTGGGATTACAGCCCGCCACCATGCTCGGCTAATTTTTGTATTTTTGGTAGAGATGGGGTTTCACCATATTGGCCAGGCTGGTCTCGAACTCCTGACCTCAGGCGATCCACCCCACCTTGGCCTCCCAAAGTGCTGGGATTACAGACATGAGCCACTGTGCCCCAACTAAAAGCTTTTGGCTTTTTAAAAATAGCCACACTCCAGGACCTCCACAACTTTAAAAAAATCTTACTTCCTCAAAATCCACTGAAAAAAGGTACTTCTTATCTTACCCATTCACAAACCTATGTCCATCTTTCCTAAACAATTCTTCTGTTGGCATTTCTCTTATATCTACTCTTACATCCCCAGTTCCCAGTGAGCTCTCAAAGTAGCTGTCTATTTCTTAGTAAAAACCACATGTTAAGTATCCAGTAAATTCAAGATCTCTAACTTCAAATATCTCCCCAGAAGCAGAATTTTCAACTTCTATTCTTTTTTTCCTTTACGAAAGCACCATCTACTGGCTATAGTTGGTATTGTAGCTCAGTTCCAGTTAATGCCCAACCCCAAAAGAAGCAACAGAGCTTCTTTTGTAATTAAATGATCAGGGTATAAACAGTGATACGATTTTTATTACAAAAATAGTTTCTAATTTCATATTACACCATTTTCCATGAATCTAATTCACATTTTATTTATTTATTTATTTTGAGACAGGGCCTCGCTCTGTTGCCCAGGCTGGAATGCAGTGGCACAATCTCAGCTCATTGTAGCCTCCACCTCCCGTGCTCAAGTGATTCTCCCATCTCAGCCCCCCGAGCAACTGAAGCTACAGGCATGTACCACCACGCCTGACTAATTTGTGTGTATGTGTGTGTGTGTGTGTGTGTGTGTTTTGTAGAGACGGGGCTTCACCATGTTGCCCAGTCTGGTCTCCAACTCCTGAGCTCAAGTGATCCGCCCACCTTGGCCTCCCAAAGCGTTGGGATTACAGGCATGAGCCACTGCGCCCGGCCTCTCATTACACATTTTAAGTCGTTATCTTTAGCCATGGGGTGACTTCCTTCTTGGTCACTGAGGCAGCATGTGCATGTTGGGGTGACGTTTACTGTTTCTATAAGTTGTACCAAAACATCTACTTAACCTTTTACATTTGTGCCATTCCTTCACATAAAGACATATGGTACCCCTTCCCCATCAAATCTTTATCTTACCCCACATATTTTATATTATTTAAATTGGGTCATCTGTTACACTCAAATTTTTGCTTTTATGAAACTCTGTCTTTGATAATATAATAGATGCTAATGGGGGAAATAATGTATGTTTTGGTGAAAATTGTTCTAAGGTCAAATTTTCAGGATTGATCTATTTCATGATGTAGGCATTATTTATAATTCACAAAATAAGCCTATTTCTCTTTTTTTAGACAGACTCTCACTCTGTCACCCAGGCTGGAGTGCAGTGGTTCGACCTTGGCTCAATGCAACCTCCACCTCCCAGGTTCAAGTGATTCTCCTGCCTCCGCCTCCTGAGTAGCTGGGATTACAGGCACGTGCCACCACGCCCAGCTAATTTTTGTATTTTTAGTAAAGACAGGGTTTCACCATGTTGGCCAGGCTGGTCTCGAATTCCTGACCTCAGGTGATCCACCCACAGTGGCCTCCCAAAGTGCTGGGATTACCGGCGTGAGCCACCATGCCCAGCTTGGCTTTTTAGATTTATTAAAAATTGCAACTGACTAGGGACAGTCCCAGATAGTGTTAATAGAGTTAATACGTTCATTCCATCTCTATCAATATGTGTTTTGTATACTAAAATCTTATGAGATTTTGTTCTGTAACTTGGGAAAGAGAAAGAAAAATATTTTGGAGAAGAAAATCGGGGAATAAAAGTGGGGAAAAAGGAGCTGGGAAGAAAGAGGAAGAAAAAGAAAGCAGTGTATAATGTAATTATCTTCCTGGCTTATATTTGAACTCCTCTGGATAGAGGAATGATGACCAGAAGTTATGAATTATTTTATAAACACAAAAGTTGATAAAACCTTTCAAAAGACACTTTGTGATTCTCTTGGCATAACAGAGCTGCCTTAGTGACCAGATGTCACAATGTGATACAGAGCCAGAGAGGAAGTCATTTTTGTCCATGATGCAAGGAACCCAGCATTTTGACAACCCAGATGGAATGTGGAGCTCCCATGGAAGAAACGTGTCATCTGGAGGCCTGCATAACCACTGCATTCTCCAGATGGGCACTGGAAGCGCTGAGGCTTCCCACCCAGAAGGTCCACGTGGTGGACAAGGGCAAGTGACAACCAGAGCCACGACTCAAAAGAGGGTGGCTGCTTCAGGCTGATTTCCTTTGACAGACTGGTTTATGGACGTGTGCAAGGGCCTCTCTTTGGGAACTGTCAGAAATGACAGGAGAGATACAAGAAGGTCAACGTCTGGAAATCCGACAAAATGGGCTTAATTCATTGTAATTTTGTTTGCTTTTAAAAAATTAAATCTCTGTCTATATGTGTATATATACATATTTTAAATACATATATATTTAAATACATATATCTGTATTTTAAATACATATATCTGTATTTTAAATACATGTATATTTAAATACATATATCTGTATTTTAAATACATGTATATTTAAAATACATATATCTGTATTTTAAATACATGTATATTTAAATACATATATCTGTATTTTAAATACATGTATATTTAAGTACATATATGTTTTTATATATACGTATATTAAAATACATATATGTATTTATATACATATAAAAACATATATGTATTTATATATACGTATATTAAATTACATATATGTATTTATATATACATATATTAATACATATATGTATTTATATATACATATATTAATACATATATGTATTTTATATATACATATATTTATTTATTTAAATACATATATGTATTTTATATATACATATATGTATTTTATATATACATATATGTATTTATTTAAATACATATATTTACATACATTTATGTATTTTAAATACCTCATTAGGTATTTAAAATGCATACAAATATAAAATAAATATAGGTATTTGAAATATATATAAAAATATAAAAAACATATAGGTATCTTAAATACCTAATGAGGTCTGGGATATCTGGGCAATGTCTATTAGCTTAACTAACAGCGTCAGTGATAACCCTTATTACCCATGGTAAGAAGCAAGCGGGTATAACATGGATAATTAGTACGTCCAGAGGAAATGGAGAGGGCATAGAACCCACTCGAGCTTCTATATTCCAATTACTTCCGGGATTGCGTGGATAAATAACATGGCTGTAAACAGGGGAGAGGGGATGAGAATAGTTTAAAACCCATGCATGTAGCTTGACTGATTGGTTCTAGAAGTTACCAGGGCATTGATCAGGGTTAGCGGGGCGCTTGGCTGATTCCTTCTGCAAAGCACATGCTAGTTTTCACACTTGCATGTGAAACGTCTAAAGCCATATCAGAACTGAGACAGGAAATGAAAGGTGATAAAACCACAGCCCCCCACTCCAGCTCCGCTCTGCACAGCTGCTCTGCTTCTTCACACAGGCCGACTTCAATGGAAGCTCGATGCATGCAGAACTGCCCAGGGACCTGGCCTCTTCACCTCATCACATTTTGAGGTGGGCAACACCAGCTTTTGAATCAGGAAGCAATTTGAAAATCAGTCATGTTTGGATCCCTCAGGCCTGGTTTCATCTGATTAATAAGCTCTGCTTTCAAAGCTCCCCCTGGACAGTCTCCCTCCCCAAACCCACTCTCCAAGTGTCTGCAAGCCGACTCCTCGGCTCCCTTTTGAGCAGGTCCAGCAATAGGAATCGGGCAGCCTTACCCAGAAGGACTAGCCCAGCATCGGCTGACCTTGCCAGGAGGAATTTCTCTCTCCAGCTTGAATTTCCTTCCTGCCTAACTTTAGGCCTTTACTGGGGACCACGCTCCCCTTTGACCACCCGGAATAAATCTCCCCTGCATCCCTGACAGCTGCTGATTTGGCTTCTTTCTTATTTTTTTTTTTAATTGAAAGTAAACCTTCAAAGTGGCCCAGCCACCTGAGAAGCTCGGCTGAGCGTGGCAGCTGGGCAGTGAACCTGAAACAGCGGCGCGGCGTTTCACCGGGTCCCCTCCCGCTCAGGGCAGAAATCATGGGGTTTTGTGGGCTGCCAGGGCCGCTTAGCTTTCAATTTAGCTTTTGCATTAGAAAAAGGGAATATGGACATGGGTCAAATGATTGTGGAGTGATTTTGAAAGTAGCTGTGTAACAGGCGAGAGATGGGGGCAGGGGGAGGTTTGATTTGCAGGCAGAATGCAAGTTTATTTATAAGAGAAATCTAGGGGTGTCTTTGTGCTTTCCTGTTAGACTCTTGGAAGCACTTTGAAGAAGGAAATAAAATTTAAAAAACATATTCAAATTTAACAATCAGTCTTGAACACCGGGAAGCGACAATGTACAGGATGGCACAGAGAGGGTCAAGATTGCTAGAATTTTCTTTTAGGGTCTTCTCCTTGTTACCTTGTTATTTTAAGCTGGTCACTTCAACTCTCTATATCTTCCCCCAAACACATTTTATTTTTGTTTTGGAAAGTTTTAAATATTCAGAAAAGTTGAAAAAATAATATAACAAGTTCATATCCACCACCTAGATTCAACAATGGTTAACATTTTTTTCCATATTTGTTTTGTTGTTTTGTTTTTATCTTTATGTGTACACACACACAGACCCCCCCCCCCCGCCCACACACAGACACATTTGCTGAAACATTAGAAAGTAAGTTACAGGCAGCATGACAATTTATCCCTAATTAAATACCCGAGCATGCATTTCCTAATACTAACATTCTCCTAAATAACCCCAATACAATGATCACACCTAAGATAATGAAAAAGAATTCCCTAATAACATCTAATATCCAGGCCATATTAAAACTTCTCCAAGTGATTCAAAACTGTCTCTGATAAGTGTTTTTTGTTTTGAACCAGGAGCCAATCAAGTTTCACCCGTTACATTTGGTTGTTGTCTTTTTAATCTCTTGCTCTCTCATCTCTCATTGAGGCAGAACCTACATACAAGTGTATAACCTTAAACCTGTACCTTGATCAATTTTTACATACTTATGTAAAAATTGTGACCCCTATATGACCACCAACCAGGTTGATATATGGAATATTTTTATTGCCCCTGAAGGTTGCCCCAAGCTGTTTCTCTGTCAATATGACCTCTTCCCCATCCCCTAGAAGGGGCAAGGGTATGAAACAACTGAACCTCCCAGATCCTTTGGCTGAAAGTGCAAATTGGTTGAACCACTTAGGAAAATTGTTGGCAGTATTTAAAACCCTTCAATAGATACTGATTCTATGAACCAGTAATTCGTCTCCTAAGTCTACACCACAGAGTTGCATATGCCATCAAAGACCCGTGCAAGAATGCTTACAACAGCTTTATTCACAATGTCCCCAAGTTGGAAATGTCACAGATATCCATCAACAATAAAATAGATAACTGAATTGTGGCATATGTATATACAAAGAAATGCTACACAGTAACAAAAGGAAAGAGATACTGCATCTTGCAATAGCATAGATGAATCTCAGACATGTTGAGTGAAAGAAGCTTGATACAAGAGCACAGGCTGTATGAATCCTTGTAGATGAAAGCCAAAAAGAGGCATAAACTATCATCGACTGTGACTGAAGTCTTTAGAGTCCTTTAATTAATAATCATCATGTTTTTTTTTCTCCCCCACGATATTTTCTCTTTGGAGAAAGTAGATGAGTTGTTTTGTAGAATATGTTACATTCTGGATTTGTCTGATTATTTTCTCATTGAACTTGACCCTTCACAACTGGGGACCCATGAGAGAATTGAGGTGTGTTGTCCTAAGGCACTCATTTTAGGTCGTGAATTAACTTCTATCCCATGCAACTAGAATAGTAGTAGTTATGTTCCATTCTTAGGAGAACTGACAATCATCACTCAACTCATATTCTGTGGATCCATGGTTCAGTTGAGGAACTAGCTGAGAAAGGCTTACTGAAAGATATTAAGGCTCAATTAGAGTCAAGTCATTTTGGGCAAGATTATTTTACAGTTGGTACCATTTACTTCCTACTGTATCATGCTGGGAGGCATTTAACATCAGGTTGTTACACCATTAGTGATGTGGTTGTGAGTTTGATTGTTTGGTTAAGGTGGTGACCACCTCAACCGCTTCATTGTAAAGAATGTTCTCCTTGGTCTCCATGGTTTAACAACCTTATTTGTCAACATGCAGTACTCATAGGCCAGTATCTCCCACTTGATGGAATGGTTTATTCTCAGCAAATTTAGCTACGAGGTAAAATTCTTCAAAGAAAATTGTTATTTCACCTACAAGAGCTTCACTCTAAAGTAGGAGCTTCATACCATAAACACACAACTGTAATAACACATTTGTAATCTTTAAGATTTTTAGATAACATCAAATGAATTCACTTCTTACTTGAGATAATCTGATAAACATCATTCATGACATTAAAACTGATCTAGGACATATGATTTTGCATTTATATACATTTGGTGGTGGTAAGTATTATGATAAAAATAGTGTTTAAATCATTGGCAGAAACTAAATTAAGGATTTCATGAATATACGTAGATCTTGGAGCTGGAAGAGATGTGTTTCAAAGCATTCTACAGTAGAAAAAATAACTCTTAAGAACTCACTCTTGTACTCTAACTTAAAGGAGGGAAAGTGGTTTAAGCATGATTATCAACAGATTTCATGCGAAGAAAATCATTTAAAGTGACTTAGATGGACTTTAGTGCATAATAATCACACCAATCCAGAAATTTCATGAAGAAAACGAAGGGTCACATCTCTGAGCAATCATAGCCAACCTATTCCAAGTCTTGACATCCTTGAGGCAGATTAAAGATGGACACAAATTGGTTGACAATCTTTCTTTCAAGAGATTGGGTCCATGTCTCCTTTCCCGGGAGATTGGTAGGCCCTGTAGCTGCTTTGACCGAGAGCATACAGTGCAGGTGAAGATGTGCACATTCCTGCACCCAAGTCTTCAAAGACTGGGAGCTACCTCTTACTATCTTTGGAAACACCCACTTCTGGAACCTAGCCATTGTGCTGCAGAAAGCCCCAGCAGTCCTGGGGAGGGGCCCATGTGGAGAAGAACTCAGACCCCTAACTCACATCTCTGATTCGGATCCCAGCTGATAGCTGGCACCAACTTGGCAGCCATGTGAGGGAACCATTCTTGAAAGTGGATCCTCTAGTC
This sequence comes from Homo sapiens, assembly GCF_000001405.40. Taxonomy (NCBI): domain Eukaryota; kingdom Metazoa; phylum Chordata; class Mammalia; order Primates; family Hominidae; genus Homo; species Homo sapiens. Next base: position 24,495,874 of record NC_000018.10, read on the forward strand.
CTCGTTGGGCCACCTCAAATGATGCTTCATGGAGCAGAGGTGGCCATCTCTGCCAAGCCCTGAACATAATTGCAGATTGTGGAGTAAAATAAATAAGTATTCTTTTTTTTTTTTTTTTTTGAGACTGGGTCTTACTCTGTTGCCCAGGCTGTAGTGCAGTAGCATGATCTCAGCTCACTGCAACCTCCACTTTCCAGGCTCAAGTGATTCTTGTACTCAGCCTCCCAGGTAGCTGGAATTATAGGCATGCACCACCATGGCTGGCTAATTTTGGTATTTTTAGTAGAGATGGGGTCTCACCATGTTGGCCAGGCTGGTCTTGAACTCCTGATCTAAAGTGATCTGCCTGTCTTGGCCTCCCAAAGTGCTGGGATTACAGGTGTGAGCCATCACACCCGGCCGAAATGAGTATTATACTCAAGCTGCTGGGTCTTGGAGTCATTTCTTAGGTACCAAAGTTAATGCAACAATCCTTATTTGTTATATGGTGATAAACCTACTTGTCTTGTATACACAGAGAGGGTAAAATACAATAGTGTATATAAAAGTGGTTTTCAAACTATAAAGCAATTCTATGCCAATGTAAGGTGTAAGTATCTGCAAAAACCAACAGAATAGGAGGATTCTGTAAATATTACTGATCTGAAGTTGGCATATTGCTCTAATTTCTGTGGATCCCACCTCCTGAAGTTGGAAACAGTACCAGTTCCTTTTTTTTCCCTGTAGTTAAAATATGCATAGCAAAATTTACCATCTTAGTCATTTTAAAGGGTACAATTCAGCGGCATTCAGTACATTCACACTTTTGTGCAACCATCACCACCATCTACCTCCAGCCATCCAGTTCCTTTTCATAACAGGAAATACATCTCCATAACAAGTATGATTTTCCATTCTAAACTTGAAGTGAAGCTAAATCATCTCAGCATCATGCATGAGAGTGATAATTTAAAGAGTGAGACCATGTGCGCTAAAGACAGGTTTTCTGAGAGACTCTAAGGAATGGCAGCCCACTGTCTGCAATCGAGTCTGAGAACGCTCTTCTCCTTCTCAGAGCTGGTCCCATTCCCTGAGAGCTTCAATTACTCATGTCAGCATGGGGATGGGGGAATATTTAGAGAGCAATGAGCACTTATTAAAAAGGGCCAAGAGAGCAAGTTTTCAAAGCTAGAACACTCCAGCAAAACCATTTCATATGTAAGCAGGCCCTCTGGAGTTAGCACACATATCCGCACCTGGACCCCACCTGGACATAATTAGTTTCCCTGAGCTCAGAGCAGAGCAAACACTGAAGAAAATGATGTCAAAAAATGGAGCAATCTGTCATGATCTGTGCTGCACAATTAAAGCAGTGTGCATTCTTTAAGAATTATGTAACACAGATGACACAGTATTTAGATAGCCAGAACTGGAAAACCATCTGGTTATGTTCTGCTTTACAACAATGATGTCTGTTTCTTGAATTGTGCTGTATGCCTTGGGATGGGTATCACAGAAAGAAAAGATGAAATGCTCTTGGTTGATATGTAGGAAGATCTTTTATCTACTTGAAAATGAACACATTCTATGGTCAAAGCTTTTAAAGTCCAAAAAAGCAGAATCCTCAGTTCTTAAGAATCAAAATGTAAAGCAGCCAAGGACTGAATAGACTCACAAGTCACAGCTGCACAGTGGTTAGTGTGCCATGAAACAAATGGGAAATGTATTCTGCAGACAAATGTGAGCCATTCTTGTCTCTCTCCTCCTGGGCCCTAAATCCCTGGGCTAGCACCCCATCTCCTCTGTGGTGTGTTCATCTTATCAGACTCTACACCATTGTCCTCTTGCTATGAGCACACAGGTTGAAATTAGCTCAGTGTTCCCCTCACTAGATGATTTTAATATTGAGTTAGTGCTTATTGACCAAAAATGGAGTGCCTAGAAATCCTAGTTTCTTGGGGTCACGCAGCAATCACTAGAAATAATTTATGAACGAATCCAGAAAGATCGGTTCATGAGGCTGGGTGCGGTGGCTCATGTCTGTAATCTCAGCATTTTGAAAGGCCGAGGCAGGTGGATCACCTGATGTTGGGAGTTCAAGACCAGCCTGGCCAACATGGTGAAACCCCGTCTCTACTAAAAATATAGAAATTAGCCAGGTGTGGTGGTGGGTGCCTGTAATCCCAGCTACCTAGGAGGCTGAGGCAGGAGAATCGCTTGAACCTGGGAGGTGGACGTTGCAGTGAGCTGAGATAGCGCCACTGCACTCCAGCCTGGGCAACAGAGTGAGACTCTGTCTCAAATAAACAAACAAAACAAAACAAAAAAAAGGAAAGATAGGTTCACAGTCAACAGTAAAGGTAGACTGATGATTAAAGTTCACTAAGGTGAGGCAGAGGGAATGGGGGTGTGAGGTTGAGCTGCATTCATTGTGAAGCTCTCCTTCCCTTCCAGGGAGGGCACCTCATGCCCAGCTCCACCACAGCACTGTTAACTGCCTGCCCCTGGGGACTGTGTTCCTGAGGGCTCAGGTTCAGTTTCTGGGAGCAATGAATGGAACTGTTACTTCCCAGCCTCCAGCTAAGTGCTTCCACAGTCCTTATTCACAACTGCGGGAGAGAACTTTACCTCCAGTTCAGAGATAGCGGGATAAGTCAAAGAGAGAACACAAAGTTGATACAAGGCCAAATGATGGGACAGGACTTTAGGTGCTGGGACTTCCTGAGGGTGCTCTCCCTGGGAATCCCCCAGCAGTGAGGGCACCCAGAGAGGGACGGGAAGGAGCTGAGCAAGTGAGGTCTCAGGTGGAGTCTGCCTTGGCCTGCCGAGGGTGGAGGGCTGCGGAGAGGGTCTCTGGAACCCAAATTGGACTGAAAAATTGTGCAACTTGGGCAAAGGAGTCAGGCTTTTGTGCCCCAGAATTAGCCATTATCAAAAGGGGATGGGGCACTCCCAGGGAGACACGTCACCTCCCAGGCTCATAGGTCAAGAAGCCATGAGTTAGAGAAGACCGCAGGTAAGAGCCCTCGCCAAGGGGCTCTGGGTGGGACATCGATCGAGTCCACCAAGGCCTTGCTGCCAGGGAGTGGGGACACCTGATGTGAGCCCAGATGAGCTGATGTCACTATGCCTTCCCTGACCCTCCGCCCTCCCCAAGTCTCATTGTCCTGCTGTCTTCACCAATCCTGCCTCTCCCTGCCCGTGTCCCAGTAACTGACCCATCAATCCACGTTTGCACAACAACTTAGTGGGGAGACAAATAAATCTGTGCTAAATAAAGGGGCAAATTTTGTGGGAATTTAGGAGAAAGAGAAATTACTTCTAACTAGGAGTTGGGGGTGTGTGGGTCAGAAATCAGGGATGGCCTCACAGAAGAGTTGCTTTTGAAAGTTGAGCAGGTGAGGAATGGGCAAAAGAGAATTTCAGGCTGGGAAAAGGCACATGGGCAGGAGACAGGGTGGCATATTTGGGAAACGATGAATAAACCTTGAGGCTTAGTTTCAGATATTTGGAAGTACCCCCTGGGAGATGGGCCTGCAGACATTGCCTGGGTCAGATCATGGAAACTTTCATCGTATTAAGGGATTAAAAGGTCATTCTTTTTTTTTTTTTTTTTTTTTTTTTTGAGACAGAGTCTTGCTCTGTCGACCAGGTTGGAGTACAGTGGTACGATCTTGACTCGCTGCAAGCTCCACCTCTCAGGGTTCAAGCGATTCTCCTGCCTCAACCTTCTGAGTAGCTGGGATTACAGGTGCCCGCCACCATGCCTGGCTAATTTTTGTATTTTCAGTGGACATGGGGTTTCACCATGTTGGCCAGGCTGGTCTCGAACTCCTGACCTCAGGTAATCTGCCTGCTTCGGCCTCTCAAAGTGCTGGGATTACAGATGTGAGCCTCCTCACCAGGCCTAAAAGGTCATTCTTTTAAAAAATATAATTTTATTCTTAAGCTTTTCTGTATTTTCAAATTCTCTGCAAGTTGAAAAAAAGAGAAATGTACATTTACATTATAACTGGGTGAAGGTAGATGGTTGACTCTCATAGGTGTTGGTGCAGAACGGTTAAGAAGGCTCCTTCTGTACCAGAAGTGAGGCCCAAGTAGGAGCTTATTCTGAGTCAGTGGAAATCGTGCAGACCTTCCAGAAGGGAATGATGTAATTGGAAAGCATTTTTGGATACTGCACGGCAGTCGTTTGAAGAAAAAACTGGAGAGATGGGGGATGGAAGCCTGGGAGTCACATTTTTTCAAGCAAGACATCACAGAGGGTGAGGCCCAGTGACAGAGATGACAGATATTCAAAGATGGAATGAAAGAGGTTTGGTGACTGGATATAAGCAACGAAACAGGAAGAATTGAATTTGGGTCTGATATTTCCTGGATGCAAGATCAGGAGGATGTTGGCACCATGGCTTAGTGGGGAAACTGGGGACCGATTCTGGAGGTATACCAGCATGGTGAGTTTGGTTTTAGATGGGTTGTGTTTGACATAGGGCTAGCAATTCTAAGTGAAGATGTCTAAAGAAAGATAGAAGTGACTCAGCTCTGAAGTTCTGAAATGATCAGCCATCAGCGTGGCATGAGGAAGACCTAGGAACAGACAGACTGGGGAGAAGACACAGAGCCAAGCAGGACCTGGCCTGCAGCCCAAACCCTGTGGAATCCCTACATTCAAGGACCAGGTTGAAGTGAAGCCATTGACAGGAACTGAGATGCAGTAGTGTTCTGGAAGTCAAGTGAGGAGGAGGATTGAAGAAGAGGTTGGTCAAAATTCTGTAAGTGAAGTATGGAGTGTGACTAGTATTGCCAGGTAAATTATAGAAAGCCCAGTTCAATTTTAATTTCAGATAAACGATGAAATTTTTTTTAGTGTAAGTGGCATGCAATATTTGGGACATGCTTATGTTGAGGATACCCTAATATTGCATGGGACATACTTATGAATAAAATATTGACAAACAAAATAAAATAATGAATAAAAATTATTTATCTTAAAGTCAAATTTAACTGGGCATCCTGCATTTTTGTTTGTTGAATCTGACAATCCTAACTATGACTCAAATTTAAGGATGTCATTAGTGAACTCGGTAGAGTGTTCCAATGAGCTCGGTTCTCCTGGCCCCCTTTGTACTTATGAGCAAGATGACAGGAGCCTTACAACAGGGGCCTGACTCGATTACTAGTCAACTCCGAGTGCTGTTGCCAGTATGCCTGTCTACATTTCTTTCTCTATTTTGTTGCGTCTTTGCCCCCAATGCCATCATAGCCATTCTGAGTTCATGGCTTCGTTGGTCTTCCTTCTTGGTTTCTAGACCTCATTCAGCCCTGCACAGTCCTCTTTTGTTCCATGTTCCCTGTTCCAGGGGGGTTGCCCAGTGGAAACACCAGACTGCAAAGCTTTGAGAAGTCTGTATGAGATGAACAACTGGAAAAGGTTCTTCGTGAAGAATTTGTGTGGTGAAGAGCTGGAATAGCGGCTTGAGGGAGAGAAGCCAGGTGAGAAAACTCAGGATGTTTGTGTCTTTGGAGGGAAGAGATAAAGGAGAAAGGATGACGAAGCTGGTGGGGGCCTAGCACCTGAGAAGGGTGGAGGCCATGAGGAGAAATGAGTTTTGAAGGAGAGGGGATACCTCTTCCAGACAGCAGGAGAGGAAGCAGGGAGAGCAGGAAGATAAAGATACATTTTGATGGGGAAGAGATAGGTTTTTTTTTTTTGAGACAGAGTCTTTCTCTGTTACCCAGGCTGGAGTGCAGTGACTTGATCTCGGCTCACTGCAAACTCTGCCTCCCAGGTTCAAGCGATTCTCCTGCCTCAGCCTCCCGAGTAGCTGGGATTACAGGCACCCACCACCACGCCTGACTAATTTTGTATTTTTAGTAGAGACAGGGTTTCACCATGTTGGCCAGTCTGGTCTCGAACTCCTGACCCCAAGAGATCCGCCCTCCTCGGCCTTCAAAGTGCTGGGATTACAGGCCTGAGCCACTGTGCTCAACCGGGAAGAGAAAGATTTGAGGAGCCCAAGTGAATTGCTTTTCTCAGTGAAGAGGAAATCAACATTATTGGCTGTGATATTGGGTTGGTGTGGGGTTGGGAGTTTGAAAAAGTGCACGTATTTTTGATTCTTACTAGCTCCATTTCGGAGGTTGAATGTTTCCCCCTGATGTTTGTCTTCAACTTTGGGAAACTTCCTTACACATATAAAATGTATTAACCGTTAGGTATTCATACTTTATTGCCACCTGTGGGTGACTCCCCAGTGCACTTGATGTTGTCCCTTGACAGGAACCAATGAGCATATTTGCAAGTGGGAAGGATCTGTGTGACATTAGGGTCCCCAGTGTCCTCTCTGAACATTTCAGGGCATAATATGAGACCACTGAAAAATATCTGTTATTAAAGCAGACCTAGATTAAGTTCCTTGAAATGTGGTGGTGTCAGCTTATTTTCAAATCCAAAACGGGGCCAGGCGCAGTGGCTCATGCCTGTAATCCCAGCACTTTGGGAGGCCGAGGTGGGCAGATCACCTGAGCTCAGGAGTTTGAGAACAGCCTGGCCAACATGGTAAAATCCCGTATCTACAAAAAAATTCAAAAATTAGCTGGGCGAATTGGCTCATGTCTGAAGTCCCAGCTACTCGGGGGGCTGAGGTGGGAGGATCACTTGAGCTGGAGGAGGTTGTAGTGACACCAACATCGCACCACTGCACTCCAGCCTTTTCTTTTTTTTTTTAAAGGTTAAAATATAAGATTTTATGTTATATATATTTTACTACAATTTTTAAAAATACTGTAATATACCGAACCCATTGAACTGTACACTTTAAATGGGGGAATTGCATGGTTTGTGAATTATATCTCAATAAAGTTGTTGCTCATACCTTAGGGACACTTTTCCTTAACTCTGTATGCAGGCCACAGGCACCATGAAAAACCAGTTCAACTGGAAAAATAATCAAGTGTGAATGATTGGGGGAGGGAGGTAAATACAGCTGAAGAGATTCAGACAATTAACTCGGAACCTCAACATGCTTAAGAGGCTGAAGGCCATGAGCTATGGCAGAGGGAGACTGCATAGTTCAGAATTGCATGAGCCCAGGAGCTGTGCACAGGGTTATTGTACTGGAAGGCTATTTATGCTAGCCTAAAGCTCTTCAGAGACAAGTCACCATGTGTAGCAAATTAAATAGGTTTTGATTTGAGGCTAAGGATGGCCACATTTTGGGTATCAACCTGACCTTTTGCTGGCCTGGAAAACAGCAATATGAATCTGAGTTGAATCAGATGGGTCATTCCATCCTGCTCCTCTGAGTGAGGGTGTGTTTGGAACGGTGGGTGATTGATTTTTTTGAAATGTGCATTTGGAGTTCCAGGAGTGGCCATCCAGAGTGCCCACAATGTCACTGGACGAGACAAAACCATTCATCCATTCAGCAGCCGCACAAAGCAGCCTACACCAAGAAAACAACAATACATCCCCCAAACAGATCCAACAGCTGCTCATCAATCTGGTGCAAGCTGCAGGTTGCCTGACTAAATTACTGTCGAATAGGCAGACGAGCACAATTTGTCAGTCAGCATTGAGTTTAAATGAGCAGAGATGCACATAAAGCCAGCAATGCAATTGTAATTAAGAATTATAGGCATCAAGTTTCAACGAGTGCTTTCTTAAGGTAGCAGTGACCCATCTGTAAGGAGCATATGAGAAATCCAGAGCAGAATTAATCTCAGGGAATGGTCTACCCTCTACATTTTAAGCAATTCTTCATGTATGAAAGCGATGTGTAAATGATGGAGAATCTATGAGAGCTCAGGCTCTAGTTTTCCTATTTGCTTAAGAAAAAATTTATGCAGCCGGGCATGGTGGTTCACACCTGTAATCCCAGCACTTTGGGAGGCCAAGGCAGGCAGACCACTTGAGGTTAGGGGTTCGAGACCAGCCTGGCCAACATGGGGAAATCCTGTCTCTACTAAAATACAAAAATTAGCTGGGCGTGGTGGTGCGTGCCTGTAGTCTCAGCTACTCGAGAGGCTAAGGTGGGAGGATCGCTTGAACCCAGGAGGCGGAGGCTGCAATAAGCTGAGATTGCTCCACTGCACTCCAGCCTGGGTGACAGAGTGAGACTCTGTCTCAAAAAAAATTATATCAGGCATATTAAAGAGTGAATAATAATAACAATAATAATAATAAAGTGAAGTGATGCTTCTGAACGCACCACCCAGATTAAGAAAAATAACATGTTGATTTTTTTTTTTTTTAGATGGAGTCTCACTCTGTCGCCCAGGCTGGAGTACAGTGGTGTGATCCGGGCTGACTGCAAGCTCTGCCTCCCGAGTTCACACCATTCTCCTGCCTCAGTCTCCCGAATAGCTGGGACTACAGGCTCCCACCACCACACCCGGCTAATTTTTTGTACGTTTTTTTTTTTTTAGTAGAGACAGAGTTTCACCGTGTTAGCCAGGATGGTCTTGATCTCCTGACATTGTGATCCACCCGCCTTGGTCTCACAAAGTGCTGGGATTACAGGCGTGAGCCACCGCACCTGGCCATGTTGATTTGTTTTAATGGTAGTTGCAATACTTGTGAGAGTGACATCCACCTGGATGCTGACTTGAATGGAATTTCATAACTGTTGGGTACTGACCATGAGTTGGTGTGGGGACATACAAAGTTGAACAAGACATAGGCTTGCCTCATAGTGTCTACAGCCTGGAAGAGGGAAGAAAGTGACAACACAAATAGTTCTGCATCTTATGAATTCATGGGAAGAGGAGAGGTGTCATAAGACAGGTATGCAGTGCTGCAGAGGTTTGGAGAGGTTGGATCAGGTTGGGGTGTGGAGGGCGGGGAGGGAAGGAGTTCAGAGAACCTTTCCTGAAGAAGGTAGCATCTGAGCGGACATCAAAGGTGAGCAGAAGCTGCGTAAGCTGAGAGAGGGTGGAAAAGAGGGCGTTTCCAGTGGAGGGACTTAGCACAAGCAAAGACAACAAACCCTTGGGCCTGTAAAGGAAACAATAAATTAATTTGTCTAGAATGTGACAGTAGTGGAATATGAGATTCAACGACTGTCCTAGCTCTTTTTGAAAATTTTGCTTTCTACATAGTTACTTAATAGCTCCAATCTGGAAACAACCCAAATGTTCATTAACAGAAGACTGGATAAACAAATTGTGGCATATCCAGACAATAGAATGCTACTGAACAATTAACAAAACTGTAGACACAACATCAACAAACCTAAAAATAATTATGTGTCATGAATGAAACCAGAAAAAAGAATAAATACTTCATGATCTCATTTATAAGAAAATTCTAGATAAGGCACAAACTAAGCTACAGTTAATATGTAGTTTCCAGGGGATTCGTTATCAGTAGTGCAGAGAGAAGAGGATTATAACAGACATGAGGTAATGTGTTGGGTGATAGATATGTTCATTATCATAGCTATAGAGATGGTTTGAAATATATGTACATGAAAAATGTATCAAACTGTATACTTGCAACATGAGTTTTATTGCATGTCAATTATACTGCAATAAGGCGTTTAAAAAAGGGTTCTACATAAAAATACAAATCCACTTATTTTAGAAAACCAGAAGTTTTGGCAACCGTATGCTGATTCTGCCATCTCCAGCCTGATTCCTTGGGAGAGGTTAACCTTCCACAGTGGTGGCAAAAGTCAGCAGGCAATGAAGGCTATTTCCACCTGAGTCACCAGAAAGAATGGCTAGGTCATAAGCCACATGGCTGGACTCTATCTACCTCCCTGTAATCTCCACTCTTTCACCTGTGCCAGCAATGGTTTAGAGATGAACAGACCATAAAGACTATGGAAATCCAATAATCTTTAATGCATTTGCTCTGTCAGTGACATTTGCCATAGGAGAGAGAGAGATTTGGAATTTATAATTTGTACACCCTGATTCTGCACAGCCTTAGTCTCTGACAATGTGTGAATGCATATTTGGAAGGGACACATTCTCCCAGTTTACTGCAATATCCTCGCTCCCTATTAATTACACCCAGTGATTAAGCCCACAATGCCTTTTAAATTTTCCCAGCAAGCCTTGTACAACAATCCAAATCAGGCCAAAAGTAGGAGGAGAGCTATTTTCTTCCTGCCTGCTTTCCCTCTGAGCATACAAATTTGGAGGCCCCATAACAACTGCTCCCCTCTTCATGCTGGCAGAGCCTAATTATTTCTCAACTTATCCCTAAACAAAGAATAGATCACCAAAATACTTCAGATGAAACGTAGAGCAGACAGGTCCTGGGCTGGGAATCCAGGAGACTGATGCAACAAATGCAACAAAGAGCATTAAGAGACTAGCAATGTCCATGAAGAAGGGAACCTAATAAGTAAGCTGCCACAGCTCAAGTCCTCCTGGCCAAAGCCAGGTCATGTCCCTCTATAACCAGCCAGTGAGAAGGGAATGAGGTCCCTAAACGGGTTCGGGGGATTCATGATTCTCTCTGGGGACTGGAGAGAGAGCCTGGAGGTCTCACTTTCTTGAGCACATCGGGGTGACTGATGGACCCTGCCGGGTGGTCAAGGTGAGATGGCTTCTGGCACAGGTATTGGATGTGACATAATCCTTGCGAAGGGCCTAGACAGTTAAGGAAGTGCACCCTACCTCCTGAAAGCTCCCTCCATACCTGGCACTAAAAGGTATTATCACCAGTTCAGATATTTTGATATATATGGTTCGCTTCTGTCTGATGACTCCCTGCAAAAAGGCTACCCTCCAAGCTACCCTCTAGGGTGAGTCATTAGACAGAACAAGGATATAACACATCCCCTGCTCTCCTAAGGAAATTCTCTCAGTGTGAATTTTCTTGTGCTGAATGAACAAAGATTTTTTTTTGTTTGTTTGTTTTTTTTGGTTTGTTTTTAGACAGTCTCAGTCTGTCACCCAGGCTGGAGTGCAGTGGCACGATCTTGGCTTACTGCAACCTCTGCCTCTGGGGTTCAAGTGATTCTTGTGCCTCAGCCTCCCGAGTAGCTGGGATTACAGGCACCTGCCACCACGCCCAGCTAATTTTTTTTTTTTTGTATTTTTTGTAGAGATGGGGTTTTGCCATGTTGGTCAGGCTGGTCTTGAACCCCTGACCTCAAGTGATCCTCCCGCCTTGGCCTCCCAGAGTGCTGGGATTACAGACATGAGCCACTGCGCCTGGCCTCAATGAGTAAATGTTTTGCTAAAAAATTTCCCACACTGCCTCAGCATAAAGCCTTACTTCAGTGTCAACTTTTGGTGCTGAACAAGGCACTCCTTGGCTGAAACCTTCCCACATTCTATGCATTCATAAGGCTTTTGCAGGGTGAACTTTCTGGTGCTGAGCAAGGTTAGAGGGACAGCCAAAGGCTCTCTCACATTGTCCCCACTCATAAAACCTTTCTGTGTTGTGAACTTTCTGGTGCCCTGCAAGGTGGACATTTCTGCTGTAGGATTTCCCACACCTGCTGTACACATAAGGGCTTGCTCCAGAGTGAAGTCTCTGGTGGTGAACAAGGCTGGAGCTCTGGCTAAAGGATTTCCCACATTCTTTGCACTCATAAGGACTTTCTCCAATATGGGTTCTTTGATGTTGACCAAGTCCATATTTGGAGCTCAAAGATTTCTTACGCAATGTAAATTAGTATAACCACTATGGAGAACAGTTTGGAGGTTCCTCAAAAAACTAAAAATAGAGCTACCATATGACCCATCAATCTGACTTCTAGTTATATACCCCAAAGAAAAGAAATCAGTACATTGAAGAGATATCTGCCCTCCCATCTTTGTTGCAGCACTATTCACAATAGCCAAGATTTGGAAGTAACCCAAATGTCCATCAACAGACAAATGGATAAAGAAAATGTGGTGCATATACACAATGGAGTAGTATTCAGCCATAAAAAAGAATGAGATCTTGTCATCTGCAACAACATGGATGGAACTGGAGGTCCTTAAGGTTAAGCAAAATAATCCAGGCACAGAAAGAAAACATTGCATGTTCTCATCTATTTGTGAGAACTAAAAATTAAAACAATTGAACTCATGGAGATAGAGAGTAGAAGGATGGTTACCAGAGGCTGGGAAGGGTAGTGAGGGCGAGTGAGGGGGAAGTGGGGTGTTTAATGTGTCCAAAAAATGGTCAGAAACAATGAATAAAGTCTAATATATGACAGCAAAAGAGTGTGACTATAGTCAATAATAATCGAATGGTACATTTAAAAATAACTAAAAGTGTATATTTGGATTGTTTGTAACATAAAGGATAAATGCTTGAGGTGATGGATACCCCATTTACCCTGATGTGATTGTTACACATTGTATGCCTGTATCAAAGTATCCATATACCCCATGAATAAATGTATATACCTACTATGCACCTACAAAAATTAAAATAATAAAAAAAAGGATTCCCCATATTTGCTACACTCATATGGCTTTTCTCCAGTGTGAACTTTTGTGTTGAACAAAGTAAGCGTTTCTGCTGTAGGTCTTCCTACACTGGCTGCGCTCAAGGCCCTTCTCCCATGTGAGCTTACTTGTGCTGAATGAGATTGGAACTTCTTGTGCAGGTTTTCTCACATTCAGTGCACACATAAGGCTTTTCTCCAGTGTGAATTATCTGGTGCTGGCCAGGAGTGTCTTTAGGACTGAATGCTTCTCCATAGTCAATGCATTTGAAATGTCCTTGTTGAGTATGAAACATGTCCCCATACATGGCACTCCTGCATGGCTTCTCATTGTGAATTGCTTGGTGCTGGAAGAGGCCAGAGCTGACCAGGTAGCCTTTTCCAACCTTGCTGCATGGAAATGGCATCTCTTGAGTGTGAACTCTGTGGCTCTTCAACAAGATGGCCCTGCCCTTGTTTTTTTCAGAAAGGTCTCTCTCCACTGTGCCCCTTCTGGGGCTGATGAAGATTTGCACTGAAATTAAAGCTTCTCCCTCATGGTCCACACATGTACAGTTTCTGTGTAGGGTGTGTTCCACGGTGCTCAGCTGGCTGTAGCATGTCTTTTGGGACCCAGCCACCCACATCACAATGGAGGGCCTTCTGAGTGGAAGCACCTGCCTTGGGAGACCTGACCCGACTTGCTTAGAAGTTACCTCCTCAACCTCTATTCCATGCCCACACTCCTCTGCAAATGGTTTTAGCTAGTCCTTGGATGTTGGTGACATTAGGTGTCTCCAGTCTCAGGAAAAACAAACTGCAACAGAGGCACTGGTGTCAGGGATGTTTAAGGGTATGTATACCTCACATAACACATTAAATGCAGGCCAACAGTGAAGAGTAATGCCCAGATGGGGTCGTGCCTGTACCGTCAGGCACCCAGGACTCCTGGACCTGCTCCACTTAGGCAACTCCGTGGGATCTGAAAGATGCAAGTCTTCGGGGGGAAAGACAGTGCTGGAGAATAGCCATCCCCTGCCCAGGGCAGCCCTGCAAGGCCACAATTACAAAGTTCTCGTGCATCACATGGCAGTGCAGGAGTCTCTGAGCCTCATCAAGGAGTCTCCACTCCTCCTCCTCCTTCACCCCCACAATCTGTTCTCCACTCTGAATTCTGGGAGGTTCTGTTATGTTAATAAATGAGTTAGATCACTTCCCTCATCTTTGGATTTGGGGCTTCCCAAATCCAAAGCCCCACAACTCAGAATAGAGGCCCAAATGCTCACCCTGCAGTTCCGGCCTGAGTCCTGCCTCACTACACTCCTGTTCCACAAGACAGAAAGGAGATTGTAGTCTAGGAACACTTCCAACTGTTTCACCCCCAAGCATTTGCAGACACTGGTTCCTGCTCCAGGGACAACCTTTGACCCCATGGTGCTCTGGTTGCCAGAAATATGAACTGAGCACAATAAGCCTTAGACTGGGAGGTCACTCTCTATATTAGTTTGTTCTCACACTGCTAATAAAGACATACCTGAGACTGGATAATTTATAAAGGAAAGAAGTTTAATTGACTCACAGTTCAGCATGGCTGGGGAGGCCTCAGGAAACTTACAATCATGGTGGAAGGGGAAGCAAGCATGTCCTTCTTTACACGGTGGCAGGAAGGAGAAGAATGACTGCCCAGCAAAGGTGGAAGCCCCTTATAAAACTGTCAAATCTCATGAGAACTAACTCACTATAACGAGAACAGGATGGGGGGAACCACCCCCATAATGCAATTATCTCCACCTGGTCCCACTCATGACATGTGGGATTATGGGAACTACAATTCAAGATGAGATTTGGGTGGGGACACAGCCAAGCCATATCACTCTCCCTTATATAGGGATGGAGAGATCATGTGGCTGGGGTTCTGGGTGGATGTGGGTCTGGGGCACAATCCACTCACTTGTGAGTCCATCTGCAATGCCACCAGTTGGACTCTATGAAATGAGTGGGACTCAGAGGTGAAAACAGGGTGGATCCCTCGGGCTCATTCCACTGATTACTCCCACCCTTCCTGGGCAAGTGACCTCCACTGAGTGTTGTTCCCTGAGCCTCTGTCCTCCCTGTGTAAAATGAACAAAAGGATTAGGGATCCTGTTTCTGGATACCATGGAAACAGAGGTTGTGTGCAGAGGCCCTGGGAGGCATGGGCCTGGCTGGGATCATGGCTCCTACTAAGGCACAGAGAGGGTCCTGCTCTCTTCCTGATTCTACTGAGCTCATTTTATGTATTTGTGTATTTATTTTTATTTTTTTGAGACAGAGGTCTCATCCAGGCTGGAGCGCAGTGGCATGATCATGGCTCACTGCAGCCTCGACCTTCCAGGCTCAAGCTACCCTCCTGCCTCAGCCTCCCAAGTAGCTGGGACAAAAAGCATGCATGACACCTGGCAAATTTTTAAAAAAAATTTTTTGTAGAGATGGGCGGGGGGTGGGGGGCAGTCTTAGTTGCTCCCTCATTTCTACAAAGAATAAAAAAATTAGCCACACGTGGTCTCAGCCTATGTTGCTCAGACTGGTCTTGAACTCCTGAGCTCAAGCAATCCTCCCACCTCAGCCTCCCAAAGTGCTGGGATAACAGGCATGAGCCACTGGGCCTGGCCCTGAGCTCACTTCTTTTAAGATTCTCACTTCACTGGAAAACATTCCATCCACAAAGGGCTAACTTTCCTTATTACCTAAAGACTCAGGTCGAACACACCCAGACTCAATCCTATATAGGAGGGTGTGAGAGGAGAAAATGGTTGGTTTTGGCCATTCATTATCCATTCTGTCTTCTGAACAGTACCCCACATTTATTTGGGCAAATACCTCTTCGCCAATATGAGCCTATGCAATATGCTAAGGGGTTGGCTCCAGTTTTATCTTCTAGTCATAGTTGATTGGTTCATTTAAAGCCAAGTGATCTGATTAGGCCCCATGAGAGCAAGATCCAGGGCTTTGGAGACTGTTAAGGAAGCTGAACAACCCCAGCTGGTTATAAAGCTGAGGGAAGGTAAAGGCTAGAGCTACTGCAGCCACCTTGTGATCATGGGAAGACCCTGGCTCAGAATGAAGTCAACACATTGAGGTGCGGGTCAAAAGTCAAAGTATTTAATAAGGATATGCCACAGGCACTAATCAGTCAGAGTGTACACAAGCTGGTATGCTGTCCTGGGACTCTGCCTGTAGGAACTCATAGCTTTTGAAAAAAAAAGTTTTATTCATGATGTATTATCTCAAATAAAAATACTATCATGTAATGATATACCTATAATTTTTATTTGTACATAACCTTGCCATATTGCTCCTAAAATATTTACAATAATTTCTTAATATTATCTAAAACTAAGATTATCTTCAGTTTTCCCCATTTGTTTCAAAAAATTTTAAAAAAATAGTTTGTTTGCTTGAATCAAGATTTAAACAAAGTTACGGTATTTTATTGCTAATAAAAAGGACTCCTTATTCTGGAAACTGTTAGAAACAACAGTTTCTAACATGCATGAAGTTATGGGTTCAAATCTTTGCTCCTCCATTAGCTGTGCTCTCAGATAATCCACCTAACCTTTTAACTTGCCTCAGTAATACCTAACTCAGAAAGTTGTTGGGAAGATTTTGTGAAATGGTGTATGCATAGAACAAAATCATCAGTCTGTGTGAGTAAATAAGGTTACTTTGCTTGGTGGTTAATTTTTCTGTAAACTTGACTGGGCCATGGGATGTCCAGATATTTGGACAGACACTATTCTGGGTGTTTTTTTTTTTTTTTTTGACAGAGTCTTGCTCTGTTGCCCAGGTTGGAGTGCAGTGGTGCGATCTCAGCTCATTGCAACCTCTGCCTCCCAGGTTCAAGCAATTCTCATGCCTCAGCCTCCCAAGTAGCTGGGATTATAGGCATGTATCACGACACCCGGCTAATTTTTGTATTTTTGGTAGAGACAGGGTTTCACCACGTTGGCCAGGCTGGTCTCAAACTCCCAGCCTTATGTGATCTGTCCACCTTGGCCTCCCAAAGTGCTAGGCTTGCAGGCATTAGCCACCATACCCAGCCCTGGATACTTTTTTTTTTTTTTTTTTTTTTTTTAGATAGAATCTTACTCAGTCTCCCAGGCTGGAGTGCAGTGGCACAATCTTGGCTCACTGCAACCTCCGCCTCCCAGGTTCAAGTGATTCTCCTTCCTTAGCCTCCCAAGTAGCTGGGATTACAGGTGTGCACCACCATGCCCAGCTAATTTTTTGTATTTTTAGTAGACACGGGGTTTTGCCATGTTGGCCAGATTGGTCTCAAACTCCTGACCTTAGGTGATCTGCCCACCTCGACCTCTCAAAGTGCTGGGATTACAGGCGTGAGCCACCATGCCTGGCCTAGGTACGTGTATGAGGGCGTTTTGGATGAGATTAACATTTAAGTCAGACTAAGTAAAGCAATTTATGCTTCCTGATGTGGGTGGGCCTCATCTAATCAGTAAAAGGCCTGAATAGACCAAAAAGCTGATCCTTTCCCAAGAAAGAGAGGACTCTCCCTGCCTGATGGCCTTTGAACTGGAAATCAGCTTTTTCCTGCTTTAAGACATGAACTGAAACATTGACTCTTCCTAGGTCTTAAGTGCACCAGCCTTTGGACCAGAACTACATCATCGGCTCTCCTGGTTCTCTAACTTGCCTACTCACCCTGAAGATCATGGGACCTGCTAGTCCCCACAGTTGGGCGAGCCAATTCCTTGTAATAAATCTCTTTATTGGAGATGTATATATATATGTGTGTGTGTGTGTGTGTGTGTGTGTGTGTGTTAGATTTCTCTGGGGAACCCCTCAGACTTTGTAATAAATGCCCACATTTCTTTGGCCAGTTGTCCCCATCTGTCTAATTCTAGGACATCAGTCCTCCACACTTTCCTTAGTCTTCCACCATTATTTATGAGCTTCCTAAGGGAGTTATCTCACACATGTGCTTGTGAAGTCTTCTCTAAGCCCTCCACTCATTGCTGACTGCTTTCTGGCAAATTAAGACCTGACTCTAGGTGTTCCTGCTTTATTCCTGCTACCCAGAAGTCACAAAATCCCTATTCCTGAAGACTTACCATTTACCTCTTGTATTTCACAAAGTCACTCAAGAAAACAGCACTTTTCATTTCTTTCTACAGTGTTGGGCTCGAACCTGGTCTTATAGGCTAGGCTCAACGCTGAGCCTCTATGTCCATGTTCATTTTGCATTCTCTTCATCTCTGCTTTCCTGAAGGCTCCATTCCTCCAGACAAAAAGATCCTTGGGCCTGCTTGGTGGGCTGCCAGACCCTTAATTCCCATTTCAGTTCAATTGTGACCCTGACTCAAATCCCTTACATAGTTGGAACTCAATGTATACATTAGTTCTCTTTCCCTTAGGTTTAGAAGTGAGGTGAATTGCAACCGTAGAAGAGGCAGTATCAAGACAAGAATATAGCCATTCCTGCTCCTCTTAGGAGTATGTTCAAGAACTAGATCTGGTTATCCAGCCCAAGGAATATTTTATTTTCTGAATGTTCTGAGCATATTTTTGGATAGAATCCTCTAACTCTATGAATGTGATGTAACTGTTTTATGCCATTCTATTTCCAAAGTGAATCGTTAGTGATATTTAAAATATAAAGGTAGGCTTGACCATAGGAAAATGTTTTTGTAGGTAAAAAGTGGTCAAATCTTGTCAATCTCATGTGGCTCAATCTAACACAGAATCATTTGTAAGTGGGCTATTTAATTCTGTCATTTCTATGAAGAAAATGAACTGGGTGGATTGGAAGCCAAATTTGTATCTAGATGCTAATTTAGGCCCTTGAGTCTTCCCTTCCCCTACTCCATAGCTCCCCCCACTTCCCATTTTCCTCATGCCATAATGCTGCTTTCTGAAAACCATACACAGTCATCTAATCTAAGCTCGCTCTACCCACAGGGGTCTGAGTTCTCACAACCCACTTCACCTCTCCTTAATAGGTCAACCTTGGTCTTGGGAGGATAGTGATCTGATTGGCTCTTCTGGCTTTCTTGCACTGAGGATGTGAATGACTGATAGCTTTGTTTAATGTTTAGTGGTATTATTAGTGTTATTCACAAATAATTTGATTCTCCTCTTCTCCTAGACATATGGTTGGTCATTTCTCTGTTTTTTTATTTTTATTTTTTGCTTTCCTTTTGAAGCTAGATGTAGTCATGTGCCTTGCTTTAGTCAATGAAATGCGACTGGAAATGACACATACCACTCCTGGGGGTAAGCTTTAAGTGTGCAATTTGTAATACTTCCTTTCACCACTAGGGGTTGTTGTGAAAGTGCATGCTAAAATGATGCCTCTGTGGGCCTGGATTACTGAGTGACTAATCTGAGCAGAATCCCATGCCAACTCATCATTCCCGTCTCAGCCAATGAGGCTCAATAGATGGGAGGGGATAGTCTAATCCACACAGGGATTCAGAAACCCAAGATCCTTCTACTGAGTGATTTCCTTAGGGCAGAGTTTGGGAAACTACAGCTCATGGGCCAAATCTAGCCTGTTTTATTGGAACACAGCCACACTCATTCATTTACATATTACCAAGGGCTGCTTTCCTGCTCCAGCAGCACAGTTGAGCCGTCATAATGGAGATGGTATAGCTCCCAAAGCCTAAAATATTTACCATCCAGCCCTTTATAGAAAATGTTTGCTGGATTTTGCCCTAGGGCCTTGGAGTTTCCCCCTGGGTACTCTGAATCCAGCTGGCAGGTGAAGGAAGAGAGAGAGAACAAGGAGGTTTGCATGAAAGGTTTTGGAGCCCAGTCCTGAAAGTGGCATTTGACAAAGACACTCTCCTTTGACCCAAACTTGAATCAGTCTCCTCTGAGTCCTCTGCTCGACTAGGCGCAACCTCGGGCTTCCCTCTCTGTCCTTGTGGAATCTAGTTTAAACAAGAATCCTGCCAAGTCAGCTTAACGAAAGTCCCCCACCCTTGGTATCTGACCACCCTCAATATCTTATCATCCTGGCCTGCCTTCAGCAAGAATTCTGTTGAGTTGCTCTAACAAGAATTTTCCTTACCTCTGATGTTTTCTCTTAGTAACTTTGCATTCTGCTGGCTCCCATCCTGCTCCTTGGCTGTAAATTCCCACTTGCCCATCCTGTATTCAGAGTGGAGCCCAATCTCTCTCTCCCACTGCAATGGTCTCTACACCTATCTTGATGGTTCCCACCTTGAATAGAGTCTTCCTTACCATCTTGATCAAGTATCATGATTAATTTTTTTCTTTAACAAGTATATCACTTTGATCCATGTTCCAGTGGCCAGAACTCAGTCACCAGCCACATGTCTTGGCAAGGGAGGCTGAGATATATAGTCTAGCTGTGTATCTAGGAGGAAAAGGCAGAAGGTTTGGTGAACAATCACTGCCACATCTGCCTACGTGTGTGCTTCAGCAGAAGTGTTCCTTCCAGTCAACCCTGGTTGGGGCAATAACTGTTGAAAATTAGGAACATTTCCTCTGCTGTCCCTCTAAGCTCCCTTGCTCTGATCAACTGTGGTTCTTCAATGCTCTGCTCACACAGTGATTATCCACACACATCAGTCTGCAGGGAGTAGTAGCGTTGGGTAGGGTCTAGCTGAATCACAGACTTCACTCTGTTCTGGGGCATGCACCATTGTTAGAGCAAGTTCTGCATCAGAGTGCAAGAAATTCTGGCCTGGAACTGGCAATGTTTTGATCTCATACTCGGAATGCAGAACATAATGGTATCAATCTCTGAAAATCAAATGAAATCTTGTGGGAGTAGGATAGGCACAATGAATAAAATTATATAAAACAATTTCATACTTGACATTTACTGAGAGAGGCTTAATTTTTCCTACATATTTTAGTCTGTTCAGCTGGTATTATTTAGTCATATCTCTTTCCCCATTTGGTTCACAACTTATCTTTTGGGAGCCCAGAATTAAACTGTAAAAATGTATATATGCTAGACACTGTTTTATGTTCCATCAATGGAGAAGTCATCAAAATCTCTAACAGAATAAGATTCAGCCTATTACAGGGGTGATTTAGCTGAAATAAAATGTAATGCTTAACTCGGAGAAGCTGGAAAAAAATGAGATTTAGGAATATGGAATTGAATAATCAGTTGGTGAAATGACAGTGGTTTCTTTGTCAATCTCCCAGTTGAGAGAATATTAGGACATCAAGATTATGAAAGACCAGACCCAAATAAGGATACACGATGGCTCAGCAGGACAAGACTGGCTTCTGATTCCAACGACAACAGATAGTTCCCTAACACTGACAGAATTGAAGAAAGAAATCCAGTGTCCTGTGTCAATTCCTTTGGTTGGACAATCATATGTTATGGTGGGGAAATAATTCATGTACACCAAATTAAAAAAAAACAAAAACAAACCTTAAAGAACGTGGCAGTTTTCTGACAAAGACCACTGTGACTAAACATTTACTCAGATATTTCATAAGATGCGGGGAAGTTCATGCACAAATACATGGATGAGAATCCTATGAGAGACAATGTTTGGGGAGGGAAGCTTAAAAAGGAAAGTCCGTAGAGTGAATGGGAAAAGCAAAGGTGAGAGTAATAGGTTCCTAGTGCTTCTATAACAAAGTAGCACAAATGGAGTGGCTTAAAACTACAGAAGTTTATTATATTGCAGTTCCAGAGGATAGAGGCCTGAAATGATGATGTCAGCATGGCTGTGTTCTCTCTAGATGATCTAGGGGAGGAGACCATAGGTGGTTGCTGGCAATCCTTGGCATTTTTTGCTTGCAGACACGTCACTCCAATCTCTCAGCTGTCACATGGTCCTCTGTGTGTGTGTGTGTGTGTGTGTGTGTGTGTGTGTGTGCGCGCGCGCGCTTGCGCGCACATGCATCTATTCTCTTCTTAGAAGGACCCTGGTCATCTTCGATTAGGGTTCATCCAAATCCAGTATGATTACATCCACAAAAACTCTATTTCCGGATAGGGTCACATACACAGGTACTGGAGATTAGGGACTCAACATATCTTTTTGGAGGACACAGTTCAACCTGCAACAGTCAGTCTCTGAAGTCTTCTATGATGGTGTCGTGAGGTTGGCAGAACAGCCCTCAGGGAGGGAGGAGCTGCCCAGCACCACTATACAACATGCAAAACAAGGGCAAAGATGGATTGTCAGTAGAAATGATAATGGCAATAACAATGAACTTATCAAATACTTAGGATGTGCCAGTTTTTCTAAGAACTTTATAAGTGCTATCTTACTTAATTCTCAGGCTGATCCTATGATGCAGGTACTTTAGCCCAATTTTACAGATAAGGAAGTTGATTGAGGTGATGCAGGATTTTTCTCGACCCCTTCTCGGGACTCAAGGCAGGACTGCCCCCTCTATTTGGCCCCACTGCGCTCAACTCTGTGGGAGGGAGCATGTGAACAAGCAACTGCGGGATCCAGCCAGCCACCCCAGGGGCCAACACAGGAACAAGCTCCATGCAGGGCCTGCAGCCAGACCAGGAATGTCGCCTGGAGGGCAATGCGGCAGCACCCAGGTGAGGGTGCCTGTGACCCCAAAGCCCCACAGTGGATGTTAAAGTGCTCCTTTAGTTCCGCTGTCCATGGACAGTGGTTTGTTAGCAGCTCGGTTGGCCCCTTGCCTCCTCATGTGGGGCTGCTGCCCTCCCCACCACAAGCACAAAGGTGTGACAACTTTTCTGATTACCTGCACTGGGTGGGTCTCGAGCTCTTGTCCAGTGTCCATGAAGAATGGGGTCACATGGAAGGTTGAAGGGTGGTGAAAGTGGAGAATTTTATTGAGTGATGAAAATGGTTCTCAGTGGAGAGGGGAGCTGGAGAGGGAACAGAAAGGGCAGGTCATTTTCCCCAAAGTCAGGTCGTCTCTCCTTTACCAACTGAGTCTGGGATCTTTATAGGTACAGGATGGGGAGTGCCTGCTGATGGTTTCTGAGGACGCAGAAAAGGTTAAAGTGAAAACGCCACTCAAAGCTGGGCACAACGATGTAGAAAACCAATTAGGAAAGGGTAGTATATGTAAAACAGGTGAAGGGTGGGGACCAATCAGAGGAAAGCGTGCCAAACAGGAGGACAAGTTCTCAATCCAGTCTGAGAATTTAACCTGTAGCTTGGCCTTCAGGCTTTAAACTGTCTTCGTCTTCAGCTTGGAGGTGGGGTTTCACTGGGACCCAATGCCTGGGCGTTTGGCTGCCTCCTGTCGCTATCAGAGGCATAGAGAGCCAAAGGTGGAATTGAGAAAAATTGAGAAAGATCTCAGGTGAATTGAGAAAGATCTCAGGTGAAGCCTGAGCAGATTCAGCTGCTCGCCTAGAGCAGCTTGGGATACTAGGAAAGCTGCCTTGACGGAAGCTTTCCTCCCTTTTGAAATCACCTACATACTTGTGCTTCAGGTGTGGGGATGGGCTGCTGCTGTTCCACGCTGCCATCGCCACCGGGACCCAACATCTCTTCCTGAAGTCCGTGATGCAGGATTTTCACTCCACCGCTTGCGAACAGCCCCACACCCAGCGCCCTCCCGCACACACCGTCTTGGGGCCTCCTCCAGCGCAGTGCACTCCTGCTGCCACGGTACGTCCTGCCGGGGAGAATTACAAACTTCTCCAAGAGGCTTCTATTCTTTCTCCACCTTCTTTAAGGGAAGGGGTAAGGAGTGAGCACTCACTTTAGTGTTTAAGGCCCTAAATGACCAGTTGTTTCCCAAAATACTCTTTAATTGAGAAGAAGGAAGAGAGCCTCAAGGTGAAAGTGTATTTCCATTGGAAGGGTTTTAATTTTCATCTCTCCTGAGGTGCCTGGGAAGCAAAGAGGATCACAGTTTTCCATGCAGAAGCCAAGGACAAGGAAACTAGCTTTTTGCTTTACTGTGTGTGTGTGTGCGTGTGCACGCATACGGGGCTGGGAAGAGGGAGGGAGCATTCAGTCAATCTCATTTGTCTTTGATGTCACATGACCCCCTGGCCCCCTCCACCCCCCGGTTTGTTTTTCTTTAATCTTTTAATTTTGACTTGCAGAAAAGTGGTAACAATAGTAGAAGAAATTCCCATGTACTTTTAAATGTAGATTTATCAATTATTTGTATTTTTTCCTATTTGCTTTATATCGTTCCTGCTCTCTCTGTCACTCTCTGTATGAAAACACCATGTCCCTTTACCCCAGAATACTTGAGATGGACATTGGCTTACTTAGGAATGAAACAATGATCAAAGTGAGGAAATTGAACATTGATACAATATTATTGTCTAATCCACTATTCGTATTCAAATTTCATCCATTGTTCCAGTCAGTAAGGTATCTCAAAATTATAGCTATTTTTTTTCTTGGTCTAAGACCTAATGCAGCATCAAACGTTGCATATAATTGTTGTGTTTCTTAGGTTGCCTTTAATCAGGAAAAATTCCCTATCCTTTCTTCGTCTTCCTTTGCCTTGACATTTTTGAAGGTGACAGGCCAGTTAGTTCGTAGAATGTTCTTCAGTATGGTTTTGTCTGATTATATCCAGGTTATACATTTTTGGCAGAAGTACCAGAGAAGTAATATGCTTCTCTACGCATCATATCAGGCTGTCTTATTTCAAATAATGAGTCCGATAATTTGGTAGATGATGTCTCATTAGTAGTGATGACTTTGATAACTTGGGTAAGGTTTTCCCACTCTAAACCTATTTTTTTTCCCTTTACATATATTATAAATTGTTAGTTTTTCTTTATAGGGTTGGGGTCTTGCTTGCTGTCTTGCCCAGGCTGGAGTGCAGTGGCCTGATTGTAACTCACTGCAGCCTTGAGCTTCTGAACTCAAGTGATCCTCCCACCTCAGCCTCCCAAGTAGCTGGAATTACAGGTGTGAGCCACAGCACCCGACTCTTCCCTTTATAATTAATTAGACACTTGTTGGTAGATATTTTGAGACCTTATAAATGTGCTATTTTTCTTCAAACTATGACCACTATTTTTTTGCATCATTGATGCTTTTATAACTCCATCATTCCTTCCGTATTTATTAGTTGGCCTTCTACTATTTAAAAGAAGAGCCTTTTCTCTCTCATCAGTATGACATTTTTAGAGTTTTATTTTATTTAAAGGGTTTTCATCCATTATTATCATTATTTATTTTGATGCTCAAATTGTCCCAGATTTGGCCAGGGCGAGTCCCTTCAAGTTTGTCTCTGTGTTCTTTTGACATGTCCTCATTATTGAGCACCTCCTTACTTTCTGGCACAAGAAAATATTCCAGGCCCATCTTTTACTTTCTCTGACTGAGTCCGGGAATCAGATTTTCTTCAAGGAGCCCTAGTTCCTTGTAGTGGAGAATGCTGTTCAGAATCAAGATCTGGGCTCCAATCTTGTGTCTGAGTTTAGCCATGAAATCAGTCTACTTCTGGTCAACGTGAATGTTTGAATTCTTTCTCTTCTTAAAGGAGTCCAACCATTGTCCTGCCCTTTCAGGAGTTACGCATAAATCTTCTGGAGGCCTGTTGGTCATGGGGTTTCTCTGACCTTCCGCTGCCGCCAATTCATTCCCTCTTCTCTAGGAAAGACAGCCTTCCTGGGGCATCAGCACAAAGTCTGTAAAGTCCCCAAGGCTTCCTGCTGGTGTGGGCTTCAAAGGCTTGAAGGATATCCCAGTGGCAGAGTAAAGGAGGAATTAATGCAAACAAAACCTCAAGCCATATGACAGAATCTCAAACTGTTGGGCAAAAATGGATGCAGAGAAGCTGCTAGAGAAGGTGTTATTAGGAGAGTTTCTCTCCCTGTTTTGAAGTCACAGTCTTGAATTGAAAAGCAAATTCTCTTGTGCAAAATACCTAATATTTCTTAAGGATTGACTATGTCCCAGACTGTGAGCTGTGCATGTGACACAAAGGATCTCATTTAATCCATGCAATGACATTCCACAGAGGATCTCCTGCATCCCCAGGGAGGCCCAGAGAAACGAAGTTGAAAATGATGGAATTGGGATATGTATCCCAGTAGACTGACTCCTGAAACTGTTATACTGCTGGACTCGCAGTCCCACGCAGAGGGCATGATGAGGAAAAGGTGGGCACCAATCTTTCCAGCACTGAGAGGGAGATGAAATGAAATCACTTCTGGTAGGATCCTATTAGAAGACAGAAAACCATTGTGTGTGCAATGTATCATGAAGCCCTAGAAAGAGGTTTCTCTGAGTCAGTCATTAGTAAATAAGGGATCCAGGGTTTGTGAGCAAGAGCATCCAGATTTTAATTGTTATTAACCATTTTTGATACTATAGTAAAAATACATCCCCATCTTGGGAAAATTGAAAACTATGAAAAAGTACAGAGGAAAAGAGATGTTCTGTAATCCCACTGCACTGAGATAATTATTAACATTTTAACATGCTTCCTGTGTGTATTTCTGTGTAGTTGAGATCATAGCATATAAGATTATCTGCGTTGATTTTTTTCACTAAATTTTATCACATAACCACATCCCCAGGTTGTTAAAAGCTGTTCATAAACATAGTTTTTAATAGCTGCATAGTATTTCATTTCACGCATGTAATATTATTTTATTCCTTTAATATTGGGTATTTATGTTGTTGCTACTTCCTCATTATTAAAACAAAACAAAAAGAACTAAAAACTATTGTGGTGAATGTATATGTACTTTCTGTATTTTGGTTTATTTTCTTAAAATTGAGTCTTAGAAATAATCTTCCTGCATTGAAGTATGGATATTCTATTTTTGTTATTTAAAAATAATTTAATAATTTGAATAATTCTAATTACTATTATTTTTATGGGAAAAGTTTTAAATGTTTAGTGAGAAAGACTTGGAGCAATGCATTAATTACATATGGATAAGAAGACATGGCAGGATCTCCAGAGCTTTTCCTGGGGTGTATGGTGGGGAGCTATGTAAAGATAGTCCACATAAACCCCACTAAATAGAAGCTGCTCCTAAATATTTCCAAACAGGAGCCCAAAATAGATGAACAGTCTCCAACTCATCTTTAGAGTAGTGGAACTGCTTCTTCAGATCAGATCAGTGATGTTCATAGACATTGCTTCTGTCTGAGTGGAATAGTACTGTTCAATGTCTCTCAGGATGCAGATGTTGGTCATTCTTTACAAAGTTAATGGCCACAGCCTTCCAGCCATATCGACCTGATCTCCAAATTCTGTGTGAGTACAATTCTGTTTTTTGGGCAGGTCATAGTTAATGATGACGGACACCTGAGGGACATCTGACCTCCCGGCCCAGACATCTGTGGAAATGAGCCCTGTGCTGGTGCCGGATGGGAACTCCTTACTGACGGACTGTGGCCCTTTCTGAGGTGTGTCTCTGTGCATCGAGGACACGGTGAGAGCAGCATCTCTCATTTTCTCCATCAGCCAGTCAACTTTCCTTTTGGTGTTACAGAAGATGACCACCTGAATAACAGTTAGCATTTCGTAGAGATCACATGGGATGTCGAATTTCCACTCTTCTCTTTCCACTGCCACAAAAGGCTGTTTGATGCCTTCCAGAGTCAATTCACCAAGATGTGGATTGGGTCCATCATGTACTTGTTGGTCATCTCTAGGATTTCGCGAGGCAGTGTAACACTGATGAGAACTACTTGTGTGACTGGAGGCAAGTACCTGAACATGTCGCAAATCTGATCTTTGAAAATTAAGTTTACTTGTTTATTATAAAGGATATTGCAAAGGATACAGATGAAGAGATGTGTAGGGCAAGGTAGTGGGGAAGGCGCTGGGAGCTTCCAAGCCCTCCTGAGTGGACCACTCTCCAGGAACCTCCATGTGTTAAGCTATCAGGAAGCTCCCTAATTATTTTCAATAAGTAATACAAACATGTATAAAACACAAATTCAAAAGATACATAAGGTTATACAGTGAAACCAAGTCTTCCCACTCTACCTTCCAGCCACCAAGAGTCCAGCTTCAGTTTCTTGCTTTTCCTTTCAGAGAAATCCTTTGCATTATGAGCACATGCATCTGGCAGATCATTCTGTGTCACAGCGTAAAGACATGCTTTATTATTTATTATTTTTATGTCACCCAGGCTGGATGGAGTGCAGTAACTATTCAAAGACGTGATCATAGCACACTACAGTCCCCAACTCCTGGGTGCAAGTGATGCTCCTGACTCAGCCTCCTGAGTAGCTGGGACTAGCATTTTTCTTTTTAATGGCTGTGTACTGTTTGAGTGTACATCTCCTGCGGATGGAGACTTAGTTGTTCCTAATTTTTTCCTGCAATAAACAATGCTGTACTGAATCATGCTACGTGAATCTCACTTCCACAGGATAAGATCTTAGGAGTGGAATTGATGAGTTAAAAGATACAAACATCTAACATTTTGATATATATTACAAAATTTATCTCCATAGAGATTATATCAGTTTATATTTCTATTAGTGATATGAGAAGAGAGAGCCTGTTTTCTTATACTCCCATCTACAAAGTCTATTATCAAATGTATTGAAGTTTGCCAGTTTAGAAGGTTGAAGTGTTATTTCATTATAATTTTGATTTCTTTTATTTTGAGTGAAGTCGAGCATTTTTTTGGAAGTCACTAATTATTTCCTTTCCTGAGCAGGCTGTCTTCTTTTGGGCTGTTTGTTTTTTTCCTTATTAATTTGTAGGACATTCTTTACACAGTGAGGAAATTTTAGCTCTTTGGTTGTGATATCATCTGCAAGTGTGTGTTTTTTGGCCTAGATTATCTTTTCAATTGTTTATGTTATTTGTTTGTTTATTTGTGTGTTTTTGCCATTCAGAAATATTTTATATGTATGGTTCCAGCTTTCAAAATTTTTATTTTCAGGGTTCTGAGTTTTGTCACATACATAGATTGTCTTTTCCCACTTGGAGAGTTTAAATATATTTTTCCATTTTCCCTTGGTATTTTTATGGGTTTATATTTTACACTTAGATTTTTGCTCAATCTAAAATTTGTTTTTGTGTAAAGCGTGAGATAGGGATACAACTGATTATTTTTTCACATAGCTAACCTGTACTATTTATTGTATAAACTACCTTTCCCCTGTTATTTTAAAATGCCAGCATTAACGTATGTTAAATTAGGCCTGGCCCGGTGGCTCACGCCTGTAGTCCCAGCACTTTGGGAGGCTGAGGCAGGCGGATCACTCGAGGTCAGGAGTTTGAGACCAGCCTGGCCAACACGGTGAAACCCCGTCTCTACTAAAAATATAAAAATTAGCCAGGTGTGGTGGCACATTCCTGTAATTGCAGCTACTTGAAAGGCTGAGGCACGAGAATCGCTTGAACCTGGGAGGCAGAGGTTACAATGAGCTGAGACTGTGCCGCTGCACTCTAGCCTGGACGACAGTGAAACTCCGTCTTAAAAAACAAAACAAAAACAAAAACCCATATATTAAATTTATATTATGTATTTGGGTCTATTTATCAATTTTTCTGTTATGTTCTACTGGTATTTTTTTCATGAATGGTGGTGTACTTTAAAAATTATTCTAGCTTTATAATATATGTCAACACCCAGCATTGCTCTTTTTCATTATTACTCTTTTTCTTGCTTTTCATTTCAGATAAATTCTTTACATTTTTCTGAACAGTCTTGACCACTTTTTTTTTTCCCCATAGGAACATTAGAATGGCTTTGCCTATGTTTTTTTCTTAATTATATGTGTTTTCACTAGAGATTTTTTTTTCTTTTTCTTTTTTTTTTTCTTTTGAGACAGTCTCATTCTGTCGCCCAGGCTGGAGTGCAGTGGTGCCATCTTGGCTCATTGCAACCTCCACCTCCCAGGTTCAAGCAATTCTCCTGCCTCAGCCTCCTGGGTAGCTGGGATTACAGGGGCATGCCACCACACCTGGCTAGTTTTTTTGGTATTTTTAGTAGAGATGGGGTTTCACCATATTGGCCAGGCTGGTTTCCAACTCCTGACCTCAAGTGCTTCGCCTGCCTCAGCCTCACAAAGTGCTGGGATTACAGGTGTGAGCCACCATGCTCAGCTCACTAGAGTTGTGTTGAATTCTCTGATTAATTTGGGGAGAGATGACATCTTTATAATTTGATTTTCCTTGTTTCAGAGAATGGTTGTCTTTCCATTTATTTACTGTCTATTTGCCCCTTAGAAGCATTTAAAATTTTACTTCGTGTAGATTTTTCATACTTTTGGCTAAGTTCATTCCTAGATATATTATCCCCGCCCCCCACTTTTTTTTTTTTTTGCTATTTCAAATCAAGTCTTTTTCTTCCATTTTACAATATAATCAGTAGTTGCCTGAACAGTAAATATATGATGGCTATTAATTTTATGTAACAATTTTGTTTCTGGTCACACTTATGCTTGTTCTTAGTTTTAGTAATAGCTTTGTGTTATTAAAACAGTTGACTTGGATTTTCTTGAGAGAGTATTAAATTATTTTAAATGATGCTAGTTTTACCTCTTTTCTTTCTCTCTCTCTTTCTTTTTTTTTTTTTTTTTGAGACAGGGTCTCATTGTGTCACCCAGGCTGGAGTGCAGTGGCATGATCTCTGCTCACTGCAGCCTCTGCCTCCCAGGCTCAAGTGTTCCTCCCACCTCAGCCTCTTGAGTAGCTGGAACTACAGGGGCACACCACCTTGCCCGGCTAATTTTTTCATATTTTTTATAGAGATGGGGTTTTGCCATGTTGCCCACGGTGGTCTCCAACTCCTGAGCTCAAGCAATCCGCCCAACTTGGCCTCCCAAAGTGCTGAGATTACAGGTGTGAGCCACCGTGCCCAGCCTCTTTTCTTGTTTTTATGCCTCATTTCTTTTTCTTGTTTTGTTATATTGGCTAATATCCCCATTATAATGTTATATAGTAGTTGATAAAATGGGCATCTTTGTTTTGTTTCTCATTTTTTTGAGACTATGTATAATTTTTTCTCAGTAAGCATGATGGGAGATTGAAATAGATGTATTTTATCATGCTAAGGAAGTTTACCCATCTTTTCCTATTTTGTTAAGACAAAAAAATTAAAAGTAGATATTGAAATTTAAAAAAAAAAGAAATTTTCAAATGCTTTTTTTTTTTTTTTTTTTGAGATGAAGTCTCACTCTGTCGCCCAGGCCACAGTATAGTGGCGTGATGTTGGCTCACTGCAACCTCCGCCTCCTGGGTTCAAGTGATTCTCCTGCCTCAACCACCCGAGTAGCTGGGATTACAGGTGCACACCACTATGCCCAGCTAATTTTTTGTATTTTTAGTAGAGACGGGGTTTCAACATGTTGGCCAGGCTGGTCTTGAACTCCTGACCTCATGATCCGCCCACCTTGGCCTCCCAAAGTGCTATGATTACAGGAGTGAGCCACCACACCCGGCCTGAAATGCCTTTTCAACATTTATGGAGACAGTTGTATGGATTTTCGCTCTTGATCCATTAATATCAATGGGTTTCTTAGTATTTTTGGAATAATCCCAATGGTATGGGTATTTCAAAGACTTTGATCCTTATTGCTACTGCTGCGTAGTATAGAAAGATTGTACTTGTTTGCTGCCCCATCATAGTTGTATCAGAACACCTAGCAAATGTAGCATGGGGAAGGCAATCAGTGCTCTCCTGCAGTAAAAAGTTATTATTAAAGAGATGAGGAAGATAAAAAATTTAAAAAAAGAAATAAAAAAACCAGAAAGGGATGAGAAGTGGGCAGATCTTCAATCTTAGTCCATTTCTGTGGGAAAACCATCTGGGTAAAAGCACCTTGCATCTTTGCAGGATTCAGTTATAGCAACAGGAAGGTACAAAACCCACGCACATGGAACCACTGTGCCTTCTAGCTTATGAAACACTCTTTCTGGGTACCTGTGGGAAGAATCAGGTATGTTATTCAGGAATGCTGAGAAGCAAAATTCAACTAACATGGACACAAAAAGAAATGAATTGGCTCATGTAATTGGAAATCTAAGAGGGTGGATCTGACTTTGGGTAGAGCAGAATCTATGAGTTCAAACACTATGATCAAGACTGTTCTTTATTTTTTGGCTCTTGGCTACCTTTGTTAACTTCATGCTTAGAAAGCCATTCTTCACATCCAGGCAAAACGGCCACCAGCTGTGCCAGACTTAGGCTTACCTCATTCTTCATTCTTCTTGAACTAAGAAGAGACCTTACATCTTTTCCCTCCTACTATCAAAATAATTTTTTTTTTCTTTTGAGACAGAGTAGAGCCAGGCTGGTCTCAAACTCCTGAGCTCAAGCGATCTGCCTGCCTCGGCCTCTCAAAGTGCTGGGATTACAGGCATGAGCCACTGCACCTGGCCTAAAATAATTCTTAAAAAAAAAAACCTATGGCTTTGCTATGCCACAGGTCCACCTGCTTTTCAATTGCTTTGCTCAGGAAATGGAGACATCCTGATTTTGATTTTTCTGCCTGGGTCATGTGTTTGCCTCTGCAGTGAGAAAGCAAAGTAGACAACAAGCAGTGGATGAGGTGATAGAACCAGGAAATTCAAGGAGCTTCCTGGCGTTAGATCAAATCTTCACCATGGGTCTTGATAGAAGTAAATATTTCCTCTATAAATTATGCAAAGAAACACCATGATACTTTTTTTTTTTTTTTTTTTTTTTGAGACAGAGTCTCACTCTGTCACCCAGGCTGGAGTGCAGTGTCGAGATCTCAGCTCACTGCAACATTTGCCTCCTGGGTTCAAGCAATTCTCCTGCCTCAGCCTCCCAAGTAAGTGGGATTACAGGCACACCCCAACATGCCTGGCTAATTTTTGTATTTTCAGTAGAGACCAGCTTTTGCCATGTTGGCCAGACTGGTCTTGAACTCCTGACCTCAAGTGATCTGCTCACCTCGGCCTCCCAAAGTGCTGGAACTACAGGCGTGAGCCACTGCACCCAGCCAACACTATGATACTTTGAATTTAGCTGAACGGGCTCTAAAATTTAGATATTCTTATCTTTTCTCAGCCAAATCATGGGAGGTGAGCATATTGCCTATATAGACTCTATTGAATATTATTTGAAAGCCCATTAAATTAAATAAACAAACCCTTGGCAACATGGGATTGCCGTGAATTTGACTTTTATCTTAATGTGTCAGGAAATAGTTGATGATATTTCCTCAACAATGACAAAGAAAATAAATTGAAATTAATTCTTTTTAGTTGATTAACTTCATGGCAATATACATATACTTCAGAGGTTCAAGATTTAGGGAAAATAAGCATCCGGTGAAGAAGAAATTGAAGAGAAAGACTTGGAAGAGGAGAACTCACAAATACAAGTGAGAGATGTTTTGACAGTAATGGGATATCAAGAACTGAATTGGCCCTGAAACTGTGTTCATTAAGTGTTGTGTGTTTCTTTGAGGTTTATTAAGACCCTGGAGAGGAAACGAACACATTTCAACACAGAGAAATAAAAATGCTCATTTAGGACTATAACATGTCTCCCCTGAGTTTTTTTAAATGTTATTTTTGACACACTTTTTTGGCATTTTGACACGCCGTTGTTACAGATCCAGTCACAGCACAGTACTTCCATTAGACAAAAACAACAGCATTTTTATTTCTCTAAGTGAAAAAGAGTTTGAAGTGAGATTTGAACTGACTTTCAAGAACTCTTCAGTGCAGTGAAAGAGTTGAGAAGATAAGACTGAGACGATGTTTGTGTGAAGAGAGGCAGGTAGGTCCCTAGCTCCTTCTCTAGGAACCCAGTCACTGTCAGCTGAGTTACTGTGCGGGACAAAATCCCAATAGCAGCACAGCCTTGACCTTGTTCTCAGGCGCTTTGGAAAGAAAACCTCACACAGGTACTGTACATGCGCCGGGAGCTGGAGGGAGTTTGGCTTTTTGCCAGGCAAGAAACTCTGTAGCATCTCAAGGTTGTTGTCCAGACAACTGTAATCCAAAGTCTCTGGTAACAGCCAGGAATAGGGGCGTCAGCCTGTAGTCCCAGCTACTCAGGAGGCTGAGGCGGGAGGATTGATTGAGCCCAGGAAGTTGAGGCTGCCGTGAGTTGTGATTGTGGCACTATGCTCCAGCCTGGGTAACAGAGCAAAACCCTGTCAAAAACAAACAACAAACAAACCAAACAAACAAACATTCCCTGATAAGACTTAGGACAGATCTTGAGGAAATTTGGAAAGCAGAGAAGCCATTTCTTCAGTGTTTCAGGGATATCTAATCTTTGAAGCCAACTCTCACCCTGCTCCTTAATTTCTTCTCTTCTTTTCTTTCTCCTTTCCCTTTAATTTCTGCTCACCTGTAGGTAAAATAGAGTATGAGACACTGAAAGTTACTAAGAGATCCGTAGTACGTGTCAGTCCTGGTGAGGAATCACTGAGGCCCTTGAGCCCACTTCTACCTCTCACACAGTTACACCTGGAAAATGTCCTTGACTTTCTTGAGCCTCAATTTCCCAATTTATAAAATGGGGATAAAGATATCTACCTGGTGGGGTTATTGTGAGGCTTTCTGCACCTGAAACAATGTTTAGCATGAAGTAGTTGTTCAACTGATGTTAGTTCCTCCTTTCTTTTTCCCTTATTTAGGAGAAATGAGACATAAGCATATGAAAAAGTAATTAGCCTTCAAAGAATATTTGCATATACAACAATTTTTGATCTAGATCCTGTTTACCAAAGCAAACTGTGGCTTTGGAAGATTAAATGAATGATTTTCTATAGTGACACATACCCCAGTCTACTCACTAGTGGTAGAGCAAGTAATCCTTTAGAAATATATGTAAGCAGGCTGGGCATGGTGGCTCATGCCTGTTATCCCAGCACTTTGGGAGGCTGAGGCAGGTGGATCACTTGAGGCCAGAAGTTGGAGACCAGCCTGGCCAACATGGTGAAACCCCGTCTCTACTAAAAATACAAAAAAAAAATTAGCCGGGACTGGTGGCAGGTGCCTGTAATCCCAGCTACTTGGGAGGCTGAGGCATGAGAATCTCTTGAACCTGGGAGGCAGAGGTTGCAGTGAGCCAAGATTGCACCATTGCACTCCAGCCTGGGCGACAAGAGTGAAACTCCATCTCAAAAAAAAAAAAAAAAAAAAAAAAAAGAAATGTATGTATGCTGGCTAAAGAAAAAAAATACACGTAAAAATAAATAGATGGGATTAAATAAACAAGAATTGACTAAAATAGGGGTCTCCTGCAGTCAGACGATCTGGGCTCAAATCCTGGCTTGGCTTCACACTCTTGGGTGAGCTGTTTAATCTTCTGAGCCTCATTCTTCTCATCTGTGAATGGGGATGACCATGGGGGCTGATAAGAGGAGGATTAACTGGAGCAATGACTATAAGCCAAGTAGACAGGATCTGGCATGGCACGGACACTTAGTGTTAGCTGTTATTAACAATACAGAATGTAATTATCAGTCAAGTTGGCTGTTTGCATGTTTGTAAGGGAACAAGGATAAGGCAAAAGATCCTAACACAATTCAGGGTATTTTTCCACACAAGTCCTGACTGTTCCAGAAGGTGTTAGGGCATTTGGGAGATTGCTGTTCGGAAGGGATTTAACCAATGGCTGACATCCCTGCTTCCTCCCCCAACTTCACCCCCACGCTGTAGATCAGTGCCAGCTCTGTGCATGAAGCATTAGTCATACTGTCTTTTTACACAGCAGTTAACCTTACTTGTCACTGCTTCCGGTGGGAGATCAAGAGCATTGAAATTACGGAGGTGGCACCATAAATCATGGTCACTTCTTGACATGGCCAGACAAAGCAGCTGGAAAGAGCCTTGCTGCAATGTCAGTTCAAAGTTGAAATGTAAAGTTTTAACATATGAATTTTCTCTCTCTTTTTATTGTCATCCTGATTTTTCCTTGTTCCCTCATGACTCAAAGGAGCGCACGGGAGATTGAACTGGCAGCTTGGTGGGTTAATCATCATGCATGGTTTTTCTTTCTTTCTTTTTTTCTGCCCTCCAAGTGGGAACATGGTGATTTAAGAATGAAATAATTGAGCAAATCTAACTTGGTATAGTGAAAGAGCTGTTTTCACCTGCGAAATCTCAAGTTTCAGCATCTAATTTTAAACACAAAAACTCTTAGAAGGTAAGCTCCATGAAGGATGTATCCAAGGCCTTGCACCCTGCCTAGGACATGCAGACACTTATCAGATATTTGTGAAATTCATGGATGACAGCTCTGGCTTTCTGTCTTTCTCATTGCTTTAGTTTCTCCTATTCTTTTACCAAGACTTCCTCACCTGAACCCTCAAGTGCCCCCCAGATATCAATTAGTGAAACACCTCTGGAAGAGTTGTTAATATGGTTTGGCTCTGTGTCCCCACCCAAATCTCATCTTGAATTGTAATTCCCACGTGTCAAGGTAGGGACCTGTAATACCTACATGTCTAGGGAGGCAGGTAATTGGATCATGGCATCGGTTTCCCCCATGCTGTTCTCGTAATAGTGAGTGGGTTCTCAAGAGATCTGATAGTTTTATAAGTGTTTGGAAGTTCGTCCTTTGCACTTCTCTCTCCTACTGCCTTGTGAAGAAGATGCCTGCTTCCCCTTCCGCCATGATTGTTAAGTTTTCTGAGGGTTCCCCAGCCATGCAAAACTGTAAGTCAATTAAACTTCTTTCCTTCATAAGCTACCCAGTCTCAGAAAAGTTCTTTACATCAGTGTGAAAATGGACTAATGTAGTTGACTTTCTGGATTCAGTTCTTTTCAGTTCAGCTGCCATGACCTAGGACCTTAACTATAAACTTGTCCTTTCTGAGGGCTTAGGATCCTGACCTGTCTCTATTTAGTATCCTGTTTTCTTGTTTCCTCATGTTAGGCAATTGGATTTTATGAAAGCTATACATCTCTTCCCAGATTAATGCACATCCAGATGAGGTGCATATAGCTTGGTCCATGATTTTTTTGGAACTTTTGGGGACACACTCATGAATCCAAGTCAAAGACCATGCCTTTTGTAATTGCTTGTTTAATTATCCGTAGCTGCCACCAAGCTCTCCTCTCCTTGAGGGCGGGGAATAGGTTTTCCTCAACTTCTATCCATTTCTCAACCCACTACAATTAGGTTGTCATCTCAAAACTACCCTTCAGAAGTGGGTAGAAGTGCTCTCCAGGCCGCCAACTGCCCGAGCCATTCCCAATTCCTGTAGTTGGTCATTATTACTCACTCTTTTCTTCTCTCCTTTTCTTGGCTCTCACGACACCATTCTGCCTTTATTCTGCTAGCTCTTGGATGCTTTCTTCTTCGTTTCTTCCCTGGCTTCTCTTTGTCTTCTCTACCCCTGAATGCTCATCTTCCTAAGGGCTCTAGTCCCACTCCCCCTTTCCTCACATTCTACATCCCCTTTCTGAGGAAGTGCATCTCAGTTCTTGGTTTCCATCACTATGTGTCCGCTGCCAATAACCAGGGCATATCCCAGCCCAGACCTCACTCCTGAACACCCCCTCATCCCTCTACAGTCACTTGTGGGATGGCTCCACTGGCTTGTCTTTAGGACCTTATGTTCAACATGTCCATTGGGAGAGAACACATCTTCTTCACTCCTGATGTTTTCTTCTATGGGAAGTCATGTGCATTAGTACAACACTTTCAGCCTCTTTGTATTCCCTCTCCACTTTGGAGAGGAGAAAACTCCCTGATTGGCGAGCTGCTCTTGGAGAGAATGTGGTCTTGGTTCCTCTTGAACTTCAGGAGGCTTAGTGGGAAAGTCCTTGCACTACCATGGGAGGTAAAGGGCACCCAGTCCTCCCAGGGTGGGGAGGACAAGCAGCAGTCTAATTCGGGGCTCAACCTGAGCGAATCCACTGGCCTGCAGGTATACACTGTGTTCTATAATATCAATCTTATTTTAAATAATGGGGATGTTTTAATTTCCTATTTGCTTTACTGTTTTATTTTTTTAGTGGTTCAGAAGTCAGGGCTTAGAAAAAGCACATTACTTGGCTGGGGTTGGGGTGGGAGTAGGGGTGGAGAGGACTTTCAAGTGCTCGTATTACCCTAAACTGAACTAATTATGTTCTTGTGCTTTTTCTCTGGAATCTGCCTCTTTTCTGGTTCCTCTTATTTTTCTCAATGCCAGACCTCTTTTTTCTTCCAGTGATCCTTCTAGAACTTAGCTACCTGCCAGAAAATTTTTCTGAAAATGTCCTTAATTTGTGTTAATGGAAAAACAGGGAGATTTCACTCCCCATTCTGTCTCAGGAATACAAAAGGTCACACAGGCTCTGTTTAATGCTTATGGAGGGAAGAAAAGAAAGACTTCTCGGTCATTGCTGTCACCTGGAATTAACTGAGCAAAATTTCTCTAGCTACGATGAAGCAGTCCAAAAGAAGTAGAAAATAGAGATCCTGCTCTCATGAAGTTTATCATTTAAGGAGGAGGACTGTGTCAACAAGAGATACCTAAGATCACAAATAATGCTAAAATACTGAGATACACAGGAGAGCTATGATAACAATTTCAAATTAAATGAGAGGCCGGGCTCGGTGACTCATGTCTGTAATCCCAGCACTTTGGGAGGCTGAGGCAGCTGGATCACCTGAGCTCAGGAGTTCGAGACCATCCTGGCCTACATGATGAAACCCTATCTCTGCTAAAAATACAAAAATTAGCCTGGCATGGTGGCAGGTGCCTGTAGTCCTGGCTACTAGGGAGGCTGAGGCAGGAGAATCACTTGAACCTGGGAGACGGAGGTTGCAGTGAGCCGAGATTGTGCCACTGCACTCCAGCCTGGGTGACAGAGCAAGACTTCATCTCAAAAAAAAAAAAAAAAAAAAAAAAAAGAGTGCTGAAGTGATTGGATGGGGTTGGCTCCTAGTACGTAGAACTACAGTTATTATCATTTATGGAAAAGATTAGTGTATTGTTGGAATAGGTCAAGAGACCTGACTCACTTTTGCCTTTTACATTCAAATAAATTGTTTTGTACTCCAAGACCTTTTAATTTAAACTCTGTCCTGCTTCTGTGCAGTTTTAGATGCCCTGGTTGGCTTATTGTATAAATATGGGCTTAGTTTCTATTTTGTTTTATTCTTTCCTAAACTTTATATACATCCTGACATAACTCTTGCAGGTGTAAATTCATTCTGTAAGCAACAAGAAATATCACATTCTATGTTTTCTTTAAACTAATGTAAATCTGTTGCAGAGCCCCTATCCACCGGGCTGTCTAGAAATTCAATATTGGCCATTGCTGAGGCTGCCTGTGGGATCCTACCCCTGAATAGTGCAAAGGATTTGGGCATTAGAGCCTGAGCATCAGGGATGACCATCTGGTCATTGGCCACCAGCCTATTCCTGTGACCACAGAAATTCTTAGTGTCCCCGCCTTCAGATCGGGAGGCTCTGCTACTTGTGTGCCATGTCTTTGGGCCCAGGAATCCCGAAGGAGGCCGAGGCATCATTGTACTTAGGTCTGTCCTCTCTAGGTGTCTCCCAGAGCAACACCTTCAAGGTCTTATCACCTCCCTGGGTACTCCCTGAAACGGGTGTGGATGCGAGCTTCCCACAGGACTTATATGCCTCTCTTCATTCTCCAAAATATGTTTCTCTGTGTTATGGGCTGAACTTTGGGCTCCTCCAAATTCGTATGTTGAAGTGCTACAGCACCTTAGAATGTGACTGTTTTTGCAGATAGGGCCTTTAAAGAGGTAATTAAGTAAACATGAGGTCATCCATGTGGGCCGTAATCCAATAAGCTTGGTGTCTTTGTAAGAAGGGGAGATTAGAACACAGGGAGAGACACCAGACAGATGCAGCCCAGAGAGATGAGCATGTAACACACAGCAAGAATGCAGCCACCAGGCAAGCCAAGGAGAGAGCCTTCAGAAGAAACCAACCCTGCCGACACCTTGACCTCAGACTTCCAGCCTCTAAAACGGTGAGAAAATAAATCTCTGTTGTTTAAGCTGCCCAGTCTGTGGCCTTAGTTATAGCAGTCCTAGAAAATTGATATACTCTGTATCTTAAAACAAAACAACGCAGGCTTTTACAAAAAAATTGGCTCCAAGTAGACTCTAAGTAGCTTATATTTTCTCAAATTTCTGTGGCAAGAACAGTAAGGACCTTGCTATTTGGAGGGGGATGGTGCAGCGGAGGACGAGAGGAATATTCCTTGAGAACCCAGGCAAATTGGTATCTCAGTAAATTGTCCTTCCATGGGCTGGTTTCTGTTTGCCCACTGCTCCTGCCTGGTTTTCTTCTTGTGACAGAACAGATCTCCTTGCCTTATCGACCTAGTACCTACTTATCTACCTCCACCCCATCCTCTTGAAGCACTTATTTGCCTGGTGCAAAATTCCAGATATGTAACTCTCCTTTAACTGATTCATATTGGCGGGATTAGAAGATTTGAGGGCAATGACACACTAGAGCCAAAAAGGACTTCTGACCACACTTGTGTCCCAGGAGGTGAGGGGGGTTTTAAAGGATTTGTCCTGAACATGATTTGTCAAAGATTGTTTTATAGAAACATCCTCAATATTTATTGAGGCTCTGGCCGATCTGTGACCCAAGTGAGTCAATTGATTGTTGAGCCCAGTTTCCACATTCATATTAAAAGTCATTTGATTGTTGAGCCCAGTTTCCACATTCATATTAAAAGTCAATTGGAAAAGACAGGATTTCCAAGCAGTTTATAACCTGCTTTATTTCCCTTCCTTTCTACCACCCCGTGATTTTGGTAACTTTATTACTCTGATTGGAAAAAATTGTTGTCTAATGATATTAAAATGTGCAGCTACTGATAAACTGTGACCAGTTCTTGGCTTTTTGCAAGAGCTGGGAATATCAGGTGTCATTAAATATTTTATCTCCCTTCCTTCATGCTATGACTTTAATACTGTGTTCAAAGATCATTACTCAGTAATGCTGGCAAGGCTCCCCTCCTTTGAAGACATTCTTTACAAGAGCATGTAATATTCATTATTACTCTCAGTTGCCTGCTTTTTTCCATGATATGTCCTC
This sequence comes from Homo sapiens, assembly GCF_000001405.40. NCBI lineage: Eukaryota > Metazoa > Chordata > Mammalia > Primates > Hominidae > Homo > Homo sapiens. The sequence goes on from NC_000018.10 coordinate 24,536,147, forward strand.
TCCCCCCCAAAAAAGGTTTCACTGAGGGTGAATTATTCTAGGTAGGACTTAAGCACTATAGGAAGCTACGAGTAAAACAATCTAGAGTTTGCACAATTTTCCATGAACATTGGCAGGGTGTATTTTAGAGCAAAATGTGTTTTTATGGCACTGCAGGTCCTGATTCATGTGAAGTCTTCTTCAATCTGGGGGCTGGTGCTCCAAGGTTATACACAACTTTCAAAGAGTGGGTTTTTAGGGCGGCTAGACCTTTATCTATACGATGGGAGAGTTAGCAAGCATGCTACAGAAAGGGGACCAAAAAGCATGTAATAAAACTGTAAGACACAAGGAGTAAGAAGGAAAAACGTTTGCAGCTCTATGAGTCACTGGATGGTGTCTCCAAGTTTTCCTCCCTAGTGATTATTTTTAACAATGAGAACCATCCATGTCTTACTTGAGAGGGCTTAGGCGTTCCCTTGATAAAGGTTAGGAAGATGAAAAAAATGAATTCAGATGCTGTTGAGGTCCCTCCTTAGGAGGCACCACCAGAGAGATTACTCTCAGGTCTTGACATCCAACCAGGCTGCTCTTGAACAGTTTACTTTCAGTCTCACAACGGATGGTCTTTCTGTCATCTCTTTGGCCATTAGGCAGCTTAAATGAACTCTCCAGGGTCACTTCTTGTACCTGGACAGGGCCCCATGTTATGTTTGTCTGCATTCTGATCTTACCTCTGGTTTTTACTAACTTTCTATTCTCATTTGTCTTTGCCCTGATTCCTTCAACTATTTTATTCTTTTGTGATGTATATACTTTTGTAAGTTGGCTGAAATCCTTTGTGGATTGAGGTGAGGGTAAATATAGGCAAAGGAGGAAAATGAATTATGGAGTTTCCATTGCACCTGACACTTCTGTGTAATAGGATATTGGGAGATTAGGCACGATGAGGGATGTCTCTTTCCAAAGTATTTTGTGTTTTGTTCTTATAGGCACTTGTAGGTATTTTTGGACCTTAAAATTGGAACACATGTTCTTAGATAGGGTCTACCATAATAGCAACAGGATAGAATATTTGGAACAGTTCTGCTAAATAGAGGATGAATAATCTATTCATTATTATGAATAGATTAAATAATACATAAAGAGCAAAGGAGAATTCAGGGAAGTAAGAGAAACAATATACATTTCTACAATTTAAAAGGGTTTAAGTTTTATTTTACAAGCTGCAGATAAAGTAATTATAAAATTCATAACACTAAATTGCTACCCATATATTTTTTTAACCAAGGCTGAAACATGTCTTTTGGATTGGAGGAATTTATTTATTTTAAAAAAACGATCATAGTTTGTCCGGGTGAGGTGGCTCATGCCTGTAATCCCAGCACTTTGGGAGGCTGAAGCAGGCGGATCACCTGAGGTCAGGAGTTCAAGACCAGCCTGGCCAACATGATGAAACTCCGTCTCTACTAAAAATACAAAAATTAGCTGGATGTGTTGGCACCCGGCTATAGTCCCAGCTACTTGGGAGGCTGAGGTAAGAGAATTACTTGAACCTGGAAGGTGGAGGTTGCAGTGAGCCAAGATCACACCATTGCACTCCAGCCTGGGAGACAGAGCAAGACTCCATCTCAAAACAAACAAACAAACAAAACCAAAAAACCCCAAAACAATAATTTACTACTTTTCCACGTGAATAGATAGTACATTTTGAGATGTATTCTGTATCTATTCCTCAAACTATCAGGTCTGAAATCTGAAATCCTTTATGATCGTGCTTGTTCTCCTTTCAAGAACAAATTGAGGCAGGATAAATGCAACACCCCTGGATGCGATCAGTTGGATTTAACTCATGCCAGGACAGAGAGGCTGGTTTTGGCTTGCTGTTGGCAACTGGGCATTTCAGCTCTAATTTTGATTTTCATGAAGCACAAGTTATTTTTCTCTTGGTTTTTGTTTTTTGACACAGAGTAGAGGTAAAGGAGTGCTTTTCACCACCTTCCCATGCACACAGGAGACTCAGCGTGGTTCGATCTGCATTCCAGTGCACTGTCTCAGCCTTCTCCTGAGGGTTCTGGAGTTAATGAACTAAGTCAAAATCTCTGAGCAAAATGATTTCTGTCTCTGGAGGTAGAGGATGCCATGTGGGATGCTGCCCAGATATGAAACAATGATCCTGTGTCCCAACAGCAGAAAGGTTTGCTCAGGCTCTGAGTGAGAGCCGGTGTGAAAACCTTAATGCTAAAATGTAAAAGGCTTTGCGTGCACTCTGTTGAAATGCAGCTCTCCATCCTAAGTAACATTTTAGGCAGCATATTGGCAATACAAAACATTTGAATAAAATCACTGATGGTATTAGTCACCATCCACCCCTTTCCCTGAGTCTTTAGGGATGTGCGTGCATGAAGTGCAAGCAAAATAACCTTAATCTAATCACCTCTGGAGATTGAGAGGCGTGTGCTCATATAAATGTCAAGTTGGGACATAATTTAGCTGATCTCTGGGGTTTATCACTATTGCCAGACTTCCTCTTTATTTGATCTGGTGAAGCAAATTAAATGTGTCTCTTTAGTTCTAAACCAGGTAAGGAAAGGAGACTAGAATTTGTGAATTTCTTATTTGGATACAATAATCATGCAGCCAGTCCTGATTTATGGAGGCAGCAAGGTCCACTGTGTGTGTGTGGGAGCCGCAGAAAGGAACCAAGGGCCAATTATCTTGGCCTACCTGTTATCTACTAGTTGGAGATTATCTCCTTGACAACACTACTAGATGTACTAAAGGCTGTGGAGCAGAGGTTAATTGCAAAACAAAAATAAAGCTGTACTTAAATATTAGAGGAGAAAATTCTCTTTGTGTACACCTGGCCCTGGTCATTATTCTCAGCCCTGTGAGAGCCAAACCTCCAGGTAGTGCATTTGAGATGCTTAGATAAGGAGAGCTCATCCAGAAACACCCTGACCTCTGGTAAAGACAATAGCTTTTTGCCACAATTTAGGAATATCAGGGCTCGATCTTGATAGAATAGTGTAGGCATCATTTTTAGCTGGGGTGATTTTCCTCCCAGAGGACATTTGGCAATGTCTGCAGATATTTTTGGTTGTCACGTTGGGGGGATGGTATCTAGTGAGTAGAGACCAGGGATGTTGCTGAAAACCCTGCAACACACAGGACAATTGCCCCACAACAAAGATTTACTTAGCCTAATAGATCAATAGTGCAAAGGCTGAGAAACTTAGGTCTGGTGGAACATTTATATATATATATATTAAACATACAGCATTTACTGAACTAAATGGATAAAAAAGAGATCTGTCTCATTTTTCTAAACAAATGCAAGTTATATGATAACTGGGTTATTAACATTCTACATGCACCTCAGAGACAAATGGTCAGCTGTGCAGTCTTTTCACTAGATCACTAAACAGCAAAGCAAAAACGTTATCCTAAAATTGCAGAACATACATATCCTTCTAATGGCATGGAAGAAATAAAAAAAAGCATACAGAGGTCCTTTTCACAATATGAAATAGACATATCCAAAATTTCAGTTTGCAGCACTCTTAATCCTATGCCCCCTAAACTACATTTTAGGTATAGTTACAAATATCTGTTCCAATCATGTCAATATTCATAAGAACATATTTCAACTTCCTCTATATGTAGACCCAGAAGGGAACATTTTTAGTGTGATGCGATATTGCATAAAGCAGTTGATGCCTTGGAAGTGGATCACTCCGTAAAGTAGTGCTGTAAATATTTTTATTCAGTACACCAAGTTTCAGTTGACAGGTCCCTACACTCCTTTGCCTCTGCTGAGGCATGCACATTTCTTCTACAGCCCCTGCCTCTGTAGCAACTGCTTGCTGCATAAACAATCTCTATGTAGCACGGCAAAGACTTAAAATAACCACCAACGCCTTCTAGTCATACAGAAACGAGTCCCCTTCATATGTAACCAACTTGTATAACTGACTTCCAAAATAGAATAGCTGTTTTGTTTTTCATTTATTTTGATCCTGCATTTTGGTTTCAAGAGGAGTTATTTCTATTTAGCAATGACTGCTCTGTGGTATAAACTAGATATGAATGTATGTGACTGTTGACTTTATTCTTTGATCAGTGTTGACACTTTTTAGCTATTTATTTTTTGATCCTAGCACTTGCTAGCTTATTTTAGTTTTAAAGGCTAAGCTCGTGTGAAGTCAGCCTGGGACCAGTGTTGCTTGGCATCTTATGTGGAGAACAGCTTAACTGCATTTGCCCTTATCCTAGTGATGTGCAATAGAGCTCCCATTCCCATGAGACTTGGGGCCAATTAAGCAACTCAAACAGGGAGGCAGCATAGCATGGTGATTAGATGTACTGCTTTTAGAATTGTGGCTCCAACACATGGTTAATTGTGTGGATATTGAGCAAGTTACTTAGTCTATCTGAGCCTGAGTCTCTTCATAATAGAATGAGAGATCATAATACTGCTTGGGTGGTCATGGGGATTAGTAAGGGCTCAATAAATGGTAGCTTTAAGACAATGAGAGATGCTATGTCATTCATTGGGGACCTCTCTTCCTCCACCTTCCTTCCTTACCTTGATGAGAAATCTTGGTCAGGAGTGAGAGCTGGGTTCCAAGTCTTTCATAGCCTGGTCATCCCTTCCCTATATCCATTGAGGAAGTGGTCAACTTAGTCTTGTTCCACTAATCTGTGTGATCTGCAAATTCTCGTGTCTGCTTTTTGCCAAAAGGCAGAAATCACAGGCCCTTCTTGCTACCAAAGTGCTGGTATTTCTTCACACCTCAGTTACCCCAGGACCTGAATGCTCTCTTGGTGAGCTTAAATCATCACTTTCTTCTGCCGGCCTTTTGGGCTCCAAGGTTTCACCTCTGCTTACTCTGCTCACACCAGGGCCGTCCCAGGGCCTGGTCATCGTTCTCGTCATGGTCACGTGGTAGGCCTTGTTTCTGGCATTATCAAGAATCTGGTGACCTTCAAAGATCTGCCTGACACCGGATTCTCTCTTGCATTTCACTCTGCACTTCGAAGGCCAGTTCTCTATCCAATCCTTCATTATTTTGTCGGTAAATGGCATGGGTTGGCCCACATTTGGATGTGATTGATAATTGGAAGCAGCTTCTGTTGTTTTCCCCTCTTTTTTCTTTTTAGAGACAGGGTTTCAGTCAAGCGATCCTCCTGCCTCAGCCTCCCAAGTAGCTGGTATGTGCTGCTGTGTGTACACAGGTGTCTGCCACTGTGTCTGGCTAATTTTTAAAAATTTTTCATAGTGACAGGGTCTCACTATGTTGCCCAGGCTGGTCTTGAACTGCTGGGCTCAACTCCTGGGTTCTTCTGCCTTGGTCTCACAAAACTCTGGGATTACAAGCATGAGCCATGGTGTCCAGCAAAGAAAGCTGCTTCTCTAGTAGAGAGCTTTGGCTACCATATTACCTATGCTGTTCTGTTGGGCCTCAGCCTCTTTCTCCTTGGTGATTGGAAAGATAGTGTGTGTCCTATTTCCTTCAAAACAAGAAGACATAGCCCTGTGTGACAGAAGTTTATCAGATTGTGAGTTTTTTGGATAGGAACAATGTTTTCTTCATTGTTTTATACTCACAACCAATCACATAGAAGATGTGAAATAGATGTTTGCTAAATGAATGATGATATCTGGGAAATGTAGATGAATGAGTCCCTTATCTTATTTTTTACTTGTTTGGGATGCTGAGTGTTCTTTGCTGGAGGTATGGGGTAGATAGGGTGTGTGAGGGAATGGCAGGAGAGAAGTATATTGTGGTCAGAGCACTATGGCCTGTGCCATATAAGGCAAATAGAATCTATATGACATAAAAGGGAAGTAGAATCTATGTGACAATGAGAAACCAAGGCAGAGGTTTTAGATGCAAAAAGATATCGTATGTCTAATTATTTTAAAAGTTGTCTTGAAATCCTCAAAAAAACCTCAGAGAAAATTCATTTTAGTGGACCTTCATTCAAATCAGTTATATTCTGTATAGTGCATTTTATGTGTTATATAAGGAACGAAATGAAATCAAGTAACAGGGTGTGGCTGTCATCTATAACTAAGCATGCAGATGGCCCCTTTCTTTTGTCTCAGATTATACGTTTCTCTTTTCTCTGATACTTGGGCTTTTGGACCTTGAAAGGAATTACTTGTGAGAACTGAGGACCCACTTGGTTCAAGGATGCTGAGCTTGGGAAGTTGTGGGGATTATGTAACACATCAGAGGGCAAATGGCACTTTGCTAATAGGAGACCCCGTAGGGCAGGAAGATTGTATTGTACTCCTAATCAATCATTTCAGCAATTCTCGACTCTTACAAATCTTTATTCTGATCTAGACTGCAGCCCATCTGCACAGAAGATGCAGTAAAACCATTAAATAAATTCACACTCACACTCTTTCATTTATTATTGGCTGTAACATTGACATTACCATATTTCATGTAGGGAGAAAAGTATAATAATTATACTAACTATTTATATACATGTGCTCTTTCAAGAATTAACAATTTTCTGGTAATGGCCAAGAATTATCTTCTTAATACAAATGCGTTTCTGTTGTTATAAGACTTTCTGCTCTTTCATATAATTATAGCTTTAAGAAGAAATTGACTTGGATTTCTCTGTGTTTTTGTATAATTGGAATTCAGAAATATGCTTTTGCCAAGAATATCATGTTTTATTGCATTTTTTTGCAAGGTTATAGGATGATGAATTGGAAATGATCATTTTGTCCATTTTTTACATTTTATGTAAAAATGCCATTTGATGTGGTTTAAAGAGTCTTTTAACCTTTTTTTCCCTCCAAGGTGGATCTAGAGGACAGTGGTATAAGATTATTTAGACAATACCTTTAAGTATTTTGCTTTGTTTGCTAGCACTGTGTCAATATAATCAACATATTTAGTAGCAAGAGACTCTAAACAATAAAAATATCTTTCTAGGTAACTGACCCCTAAAATGATATTAAAGAAAATATATTGAATACTATTTAATATCATTTTAGGGGTCAGTTATGAATATTTTATTTAAAATGAGATAAACGATCTAAGTTACAGCTTATGCAAAACCATCTAGAGCATTGGGCAAAAGACCGTTTAGATCAGCCTCTGATAAGTCTGGCTGTTGAACCATGAGCTTAGGGACTGTCGCTTGTCACAAGCTCCTGTTCCATTCTCCCAGGCCACTGCTTAGTGGGTCAGCTACAAACACCACAGACTCAGTTGGCAAATTAGATAACTCAACATGTAGATTTTCAGTGTACAAACTACACAGAGATGGGATTTATACCAATTTAGCTCCTAACACTGCTTAACCCACACAGTTACCTTGTGCTGTTCCAGCCTATTTTATTCTGAGACATTTAGATCATTCAGAAACTATCCTTCTTTCTGATCTCCAGATGTGACCTCAAGGTGCAACCTCCAGATCCAAACTAGGCTGGACAGACCCACCAAATCCTTAACTGGCAGATCCTTTGGGGTATAATGCCTAGGAAATCCTCAATTCATTCATTCATTCATTCATTCATTCATTCATTCATTCATTCATTCATTCAAAGAGTCAAAAATATCCGAGCCCTTGCTATGTGCTGACATTGTGCTAAGTGCCAGGGGAGAAAAAGCAAATAAGCCCAGGGCCTTACCCTAATACAGTTCTCTGTCTGAGAGCCTTCAGCTGGGCTCATTCTTTCAGCTTTCTGTTCTTTGTTCCTGGTTTGACTTATGGAACACCGTCTCTCTCATTTTCCCGCTGTACACATTTATGGCCATCCTCACACACTGTGCTTCCCGTGGCAACTCATTGCTGACTCCAATTTGGCAGGTAGTTTATTGCCTGCTCCATTTTATAGATGAGGCAGTAGAGAGCTCTTTTTTCTATGCTTGAGCGAAGACTGTCTGCAGACATGAATGCTACAAGCTGAGAGGCAGAGGCCAGTGTTATCCTGAATTTGAAGACACAACATTCAGGCTTTTCTTGATGTTCAGAGGAACCCAAAACTGAGTTGTTCAAAAAATATTTTTTCTGGTATAATTATTTCTAGGTTGGGGGAAAAAAAAAAAAAATCACAAACCTCATCCAGGTGTAACTTAATTGACCACTGGATGTCACCATTGCTCCATATAAGTACTGTGGACGGCTGCTGGACGCTAGAATTTGGGAGCATTTGAAGGTCTGTCTCTGCATTTTTAGCACTCTTGCTTTGTCCAATTTGCATTATAGTCACCCCAGAGCTTCTGCAAAACAAGATGGGATTATAAATAAGCAACTCAACAAAGAAATAAAATTCATCTTACCAAGGAGTAACCATGGTTAATGATCTGATTTAGGTGACAAAGGGATGCTTGGGCACTTGCAAATCATCCTCAGCAAACCTGAGTGAAAGCCATCATTTTTCCTTTGTCTGGAAGTCTAGATTGTCAAGAGTCTGCGTCACACAAAGACTCAGCACAGTACTCACGGAACTGAAGAGTCACACTTTAGAGGTCACCTCTTCCAACATTCTGCCCAATGCCGGAAGCCCCTTAATCCCTGTCCCCATAGGACCCAGATGAATGGCTGCCTGCTTCTAAGCATCCCTGGAGAGCAAGCTCACAGATTCACCAAGCAGCACGTTCTGCCCCAGGAGTGCTGGAATAGAGCTGGACAGGATAGGGAGGTCTCTCTTCAACTCACACGTTTGCTGTTCCTTCATGGCTGCTGTGTGATGTTATATACTCATTAATAGAGGATGTTGTGGGAGTTTGGAGGAAGGGGCTTGGCCCAGCCCAGAGGGCATGAGAAGGAGCAGCCTTGGAAGGTTCAGTTCCTAGAGCAGTCTAAATGGGGCCTCAGGGGAGACCCTGGGCCTTTTGGCCTCCCCTAGATTATATAATGGAATGGTTGCTTACTCTGGCTGGATACAGACCCTGTGCTTTTCATGTAGATGCTCCTGGTAAGCATAGAAGGAACTCATGGAATTCAGCAGCGGTGAAATTTAATTAATATGGTTGTCTCCCCCAGGGCTGTGGATAAGGTGGATATCTCATAATAGAATCTTGGTTTTGTACTGGAGTCTGGTCTATAACTACAGGACCACTGCTATAGAAAGATGGCTTTTTTTTTTTTGGTGGAGTCTCCCTCTGTCATCCAGGCTGAACTGCAGTGGCGCGATCTTGGCTCACTGCAACCTCCGCCTCCCAGGTTCAAGTGATTTTTCTGCCTCAGCCTGCGGAGTATCTGGGACTACAGGTGCCTGCCACCGCACTGGCTAATTTTTGTATTTTTAGTAGAGATGGGGTTTCACCATATTGGCCAGGCTGGTCTCGAACTCCTGACCTCAGGTGATCCGCCCACCTCGGCCTCCCAAAGTGCTGGGACTACAGGTTTGAGCCATGGAGCCCAGTCGATAAATGGCATTTTAAAGCCAGAGGAAAGCATGACCCGTTCTGCTGTCATGCCCACTTCCATTCTTTTAGTGCAGACTGGGGCGGGAATATGTCTCCTTCTCTCCTCATTCCCTCACTTGGAAACCCAAGCAAGAGAGCTCAGAGCCCCATCTGGAGTCAGGAAAGATGGAAGAGGTGAAGAACTCCCTGAATTTTTATAAGGCTCCAAGGCCCTCGGAGACAAGATGCTTTTTATCCATTACTAATGGGCACTTGGCTTTTTCTTTGGCTCATTTCTGGTTCAGAATTTTAGTGAAATGACAAAGATCAGATGTTAGCTCTGGAATCCAACAGATGTAGACTTAATTCTTGGCTGGGCCTTCTTCTAGCTGTGTGACTCCAGGCAAATCACTTAGCTTCCTTAAACTTCAGTTTTTCCTTTTGCAGATTGAAGACAATGCTGATCATACTATCAACCATGAAGGACTGTGCTGAGGATTGAATGAGAATACATTCAGGCCACGGAACACAGTGTGTATATATTACACATGCTCCAAAAAGGCTAGCTGCTACTATGAAGTTGGATAAATTGACTCAGGAAAGGGCAGAATGAACTTGATATTGTGACTGTACATTTCAGAGAGGCCCCAAAGAGCAAATATTCAGATCACAGCATTCACTCCCGGAATAAGCATATTCGAAAACCCTTTCTTTGTCAAGCACGATACGTGGAGGGAGACTCATTCTGTTTCAGAAAGCTGAGAGTTAAGTGGCCAAGATAACCCCAAAAGACAATCCTAATAGATGTGGTGGACACAACAGCAGAAATATGGCCACAGGTGTCACATTTCCAGGTATAGCTACTAAATTTCCATGGACACAAATGTAGTGTAAAGACACATCTAATTAATTTTTTAAAATTTGCTGGATTCTGTTATTGCAAAACCCGGGAATTTGGACTATGGTATAGTGGTGGTTGCGTAAACATGGCGTCATACTTAGTTTCTTGAGCCGTTGCCAGATGTGCAGCTATTATGTAACAACACCCCTGAAAGGTGCTTTGAACAAATGGAACTTTCATGTTCCTTAACCATATAAATGTCTATGTTCAGAGCAATACAATGAAGATTGCCAGAAAGACAATTGCCCCAAGCACATTCATATTTCCAGCTGACTATACTTTTTCCATCTGAATGTACTTCCTGTTGTTCTTGTGGGGCTTTTATATAAATCACTTCAATTTTAAACCAGTTTAAACTTTATGTGAGTATATACTGTGTAGATTAAAAAAATAAGCAGAATCAACTTTCTTTTACTCAACTAATGATTGTAGTGGTGCTATTTAGATTGCATACTACCAACATTGTCCCTCAGGCTAAATCTTCCTTGACAAATGTTGGATGTTGAGCTATCACTTTTATCTACCCCATCTAAAATGATAGTTGCAGCCAAGATTTCAGAATTTATTTACCAGCAGCAAATTTTTACAACTATTCATTTAACCAGCATTATTGAGTACCTACAATGTACACAGCGTATCAGACATGAAATCACAAATGGAATTCCTCTTTTCACTTAGCAAAGGTCAACGTCATATTGTTTCAGCCAACCTGTTTGCTTACCGCAATGTAGAATACCATCTGCACAGAGACAAAGGCCTTCAGTGCAGGTTCCTTAGAAGAACAACTGTGGAAACATGTAAGTTTTACAACAAAAAGCCATTGAAATGATCCATGCTCTAAAGATATGCACCAGAAGGATCTCACCAAAAAATAATAACGAGAAAAATATTTTGAGCTCCCAACAAGTATATAGTGAAGAAGGAATACTTTCTTGCTGGGCACAGTCCACAGGACTTGTTGAGGAGGATGGATTTTATTTTGTGAAAGGCCCTTTTATGGGCATGGAGACATGTCTGATACACAAAGCTGAATTGAAGTGAAGTGGCTAGAGAGGGAGCTGAATTTCTCTGCATGACAAAGAGATTGAGAAAGGTGGCGTTTCCAAAATCGATCTGGGATGGAGGAAGTATAAGGGGGACAATTGGGACGTGGGAGAGAGGAGAGAAAACGAGGAGATAGAGGAGAGGTTTATAACACCGTGTCTTGAGGGGACAAGGGAAATTCCCAGTGGGGGCAGGTCAAAGACTTATGAGAATAAGGAAGTCTACAGGTATAAAGACCCCTTCATTGAGCTCTCCACATGAATACCAGTTCCTTATATATATAGGTGGAGTTTTGAAGAAATGAAGGTACACTGTCCCCACCAGAAGAGTGTTACAATACAAGCAGGGTGGCCTAAGCAAGACCTGGGGAGAACCATGAGCCGTTCTCCATCAGGAGAAGCTCTTGCTGAACTATATGCAGAAAACCCTCCTTGCCCCAGGTTTATCAATTTCACTGAACACTTGAGGTCAGCTTTGTACCTCCTCAATCCATAAAACGTAGGTTTGAATCACTTTAACCTAGAGGTTAAGGGAAAGATGAACTCACCCAGCTAATATTTGGAGGACACAAAAAATGACAAAGGTACTTGTATTACAAAAGGTTCTCCAGAGAAATACAACTCAATAGGATGTGTGTGTGTGTGTGTGTGTGTGTGTGTGTTTGTGTTTGTATTCTATTGGGTTCTATTTCTCTATGATATATATATCATATGTGATATAGATATAGAACTCTATATTCTATTGGGTTCTATTTCTCTATGATATATGATATATATGATATATATATCATAGAGAAATAGAACCCAATAGAATATATATAGAGTATATATATAGCCTATATATGTATATATTACATATAATGTGTATATAGATATACATTATATATCCTATATGTGTGTATGTGTATATATATATCCATCCTATATGTGCTTGTATATATATGTGTGTGTATATATATAAAAAAATATATAATATATATAAAAATATATATATATAATATATATATAAAGAAATTTACTTTAAGGAATTGGGTTATTTGGTTATGAAGGTTGAGAAGACCCAAGATTTGCAATCAGCAAGCTGGAGACCCAGGAGAACTGATGGTGTCAGTTTCAGAGTCCCAGTCTGAAGTCAGGAGCAGACCAATATCTCAGCCCAAAGGCAGTCAGGCAGAGACAGTGAGTTCTCTTACTCCATCTTTTTGTTCTATTCAGGCCTCAGTGGATTGAACGAGGCCCACTATATTGGAGAAGGACATCTGCTTTGCTTGGCCAACTGATTCAAATGTTAATCTCATCCAGAGACACCGCCACAGACACACCCAGAATAATGTTTGACCAAATGACTGGTCACCCCGTGGCCCCATTACTGCACCCCTCCATGGTGGCTTGCCTATTTAGATGCAGAGTGAGTTATAGCCACCACTTACTACAATAGCGTAGAGAAATCACATGTTGGTGCAGAAATTGACCAATAAAACACTTCTGCTTGCTAAATATCAATGCCTGTGGCTTTACTTCTATGGAAGCTTGGCAAAATGAAAGTCATTAAGTAAAAATTCATAAAATGGGAGAGAATTACTTTCATGTGAAATGATCTATTGTAAAATATTTCTTCAAAATTTTCTTTATTATGAATCTTATACAACCATAACTTAAAAATATTTAAATAATTACACAATATTTTATTTTTAATTTTAATTTTTTTTTTGAGACAGAGTCTTGCTCTATTACTGAAGCTGCAATGCAGTGGTGTGATCTCGGCTGACTGCAACCTCTGCCTCCTGGGTTCAAGTGATTCTCATGCCTCAGCCTCTTGGGTAGCTGGGATTACAGGTGTGCGCAACCACACCTGGCTAATTATTTTAGTAGAGATGGGGCTTCACCATGCTGGCCAGGCTGGTCTCGAACTTCTGAACTCGAGTGATCTGCCCGCCTCAGCCTCCCAAAGTGTTGGGATTACAGGTATAAACCACCACTCCCAGCTAAGTAATTACACAATATTTTTAAAAAGTTTCATTAAACTCTCATCTATAAAGTATCTCATCGAGGGATGTATTTATGTCAAGGTTAAAGGTGTGAAATGAAGCAAGGCATTATTACTTAAAAAAAAAAAAAAAAACCAAAGCACCTGACCTGATATTCTACAAGTATTAGCAAAGACCCCACACTGGGAATTTCAAGATTCATTTTTGAATAAATAGAGAATTTAAAATAGAAAAAAAAAATCACCTCAATAGTGGTTATAATATCTAATAAGCAAGTTGTTTGTTTGTTTTGAGACAGAGTCTTGCCCTGTCACCCAGGCTGGAGTGCAATGGTGTGATCTCAGCTCAGTGCAACCTCTGTCTTCCAGGGTCAAGTGATTCTCATGCCTCGGCCTCCTGAGTAGCTGGGACTACAAGTGCACACCACCACGCCTGTCTAATTTTTATATTGTTAGGGGAGGCGGGGTTTTGCCATGTTGGCCAGGCTGGTATCAAACTCCTGACCTCAAGTGATCCATCCGCCTGCCTTGGCCTCCCAAAGTTCTGGGATTACAGGCATGAGGCACAGCTCCTGGCACCTAATAAGCAAGTTGTTTAGGTTCTTCTGTTTTATATGAATGAAGGTGCACATGATTAAAAGAGTCTTGAAAAAAAAGCTAAAATGTCCGAGTAATGTACTTGAAGAAGTAGTATGTCTATATTTGCTAAGATTTCGATGCTTGTCACCTCCAAACCTCTTGCTGAAATCTGATCCCCAATGTGGCAATATTGGGAGGTGTTTGGTTCATGAGGCAGAGCCCTTATGAATGGATTAATGGCTTCCCTTGTGGGTTCTTGCTCTATTAGCTCTGGGAGTGCTGGTTGTTAAAAAGAGCCCAGCACCACCACCCAGCATTTTTCTCTCTTGCCATGTGATCTCTTGGCACATACCTGCTCCCCATCTCTTTCCCACCATGAGTTGAAGCAGCCTGAGGCCCTCACCAGATGCAGCTGCCTAATCTTGAACTTTCCAGCCTGCAGAATTGTAAGCCATATAAACCTCTTTATAAACGACCCAGTTTCAGGTATTCTGTTATAGCAACACGAAATAGACTAAGACAACACAACTGTTGTTATTTTGTAAGAAGGGAAATGTTTTTTAGTTGGACTTATAACACATAGACACACGTACACTTGCACCTTGAAACATCTGAGATGGCTACTTTTCAAAAGCACATATTCATATTTTCCTATCACCTGTGATGACAAATTGCTCTTCTGGAAATAGGTGGCCTGTGTAGTTCACTATGGTGGACAGTGGGTGGTGGACCAGGGGGCAGATTCAGAATGTTATCTCCCAACGTTTTCCCTTTGAGGGTTACAACTATTCAATCAACTTGTAAAGGCCCCAAAACTTCTGAAGCAGGTGTTTTGGACTCACTTTCTTTTGGGAAAAAAGTGGCAGAGGAAAATAATGAGAGAGTTTGAGAAGTTACACAAGGGCAGAGTAGGCGGAATTTTTGCTCAGTTGTTTCTGGTTTCTTTTTTTCTTTTAAAAAATTCCTGTTAAAATGAATGTCACAATAGTTATTTTTGTATTCTGTTTAAACATTATTTTATTCTGTATTCACATTTAATGCAGAGAAGCATTTCAGCAGATCCTGAAAATCTCTTTAAAACTTGACTTCCATTGTTTGAATAACAGCTTGAGAATGCAGACACACCAGTAATTTGGACATAATCCTGTGTATTTGTCAAAATGTTCTTTGAAAAATTACACACATAAACAGAACATTCTAAGTAGAACTGTCACTTTAACAACATTTTCCATGACTCTTGTCAATTTACTATACTAAATGTTTTCTGATACATTATTTACTGTGGTAAGTTTGAATGTATGGCGTTTGTCCCTCTAGATAGAAGTGCCTCCTAAAGCAGGTAGAGAACAAGTTCATGAAAGAGGAATCATCATGGTCATTACCAAATACAATTGTTTATGCATTAAGATGTAAAGCATGAGATGTAAACCAGATACATATCTATTTATCAGATATGTAAATCTTTATACTTATATATAACATGTATGATCAACTATATAAATATTACATAATATGTATAATATATATGATTAATATGCATGGCTGATAAATACACAATGAATATGCATGACTAATATGAATATTATGTGCACATAAATCTGAGAACATCCAATAAGATGTGTGTGTGTATGCACACATGCACACATACAGGGGCTGACATCTCCTTTGGAAACGAATAGGGGATCCATTATTTATCCTGTGACTTGATGTAAGGAAAATTGACCCCAAGTAAAATCCTGAGCAGTAGAGCATGGTTCTGCCCCTCCTCCTCTCCCATTTCTGAATCCTTTGTCCCATTTCCGTGCTCCAGATGCACCAGGTGCTCAGGTCTTCCAGGCCATTGCTATTCAGAAAAGGAAGGATCTAATGCGGGGAAATTTTAACTTCATGTACCCAAACTGCAACATACATGGAAGAGACCAGAGTGGCTTTCTATGCCACTTCTAGGCCTGGCCTTTACTCCACCCCCAGACCCCCATTCTCCTTCTGCTGGCTCACTGCCTAAGAGTGGGGTGACCTTGAAAGTGTTAAAGCTGGCAGAGTCATAGATGGGAAAGAGCTGGAGTTTCTGAATTACCACTTAGTGGAGAGCCACCAGCTGAGCAGAAGCACTCATTTTGGACTTTACATGAGTGAGAAATAAACTTCCATCCTATTTGAGCCACTGTACAATTTGGGTGGGTTTCTTACAGCAACTAAAGTTACCCTGAGTGGTATAGGGTTCATAGCTTTCCTTAGATAACCAAAAAAGTTCATAACTATAGAAAGTTAGGAACCCTGGAATCATATTCTAGAAGCATAGACATTGTCAAATGTTACTGCTGGAAGCATTCTTCAGATTTTTTGGCTACAGTCCATGGCATGCCAGTTTTGATGGGCGAGGCGATGAGGGTGCAGTAGGAAGGGGAGGAGGGACATGTGTGGTGGGTGATAGGGCAGAGTCCACTCTAGGAGATCCTTCCAGTCCGCTCTCACCTAAAGCCCCGATCCTGATGAAGACATTTGGATCTGGCCCAAGCACCTCATATTGTACTGAAGCACAGGGTGGTGATGGGTTTTTTTGCCTCTTGGTCTCAGGCAATTGGCATCCCTGGTGCATTAATTCAAGCTGTAGTGCTAGTGACTTACATGTCATTCCTCCTGGAAGATTTTTTGTTTTAAAGGAGACCTTAGAAAAGAAATTTCTTAACTCAAAATTCTGTTTTAAGCAATATGTCTTTTCTGTGGTGGTGTTTCAGGTGTTTTGGAACCTGGATGCAGAAGAGTTTTTAAAGAGATTACGGGAAGGCTGGGTGCAGTGGCTCTCACCTGTAATTCCCAGAACTTTGGGAGGCCAAGGTGGGCAGATTACTTCTTGAGCCCATTCGAGACCAGCCTGGGGAACATGACAAAACTCTGACTCTGCAAAAAATGCCCAAACTAGCTGGGTGTGGTGGCACATGCCTGTAGTCCCAGCTACTTGGAAGGCTGAGGTGGGAGGATCACTTGAGCCTGGAAGGTTGAGGCTGCAGTAAACTGTAATTTTGCCACAGTGCTCCAGCCTAGGTGACTGAGCAAGATCCTGTCTCAAACAACAACAAGAAAACAAAGCAAATTTAAAAAAAAAAAAAGAGAGAGAGATTTCAGAGAAACTCCCTGTAATCACAATATTAGTTAGCTGCCTATTCTACCTTTGTGTAAAGCCATTAATGAAAATGAAAATTCACATAGCGGAGAAGAAGTGAATACTCCATGTATCTTTACACAAATAGAGATGGTCTGATATATTGGGGCTATTGTATTGGAACAAAAGGGCCAAATAGCTTTGAGAATAAGATAAGAGATTTGTAAATATGCCCAAGCAGGCTTTGAGGGGCCCTCAATAGGGGATCAGATTATTTTTCACCAGCTAAGAATAAAGTGATCTTGGCTATAATATTTTTAGGCCAAAATGTTAATTAGCCATACAATTAGTTCACATTTTCTTTGGAGGATTTAATAACCAGTTGTGCAACTGAATCTCTAGAAAATTGCATTAGCAGAATGTTTTCATATTCTGCTATAAATTAAACAGTACAGAGGGGCACCTTTATTTTCTTTCATTTCCTTCTTAAACACAGACATTGGTAGATGTTAGGATTTATGTGACTTATTACCTCATTTCCTGCCTAGTCCTTTCCTGCCAGTTTCCTTGTTCAGTTTTCATAACCTTTTTTTGATGCCTGGGAGCCACTGGATATGTTCAGGCTGCTTTTACCTCCAGATTTGAGACGGTACCTAGACTACAATTGTTTCAGGTGTTGCTCTGATTAACACCTTCCTCACAGGGCATTTAATCCTGAAAAAGCTGTGGCGATTTGGAAGATCAGGGTCCTGATGTTAACTAGCCATAGGAGAGACAGAAACGATGTTCCCAGGCGGCATTATCTCTAGAAGGTACCAAAGCTGCAAGAAATAAACATGTAAATTCAGTCATAGGGGTTCAATGAGTTAATGAAGGGTTAAATGGGCAAAGATTTAAACAGAGGGTATTGTCTCAGAAAAGAGCAGCACCATTTTTCAGGTTGGTAATTGAGGAGTTAAGCTTTTAGGAGCTCAAAGAACAACAGCTAAAAACACTGAGAGCCCCACCGGCAGTTCTGACCTTTATCTCCAGGGTCCAACTCCAGACAAGGGTCTTAATTAGCTGCAGAAAAATCTAGAGCTTTGGCAACAAACCAGCAGACATTAAAAAAACAAAACAACCAGTAAATAAAAGATCCTTTTTTTTTTTTTTTGGTCACGAAACTTAAATAGGAGCAAAATTTATGTGACCTTTTGGTGTTCCAGTTTCCCAGTTTCTCAGTGTTTTTCTTTTCACATTTCCATTTCACCTAATTTCTTTGCTTACATTTTCCCCCAAACTGAGTTTTTTTTGATCTCCCTATACCATCTTACACTTGATTTTTTTTCCCCCATGACCTTCATCTTATTCTCTTTTGTTTTTCTTATGTGTTTACATCGCTCAGATCCTTTAGATGCATTTTGGGGCATTTTCTATATATTATTTATAAAATGAATGCAGGCCTATTCTATAAACAATTTCAAACAATGCAAAATGCATAAAGTTGTAAGGGGCCTCTCCTGCATCTAGATTTTGTCTATGCATTTTACATATATCTATGTGTTTGTGAATCTAGTAATATATATACACACTTAAGAATTTTTATACAAAGTCTTTTAACCTCTCTTTCATATTTTCCTTCTTGTTGACTCTGTCTGCTGCATTCTTGGTAATTTATTCATCTTGCTTTTCTAATTTCCATATTTTCTCTTCAGCTGTTTTTAAGCTGCACTTTTACCTATCTGCTGATTTTTTTTTTCAATTCCAATTCTACCTTTTGGAAACTCTACCTAGATCTTATAGAAATCTTTTGGTAATCTTTGATAATATCTTAATCATCATAATTTTGAAAACATTAAAAATGTTCATTAAACACATACAACACCTTTAATTTCTAGTCACCGTCTTACTATTCCAATATCTGCAGGTTTGTGGGCCTGATTCTATGGTTGCTATTTCTGCTAGCTCTCACTGGTGGTAGCTTGTTTTCTTGTGTGTCTAGTGATTATGAACTCATGTTCCTTGCAATTTAATTGTTCTTTGAGGTCCAAACTGTGTTTTTCCAGAGTCGATTTGTGAGTTCACCAACTAAGATTCTTCGAAGTAAATTTGTAATTGGAATTTTTTGGGTCCCAGCAGTAATGAATTGCAGCTCCAAATATGCATGCAAATTGGCTTATGGTTAGAAATTATTGGGGTGAGAATTTTCTTTTTCGTGCTCTAACCAGACACAAGGGTGAGATATGCAAGTATTCCCACCAGCCACCTCTCAGAAACCTTTTTAAAAAATACACCCATCGTGACCTACATGGTGAAACCCTGTCTTTACTAAAAATACAAAAACTTGCCAGGTGTGGTGACATGCGCTTGCAATCCCAGCTACCCAGGAGGCTGAGGCAGGAGAATCACTTGAACCCGGGAGGCCGAGGTTGCAGTGAGCCGAGATCGCACCACTGCACTCCAGCCTGAGTGACAAGAGTGAAACTCATTCTCAAAACAAACAAACAAACCCCCCAAAAATACACCCATCAAGGGTACCACTTTTTCAGAGTCTTGACTTTATGATATGACCTCTGTCTTGTCGGACCCCAGGTATTATTTCCTTTCTCACCACCTGTGAGTGGATAACCTCCCCAAGATTTAAATATCTGGGAACTGACATGTACCCACTAGGCAAACAGTGGTCTCAAGTTTGGTTATCTCTTTGGATTTGGGATTTCCTATCATATATGGCTTTAAGAATTTCCCCTTCTTTCTCTCCAGCTTAGCCATACATTTAAAAGATGCTTTTTATTACAGCAAAATTTAAAACTTTTGTGCACCAAATGACACCATCAGCAGAATGAAAAGGCAATTCATGGAACGGGAGAAAATATGTGTAAATCATATGTCTGAAAAGTGATTAATATTCAGAATATATAAAGAATTCATAGAATTCAAGAACAACAAAACCCCAATATCACTCAAAAATGGACAAAGGACTTGAATAAATATTTCTCCAAAGAAGATATATAAATGGCCAATAAGCATATGAAAAGATACCCAACATCAATAATCATTAGGAAATGCAAATCAAAACCTTTGTGAGATACCACTTCATACCCATTAAGATGGCTAATAAAAAAAACTCCCAAAAAATCACAAGTGTTGGTGAGGGTGTGGAGAAATTAGAAACCAGTGTTGGCTAGAATGTAAAATGATGCAGCTGCCATGGGAAATCTAATGGTGGTTCCTCAAAAAACAAGAAATTGCCATATGATCCAGCAATTCTGCTTCTGGTTATATAACCAAGATAATTGAAAGCAAGGACTCCAGCAGCTATTGGTACACCTGTGTTCATAGCAGCCTTGTTCACAACAGCCAAAAGGTGGAAGCAACCCAGGTGTCCATCAACAGATGAATGGATAAGTAAAATGAGGTCTATATTTACACAGTGAAATATTATTTGGCTTTGAGAAAGCAGAAAATTCTGATGGATGCTACAACATGGATGAGCCTTGAAAACACTACACTAAGTGACATAAACCAGTCACAAAAGGACAAATATGATTTGATTCTACATATGTGAGGTACCTAGAGTAATCAAATTCATAGAGATGGAAAGTAAAGTGGTGGTTGCCAGGGAAGGAGGAGATAAAGTATTGGGAGTTATTGTTTAATGCGCACAGAGTTTCAATCTTGGACGATGAAAAAAGTTCTGGAGATAGACGGCGGCAATGGTTGCACAACAATGTAAACACACTTAATGTCACTGAACGGTACGTGAAAATAGTTAAAACGGTAAATTTTATTTTACATGTATAAAAGAAAATCAGTGTTTTTGTTTGTTTGTTTGTTTCTTTCTTTCTTTGTTTTTTTGAGACAGAGTCTTGCTCTGTCGCCCAGGCTGGAGAGCAGTGGCACAATCTTGGCTCACTACAACCTCTGCCTCCCGGGTTCAAGCGATTCTCATCCCTCAGCCTCCTGAGTAGCTGAGACTACAGGAGCATGCCACCATGTCCAGCTAATTTTTGTATTTTTTGGTGGAGATGGGGTTTCACTGTGTTGGTCAGGCTGGTCTCAAACTCCTTGCCTCAAGTGATCCACCTGCCTTGGCCTTTCAAAGTGCTGGGATTACAGGCATGAGCCACCGTGCCTGGCCTCACTTTTCAGTATTCTGTTCTGAGACATCTAGGATTCCACAATGCTGGGATTAGAAATCCCCAGGGGACTGATTTTTCCTTCACATCATGACGTCTACTGGGCAGTGAACTTTAGCTACATATGAATACCCAGCCAGATTCCAAGATTGTGGAAACCAAGATGGCAGCCTAGGAATTCAATGTCCTGCATCACTGATCAGCCCGTGTTGTTCCTTTTCTTCAGTGACTATCCTAAATTAGTAATGTATTTTACTTTGCATTATTTATAGGTTCCATTATGATCTTTGATAGTAACAACAATCCAATTCTTCTTTGAGGAACAGATCCACATTTCATGTCAGAAGAGCATGGATAAACTTGTGTGTCAGAATAATTTGACTTGAAATCTTATCACTGTGTGTGTGTGTGTGTGTGTGTGTGTGTGTGTGTGTGTATGGATGGGTGCTTTATTTGTTCATTCAGTCATTGGTTTGTTCCACAAATATTTACTGTTATGTATTAGACATTGTCTAGGCATTGGGGACACAGGGGTGAATAAGACAAATTTTCTTATTTGCAATCAGCAAATAAACATCAGCAAATAAACAAGGTAGTATCAGGTAATAAGTCTGCAAAGAATACAAAACAGGATAATGAGACAGAGTGTGATGTGAGAAGGGGCTGTGTTGGCTAGGAGGTGCTCGGGAAAGGAGTCCCTGGGGATGATATTGAAACAGGGGCGTTCCCTGATCCCCCTCGCAGGACATACGACAGGGGTGTGACTTGCCTATTTGGCTGCTGCTGCTCAAAACCCCATAGAGGAGGGGAGCGTGCAGACAGACAGGTGAAGGAGCTCAAGTAGGTGTGTGTTACAGTGTGAGCTTTTAGCTTTGCTGTGCGTGGATGTCTTGAGGGCTAACCAGCTTAATGGACCCTCTGCCTTTCTGCAAGGGTAGAGGGCCAGTATGCCAGCTTTCTGTATTCCAAGCTCTTGTCCAGCATCCTGGAAAAATCGGGTCACACACAAACTTGAAGGATGAATGCAGGAGTTTTATTGAGTGGTGTGGGTGGTTCTCATCAGGATGGATAGGGACCGGAAGTTGGGAATGGAGTGGGTAGATAATATTCCCCTGGTGCCTGGCCATCCAGCTGCCGAACTCCTCTCCAGCTGCCCCCAGCCGAATTTCTCTGGGTGTTCAGACGTTCCTCCTCCTCTCTCTTTCTCTGCCACATCGCTCAGCCGTCCGTCTGCTTGTCTCCTCATCTCCTTGCCTGCTGGTCTGCTCTGGAGCCTGGGGTTCAGGATTTATATGGGCACAGGATAGGGGGCATGGCATGCCAAAAGGCAACTTCTTGGGAGTGAAGACAGGAATGCCTGTTCTCATTTAGGGCCGTGGGTATCCAGGCTTGAGGGTGGGGCCTTTGCCTGGGAATGACCCTCTTCTACCCAGTAGTTCCCTGTCTCCTGGCTGTATCAATGTTTAGGTTGAGAGCTGACATTGATGACAAGGAAACTGCAAATATCTGGGGAAAGAGCTTTTCACAAAATGGGGAATATCAAGGGCCGTGAATCCATCTGAGTTAGAATTAATTATCTAAATCCTATCAGAGATAACAAAAATCCAAGCAGGTAAGGACTAGATTGGTGAATATTACCCTTACAGTATGTGACTTCTTAAAAAATGTATTTCTGAAACGAAAATAGCCAGACATTCATTTAAATCAGTAGCAACTACCTTTCAACACTGAAATTAGGCAACATCTCTGCCCCTCCCACCCCCCCCACCATTTCATCATTGGGAGAATATTGTTTTCACAACTTGCTCTATTATGCATATATTTAATAGGTAAACTATGAGGGTGATAACAGTTTTGCTTAGGACTTCATAGTAATGACTAAGAAAAACAACAACATAGCTTTGTGTGTGGATGATACAGCATTATAGCCTCTTCGCATAATTCAGGCTTTTTGAATTGTTGAAGGGCTTGAACGTCCCAGTTTGGGTATATCCATCAAATTTTCCATTGAGTTGCAAAGTGTCACCTCTTTGTATGCTTTATAGACAAAAGTCACAGGTATAATCATACAGATAGCGTATAGAAGTGTCAATCAACTTGCCAGTTCAGCTTTTCTTTCATTGGGGAACAATAATAAACCTCGAATATGTTTGCAGTTTGGATTTCTGATTTATATACCGCCCAATAGTGCCCCATTTAATCTGTTCACCTGTGGTTGCTTTGTTCTGAATTTCATGGCTCTGTTGTTTTAAACCCTCTTTTGCATACATTTTCAGAGAGAGGCTGATGATTGCAAACCGTTGGTTTTTGGGAAATTGGAATGCTGCCACTGTCTGAATTGCCTGAATAAAGAAAAGTAGGTCCTGTAATTATTTTATTTTCTCCCCAGCATGTGATTTGTGATTGATGACACATGCATAGGGGGCTTTTGCCATTAGGCTGGCTGATCCCTCTACTATGACATTAATGTCACTGTCACTGTGCTCGAAGCTATAGTTTGTTAGGCAACTCTGGCATGGGGAAATGAGCATGGACTTTTTAATGTGTTTGAAATAGCTACATGCTGACAGATGTTCCCACGTGCTTGCTGATGTCATGACTGGGGCTCCTAGAAATCCCGGGAAATTAAAAGAAAGAAGAAAATGTTAGTTGAGGCTCCAGAAGGAGAAATGATAGAGGCATACAATAGAAAATTTTGCAAAAAAGAAAATCCACGAATCTCTACAAATTTCCTTCAGGTCTAACTCCTGCCCCTCCCACCCTGCCCACCTCATAGAGAAGCATTCAAGACACAAACTATTTAAATCTGAAGAAATACAGTATTAAGAGAGCAATCCTTCCATGGTGCTCATTTGAAAAGCAAAACAAACAAACATACACAAAACCCAAAGTAAATTAAGGTCTTTTCCTTTTTTTTTTCATTAAAAAATGCATATCACAGTGTTTACTTGGTAGACCAATTATTCTAAAAACCAGGTTTCAAGGAAAAAGTCACTTTCTGGCAGAGGCCTTACATGACAAGTTCCGTTCCGCAGTGGATTAAAATGGTTGTGAAGAGATGCTAACATAACTTCAACTACGGCAGTGTGAACACACCACTGTAATAATTCATTTAGAATGATGGCACCTGAGACCTAATTTAAAAGTCCTAGATGAATACTAGTCTCACATTCAACCCTGAGGGCTGCGGCAAACATACGTAAGAAAGTCTAAGAACCATAGTGAGTCTAATTGAATTGGACTTAAACGGACCATTGAGATGGCCTCACTGAGCTCAGGGGAATTCACGTTGTCTATACTGTATCAGAATCACAGCTTGAACTGAATAACTGGTTACATTCAATCATGTTACAGTAACTCATGCCTGAGGTAAAGGGGAAACCTTTTGCTATCAGCAAGACTGGATGGAAAACAATTTCAAATCACTTTAAACCCAGTTGGCAACTACTTTGCCAATTATGGAATCCAGTGGGAAAGGTGTGTTCGAGGGCTCAGGACTAAATGATTTATGTCAGGCATCTGGGCCTCCCGAGGAATGCGGGAGAGTGTGCGGAGGAGGGGCGTGTGGCTAATTATTTCTCCTAAGAATACTTTAGTGAGGTAATTTGTGCCTGCAGATGAGTCACACTGCAGGCTGGATGAAAGGCAAGGTAAGCACAGACATTCCTAAGATCCCATTTAGAGATGGATAAAGAGGGAGCCTAAAGATTCAAATACACTTTCTCATCTCTTCGCTCTGAAACATTTGGAGATAAAAAACGGAAAGAGCAAACTTAGTTCTCGGCTCTAACAGGCAAGTTGCGATCAAAGTCTGTAATTTGTACTGCAGGTATTGCATTGGCTGCCTTCTAACACAGACTTACTGGCACAGGTGACATGCTATAATGCATCAGATGGATGAGCGTGAATCTGGGGTCCTTTATAGTGACCCTGAGAAATGCCTTTTTTTTGGTCCTAATTTATTTTAGATGACTGTGGCTGCAGAGATAAGAATTTCTATCCTACTCAATGCCTTCTAAAGAAGGATGTCACCATTCTCTGGGATTCATGTATGAAGGTCTCCAGCTGAGAGATGATCCTGAAACTTATCCCAAGAGTAATGAGTTCTCCTACCCCACCTCAAACAAATAAAAAGGATCATAGAATTCCACTATAGAAACTGACAGTAGAGGCGGATAGGTTTCTTGAGTAGTCTTTTCAGATCCTTTCATTACTGAACACATTTTAAAGGTATTTTGAGTAATCTGGAGAAGATTATGAGTGCTGTAATGATATTAAATCCAGCACCGGGGGGTCTATTTGAAACCTCACGTGAGTGTGTCTGTACAAAGCTGGCACTCTTGCTTTCTCGTCTTTCCTCTCTTCCAGCAGCTGCCTGCCATCATTACAGCTAATAGAGTGGGTTAAACTTTTGGGCTAGCTAGCGGCTCTGAGTATCTCTCTAATGGTTTCCATTGTGTGCATCCCTGGAAAACACTTCTGACCAATGAACCCCTAACTGCAAATGACACAGGCAAGCTTCATTGAAAATGACACCACTGGAGGGAACCCTGCGCTCATTTGGGATGCTTCCTCACTGGGGAAAGAAGGCCATTTCAGCAGTTGCACCAAAGGGATGTTGTCATGTGGCATTTACTTTTCTAAGGCACAGAACAAAGCAGTGGGGGTAGTTTGCGCTCCTACATGCTAACTATATGTTTAGCTGTGCGATGCCAAAATAAGAATCCCCGCATGTCCAGAGGGGAGAGAGAAATTGCAGTCTTCCCAGTTCATCCTCATACAGAATGGGGAGTGTGGACGTCAGACAATCTAAACTAAATCAGGATCCATGTCTGGAATCAGTCTTGTTTAAATGCAGAGCTTGTGACAAATGGGAGTTAAGTACTACCAGAAAGGGAGTGTGGCCCGGGAGGGTCTAAGACTGGTCATTGAGAGTGCTGCATTCGAATTCTTGGTTGCAACCAAATGTGTTGCTTTGGGTGAGTTTCTTCACTTTCTGAGTTTCTTTCAGTTTCCTCTGTAACATGAGGTAGGTAGACCAGATGGTTTAATCCAATCCAACAATTGTTCATTGAGTGCTTGGTTTGTGTCAAGATTTGTGCTAGGCAATGGGGAGAGACTATGGGAATGAAACATGTACCGCTGGCGTCCTTTTGGATTTTAAAGTTTAACAAGTAAGACTAATATTAAAAGATGATTTTAAAATGATACATTTTAGCAAGTGGGAAGCATACAGTGCTATGGAATGAAGTGACAAAGTCTGAGCAGTCAGAGAGGGCTTCTTGAGGAAAGTTGTTCAGGTGGAGCCTGAAGGATAAGGAGGTTTGGGTTGAGCACGAAGGCTAAGGAGGAGCCAGCCGGAAAAACATGGGAGTGGGATGAGGTAGACGAGCATTTCAGATGAACTAAGCATTTGTGAAGGCTCTGCACAAGAAAGAGGTCGGGACTGGATCGCAGAACATAAAAGGAAGAGTGAAAACGTGGGTCAGGAGGAGGGTTGCACACAATGTAGTAAGCACGCATTTTGTCCTTGTACTGAGGGCAGTGGAAACCACTGAAGCAAATTCCACTGCAGAGTGGGGGTGAGGAGGCAGATATCTGAGGTTCCTTCCAGACCCAGCATTTTGGGGCTTTCCACATGGTTGTTTTGACCTCTCTAAGACCCACTAGAGGGATTTAATACTCAGGTACAGTCCAGAGAAGAGGACACAAGGCAGTGACCCCAGAAACTCACCTCCAATCTACAGCTGGTTGAAGCCTGGCATATAAAGGTGGATTTGCCCATGCAGGTTGGATTTGGTGCCTTTGGCCTCAGCCTCGAAAGATTAGGTCAGTCTTGCCCAGACTCTGGGTCCATGCTCTTTAGTTCTCTGTTAGACTCACCAGGGGCTTGTCAAAGAAATGAGAGGCTATGTTACATATCCAAGTCTCCTTGCCAAGGGAGAAAATGGGAAATGGAGCCCCTCAGAACTTCGGCCTCTTCTTGATCACCTCTCTTAGGGCAAGACTTTCTTTCTTTTTCTTTTTTTTTTCTTTTTGAGATGGAGTCTGTCTCTGTCACCCAGGCTGGAGTGCAGTGGCACTATCTCAGCTCACTGCAACCTCCGCCTCCCGGGTTCAAGCAATTCTCCTGCCTCAGCCTTCCAAGTAGCTGGGATTACAGGTGCCTGCCACCACGTCCAGCTAATACTTTTGTATTTTTAGTACACATGGGGTTTCACCATGTTGACCAGGCTGGTTTCAAACTCCTGACCTCAAGTGATCTGCCCATCTCTGCCTCCCAAAGTGCTGGGATTATAGGCATGACCCACCGCGCCTCTGCCAAGACTTTCTTTTTTAAATATATTTTTATTTCAATAGTTTTTGGGGTATAAGTGTTTTTTGGCTACATGGATGAATTGTAGAGTGGTGAAATCTGAGATTTTAGTGTACCCATCATCTGAGTAGTATGCATTGTACCCAATGTGTAGTTGTTTTAATCCCTCACCCTAACCCCACCGTCCCCCTTCTGAGTCTCCATAGTCCATTATACCAGTCTATATGCCTTTGTGTACCCATAGCTTAGCTCCCGTTTATCAGTTAGAACATATGGTATTTGGGATTCCATTCCTGAGTTACTTCACTTAGAATAATGACCTCTAGTTCTATGCAAGTTGCTGCAAAAGACATTATTTCATTCTTTTTTTATGGCTGAGTAGTATTCCATGGTGTATGTATATCACATTTTCTTTATCCACTCATTGGTTGATGGGTGCTTAGGTTGGTCCCTTATCTTTGCAATCGCAAATTGTAGGGCAGCACTTTCTGAGACTTCCATTTGCTATTACTCTATCCATCCCTGGGGGTGCAAAGATATTTGGCAGCAGCTGGAACTCATTCACAGGGAGTCCTCACAGCACCTAACATTAGGTGGCACTTAATAGTGATGATAATCACTTATGGAGTCTACTAAGATGTTTTGAATCCCTTCTCCCATTCAAAAATCTTGACAACCCTGTGAGACAGATATGCTCACCTTACTGATGAGTACGGGGGCTTGGCAAAGTAGGTATGTTGTTCATATTACACAGCTAGTAAGTGGAAGAGTCAATATCATATACTCCCAGATTCAGAACTTTAAATAACCCCATGCTACCTTCTAGGGAAAGCTTCTGCTATGTGTTTGGAGGGTTAGGTGAGAGAAAGGTGAATTTTAATCTCCCAACATGCTCACTCCTTTTTCCTGCTTTGTGGGGGATGTAAGTGAATAACCCCAGTGCTGTGGTGCACTCGTTAATCTTGTAGCAAGACAGGTGGAATGTGGGTCTGCAGGTGGCCTTGGTATGGTGGGGATAACTATGTGCCTTCACCTGTCCCTACACAGGTCATACCTACCAGCTTGCGTTTGCTTCCGACATGTCTGGGCAGTGTGAATTGTCCTCTGCTCCTCTGGAGAGATGGGCCCTGTGGCTGCTTTGGGAAGAACATCAGTTTTGTGTTCATTTAGATATGGCATTCTGTGTATTTGGAATCTATGCATTTTTTGTTCCCTGGTCTCCAAAGTTAGTAGCAGAGGTGGTAAGAGCAAAAACCCATACTTGTGTAGGAAGGAAGGTGCATAGGGAAGAATGGCTTTAGCAAGAGTCAGACAAGGGTTCCATTTTCCAGTTTTTGTGTGTATTCTCCTTTGGAAGGTACAGGCCCTGCTTAACTGTTCTAGAAATAAAACAAAAATGGCGGAAAAACTTCTCAATATTCCCTGTTTCACAAAGAATTATTGTTGCCATTTTCCTTTCAAGCAAATATATGAAAGTGAGTTGAAAGGAAATATCATCCAAAGTATTAAAGCTTCTTTCAAGTTTTCAGTTCTTTGTGGGTTTTGTGCTAATGTTTTTCTGATAGAATAGAGCCCAAGAATGAAATATAGAAGAGGAGCTGTCCATTCAGACACAAAAGTGATCAATTCTTGTGACATAGTAAGAGATTTAGATTTTTAAAAATCTGTCCAACAGGCCGGGTGCAGTGACTCACGCCTGTAATCCCAGCACTTTGGGAGGCTGAGGTGGATGGATCACCTGAGGTCAGGAGTTCAAGACCGCCTGGCCAACATGGTGAAACCCTGTTTCTACTAAAAATACAAAAATTAGCTGAGCCTGGTGGCACGTGTCTGTAGTCCCACGGGAGGATGAGGGAGGAGAATTGCTTGAACCCGGGAGGTGGAGGTTGCAGTGAGCCAAGATCACACCATTGCTCTTCAGCCTGGGCAACAAGAGCAAAACTCTGTCTCGAAAAAAAAAAAATCTGTCTAACAAAGATTAAATGTTTAATTTTTTGATAGAATTAGTAGGATAACCATTTTTAGTGATAAATTATTTTAAAACTAGAAAAATTAATTTAGAAAAAAAAAGACATCCAGAGAATAATACAGGGTTCGAGCAGCAATTTTGTGATAGGCCAATGTTGGATCAACAGTCAAATCTGATAGTGCGTTCCCCTGAATGTTTTAACCAGAATGACATTACTTGGAGGAATTAGTATTTTGAGTTATGTAAAAGAAAGCCCAGCCTATTCTGAGATATGATAAGAGGCTCAGTTCTGTAAAACCAGAGAAGCATGGGACACGTTTCTGCTTTGGATTGTACATGTAATTATTTTCTTTGGATTAATGAATGGGACTGCCTGTATTCCTAGTGAGAAAATGCCAATTTCAGAGACATTCAAAGTCTGCCAGTTTCTCTCACAGAACTTTGCAACAGGGATGATTTTGTTTAGGAATATATATATTCCTCTCTGAGATGTCCATTTGCTTTTACTAGCAAAGATTAAATGTTTAATCTTTAATGTTTAATATATATATGGATTTTTATTTAGATATATATGGCCTATATATATTTCTGTTTAAAGTTTGCTGAGAGGTTAATTTGCCATTCTAATTCACTATTCCTTAGTAAAAATTGGTTTGTCAGATAATTTGAATGGCACATCATAAAGCAGAGAGAGGGGACTTGAGGGAGTGGGAAAGTGAGTTTGGGTGGGGGAAGATGGCAGGCAAGATGCCTGGGACAGAGCTTCCTTCCGTCCCTCCGTCCCTCCTCCTCACTCCTTTCTTCCTCTCTGTCTCCTTCCCCTGCTGTCATGCATTCATCCAGTATTTGTGAAATAAGTACCAGATATGATATTGGGCACTGAGAATACAAAGATAACTAAGTGAAAATCTGGGCTCTCCGTGCAGCTGCAGCCAGCCACTGTAGACGAGGAGAGAGAAAGGCCATGTCACCAGTTGAGTGCTATGGTAGCCAGCAGAATCAGCCACCTCACCTGGACTTCCTGGGAGAGGGCTGCCTGTTCACATCATGAAGGTCAAATGCAAAGAGCCTGGCATGCTTGCGCTGTCTCCTGGGAATGGCAGCCCAATAAGTGGGGTGAGTAGCGGAAGGAACTCCAAGGTTACATGTGCCCCCACTCAAAAATGCCCACTGACCTGGAAACAGGCCACCCTACAAGTGTCCGGCGTGACTCTGCCTCTCCCCACCTGTGTGGCCTCAACCACATCTCATTACCTCTTGGGCCTCATTGCACCCATCTGTGCCTTGCAGGCCTTGGCTCAGATGCCCTGTCCTGGCATTTCCCATTTCCGCCTCAACTCTTTAGAGTGGACACAGTGGAGTGTGCGCGTCTCCATACTCACACTGCCTCAGAATCTAGGGTTCCGATAACTTTGCTGGGAGGAGTTTGAAAACCTTGCTTGTTGAAACCCAGTTTCACAATTTCCTTGCTTCACTTTGCAAAGAGCCAGGGCATTTTATTTGCTACCCACTGCTTAATCGTGATAACTCACAGCACAGTAAAGGTCTTATTGAGGAAGAAAAGGCTTTGATCACCTTTAACAACACTTGGAAATCACTCTAAGTGCCTCTGCTAATTCTTACCTCTTTTAATAGTGTTGATATGTTCAGTCACCTCTGTCCCACCCACTTACACACCCTGCCTAGGGTTCCTCAGGCACAGATGTTCACTGACTTAATTGTCTTAGAAGCTATTGTTAAAATAATGTCTGTGATATCAATAGTGTTGCGTGTCTGAGTGCAGCTTGTAGGGAAGGAACAGTGCTGTAAGCCCATGACTCAGGCCCTCATTCTGGGCCTGGAGCTTCCTTTCCCATCCCCTGCAGTGGAGACAGTGGAGTGAGAACCCAGCTCTGTTTCTTGGCCTAAGGGTATCAGTGAGTCGACCTGGCTGGGGGCTGGGTTGGGGAAGAGAGGGGCCATGACTCATGCACTCTTGTGCTTCTTTCAGGAGTATAAGAGAGACTTTCCCACTTGATCTCAAGCCAGAGGAGATCCTTGTTAGGCCACAACATGGCCTCCGTTCTCGTGTACAGCCCCACTCTGCCCACTCTGGGTCTGCTTTACATAGTGTCTCCTTTTTCTGTCTCCCAAGGAGTGAGATTCTGCCAGACTGGGGTGTTTTAAAATAGAGTGCCTTAGGCCAGGCATGGTGGCTCATGCCTGCAAACCCAGCACTTTTGGAGGCCACAGCAGGAGGATCATATGAAGCCAGGGGTTCAAGACCAGTCTGGGCAATATAATGGGACCCTGTTTCTATAAAAAGTAAAAAAGAAAAAAAAAATTAGCCAGGTGTGGTGGTGTGTGCCTGTAGTCCCAGCCACTTGGGAAGCTGAGTGAGGAGCATTGCTTGGGCCTAAGACTTTGAGGTTACAGTGAGCTATGATCACGCCACCACACTTCTGCCTGGGTGACAGATCATGTCTAAATATATACATATTTACTACCAGTTCCTAAGAAGAGGGGGCACACCATGCTGGTGGGAAGTGGGGTCGGAGGTGGGGGCACATGGGGAAGGACCAGGGTGTGTCAGGAGATAGATGGAGAGGGAGGAGCTGTTCACAGAGCCCTTATTGTGGTTTCTGTGGAAGGAATGGGCAAGAGAGGTTAAGCAGATTTTGGATAATTTTAGGGTAGCTTGAAGAATTTCAATGGGCTCTGGGTCATAGGTACTGTCCCTAGTTGTCTGGTACCTGGCTGTGGGGTGATTAAGGCAGGGGGTAGTGGCCCAGAGTGTGAGAGCTGGTAGAAGAGGTGGTGGGGGCTTTGGCTCTGGATTGGTTTGTATTTGAAAAGCAGCTCTCAGGAGGGTTGTTTACTCTCTCTAGGAACTGGCTAATCCTGGGAGAGGCAGTCTCTCCAAAGTCAGCAAGACCCCAGATGTCAAGTCATCCGAATACAGAAAATATGTGGTTAATATATGGGGACATTATCACCTAAGACCAGACCAGGGTCCTCGAGGCCACCTATCTTTGTTTCTTTCTTTCTTTCTTTTTTGAGACAGAGTCTCTCTCTGTCGCCTAGGCTGGAGTGCAATGGTGTGATCTCGGCTCACTGCAACCTCTGCCTCCAGGTTTCAAGCGATTCTCCTGCCTCAGCCTCCTGAGTAGCTAGGATTACAGGCATGCACCACCATGCCTGGCTAATTTTGTATTTTTAGTAGAGATGGGATTTTGCCATGTTGGCCAGGCTGGTCTTGAACTCCTGACCTCAGATGATCCGCCTGCCTCAGCCTCCCAAAGTGCTGGGATTACAGGCATGAGCCACCGCATCCGGCCGTATCTTCCCTTTCCTTCCCCCTCCATGCACTATCCATCGTCAGGGAGCATTGACCCTACTTCAAATACACATACTGAATCTGTCCCCTTCCCTCCAACTCCCCTGCTCCCACCTGGTCCAAGTCACTAGCATCTCTCATTGGGGTTACAGCAATATCTCCCAGCTGGTCTCTCTGCTGCTACTCTCAGCCTTTCTTGTCAACCTTTACTCAGCAGCCAGAAGGATTTTATAAATCAGATCTTACCACTCTGTACACCATCTTGCTTAAAAGCATCCAGTGGCTTCCCACTGCATTTAGAATGGACGAACAGGCTCGGCTTGCTCTGCCTACTGGCTTCTGCCTCTTCTGACCCCGCTGTGCCCCACAGCCTGCAGCACATCAGGCACCCCACCTTCTGTTCTTGCTGCCATGGCTGGATCCTCATGCTTCAGGTCTCAGCCTAAATGGCCATCCTCATATAGACCAATCACTTCATCTAAATGCTATCAAAACACCCCTTCCAACATTTTTCAGTCACCTGTTCATCACTAATTGTTCTAATTAATCGACTGGTTTTGTCCCTGTTTACAGTCTGCATAGTTTAATTGACCAGTATAGGGGTTAAAAGCATAGTTCCAGGGTCAGAGCGTCATGACTGAAGTCTGACTGTATTGTTTATTAACTCTGTGACTTTGGGTAGCTACTTATCCTCCTTGAGCTTCAGTGTTTCCATCAGTAAAATGGGCATAATAAGAGTACCACCCCCCATAGGACTGCTGTGAGAATAACATGAGATGATCCATGCAAAGTGCATAACACATGATGTGTTACAAAGATGAGCTGTTATCATCATTGAGACGCAACCTCAACAAAGAAAGAGAATGTTTTGTCTTGTTCACTGTTGCCTCCCCAACCCTTCAGACTGCCTGGCACATGGAGCTGCCCAACAAATACCTGTTGAATGAAAGAATGGCCCTCTTTGGCAGTGTCTGGCTCGGGT
The DNA here is from genome assembly GCF_000001405.40 of Homo sapiens. Taxonomy (NCBI): domain Eukaryota; kingdom Metazoa; phylum Chordata; class Mammalia; order Primates; family Hominidae; genus Homo; species Homo sapiens. Next base: position 24,569,826 of record NC_000018.10, read on the forward strand.
ACAACACTGCTGCATTATCCCTGTAGGATAAACTTCCCCTCTGAGTGAGAGAGCCCAGAAAGGGCTGTATCATCAGCAGGCATGTAGAGGCTACATTTCCTGTCTGGGACAAGCCCCCATTCCAGCACGCAGGAGGCTTGGCCTCCAATTTTTGATCTGCCCCTGTGCATCTGTGTTCTCGTAGGAAGGTCACTTGACACCCTCTCTGGGTGGCAGCTTTCAGAAGAGCAGAGGAGGGACTGGAGCAGATAACCTCTAAGAACCCTTCCAGCATGACATGTCTTTTTCCCTTTTTTTTTTGGAAAAAGAGTTTTATTGAGATATAGTTCACATACTATAAAATTCACTCATTTAAAGTGTACAGTTCACTGTTTTTACCATATTCACAGTGTATGTAATGAGCAGCATAACGTTAGAATATTTTCAACACCCTAAAAAGGAACCTCATGCTCATTAGCAGTGACACCCCATTCCCTCCCCACAGTACCCTTTCTCCAGCCCCAGGCAACCATGAGTCTACCTTTTGTCTCTATCGATTTGCCTATGTGAGACATTTTATACAAATGGGGTCATACTATACGTGGACTTTTGTGACTGGCTTCTTTCACTTAGCATAATGTGTTCAGGATTCAGCCACGTTGTAGCATATATCAGTAATTTATTCCTTTTCACATATCAGTAATTCATTCCTTTTTATTGTGGAATAGTACTCTATTGTATTGTACAATAATTTATTCACCTATCCACTAGTTGATGGGTATTTGGGTTGTTTTCTCTTATAGGTTGTTATCAATAATGTTGCTAGGAATATAATTCATGTGTTTTTGTGTGGATGTGTATTTCCATTTCTCATGGAAATGAACCTAAGGATGGAATTGTTGCATCCTATTGTAACTCTATGCTTAACATTCTGAGAAATTGCCAAGTTGTTTTCGACATGGTAGCACTGTTTCACATTCTCACCAGCAATTTATGAGGGTTTCAATTTTTCTACATCCTCACTGTTATGGTTTGAATATTTGTGTTTCCTCCAAAATTCATGTCGAAACTTAATTCCCAATGCGACAATATTAGAAGGTGGGGACCTCTGGAGGTGATGAGGTCATGGGGGCTCCACCCTCATAAATTGGATTAGTGCCTTATAAAAAAGGCGTTCACTCCTTTTGCCCTTCTGCTTTTGGCCATGCTGTGGGGAGAAGATGCACTGATGGCTCTCACCAGGCACCAAATCTAGTGGTGTCTTGATCTTGGACTCCAGAACTGTGAGAAATAAATTTCTGTTCTTTACATATGATACCTAGTCTTGGGTATTTTATTATAGCAGCATACATGGAATAAGACACTCACCAACATTTCTTACTGTCTTTTTAATCATAGCCTTCCTAGTGAGTGTGAAGTTGTGCCTCACATTGTGGTTTTGATTTGCCTTTCTCTGATGGCTAATGATGTTGAGAATCTTTCTGTATACTTATTGGTCAGTTGTTTAACTTCTTTGGAGAAATGTCTATTTTAAAATTTTTGCCCATCATTTTAATTGGGTTATTTATCTTATTGGGTTGTAAGAATTCTTTGTATATTCTGGATGTAAGTCCCTTATCAGATATGTATTATAATCTGCAAAATTTTTCTCCCATTCTGTGGGTTGTCTTTTTACTTTTGATGGTATTATTTGAAGCACACATATTTTTATTTTTGATAAAGTCTGACTTACCTGTTTTTTCTTTTATTGCTTTTGCTATAAAATGTTTTTAAAGATCTCAGTATTTTAGTTTGTTTTAGAAAAAAATGAATATGTGTGCAAAATAAAAGAAATAACAAATAACAGAACAGGAAGAAAAGAGCCTCTTTTGGCTGGACACAGTGGCTCATACCTGTAATCCTAGCACTTTGGGAGGCCAAGGCAGGCAGATCACTTGAGGTCAGGAGTTTGAGACCAGTCTGGCCAACATCGTGAAACCTCGTCTCTACCAAAAATACAAAAATTAGTGGGGCGTGGTGGCAGGCGCCTGTGATCTTAGCTACTTGGGAGGCTGAGGGAGGAGAATTGCTTGAACCCAGGAAGGGGAGGTTGTAGTGAGCTGAGATGGTGCCACTGCACTCCAGCCTGGGTTATAGAACAAGACTCCTTCTCAAAAAAAAAAAAGAGCCTCTTTCCAACCCCTGACTTCTAGTCCCTCAGTCTTCTCCCAACACACATTTGTATCTAATTCTTAAACACACACATGCGCACACACAGATAGAAGCATCATAGGTATATGGCTCAAACTGTTCTTTCTCTTGTTTTTTTTTTACATAACAATGTATCTTTGAGGTATTTAGCTCTATATTCATACATTAACACTTACTGTTCTAGAAAATGGTGGTATTGTGTTCAGTTGGATGTGGGTAACAACATTGATTTAACCAATCCATTATGATGGACATTTTGGTTGTTTTATCTTTTGCTACTGATAATAATGCTGCACTGAATAGACTTTTAGATTAGTTTTCACACTAACGTACCAAGAGTGTCTCAGGGTGAATTTCTATAGCTGAATTTGTGGAGTCAAGGAGAGAGAGAGTACTCATGTAGACTCTACATGCATCAATAGTTTATTATTGATCTTTTTTTTGATCTTTGCTAGGATGAAAGGCTAAAAACATGTATTTTATTATAGTTTTATTTATTTACTTTATTATGAGTTCAGTATCTTTTCATATTTCTTCTGTGAATATTCTTTGCATGTTCTTCCCCCTTTCTCTTTTTCTATAGAATTTTTGCTTTTCTTATTAATTTATTCATTATGTATGAAGATTACATATTAAAGACATTAGAGATTAGTCCTTCATCTTGCAACTATTTTTTCATTTTCTTTTTAATAACCATATTAATTATAGATGTGCACAGGATTTTATCATTTTTTCTCTACTAAATTTTATTTTTTATGTAATCAAATTTTCATTTCTTTCTTTAATGAGCCTAGGCTTTGTGTCTTACTTAGAAAGGCCTACCTACTCTAAGTTGCTACAAAAGTCCACATGATTTTCTAGTATTCTTTAATTTAATTTAATTGTAGACATCAACATTCTTCACATCTCTGGGATATATTTTACACATATACTGAGGCACTACATTCCACAATCCACTCCCCATCAAATAGTTATTGCAATGAGATGTTCCAACATTATTTAAAAAAATACTCTTATTATACCTTATATTTCCTCTTATCCATTTTGGTCCATTTCTGGATACTCTCTTTTTTTACATTGCCCTTTCTCTCTCTCCTTAGAGAAAGCAGCAATTTATTTTAATCATTATAGCTTTATAATAGATTTTAATCTCTGATGCAGCCAGTTCCCTTAAATATTCTTCTTTTTTAGAATTGGCATGATCATTCTTACAGGTTTATTTATCTACCTGAGAGCAAAATTTGTATATGTTGCAAATTTTAAATTACCTTTATGTGTATATATTTTTGTTCCAATTACAAATAGATTTTTTCTCATACTTTATTTGTTAATTGGCTGAAGCTATTGATTTATGTATATTAATTTTGTTATGTGAATTTACTTTAAAAATGATTTCTAATGTTTTTAAATTTCTTTTTTGGATATTCTAATCAGACAATCATATCATCTACCAGTAATGGTTACTTACTTCTTCTTTATCAATTGTTTATGTATGTAAGTTCTTACTCCTATCTAACTGTTTTGGCTAATGTCAAGAGCAATGTTAATTAATAGTAGTTATAGGCCATGTGCAGTGGCTTACACCTGTAATCCCAGGACTTTGGGAGACTGAGCTGGGAGAGCTTGAGGTCAGGAGATCCAGACCAGCTTGGGCAATGTAGTGACACTGTCTCTACAAAAAAAATAAGAAAATTAGCTGGGCATGGTGGCATGTGCCTGTGGTGTCACCTACTTGGGAGACTGAAGCAGGAGGATCACTGGAGCCCAGAAGTTCAAGGCTGCAGTGAGCCACTGCAATCTGGCCTGGTCAACAGAGTGAGATACTATCTCTAAAAAAAATAGTAGTGATAATTTTCATTTGCTCCTCCTTTACAAGGATTGTTTTTTGTTTTTCCCTATTATGTGTGATATTGATTTCTGGCTCAAGATAAAACTATTCTCTATTATACTAGACTACATTATGCTATACTGGGCTGTCCCTGACATTTATGGGAGCTGGGACAGGAGTCCAAATGGAGGCCAGCAAAAGAAATTTGTAAATATTTTGAAGTTGTTAATCAAGCTAAAAGTGTTAAGTGACAATTGTTTATCATGAAAAATATTCTTCATCAAGCTCTGAAGCCCAGATTCAAGTGTAGACGTCAGCACTTTTTAGGTCCTGTGCTGGAATGTAGCAGCGTGAAGAATTCAGGGCATTTTAGCCTGCTTTCTTTCTCATATCATACCTAGCTCTGACCCAAATTCTGGGACCTAATGCTCAGCTCATGTGCTAAGATTCCACAGCCAAACTTCTAAGCTCTGTTTTCACTCACTTGTAAACAGCCACTCTTTGGTCATTGCCAGCACCTAGGGTTTGTACATTTTGGGAGTGTATTGTCTTCCCACTGGAATATGAACCCAGGAAAGAGGATGTGCTGCCCCAGAATCTGGCTTTAGAGACACTTGTGCAGGGAATTCTGTTGTCCTGGGTAACCTGAGGGTTGTCCAGCAGTGGGGGTAGGCTCTAAAGCATGGGGCTTAGAGCCCAGGATATGAACATACAGCAGATATTAATCACTTTAAGGAAGTGATCTAACCATCCTATTCTTATTAGGAAACTTCATCAGTAATGATTGTGAATGTTTTCAAATGTGTCCTCAAATTGATATGATTGTATAAATTTTTCTTTTGTTCCATTAAAATGATTTATTATATTAATAGATTTCCTAACATTGAACCATCCTTGCATTACTGTCATAAATCTCATTTGGCTATTTAGACTTTCTAAAGCCATGTTTCAAAGGAATTTAATTGAAATATAACAAAGCTACATCAAAGTATAAAACAACAAAGGTATAACATATGTGAGAAGATTATTTCAGTCAATTAAGAAGAAATATGCCATGGAGAATCTTGTTATATTTGCAGTGAGAGAGGCAGCAAGCATTAGGAGATGAAGCCATTACAGGTTTTCATCTCTTGCTTACAAGGGCTCTGGGAACAAGCACCTCCTTGTAAAAAGCCACTTGTGAAAATTAAGTAAGTAATTACTTTTGGATGAAGGGGATATACATTACTTGCTAATGAAACATCTACTTGGTCACAGTTACATTTTGAACAAGAGAACAAACTGGCTCCAATCTTACCCTATACTATATTCTCAGTCTTAACTAGGAACCCACAAAAAATTCTAAAAGTCAGCTCTGGCCTAGTAACTTGTGACTTGCCATAGAGTCTTGGTAGTTCCATTTATTGTACAAGAAAAATATAATCAGCCTCAAGTCAGTGTAAAAGTTTAATCACCACTTCATTTAACCTTTTCATTTACATGGTTGTTGCTGTTCTTGTCTTCAGTGATGTTCCAAACTATTAGTTTATTCAACATCTTCTTATCTATGTTTCCCCTATTGTTTTGGGAAGAATTAGGTTTCTGAGGATGATGAAAAGTTAGGATGAAGCTGTTTGCTGATTTGTCTGGGAACACACTGTCTGGCATTTAGCTGATACCTAATAAATACTCATTGAACAGAAACATTTAAAAAATATTTTTCCTGTAAATATTTACTACATTTTTCCTACTTTAAACACAATGCCCCATAGCAAATGAAAATTCTGTAAACTTTATCTTTCTCAAGTTAATTAAAGAAAGGTTTGCCTCTCCCCTGGAGTGAGGAGAGGGTGTAAGCATGATTTTCTGGTGCCTGGTTCAGAATTACCTGGGTAGCTTTAAACACTTGGATTCCTAAGCCATACCCTAAGTGTACTACTACATAAGATCTCTGGGGGTGGCACAGGGGACAACTGTATTTTAGAGAGTTTCCTCAGGTAAGTCTTTCTGCACATCCAAGTTTTTGGCTGGGGGGTCCCAGATTTAACCTTCAGGCTTAGGGCACATACCAGTTACAAACTGGCTGTGGCAGCTCCATGGCTCTAGAAGAAAACACCAGCCTAGCTTTCCAGCACTTCTTTTGTCTGTTTTCTTTAAGCAGTGAGGCACTGGTGAAGGAAACACAAAATCTTATATAGACACTAATGAACTTCCTTCTATTTTATAACAAATAATCATGACATAGTAAATAAATTGTTTACAATCAGTAGTTGTGTCTTAGTGTCTAGCTGAGTATAGGTTCTGCAGGTGATAGCTGAATAGGATCCGGCTCTTTGCCTAAATTCATCCTCCTATGTTAACGTAGTAAACACACAGGGAATGGTGCCAGGGAAGGTCAGGTACTGTTTGTTCCCTGGCAGCAACGTTCTACTGACATCCTACTTTCATGCTTGGAGCTTAGTTTATATGTATCAAGGTTGTTGGATTTCCAGGAAAGAATGAATCTGAAGCCATGTGTAATTTATAAATACTAGAATATTAAAAGATCATTCTAAGATGGTAAAATGTTTAAATACTGTAACATATGTAGACATAATTGAGTAATCAAAATTTTCGATGTACTTGCTTCATTCTACATGCAAAACCATCATTTCATCCTGTAATGAGAGAAATATTGCATTTATACTTCTCAGTTGTAACAGCTGAGCTGTTGCTTATGTTTATTTTCTAATGGGATGATGTTTAAAAGGCAAACAGAGGAGCTTGCTTTAATTGTTACAATAAATTTATCTTTACTATCAATTGAAAAATAATTTACTCTAAATGATATGATTTCTTAACATTAGTTATTGGAAGGAAGAAATAAACAGGAAGTAAATGAAATTAAGCTGTGGAGACAAGTAGGTTTCTGTGCAGAGATGATGCTATTTTTGTAAATAACTTTTCTTTTTCAAGAAATTAATACATACTACTGAAGAATTTTTGGAAAATATAGAAAAATATAGAAACATATGAAGCATAAAATGAAAATTGTTCTATTTCAGTTGTCTAACATACTAACTTGTTTTCGAGGGAAAGGAGAAAGTGGGAAAAAGATAGCTTGCATTTTTAGGGTACCTGCTGGGCATTATGTTATTCAGATTTATATATGTCATCTCATTTAGTTCACCCAACAACCTTATGTGATAGGAGTTATCATCTCCATTTTCTTTCTTTCTTTTTTTTTTTTTTGAGACGGAGTCTCACTCTGTCGCCCAGGCTGGAGTGCAGTGGCACAATCTTGGCTCACTGCAATCTCTGTCTCCTGGGTTCAAGCGATCCTCCTGCCTCAGCCCCCCTAGTGGCTGGGACTACAGGCACGTGCCACCATGCCGGGCTAATTTCTGTATTTTTAGTAGAGACGGGGTTTTGTCATGTTGGCCAGGCTGGTTTCGAACCTCTGAGCTCAGGTGATCCACCCGCCTTGGCCTCCCAAAGTGCTGGGATTACAGGTGTGAGCCACCATGCCCAGCCATATCATCTCCGTTTTCTAGACTGTGAAATTTGAAGCTCTGAGACATGAATTAACTCGCTTGGGTTGAACCAGCTACTTGTTGCCGAGCTGGTTTGTCTCCCTTTAATGTCTATGCTCTTTTTGCTAATCAGAGTGATTTGTTTTCATGTCAATTCTGCTTAGCTTTGGCACTAAAATAGATTTTCCTTTTCATACATATGAAAGTAGTTACTCAAAAATTGCACTTTTGTGTGTTAACTCTGATGGGTGAGTATGGTCCGGACAGGAGAATCCAGGATTTTTCACTGACAGTGACTTGAAAGATACTTCAACGTAGGACTCCTTAGTGGGAAGAGAAAGGCTTGCACCAACCACTTTCTAAGGAAAAGGATGTAGAGTTATCTGACTTGACTCTGTTCTGTGCAGAATAGAATCAGTGCAGGGGTCAAATGCAGAGTTAGAGATGCAGGCAAAACCTGCCATTGTGTATGTGTGTTTTAAAAATAATTCCAGATGGGAAGCTAAAACGATAAATATTGTTTTCTGAAAATTAGTTTAAAAACCCATTTTCTTCTGCCCCCAAGCTGGTCCCAGGCAAAACTGCAGTTGTACATTTCCAGAGACATGCTGAAGTTAGGACCAAGGCCATGTGGTGTAGTGGGGGTGGGAAGTGTAGGTCAGGGTGGGAGGCGGGTTCCTGGCACAGGTGTTTCCAATCTGTATCCTCTCATGCACATCACCTGTGGGAGAGGAGCTATGCGGGAAAGCCCAACATGAGAATGCACAAAAGAATTGCCTGGCTTGGCCAATACAGACAACATTGCCTCTTACTAAGCTCCTTGAATGCCTTGCCTCTTTCTCCTTGGTTTGCACAGGAAGGCGGGCTCCGGGCAGGATGAATAGCTGAGGCAGGCCAGACTCTTGTGCAACTACTGCCTCCTAAAATGGCGCCCACCAGCTGTGAAGCCCCATCAACCTTGAACATTTGGTGGGAGGTGATGGTGAGAGATGTCTGCCTCCCTGCCAATGCCAGGATCCTTCTTATAGATGGAGATGAAGCTGGGGTACCCCTGGAATTCCTTGGCCTCTTTCCTGGACTATGTGGCACCATGTAGGCTCACAAGGCCAGATGGCAAAGAGGGTGAAAGTTACTTTCAGGCACCCAGCCTTTATTTTTCTTGTATTTCTTTCTCTTTTCTCAATGCCTGAATGCCCTTACCACTTATTCTGATCAAAGCTTGTTTCTACTTCCCTTATATCAATCTTTCCCCAAGATGGGTATTCATGCTTCTGTGGGAAAGGAATTATTTGTAGCTGGTATTTGAACAAATATTGTTTATTTGAATAGTTATATAGAATTTAAGGTATTTACCAAATAGAAAAGATTAAATACATTCCAGATTTTTAATAGATATTATTGCGTGAGTTGTTGTTTTAGGTACAATAAACAATAAGCTGCTATAACAAAGAGGTCCCCAAGATACAGCATCTTAAATAAGAGTTCGTTTGTCTCTAATGTAGTTGCTGGAGCTTGGGTCCCTGAACTTGTTTAGGAACCTGTATTCTTTCCGTTATGTCATTTCATTTAATTCTATGGCATTGTCATGAAGCTACCACATGACCTTACTATTTCTAACTTGTTAGAAGGGAGACAGAGAAGAATTTCATGTTAAGGGATTTCTTTTAAATAAGTAGAGGTTTCATATATTGCTTCTGTTGACATTCTGTTCTCACCTGGCTGTACCCTGCTGCAAGGATTACTGGGTGGCCGTGTCCACAGCTAGAACTCAGTGGTGTGGGGGTGCTCTCTTGCCCCTAAGAGGGGAAGAATGAAAACTAGGGGTCAGATGGCAATCTGTGCCACAGATTAAACATGAATTTTGAGAAAACTAATAGATAACAAATAGTACAAATTGTACACAGATGGTGTAGAGCAAAATTGCAAAGGAGGTAAGGAAATGACTGAGGCTCAGGAAATACTGCACATGAATGATGGATAAAGTTTAAAATCTTCCCTTGGTTAACAAAACAGAAGACTAAGTGAAGTGCAGTGGAAAGCAGGTTGGGCTTGGATCAAGCGATGTAAGTTCTAGCTTTCCGAACTTCCCTGGGCTGTCTGTTATGGGTCTGCCACTAACCTAATTTTAAATTAGGGTTAGTCATAATTTATTCTTGTGTCATAATCTGCAAGAAAAGGTATTGGATGAATGCTGAGGCTCCTTTCTTACTTAAAGTTCTTGTGAATTTCTCATTGTAGAGCTTCATCTTCAACAACTTATAAGACAGGACATTTTTGGATGGATTAGATGCGTAGGCATCCCTGAACCCCAGAAATCTCTAATCTAGGTGGATAGTTTCTCTCTCTCTTTCTCTCTCTCTCTCACACACACACACATGCACACATGCACGTGCACACACAGTGGTGAAGTGGGCTTAGCACTTGTGAATTGATGCCCACAAAACCGCATACTCAGCCCACTCTTCTCTGCCCAATTCCCAGTTCCAATGTGATACCAAAGGGGTGGCCCCCCTGGGACAGTTACTGTAATTGCTGACAACATATGATCTATAATCTTCTCCTAGGCTTGGTTACAGAGGAATTCTGGGCTCTGTTTTTATTCTCCTCTTGGGAGGTGTGTGACAATTTTCCTTTTGCTGGTCAGCAATTAGAGGCTCCTGACAATGTGGTCGGCCAAAACACGCTCCCCAGAGGGAAGGAGAATCCCCTATATTTGGCAGTAAAGTTTCTCTTGATCTAGGCTTCCAGTGGCTTCTGATTCTCCTTTCTTTCCTGTTTTTGGGGATTTTTTTTTTTTTCAAATAGAGATTGAATAGTGAAATGCTGGGATTTTTGTAAAACCTTGAAAGCAATACACAGGAAACAAGTTGTTAAATTCAAGAAACATGTGATAAACTCATACTATGCTGGGCACTATTCTAGGTATAGGAAGATAAGGAGAAAAGACATCGTCGCTACCCTAAGTTGCTCATGAATCTTTCCATGGTAGTTTAGGGGTAACCTGTCTTGAGACAGCAAAATTGACCAGTGACATTTTTCAAAGTGTTTTATGGCACTCTTGACTTCCAGAGAAACTTGACAAGGATCTGGGGCTACTCTACAAGTGAAATTAAAACTTTAAATATCCTTATGAACTTGTGAATGTTTTTCTAAATTATAAGGATGACAAAGAAAGAATTTCCTAACCTAATTCCTTTCCACTCTTCTTGCTTATGAAACTTCAATCAACAATGAGTGAGGATCACATAGGAAATTGAGTATAAATGTTGCTATTCATAGTGATACATTTTTCATTCAACTTTCTTTATCATTCGGAGGAAAAAAAGGAAAGAAGAATGTCCATGACATTCACAGTTTTATCCTCAAGCTTTTTTTTAACCATAGTTTTATTTTATTATTTTTCTGATAATTACAATAACAATAACAATAATAAATGTAAATGAGGTAGCTTTTTTCATTGGTTATGAGTGTGGACTCTGCAGCCAGATTATCTGGGTTTGAATCCTAACCTTGTGATTTACTAGTCATGTGGCCTGGGGGAAGTTGCATAAAGTCTCTGTGCCTCAGTTTTTCCATCTGTAAAATTGGGTCAATCATTATACCTACCTCCTTGCATTATTGTGAGGAAAATAAGTCTATATTTTTAAAGTAAAAGTATTTAGAACAATGCCTGGCATGTATTAAATAATTAGAAATGTTTACTAAACAAATAAATGAATATAAAATTCAAATCCCCTTAACACAAATTATTGACTGTAAGCTGGTATTCATTTCTTACTATGTGTTATGTGTGTATATCCGTTTATACTTAACTTTTTATCTCTTGATCAAGTTAGTGCAATTTAATTGTTTTAATATATAAATGTGACTAAAAGTTTTGCAAAACCCCTGGACTAGGTGCTTTCTAAAAATATATTTCAGGTCAATAATTTAATCATTCTCTGAATGTAGTAAAATTCCATGGGATCTTTGTGTGTGTGTGTGTGTGTGTGTGTGGTTTTAAGGCACGGAGAGTTTAATAGGTTAGAAGGGAGAAGACAGTAGGAAGAAGCTCCCCCATACAGAGACAGAGGGCGGGGGGCTGCAAAGCTGAAAGAGGAGGTCCCCTGATGGGATCTTTTAAAAATAGGTCAGAGGCATTCTGTTTATAAATCTTACTCATGATTGTGAAGCAGGCTGTTTTCCTTGTCCACTATTTCTCTCTCTCTCTCTGACTGATGGAATGCAGCTAGCATTTCCATATGGAAATGCTGCATAAATTTTGTTGGAGAATTCATGAATGCCTAAAAGATTTTACGTTCCAAAAGGGGAGGAAAAAAACTCTATCACTATAGTACATGGTAGAGAGTGACAAGCCAGCCTGGCCAACATGGTGAAACCCCGTCTCTACTAAAAAAAAAAAAAAATACAAAAACAATTAGCCAGGCATGGTGGCACGTGCCTGTAATCCCAGCTACTTGGGAGGCAGAGGCAGGAGAATTGCTTGAACCCAGGCGGTGGAGGCTGCAGTGAGCCGAGCTCACGCCACCACACTCCAGCCTGGGCGACAGAGTGACACTGTCTCAAAAAAAAAAAGAAAAAGAAAAAGAGAGTGACAAGGACTACAGAGACACCAGTGAAAAAGGCTGTAGTATTTGAAAAGAGAGAGAAATTATTTCCAAACGAAGAGCTTCATTGAAAGGCGGTATTTAGGGTAGGGTTTTAGTGGAGAATGTATGTATGTGGATATGGCAGGAAGGAACATGGTGAAACCAATTCTGGATTCACCGAGTTGGGGATGCCTGTAGGATGTTCAAGTGGAGGGGCCATGAGGGGCCTGAGAGAAGTTAGGGCAGGCAAAAGCTGTCGGCGTCTTCTGCCTAGAGGTAGCAGGTGAGGCCTGAGAGTGGAGGAGAATAGATTGGAGGCTGTTTAAGTTTTCTCTCCAGCTTGTAGTATCCTCCCCTCCCTTCTTCTCCGTCTCAATCCTGGCATCCATCTTCTCTCACTATTCTCAGATTCTTCCAGTGCAGATGTCATAGATTTCTTAACTTATTTTCATGAAGGTGTCAATGATGCGATGCTTTATCTTTGCGTGTTGAAAAAGAATGCTAGCAGAGGGCAGTGCTTAACTCAAAGTTTAGCAAACACAACTTAATGCTAGAATTTTAGACCACGTAGTATTTTGTTCAGGGGAGAGTTTTGGGGTACAGGGTGGAGTACATGCCTTCCTGTTGTAGTTCAGAATACACCTAGTAAAGAACCAATACAGTCGTCCCTCGTTATCCGTTGGATTGGTTCCAAGAAGCCTGCAGATAGATGCCAGAATTCATGGATGCTCAAGCCCCAGTATAAAATGGTGTCATATTTGCATATCACCTACACACATCCTCCCATATACTTTAAGTCATCTTTAGATTACTTATAATACCTAATACAACATAAACACTATGTAAATAGTTGTTACACTGTATTGTTTGGGGAATAATGACAAGAAAAAAGTCTGTACATGTCCAGACAGCTGCAGCCATCCATTTTGTTTTGAATATTTTCCATCCACGGTTGGTTGAGTCCATGGATGCACACTGTATCCGTGGAGGCTGGCTGTATCTTGTTTCTGTGAATGATGTGCTGGTTGGGAATGTTAATTCCATCCACAGTAGAGAAGACAAAATTCCCCTCTGTCTTGCTATCTGGCTTCCACCCAGAAGCACTTTTCTGCTGTTTTCGGAGTCACCTTTCCCCCACTGTGAAGCTCCATGACCAGGTCTTTATGAAAACTGTAGCTACACAGCGCTGCCCTGCTTTCTGAGTCCAACAGGAAAACTCTGCTGACGAACATGCCTACAGAAGTAGAATTTTGGACCCCAAATCACAAAGTTCCCCCTATTTTGCTTTTATCCCTTTTCTCATGCTGCTTTTGCTTCTCTTTTTAAATTTACTTTAAAAAAAAATAACTTTTTTTTTTTTTTTTTTTTAAGACTGAGTCTCTGTTGCCCAGGCTGGAGTGCAGTGGCACGATATCAGCTCACTGCAACCTCCGCTTCCCAGGTTCAAGTGAGTCTCCTGCCTCAGCTTCCTGAATAGCTGGTATAATTTTTGTATTTTTAGTAGAGACAATGTCTCACCATGTTGACCAGGCTGGTCTCAAACTCCCGACCTCAGGTGATCTGCCCGCCTTGGCCTCCCAAAGTGCTGGGATTAGAGGTGTGAGCCACAGTGTCTGGCCAACTTTTTAATTTTTAATTTTTATGGATACATAGTAGATGTATATATTTATGGGGTATATGGGATATTTTGACACAGGCATTCAGTGTATAATAATCATATCAGAGTAAATGGAGTATCTATCACCTCAAACATTTATTCTTTGCATTACAAACAATCCAATTATACTCTTTTAGTTATTTTTAGATATACAATTAAATTATTTTTGACTATAGTCACCCTGTTATGCTATCAAATACTAGATCTTACTCATTCCTTCTAACTATCTTTTTTGTACCCATTAACTATTCTGCCTCACCGCCCCACTACCCTTCCCAGCCTCTGGTAACCATCCTTCTACTCTGTCTGCATGAGTTCAACAGTTTTAATTTTTAGCTCCCACAAATAATTGAGAACATGTGAAGTCTGTCTTTCTGTGCCTGGCTTATTTCACTTAACATAATGAGCCCCAGTTCCATCCAAGTTGTTGCCTTTCTCTTCCTTTTTCTCCGGCATTCACTTATTCATTCCCTGTCTGTCTGTGACTATAGCATACAAAGAACTGATGGATATTTAAGACAGGGTTTCTGCTTAAGGAGTTTATCATGTATCAGATACGGTGGGCATTAATGTTTTACCAAAGAGTTCTGGTTCTTTCCTTTTCTACATACATGATAGGATTATTTAGTATCCAGGTTGTCCTCATTTTACTATCGAGGAAATAATGTTCAGAACATGTAAGTAACTTGTCTGGTGTCACACTGCTCAGGTTCATCTGATGCTACAATCTGCTATTTCTATTGCGCCGTACTGTGTTTAGAGCGGATGGGTATGTGGACAGGTCATGTTTTGGGAATGGGCATTCCAGGTTGAGAGGTGGGACAGGAAAAGTGCCAGATATGTTTTCGAATCTGTTAGGCAGTTCAACTCATCAAATAGCAGAAAAGACTGTGTGCCAGGAGGCGGCAGGGGGTGACGCTGAGGTGTAGGCAGCCTCAAATGCCAGGATGAGGAATTTGGAATTGCTTCCATTTCTACCGATATGTTTTCACAAATAGGTCATATCTCATTCCTATTTGTATTTTTGACTTTCTGAAGAATTTTTCCTCTCTGTTAAAGATGAGCAAGATAAAATGGTCTAAAGTGGCAGAGTGAGGGGTTTAGGTGAGATAGTCACTCACCTGCTAAGGACTATGCGTGATTCTAGGTGCTGGGGGCACCACATTAGACAACATAATACCTGTCCTCTTAGAGTGGGGAGTCCAGAGGTACCAGGAAAATGGTGATTAATCCTGGAATAGCTCATGGGAGAGAATTTAGCGTGCCTCTCTCTGGAGGACAGACGCTCATATATCTTGAGGAGTTTAATAATGAGGTTGTCTTACTGTAAAAAACAGAGAAGGAGATGGGATTGAGAAGGCAATTTTTATAAGTGGAAGGTTGGAAGAAAAGGCTTTACAATTCCAAGAATGTAATGAATGCATATTCTATTGTCATTAAGGAGGGAGACTAAACCGGCGGGGGATTTTTTTTTTCTTTAAAGCTTCTTCGGGAAGAAACAGTGTGGAGTAACTGAAAATCATGCAATTAGATGAAGCAGGAGTTTTGGCATCTTGCTTGAAGCCTGCTGAGCTGGAAGGCCTGTGACTGAAGGTCAAGGAGAGTGTGCAAGCAGATATGGATTAATAAACACACTGGAGTGTCTTACTGAGATAGTAATATTTGGATTATAAAACACTTTTAAAAACTATTTGAGCCCATGATTAATTGAGGCTCACAAATTTCAAGCAGTGAAATGTGTTTTACTGCAATTGCTATTAAGAACTCCTATCAGCTATCCGATTCCTTGATTTCCCTAGTGAATTTTATAATCTAAATTAAACAGAGAATGGTATAAATTTTCCCTTTTTTTGGGTAGCTGATTAAAACCAATATCATCTCAATTTACTGTTACATAGTAGTTATATCTGACTCTATGGAACAATTTATGTATCTGATTACTTCCAATATTTTTATGAATTGATCATAAGCCAATTTGAAAACTTACTGATCTAAAATAAGTTCGGTAATAACAAAACATACTGCTTGAAAGAATTATTAATAAAATAAATCAGGATGCATAGAAATTGGCATCTCTCCCTGTATAAATTATATTGTCATGAGACTGTGAATCATTTCTTATGACATATTTCTAACTCCACGTTCTGTGGTAGTGGCTTCATCACCAATTCGTAAGTATACCAGAATAAGGGAAACTATTTTCTCAACGGATTTTTTTCTTAAACCATTTTCAAAAGAAACAGAACAGAAACAAGAGAACGAAGAAATTCATATTTTATACAATTGGCAGAACTGCCTAAAAATGCTACTGTAGTTTGATGACAATAGCTTTAGTTTCTGAATAAGCATACATGCTATTTCAGGTGTAATAGAAGTTTGCGAATGGAGATTTTCTCATGTTTTTCAAAAGAAGAATGCTTGCACACAAATAACACAGGCAACTCATCATGAAAGACTTGAGATGGAGAAAAAAATGACAAAGAATATTTTCATTCCCTATAAGCACAGCTGTCTACTCGCATTACAGAACAGAAACTGAATGGAGGAGGGAAAAGCAAAGAGTGCTTTGGGATGTTCATGCAGTCACAATCCCGGGAATAAAGTGAAACTTTCTCAGGAGAAGCAGGGCTGTTTGTTCTGACCTCCTCTCCTCCCTCTCACAAGAACCGCTGGGCTTTTCTCAACAGGGCTGGGAAGTGTGCTTTCCTTGGGGTGCAGGAGAGAGTGACATCTGCTTCTCCTACATGTCCCAGGAATTTGCTGAAGGTCCAGGAAAGAATTTTTATTCTGTATGTGAGTCAGTTGGATTAACGTTATGGAGTGTCTGTGACAAACCACAGATAGTGGGAGAGGTGATGGGTTTGTCAGGGATGTGTTGCTGAATTCTCCTTCTGTCCCTTAGTCTCACCCTCCAGAAAGTCCAGGATCCTTGTTCTGTTGCTGGTACCCAGAAAGGCTGCTGCTTCCCATCTCCCACCCGCTGTGTAAACATACTACGGAACAATGGACTTTCCTGACCTTCACTGTGCTTTACTGGTTCTACTCAGTTTCTCCCTGGGAGTTGGGTTATAACCCTGAAGACCACATGGCACTTGAGCAGTCCAGATTCTGTTGTTTGACAGTGATCTGTCCGGATGGCAGCTATCCCTCCCCACTAGTTCTTGAAGATTTCTCCTTTTCTAGCATGATCCGTGTGTTGTGTGACAATTACCACCTCTCTCTGTGCACATCTGTCTCCTTCACCTTCTTACGATGTCCATACATTGCTGTGTTTACTTGATCAAGGGATCTGAATTCATGGTGGCGAGTGGCACCAGACAGTGCATCTAAATAATGCAATGTTACCCAGCACTGGAAGGAGGCTGGGGTCAGCCAGAAGAACACTGAAAATAGGAAGAAGCTTAGGAGGCCAAGGAATGTGTTCCTAGGTGGGCAGGAGGACAGCAAAGTTCCTGGTAATGGCATAGAAACCAGGAACCTGTCTTTAAGAGGATAGGAAGTCTGTTGGGTTTGGAAGGCTGGCCAAGGAGGAGCAATCTCTACCCAGAACATGTAAAGACAGTACACAACTGGACACAGGTCAACAGATGGCTTTGATATTTAGAGAACAGATGTTTAAAAGAGTCATGCAAGGAATGTTCACAGAAGAAAGCAGGTATTGTTATGGAAGCTGAGGGGGTAGGACATTTGCGTAAGGCAGAGGACTGGAAGTGGGTTTTCTGTGGTGTGGAAATGACTTCTTTATACCCACATATGAGCCCCCAAATAAGAAGAGATCCCTCCATCAAAAAACTGACTTCTTACTCATCTTTCATATTACAGGGTACTCTTGATTACTTTTTAAAATTCAATTTTTTTCTAAAAAAGTATGAATTAGAGAACATGTAGCCTTAAGATGAGTAAAAATGTGTAAAACTCTTAATAGAATTTTACATGCTTGCAGATATTATTTAATGGAATTTTATGTACATACATAATTTAATATATTTTATATTTATTTATATGATTTAATATATAACATATAATTTTATATATGAATAACAAAATTTAAGATATATTGATTTAACATAATTTAGTGATCATTCCTAGAAGTATTCATTTATTTTAAAATAAGTATCAGCCCATCTATGTACCAGACACTGTTCTAAGAAGGAGATAGAATTATAAAAAAGGAGACAAGATTTCTGTCCCTGCAGGGAAGAGAAGGTCTCTGAAGATGAGCTCTATGGAGAAAAATAAAGCAGGTAAAGGGAGTAGTTTTAGATACAAGCTTTGGATGATGTTGTAAAAGTCTTTAAAACACCACTTTAAAAGCCATGCAGTCAAAGGTTATGTTGTGGAGTTCACAAATATACGCCCACAATATGAATGAGACATTATACCAAATGTTATGCCTATTTTTATGTCAAGGGACAATTGTGACTTATATTAACATTTCCTAAGATCACATGAAATGTGGACTAAAAAATGCTCAGCCAGGTTAGATGACTCAGGAGGGTATTATGGTGAGAACATCAACATAGAAGATATACATAAAGAGCTCAGATAGAATTGTTTGATGGTATGTGAATGGAAATGAGTCATGTTCCCACCAGTGTATTTTATATATTGTGGTCTTCAAGTTTGTCTGTGACCATAAATCAATAAATTAAACAGTATATTTTATATATCGTGATCTTCAAGTTTTCCTGTGAACATAAATTAATAAATTGAACATTGATATAGAAGTGTACATTTTCTATATCAATTACATCCCTAAAATTTTGTACATTGAAGTTGGTCCCAAACCTTTTCTTTTGGATCTTTTCACTGGGAAACCAGGCAGTCACCTTACTTCGGGGGTTGTATTTGGACATGGTAAATAGCCTGGCCTGTGGCTGGGTGATGGATGTCAAGTGTGCCTCTCAAACCTGCTGCACAGAATTTAGCAAGAAGCAGGTGCTTGAGAGCTGTTTGTTGAATGCTGGCTGAAGCTTCTGTCCCTGAGAACATATTCCTAAGGCTGAATTGCCCATTACATCACCTGCTAGTAGGCACTGATATGGTTTAGATCTGTGTCCCCGGGCAAATCTGATGATCAATTGTAATCCCCAATGTTGGAGGTGGCGCCTGGTGGGAGGTGATTGGATCATGGGAGTGGTCTGGTGGGAGGTGATTGGATCATGGGAGTGGTCTGGCGGGAGGTGATTGGGTCGTGGGGATGTTTTCTCATGGTTTAACCCCATCCCCCTTGGTGCTGTCATCACGATAGTGAGTGAGTGAGTTCTCCTCAGATCTGGTTGTTCAAAAGTGTGTAGCGCTCCCTTCTCTTGCTCTTGCTTCTACTCTGGCCACGTGAGGTGTGTGCTATCATGATTGTAAGTTTCCTGAGGCCTCCCCAGAAGGAGAAGCTGCTATGCCTCTTGTACAGCCTGGAGAACTGTGAGCCAATTAAACCTCTGTTCTTTATAAATTACTCAGTCTCAGGTATTTCTTTATAACAATGTGAAAACAGACTCATACAAACACCTATGCTGGTTTCTGAGCAGTCAAACTGCCAGCCTGAGGAGTGGACAGAACATTCTCTGCTTTGTGTGGATTTGAACCTGTGAAGCAGAGAGTAGAACGGTATTACCTAAAGGAAGCCTTTGGCCTATTGCTCAGGCTGGGTAGATGATGTAAATGAGACTTGAGTCTTTATATACTTTACTTCCTGATAATACTTTCCTATAGGCAGGAAGTGCGTCACCCAAAATTAGGGTGGAGAGGCCCTGTAATGTGATTGAGGGATGTCAAAATGCCTCTCAGAGTTCATATGTCTTCCTAGCCAGCTTGCCAAAGTGCCAACGATTTCCACCAATAGGTGTCTTAGAGCCAAGCTGGGGCCCACCCCTCTCCTGCCCTTCAGGCTTTGAATTCCATTGTGGCAGAGCTCTTATTAAAAAGGCAGACATGATGGTCAAAGGGGAGGCACATGAACCCAGTAACACTTAGATGTTAGTTATTTTACCAGGTTAGCTGATGGTAACCTAGGGAAGGCCTACTGCAGTGGGGCAATGAGTGAGTTAAATTTGAGTGGACCTGAATGGGGCCATCTCTGGAGAGCTCTAGGAAGCTAAGGGCAGATGGAGGACCCCAGAATGTTAGGAGGAAGCAGTGGGAAGCAGAATTTTAAGATGACTTCCAAGGACTTTCCTTTGGGTCATCGCCTCCTGATGAGTGTGGGTGGAACCTGTGAATGAGATGAGATTCATTCCTGTCTATGTTCTGTTATATGGTAGAAGGAAGGTTGCAAATGTAATGAAGCTTCGGAAATCAGTTGACCTTAAGAGGGAGATTATCTAGGTGGGCCTGACCTAATCACATGAGCCCTTTACATCTGGGTCTAGAGGTCAGAGATGAGGGAGGTTGGAGATTCAGAGCATGAGCAGATCCTGCGTGCCATAGCTGGCTTGATAGGTGGGAGTGGACACAGGGGAAGGGGTACGGACTGGCATTAAAGAGCTGAGGGCTGACACTCTGCTGATAGTCAGCAAGGAAACAGGGACCTCAGTCCTTCAATCACAAGGAACTGAATTCTGCCAACAAGGGGAAAGAGTTTGAATGTAAATTTTCCCGCAGAGCTTCCAGCCAAGGACCTAGCCAGTGGGACACCTTGATTGCAGACTTGTGAGACTTTGAGCTGAGAACCTAGTGAGCTCAGGGTCTCACAAGGCTGCAATCAAGGTGTCCCGCTGGCTAGGTCCTTGGCTGGACGTCTGACCCGTGGAACTTCGGGTCAATAAATGGGTGTTGCATGTGAGGAGTCGGGGAGTGCATCAGGAAGAATAGCTAATGGATGCTGTGCTTAAAACTGGGGTGCCGGGATGATCTGTGCAGTAAACCACCATGGCACACATTTACCTATGTAACAAATCTGCACATCTTGCACATGTACCCCTGAACTTGAAATAAAAATTGAAGAAGAAAGAAAAATAAATAAATAAATAAACGGATGTTGTTTCAAGCCACTAAAACTGTGGTCATTTTTTATGCAGCAACAGAAAATGAATACGTTCTGCGAAAGTCACAGTTTTTCTGGATGTGCGTATTGCTGTTGAATTACTTTCCTCCTTATGAGACAGGTCGGTGGATGGGTAACTTTTAGAGAAGCTCCTTATATGTTATGACTGGGGAACCTGAGAACTGTGGGGTGCCCTTTCCCCTTTCACCTCTCTTCACAACAGCTGTATACCAGCTATAATGTTGTAAAATAGGCGTGAGGTTTTTTTTTTCTCCGTGTGGTTTTGCATGCTGTAGGGATTCCAGCACTCCTGCTTCTTACAGCAAGTCAAAATATAGACACTAAATAGCATGTTTTGAAGCACCTCATATTGCCCTTTTGTCAATGTCTTGCCCTGTTTGCAGAGATCACACTCTTCCTCATCCCAGCTCTCTCGCCCTGGGTTTGGATCTGGGGCTTTCCATTCTCACCCTAAGAAAGCACCCCCTCATAAAGATGACATCACCACTGTGTCAGAGCACTGTCCCTTGCCACACAGGTGCGAGCTGTGGTTTATCTCTCATTATGGCCCCCATGTGACTCCTGCATGTTCCCGGGCCAATCTCTCCCCTGGGGGTCTTGCACCAGACAGTCTCTTGAACCTGCACATTCTCCAACAGCAGTAGTAGAGTGGCAGTGGTCCGATAGTCTTTCCAGGCATGAGTGAGTGGGAGACACCCATAGGCCTGGCAGCACATTTGTTATCAAATCAATGCAGGCTCAGGTTGGGGGCACAGAGGTTAGGTGACCACCCAAGGTGATCCTAGGGACTCAGCCCCTGAATTCTATGGAAGCCCTGGTGGACATTCAATCCATGTTATTGATGATAGTGACAGATCTGGGATTTAACTCCCCCAAAATGTGGATCCCAGTGTGGGTGAAACACAAAAACCATAAAACCATGTATTGAGATTGATGCTCAAGTGATTCAATCAATGAGGCCATTGAGGTCACTAAAAAATGGAGTTTTAGAAATCAGTTGACTCAAGGGCTATTTCAGATCATGGCTCAGTCTTGGGCTTTCACAGCCACATCTTCCTCTTTGAGGAGAGAAATACGAATAAGCCTGATTATCTGTTCTACGTATTGTTGAGCACTGCGATGGTTAATACTGAATGTCAACTTGATTGGATTGAAGGATGCAAAAGTATTGATCCTGGGTGTGTCTGTAAGAGTGTTGTCAAAGAAGATTAACATTTGAGTCAGTGAGCTGGGAAAGGCAGAATCACCCTTAATCTTGGTGGGCAGCATCTAATCAGGTCAGCCAGGCTAGAATATAAAGCAGGCAGAAAAACGTGAAAAGACTAGACTAGCTTAGCCTCCCAGCCTACATCTTTCTCCTGTGCTGGATGTTTCCTGCCCTCAGACATTGGACTCCAAATTTTTCAGTTTTGAGACTTGGCCTGGCTCTCCTTGCTCCTCAGCTTGGGACCTTGTGATCGTGTGAGTTAATACTTAATTCACCCCCCCCCCCCACTTTATATATCTATCTATCCTATTAGTTCTGTCCCTCTAGAGAACCATGACTAATAAAAGCACCATTGTCCACAACTCAGGAAGCTGGTTCTTTTCTGAGGCTCTCATTCTAGGCCATTGTCCTTTATGTGATGGTTTTGTCATTATATTTACAAACACACACACCCACATGTGCACACACACACACACACACACATATGATTACACCGGTTGGGAGTAATGACATCCATAAACTGTCCACTTTATTTTTTAGTTAAATCTACATCACACAGTACAAGCAATAATTAAAAGGACACAAGATTTACTTAGGCAGGGAAGAGGCATCTTTGTTTTTGCTTGTGTGTCTACAGGTTGGTCTGTTGAGGTTGTGCTCTGTTGGTGGTTCCACTTCCATGGCCAAGCTGAGCTTGGCTCTTGGCTGCAAGTTGGGCTGAGGTTTGCTTTGCTTCACGGGTCTTCATTCTGAGGCCTTGGCAGAAGAGGCAGCCGTGAGCTGATGGGCAATACTCTCCTCAGGGCAATGCCAGAGAGGCAAGAGCACACACGGAGCCATGCTGCCTCTAAGGCCAGGCTTGGAACTGGTGCCGTCGTCGTGTCTGCCTACATTTCATTAGATAAAGCAAGTTAGGGGCCTGCACTCCACGTGGAGGTGTGGGGAAGTATAATTCCACCTTGGAAGAGGAAGGCAGGGAGTAATTATTTTTGATCATCAACCTACTTTACCTCAGGGGGTCAGCTGAGTGTATGTGTATGTAATATATTGTCTTTTTAAACACAGAGGCACCCACCCACGTAGTGAGATCTCTGAAGTGCTAAGGACTTCAATGCTTGGACTTTTAACATATATGGACCATGTTCAACTGTTTTAGCACAACAGCTTTCCCTGTATTAATTTTTTCTGGTCTTTCTTCTGGCCTCTCCACATTAATTCAGGTCACTTGCTGTTAAAAAACGAAACAAGATAGTGTTTCAAAGAAAAATGTTCTGTATGAAATATTTAAACCTGGTTAAAACTACCAGCAAGATGGAGTTGAATGTTTTATGTGATAACTGGTGCTCAAATCTTGGTTCCCTTCAGGGAGGAAGGGAAGAGCAGGGGTGGCAAACCCAGGCCTGGTGCTTACGATTCAGTTGCCCAGAGGAATTTTCCACCCAAAGCCAAACACCCATGCTGAGATGTTGGGTTCTCTTGGTTTATTCAACAAGAGGAATGGAAGTTAGTTTCTAATACCCATCACTCTGAAAAAAGAATCAAGAGAAGAGGGGTGCAGACAGGGATGTGTTACTGTTTTTTTTAGGATCTTCCCTGTACTAGAGACTGTGGCTGCTGTTTTATATGTGAGGGTAACTATGGCTCTGAGGGGTTAAGTAACTTATCTAAGTTCTCATGGTAGAAAGAAGCGAGCCAGGCAGGATTCAGCTTCCAAAAGCCTATCCTCTTGGCATGACACTATATTGGATGGAATGGCATTTCCTTCCATACGTCAGTGATGGGAAGCTCATTTCTTATAGGGCAGGTTACAGAGAGAGCTCAAGATTGTAGCAGTGACCTAATACTGACCTTTGGGCTCTTTACAGCTTCTGCTGGTACTGAATAGCAATCTCTTGTCTCTGGCAGTTCTTTAAACTTTCCTCCTTAGTCTTCTCCAGGTGTGTTCCTTCAGGTCCTTTTCACATGACACAGTGTTCAGTTTTAATCACCCTTGGTTATCCTTTTTCAGATGAGCTCCAGCTTCTCGTAAGTGGCAAGGAATGAAAGAAAAAGCCAGAAGAATTCTCAAAAAGACAGGCAAGCCCACCTGCTTTATCTTGGTGTGACAAGGGCAGGTGACTTTCTGGTTTGGGTTCTGGCCTGGAAGTATAGGCAGCCCCTTGTCCATTACACTGCATGGAAATTCACCCTCGGGCAGGGGTTGTGTTGTGTCCAGGGGGTATTGGGCTTCAGCCCTGGTTTTGGGTGCGCAATAGAGTTGAAACCATAGAGTCAGCTATCACCTGCTTCTCTACGGTTATTTATTAGCCAGGTATTTATTACACCACTTAAAGAAGAGGCAGGAAGGGGAGGATAAGCTGAGAGAGGACCCAAAGTGCTCAAATTCCCCATATCTCATTCCCTCCCTCTCTGATGGTAGATGACAGGAGGTCATCACCAGTTCACCCTTGAACATCCCAAGGTTATAGAATAAGCTGTCTGCACTACTAACGAATCATGGTGTGGATTAAATAAACAGGTGTGGATAGCTGTGGATTTATGAATACACCTTGATAGGTGTGGATTTATGAATAAATATGAAGAATATGAAATACAAAAATAACTGAAAGGAAGATAAATAGTGTGCTTCAAGGAAATGCACTAAGGAAATGGACTTGAACATGCAAAAATCTCTGTGACTTGATTCTCAGTATAAAGCAATTCATATCTTGTTTGGGGAAGAACTTTTCCCATTCTTTTGGTGTTTTAACCAAATCCACATCTTTCCCTGGTGCTTTGTGGAGCAGATCTACTTAAGCAAGTAACTGCTTTGAGTGCAGACCTCTCTGTATTTACTACAGTGTCCAGGCTGGAAGAAGTTGAATTCTAAATGCACTGTCACCACCTGAAAAAGGGATTTTGGCAAAGCCCCATGTTATAGATTGAATTGTATACCTCCCCAACTTCAAATGTCCTTATCCCCAGTACCTCAGAATGTGACCATTCGGAGATAAGTTCTTCATAGAGGTGTGAAGTTAAAATGAGGCCATTAGACTGGGCCTGCATCCAATATGACTTGTGTTCCTATAAGAAGAGGGAATTTGGCCACAGACACGCATAGAGGGACGATGATGTGAAGAGACACAGGGAGAGGATGGCCAATGACAAGCCAGGGAGAGAGACCTGGAACAGATTGTGCCTTCACTGCCCTCAGAAGAAACCAACCCTTCTTGACACATTGATTTCAAACTTCTAGCTTCCAGACCTGGGAGATAATACATTTCTTTTGTTTAAGCCACCCAGTTGATGATGTTACGGTAGCCCTAGCAAACAAACATCGCCCATTCAGAAAGACATATTGTATGCCGGATAAGAGGGGGAAGATGAAGAAAGGAAGAAAATAATGAGTTGGGGAGAGCTTGATGATCTCAAGGTATGTGTGGGTAGTGGCTAAGTTTGGGAGGGGAGGAGGAATCATTGTTGGCAGGTCCCACATGAGGTCGTTGCAGTGAGTGTTTATTGCAAATATATTAAAAATCAATTATCAGCCCAAAGTTAATTCTAAAATTGAGGTCATTTTCATTCTTTTTTAAAAAAAAATTCAGTGGGAATGTTGCAGTCCACAAAGCGTGGGTATGCCAACGGGGAAGAAAGGTATCTTCTTGGTGGGAATTTGCATTTATTTCGTCCTCTCTCCCCACCAGCAGATACCCCCAACCCTGCATTCTTTCACAGGGATGTCTGGCCGAAGGGAGCCCTGGGCCCTCTGAAAGCAGCCACTGTGAATTCCTTTAGGTAGGGATTTGATCGGGCTGTTTTCATTCTGCTTTCTATTAACATGAACTGCCAGTGTGTGTTATGTCCAGACAACCACCTTGTGGAAACCCAGAGAAAGCTGCAAAATAGAAACGAGGTAATCTCCTTGAAGTGGCTTGTCAGGGCCTTCTCAGGTCAGCGGGGAGGAGCCGAGCGCCACAGCGTCCTTGAGATCTGAGTGGGGTTGCGAGAGTGCCCGGTGCCTGCCTCCTTACACCCTTGGAAATCACAAAGAGCCTTTATGTCCACTGCAGCCTGTGAATCGGCTTTCATCATTGGCACCAAAGTCCCGCCACTCTCGGGTAATAAAGGACACGAAGATCAATCCTGAGGGAGAAGACTCCAGTTCCAGAATGTCCCTTTGTCCAGAAACAGCTGTGTGGAATTCAAGACTATCCAAGGATGGAAAGATCACAGGATCTCTTTCTTTCATTGTCTACTTGTTCGTCTGGGCACCACACTGTGCTTCTGCCATCTACGGAGCTGCCCACCACCGTGAAGGCGTGAGGCCTTAGGTTAAAGATTTATTCTTTTCTGCAGAGGCTCAAGGTGGCTGTTAACTCTCTCCTTGCCTTTCTTTCATTAAAAAGATTTATATTAATACCATTTGGAAATCTACAGACATAAGAGTATATAAATCACGTACGGACAATTTAAAGAGCAATAAAGCAAATGACACCTGTGTACCCATCTCTAACTTTAAGAAATAAATTCTACTTCTTCTTTCAGGGGCATTGTAGTAATACCAGTGGAACCTTATTTCTCTTTGGGATACTATCTTTTGACATGGCTATGTTATCCTGTCAGGCTAGGAGACTCAGAGCATATTAGGGTATAAGAATAATTAACTTGAGTGTTGGCCTCTGTCCTTTTACCGGTGTACCAAATATTAGCAAACAAAGGCATAGCACTGCAACAAATCACTTTGCTCATGAATGTAGCTCAATTAAAAAATAACCTGTTTCAAAGTTGGTAGACAGTAACCATGTAGATAAACCTCTATCCATCCATCTGCTCATCAATTCATCTGTCTGTCCATCTACCCAATAGTTGATTTATTTGTAACCCATTATTTCATCAATCAAATATTTATTGTGTGCCTACTGTGTACTAAACACTCAACAGACCCAAAAGGAGTGGGAAGAGAATGGGGAAAAGGGTCAGGAGCAGAGCTGTCTTCTAGCCTGTTTTCCTTCTCCCAATTCAAGCATCCTTGACCCTTTCCTCACTGATGTGGGAAATAAAATGATGCCTTTGTCCCAGGTGTCAATATTACAAGGACATTCTACTACTTCTTGGCTCTAATCAATTAGGGACGGTTTGCCTTCTAGATTCTCAGCTCTTCAACTTTCCCCTGAACCCTACTCTCAATCTAGTATGAGTTCAAAAGGACCATAGAACCTTAACCCACCTTGTGCCAGGATGTACTCTGGTGTTCTCTGGGGGTGGCATGAATGCCATATTTGAGAAGGAGCCCCACTTTCAGCTGGGCCTGGTTGGGGAATTGTATAAACAAGTGTCGATCTACAGAGTGACAGCTCTGGGAAATGAGACATTCAGCATATCTTCTGCCACTGTGGAACTTCGGGGTGGGAGCAGGTACATCTCATGGGACAAGGAGAGTGGGTTGGGTATAATAAACTCAGGTTTCCTTAATTTACTTGTTCTTCTCTAGGAAAAAAGGATGGGATCACATGTATTGATACATGTGTTATGTGCCTGGCACTGAGCTAGGTTTGATAGAATTTTGTCTTCATAAAACCCTCCTAGGGAGGTGTTCTTATCCCCATTTTACAGAGGAAGAAACTGAGGCCTTGAGAGAGTAAATGGCTTGCCCAAGACTTCACAGTCCGGAAGAGATGAGGCTGATAGTTGAAGATGTCCTTTGTTTACAACACTGTTCAGCCTCTTCTGTTCAACAGGAGTCAACTGCTAAAGGGCCAACAGCACTGCATCAGAATGTGCTGCAAGTCATCCCAGTCAACGCAACCCATGCCTGCCACAGAGGCACCTGCTGCCCCCGGTACCTGAAACTCTCTACTGCTCCAGGAGGGAACAGGGCTGATTCAGGACACAATGGCAAATTGATCATTTTTCATTTTCTTATAGCCCCCATCACTGCCCTCCTCTTCCTTTTCAATATTTCCACTTCTTTGGCGTTGGGGTATCCAATGCCCCTAGTGCAGAGAAGCAGCCTGACACAATGGGGTGTCTGTGGGTTTGGGATGGAACCCTGGCTCTGCAACCAACTGGGAGACCTCAGGTAAGCTTCAGTTGCCTCATCTGTAAAAACGGCAGCAATGGGGTCTACGTCACATTGGTAGTCTAGTCATAGAAACTGGCATACGCAGCAGAAACTCATCAAATGGGACTCACTTTTTCTTAGCTTGATCTGCCTACAGCATTGCTTCATGACCTTGACCTCTCGTCCTGTGTTCATAGCTGTGTCCAAGGCTTGTTCATCATACCTCTCCCCAATCTTGATTAGTTTTCCTAAGGCATTTGTGACAATTAAAAGTGGAATGGGGCTGGGTGCAATGGCTCAACCTGTAATCCCAGCACTTTGGGAGGCTGAGGCAGGTGGATCAATTGAGGTCAGGAGTTTGAGACCAGCCTGGCCAACACAGTGAAACCCCATCTCTACTAAAAATACAAAAATTAACCGGGTATGGTGGTATACACCGGTAGTGCCACCTCCTTGGGAGGCTGAGGCAGGAGAATCACTTGAACTTGGGAAGTGGAGGTTGCAGTGAGCCGAGATCAGCCCACTGCACTCCAGCCTGGGCAACAGAGTGAGACTCCATCTTAAAAAAAAAAAAAAAAAAAAGAATAGGTAGCTCTTTCTGGACATATCTTTGTATCTTTGCATTTGTTTTTCTAGAAATAGTAACTTAGCCCAAAGAACGAATCTCTGCTGGTGATATTTAAAGCAAAATGATGGTCCACTGAAGAAGATATTTCTGAGCAGATATTTACTGATTCCTAAAATCTTGATGATGAACTCCTTGATGCTCTTCAATATAATCCATTCTGTCTTCTGTAGCTGGCTCTACATGTGAGAATGTTGATGGAAGCTGGAGAAACATATTACCAAACACATTACCATCTTAAACCTAGAACTCATTTAGTTTCTAAACTCTCTCTGTGATTGTATTGTTTGCATCTGTCATTGTAATACCAGTAATCCTTAGACCTAAGCCTCACTAATACAATTAAAACTAGGGAATTATCAGACTGGGAGCTCATTTCATGGTGAAATGTCATGTACTTAACAGTTGCTGATATCTTGTAGCTAACTTTTCACCTCACCTCCACCTGAATGATTTTTATAACCAAACTGCAGTGCATGACCAAATTAGCGATTACTGTGTTTGGGCAAATATGACACATCTCATTTAATGTATATCTTAGTGTGAGACCAACCAACCTCTAAACACACAGAATCTAGATCAATTTCTTTTAAATGAGCACATAGTAATTTTTGTCTAATCACTCTGGAAGAAATAGAAATGTCTGCAATTGCTTTGGAAATTAACCCCACACATGTGCCTGTCCACACACATACATACACACCAAGTGCCATCAAAGGTTACAACTTCTGAATTTTCATGATAATCTTAAAATTGGCTAGGACTTTAGCAATTATTTAATCTGAAGCGTGAAGAAAATGAGGTTTGGGAAAGGGAAGGAAAGCCTGAGTTTGCACTGCTAGTTAGTGATACTCTTTGTCTAGTTTTCCCCCGTGTCCAGTGACACCTATGTTCTTCCTCCTTTCCCCTCTTCCCTTGAGTTCCATGCCCTTTTCTAGACATCTTCTACTAACTACACAACTGGCTCCCCCACTTTCTTTAGGTCTCTGCTCTCCCTTTGCACCCAACATAAAGTGGTGTCCTAACCCTCAGGACTCCTTAGTCTCCATAGCATTTACTCCCAGCTTCCAGCTTGGGGGTTTACTACCTAATGGCTCCAACTAGAATGTAAGCCTCATGAAAGAAAGGACTTTGTTTTGTTCACTGAAAAGTCTGCACCACTGACAACCATGCAGGGTGCACAATAGGTGCTCAATAAATATCTGTTGAATGAATAGACGGGCATCAACTAGTGAGAGGCAGAGACTGCAGAAATGAAGGTGAGCAAAAGTCTTCTGCTATCATGGAGCATTTAGCCTAGTGAAGGAGTCTTGCATTGGCAATCAGGTGGGTGTGATACATTCTATGAGAGGAATTACAAGAGGTCACAGAAGTGTACAACAAGGGGTTTTGACTTGGTCCTGGGGTGCTTATGGACAATAGTGGGAAAAGCCCATGCATACACTGTGTATGTGTTGTGATTACTGAACCAGACTTATAGAACACATTCATCCCTAGTATATTTGAAGATGTTTTGTCAAATGACAAGTTGATTAGGCTTCTGTGTGACTACCTTAGTCTCCAAATAGGCTATGTTTGGTGATTTAAGAGCTTAGCGGAGACACGATTATCCTTTAGATAAGATTGTGTAGGGATACATATTCTAAGCATGGAATCCACCATTGATCCACTGGATTTTTTTTGAATGAATTTATTCCAATGGGAAGGTGGCACTCAAGTTTTCAGTATCTCCCTGGGGAATTCATCTGGGCGAGCAGACTACTAAATGAATGACTACCAAATGAGTTTTGTCTACCAAGGGTCTACCAGAGAGACCACATGATGTCGCTGTTGCTTAAATATATACGAAAACTCTTTTGTGAGGATTAGTTTATAAAGGAAGTTTCAGGAAGATGGAAAAATGTTATTCCAATAAGAGAAACACTTTTATACACATAAAAGGCATTTTTAAACGTAAAAACAGCTGACTTATATACCAAAGCCTCCTTTTAAATTTTTATTTATTATTGTTTTTCCTTTACTCAGCAATATCAAAACGGTCTTGATGTTACCTGATAATTTCTTCTGAAGAATTTAGAGTGCCATTATGTCTAAATATCTTATATATTTAAAACTTGAGGAGTTTTAAAATATAAATGTTTCATTGAAACATTATAAAATTCAGAAGAATACAAATGACACGTGTTGTGAACAGAGGGTTAGAATTACTTCATTTTCTGCACCTGAGACCCTCTCAAAAAATGATCACCAATATGCATAGATTACATCCACCTACATTCCTCAAATCAACATGATTTACTTAATGTTAGTCTATCGCCTGCTTTTAAAAACTTTTTCTCTCCTTTTGCTTTTCTTTCTCTCTTACTTACTTTTTATTTCTCAGAGAATTTTTGTTTCTTTTATCATTTCATGGATTTATTTTGTTAGTTTTAGTTCATTCATTTCTCAAACATTTACTGCATACCTGTTATGTGTAAGATCATATTCTAGGTATTGTAAAAGACAGAAAGTAGGTGAACATATCATTTCCATATACAAGACTCTTACAGTCTTGTAAGATTGAAGACAAATTCACAAAAATAACAGAATGAATCTTTATTGCATGTCAGACCCTCTACCAAGTTTTTAACATGTTATCTCACTTAAACCTCATGATATCTCTTGTTAACTTCATTTTACAGGTGGGAAGACTGAGATTTAGGAAGGATCAATAATTTGTCTAAGGTTAAACAGCTTGTGTATGCGGGGGCTGAGAATCCAATCTCAGTACATTTGGCCACAGAGCCTGAGATATGCTTTTTTAGACTTGCAGTAATATTAGGCAAAATAAGGCAAGTGTTAAATATAGAGGTTCAAAGTGCAATGGAAATTCATATCTGGGGAGGTTTTATGGAGGAAGTGGCATTTGAGTTTGGCTTTGAAGGATGAATAGTATTTCACCTGGTAGAGATGAGAAGGGGGTCTCTACCAAACAAAGGTTTAGTTCTGGCTCATGGTATATTTACAAGCTAAACCAACAAGGGTCTTGGTTCCACACATTGACTCAGGGACCCAAGCTGAAGGGCTACTGTCTTATAGTTGCACACTATGGAACATAAGCAGAAGAGAAAATGATGCGTGAAAGTTGTATTGCCTTTGCCCAAAATTGACTCATGTCACTCTGCTCACATTTCACTGGCTAAAACCAGTCATATGGTCCTGGTTAACTGCAAGAGGGCTGGGAAATGTAGGGAACAGATGGAATATTAATGAACATGCTGTCTCTTCCCTATTATTGTGCTGCCTCCCTGGAAATGTGGAAAATATGCATTATTATCCAGATTTAATCAGTGGATAGACTTGGGTACAGAAAGATTAAGTGACTCACTCAGGATCACGTGGTCACCTTGGTCATAGCTACCAAGAGCAGGTAGCATAGGCAGCTACTGACATAGCATTATTCCAGGAGCCTTCCTACCATCCCCCACTCCCAGGTCTTATTTCCTCCAATGATTGGTTGGAAAAGATGGAATTTCTACAATTTCAAATGATTTTCTTTGGCTTAAGTCCTCAGTACCTTGCAGATCAAAACAGCCTTTGGAGAAATGCCATACTGAGCCTGACCTGTTCAAGCCCCTTTTGGAATGATGGGATGTGGGTGGTGTTTTCTAGCACAAATAAATAAATAAAATAAGCCAGCAAATATAATTTAAAAATGACAGTCATTCTCATTTTAAGCCTGGTGGTTCCCAACCTCTTCCAGTGGAAGATCAACTTACAGGAGGGCATATTTCTCTCATTCACTGGGTATAACTCTGTGACTAGCCTATCGGCAGTACCTGGAAGACCATTTAAAGAATGAGACCATTGTTGTCTGTGGTGAAAGGAGAATTTGCCTGTTGCAAGTGACATACCATGCAACTCTCTTCCAAACAGCAAGGTGCTTACCCATGTGGAAAAAAAAAAAAATGAAAGGAACAGCCAGATTTGGTTACTGTCGGAGCCACATGATTCAGAGATATCCTTGTTAATGACAGTTGCACAGCTGGATAATTAATCAAAGAATGAAGAGAATATAGCGCAGCCTAATGCACACAGCTCCATCCAGTCTCTGCGGGATCAGGCCATCATCTGTTTATTCTCCTTTGGAATGGCTTGAGAATATTCAATTATTCAATAGCTCCCCTCCTTGCTGTGATGGGATGTATGGTTTTTAATTGGCACCAGGGCCTTTCTGCTCCTATGAACTTTGCTAGTCACTCTTGTGATTCTAGTCCCTGGAAGCATGAATGTTTATCTTTATCTAGAGCTGGGTTCAAACAATGCATCTTGAAGTACTGATCAGCTTTTAAAAAGCAGTTCTGCCAAGTGATTGGTGGCAAAATCATGACAAAATCTGCATTTCAATTTTGTCCTTTTTCTTCCTACCTATGTTGTACTTGCCGTAGAACACTGGATAAAAAGTCTATCTGTACCATGAACTTTCTCTGCCATTATAGTTAATTTTGTAAATGTTGTCTTTTCCTTAGGAGAGATTTTGGGTTTTAATATTAGGCTGGTGCATAAATATTTGCCCATTATGGTGTGTTTCTTTGAAGTGCTTTCTGGAGTAGCAATTTAATATTTCTGATATATAAATACAATGTTTTTTCAAACTTAAGACAGAGATTATTATAATTGTACAGAGACATTTATTAAGACATAGATTACCACCTATTTTAGGGCCTTCAAACATAAAGTTACAATGAAATCTCATTAAGTGGGCTGCTTCTACTGCTTTTACCTCTCTAAATATTTGCCCTCTGTAGTGGAATTTTTCTCCTTCAGACGCAAATTTTTCCAACCTTCTGTGTTAATTAACTCAAAATGTTCTTTCCCCGGCTTGGTCCCTGCATGGCTCTGCTAGTCAAGATTCCTAACACTTGCCTGCCAACACTTAGTGTTGCTTCACTGCCTGATCATTTCAAGAGTAATAACTTATCACAAGTCCAACTCCTCAGTCGGTTTTCCAAGCCCTATTTAACCTGACCTTCACAAAGGACCCTGCCTTTTATCTTGCCACCTCCCTACAGACATCTTTTCAGTTGATCTCCTTCTAGGTGCTTTGTAATCAAAGTGAGGTTTTCAGACAGCAGCATCAGTCCTACCTAGGGGCTTACTAACATGCAGAAACTCAGGAGTCATCCAGCTGTGGGGGGAAGGAGAATCTGCATTTCCCAGGTCATTCCTGCACACATCAGTTTGAGAAGCCCTGCCCAAGACATAGAAGCTGCAATCTTGCTTCTATGTCTTTGCTTATACTGTTCCCTCCTGAATGCTGTCTCTTCTTCCATCCACTTCGGTAAGTTATTTTATTTTATTTTATTTTATTTTTTTGAGATGGAGTCTCACTCTGTCACCCAGGCTAGAGTGCAGTGGCGTGAGCTCAGCTCACTGCAACCTCCGCCTACTAGGTTCAAGAGATTCTCCTGCCTCAGCCTCCCGAGTAGCTGGGATTAAAGGCACCCACCACCACACCCGGCTAATTTTTGTATTTTCAGTAGAAACAGGGTTTCACTATGTTGGCCAGGATGGGCTTGAACTCCAGACCTCAAGTGATCCGCCTGGCTTGGCCTCCCAAAGTGCTGGGATTATAGGCATGAGCCACTGTGCCCAGCCCACTTACATAAATTTCATTCATCTTTTTGGGGCCAGCCAGTTGTTCTCTCACTTTCTTCCCTAAACTTTGTCATGATACATTTTAAATTGAGTCTTAGTTTGAAGGTAGTTTTTAAAGACAGATCATTAGACAAAAAACTACAGAGTCAAAAATACCCTTTCTTGGAGATTAAAGTTGTCTGTCAAATAAAGCACAGATGAATTAGTGTATCTCATGCTGCCTGTGGGTAAGTTCATCCGTGGTCAAATTTTCCTCCCCTATCAGAACATTTTGCCATTTCTTTGGTTGAATACCAGATTCGCTGAATGGCTTGTGTTTAGGAACTATATGGTCTAGAGAAGTATGACTCCCCCACTTCCAAGTTGATATAGCTGAATTTTTGTTAATTTACATAAGAAGTAACTCTCCTGAAATCAGGCCTGATGTGTTCCCACTTGTGTATTTTTTTGTTGTTGTTGTTCTTTTTTTGAGATGGAGTTTCGCTCTTGCTACCCAGGCTGGAGTGCAATGTCGCAATCTCGGCTCACTGCAACCTCTGCCTCCCGGGTTCAAGTGATTCTCCTGCCTCAGCCTCCCGAGGAGCTGGGATTACAGGCATGTGCCACCAGGCCCGGCTAATTTTGTATTTTTAGTAGAGACAGGGTTTCTCCATGTTGGTCAGGCTGGTCTTGAACTTCTGACCTCAGGTGATCCACCCGCCTGGGCCTCCCAAAGTGCTGGGGTTACAGGTGTGAGCCACTGCGCCTGGCCTCCCACTTGTGTTTTTATTGCCATGTCGAGTTGGATCTGGTCAGAGCAAATGAATTATTGGGACTATTTCAAAAATATGTTTTGGATTCTTTTGAATTAATTATGAATCATTCCCTTTTCATTAAAGAAAGAATCTCAAACATGTAATACATTTTTTTAAAGTAGAAAAAAAAGAAAAACATTTTCTAACTCCTTACAAGGCTTATTTAGAATGGCAAAGAACAGGGAAACAAAACAAGAAGAATGAAAATGAAAAGGAGGAGAAGAGGAAGGAAGAGAAAGTACCCCCATACAAAGTTTAAATAGTAGAAAGATACATTTTAAGTAGGTTAATATTGCCTGTTATGGACCGAATTGTGTCCCTCAATTTATATGATGAAGCCCTAACCCCCAATGTGATTACAATTGGAGATAGGGCCTTTAAGGAGGTAATTAGGTTAAATCAGGTTATAAGGGTGGGGCACTAATTCGATAGGACTGGTGTCCTGATAGAAGAAGAGGAAGAAACCATGGAGCTCTCTCCCTCTTTCTCTCTCCACAAGTGCACAGAGGACAAGACCATGTGAACACACAGTAAGAAGGCAGCTATCTGCAAAGAAAAGAGGCTGCACCAGAAACCAGCTTTGCCGGCACCTTGATCTTGGACTTCTAGCCTCCAGAATGTGAAAAAATAAATGTTTGAGCTTCCTAGTCTATGGTTTTTGTCATGGCAGTCTAAAATGACTAATATATTGCCTATTCAAGATCATTGTCCTAAGGACAGGATAGATTGATGTTTTATAGCCTGAGGTCTCATTATTTTGGCTGTTACAAAGCTAGAACTAAAGTAATATGATTCCTTGTGTAGCTATTGGTCAGTCCATTTCAGCAATTGCTTCTACTTGATGATGTCTGTGAGATGAACAGAGTAAAATTGCTTGTTTATTCTTATAACTATTTAGATTCTAACCAAAAGCTGCAACCTCCAAATATTTCCCAATGCATTTAGGATTTTCAAATGGATTACCTAAATTGTGAAAAAAGGTGAAACTGAAACTCAAGTTAGTTTTCTATGGTAATGATGTTACTGCAGAAATCTGGTGGGAATTTTAAATAGTTGTAGTGTTACCTCTTTAGCTAAGAAAACATTCTTCCAGTAGATCAGAGCAGTAAAGGTGGGAATGTCTTTTTCTCTAATATAGGCTTCTCAGTGAGGTGTTAAGTGCAAAGCTTACATTCTCTCTTTTTCCTTTAATGGAGAAAAAAAGACTGTAGGAGGTAGAATTCAAAGTGCTAAAATTGAGGCATGAGAGAAGTGGAAGATGTAGACATTACAGTGCTTCTTCTCTAATGAGGAATCACATCCAACATTCAGGATTCATGAAGAGAACTAGCTGAGGAACTTGACACGAGCTTATGTTTGGTGCATGTGCCTCTTAATGTTTCGTATTTCATAATATTCTGCATCTAATATCCATGGCTGTCAAATGGCTTGACAAATATTTCATTAATGTTATTTTATGGTAGGATTGGGATGCTTGGGGGTTACATAGAACTTGGGGTCTTGAATTTGGTCTCTCTAAATTATGTTATTTTTCTTCATTGGTTTGAAGTGTGTCTATGTAGACATATTGCTGGGGAAAATAACTTAAAGCATATAAATACATTTGTTAAGTATAACATTTCACTCCCCCATGCTTCTTCCTTGAAAACTTTAAGACTCCAGCATTTATTGTTTCAATGGCATGAGTCTTACTGGGATCACATGACCAAGTGGACAGATTTTTGTGAAAGTCAGGAAGTTTGGGTTTCAATTCCATTTCCACTTCAAATCTTATGTGTCCCCTTGGCTGGGCCATAGTGCCCAGATGTGTGGTCAAACATTATTCGGGATATTTGTGTGAGGGTGTTTTGGGATGAGATTAACATTAAGATTGGTAGACTTTGAGTAAAGAAGGCTGGCCTTCCTAACGGGGTTGACCTCATGCTACGAGTTGAAGGCTTGAATAGAACAGAAGACTGACCCTCCTCCCAGTAAGAAGGAATTCTGCCAGTAGACAGCGTTCGGGCTTGAGCTATAGCATTGGCTTTTTTCTGGGTCTTCAGCCTGATGTCCTTCGAGCTTGAACTACAGCATCAACTCTTCCCTGGGTCTCCAGCCTGCCAGCCCACCCTGAAGATTTTGGACTTGCCAGCCTTCATAATCACATGAGCCAATTCCTTAAAATGAATCTCTTTATATGTAAATAGAGAGAGAAAGAGAGAGAGAGGTGTATATATATACATGCACATTGTCTTGGTGCTGCTTCTCTGCAGAACCTGACTCTATGGAATCCTGGCTCTGGCCCTTCTCCTCTCTGAGGCCCATGTTTGCCATCTGTAAAGGGAGGAAGTAGAACTGTATAGCTTCTAAGGCCCCTTAGAAATTAAAAATTGCAGGATGCAAACACCTGCTAGTTTTGACATGTACGATTTTTACAAAGAGTAATAAAAGCAAATTCCGGAGAAGTACTAGATAAAAATGTGGAAACACTCCTCATTCCCTGACTTTTGCTTAACATTTAGAGCAGTTTGGTCAGTCTCTGCTATGGTAAAATACACATGTCTCGGCATTGTCCCCAAACACAAAATGTGGCTGGGTTCTGCTGCCAAGTCTTTCCTCCTCTGTCATAGTCCTCTCCTCCTTCCCAAACACCACCATCCTGCCGGCATTATCATCCCTGTTATGGGCACCGGCATCTTTCAGGTGAGTCTTGGACCTCCTAATTCCTGTGCCAGGCACCAAGACAAGTGGAATGTCAGCTGACTCAGACCCCAGCTGTCATCCAGAGATGAGAGGCTGGGCACCAGCTATGCCATAACTACTGCTGTTTGCCTAGGGTGTGATAATTTCTTTGACTCTTAATCGTTCTTCCTGACATCAAAACTAACACAGATGAGTGCATAATAGCACTAAAAAGAAAATAAAATTCACCTATTATAGCACCTACAGATAATTACTATTCACATTTTATTGCATAATATTCCTTTTGAATCCAGGTAATAATACAATTTAGTCTTCCCTGTCCTCCCTCTTGAGGGTCATCTTGTGCTAACGTACTTTGAGGAAGGAAGGTTTCTTCATTTCTAGTCCAGTTAGGGTCACCAAGTATGAGTGTGCAAGTTGTGCACTGCACAATCTGGAAGGCAATTCATGCTTTCACTGTTGAGCCGTAAGGTCTGTAGTGACTCTGCCACAAGCTTTAATGTTCAGTGGATTTCCCTGAGGGCTTGCAGATAATGGAGGAGGCCTTAGATAATAGCCCTGCCCAGAACAGAGAACAAGTTACAATGGAAGATAAGACATGCCCAATCTTAAATATTCCCAGGCCATGTTGAACAAGGGAATATTCAAAGGCTGCTTCTTCCTTTGGCCTAAAGTTCTCATCATATTCCTGAAACTTGCTCCTATCCACGATCACTCCTCCTCAGCCAGAACTCTCAAATCTCTCCTGGGGAGGAAGTTCTGAAATCCTGGTTACTTTGTTGTACAGAAAATTTAAATTCTTCTCTTAATCCTATCTTTTCAGACCATGCGCAGGGTGCCTTTCTTTCCATATCCGAAGGAAGTCTCAGAAACGTGTTATCTTAAAAGATCAGTTCTGTCCCTAGGAAGACTTCCCTACCAACTGACAGATGTGTAGATGGATGCTTAGATGAAGAGATGGTGATGCTCTTCATTTTCTTTATTGGTTTTTGCGTGTCTCTGGTGTTTGCATTTTCACTGATGGCAGAAAGATAACAAACTTGGCCTGAAACACTGTTTGGGGGCTATGTTATGCCAAATGTCAGGTTCCAGCCCAAGCTGAGGACTAAGGAGAGTGGATGGATGAATGGCAGGTAGCTGGAAAAAACCTCGAGGAATCGTAGTTTCCACATGGCTTTTACTATCTCTTTGGGTACGAGCAAGCCTGGGACTGAGTGGTGGGCACAAGCAAGCCATGGGTGCCAAGTCTAGGTGTGAGCTGTATGTACAGCATCAGCAAGGTAATTATACCTTTTACAGACAATAGTGGCTCCAACCCAAGCACGAGCTCATGCGGGTGATCACCTAATGAGCCTCATGTGGCATGCTTACATAACATGTGGAGTTGTGTGCCCGTGCTCCAAACCTGCTGAGTCAAGCTGTGCCAAAAGGCCACCTTGGCCTATTCCTGATTACAGGGCAGGAATATGTACCTTGCAGGGTACATAAATATTGAAGTTTAAAGTTCTTACCGCGACTTCCTCTCTTCTCAAAGATTTGCCCCTCTTCTCCACAATATGGCATCTAAATCTTCCTAGCGATTGGAGAAGATCCACGGACTCTGTTCAAAGATGCTTGTTGTCTTTCCTGGCTTGCTGCTGGGGTTAGCTCTGGGGTCCAAGCTGGCATCACGCAGGGCTACTTCTCTGGGCTTGATCAGGTGGTCCATCTCCTGTGTCAAGGGGTCCATCTCCTGCAGGCTCTGCCCCACGACAGATCCTCCGAGTCCTGGCTATGGGTTGCCCAGAAGCTGGCCTGGGCTTCCCACTCCTCAGCCTCCACTCTGGGGACACCTTTCAGCCACCGTCTGCCTCCTCTGCTGGAAGCACGCAGGAACAGCTGGAACATTCCTTCCACGTCAGCCTGAAGCCAGAGCAACCCAAGGTCCTGTCTTCTGCTCTCACTCTGTGTGTCACACTGCTACTTCAGCACGCTGGCACTCCCTGGGTGGGCCCCAGGGAGACTAGGGCTGCCAGAGTTAGCAAAAACAAACACGGGATTCCCAGCTAAATTAGAATTTCAGAGAAACAATAAATACAATTTTAGTATTATTTAGTAAGTAATATTTGGGACATACTTACACTAAAAAAGTATTTGTTGTTTATCTGAAAATAAAAATTAACTATGAATCCTGCATTTTATTTGACAACCCTACATGGGGCACGGGCACAACCTCTCTTTATTTTATTTTATTTTTTTGCTTTCCTTCCTCGTTACCTTTGGATGGAATGAGGGTCTGCAGTAGCCCTATAGTCTGATGAGTTCCTGTGGATTTTACCCCCAATTTGAGATATTGCATTTTAAAGCTAAGCTTATTTATAAATTAGGATTACATTAGGAATAGAGATTTTTTTTTATCTACTTCTTTCTCCTTTATCATAGCCATTTTTTTCAAGAACATGATTTTTAGTGGCTAATGGACACATACGGCTTGATTTTGACTGGATTTCTGATATGTTGAGTTAGAAGTATTTCTTGAGTAGCTCTTAAGTACCAAAGTATTGTTTTTTTTCTTGTCTTTTTTTTTCTTTTTCTCTTTTTCTTTTGAGACAGGTTCTCCTTCTGTCACCCAGCCTGGAGTAGTGCAGCGGTGTAATCACGGCTCACTGCAGTTTTTAATCTCCCAGGCTCAAGAGATCCTCCTCCCTCAGCCTCCCAAGCAGCTGGGACTATGGGCACATGCTACCATGTCCAGCTAATTTTTTTTTAAATTTCTTTTGTAGAGATGGGGGTCTCACTATTTTGACCAGGCTGGTTTTGAACTCCTTTGCCTCAAGCAATCCTCCTAGCTTGGCCTCCCAAAGTGTTGGGATCACAGGCGTGAGCCACCATGTCCAGGCAAAGCATTGTTTTGGTGCTGGAGATATAGTGGTGAACAAGTCAGAAATGTGTCTACTTTCATAAATTTACATGTCAGTCAGGAAGACATACACTAGACAATACTAAGTTTTAAGTGTTCTCACCACAAAAAAGTATGAAGGTAATACATATGTGAATTCACTTGATTTAGCCATTCCACAATGTATACATATATCAAAGCATCATGTTGCACACCATAAATATAAACAATTTTTTTGTCAGTTAATAAGACAAAATAGACATACTAAGTCAATAAAATTAACTCAACTCATGATGCCTGCTATGGGGATCATGAAAAAGTGAGTGACTGTATGGGGTGGAGTGATCCTGACTGGGCCAATAAGAATCCTTCCCTGGGCTAAGAAAAAGACCCCAGCGGTCTCTTGGACAGCAGTTCTTGTAAGATGTAAAATTTAAGACCTGACAGTGACCATGCTCACTGCTGCATGACGAAGACACCAGTGGTGAGAGAGAGAGAATTATCATGCAGGTAGAAGTGGTAACGAGAGACAGGAGCCTTGGAGGCATTCGAGTCCTTGGGTTCAGATGCTCCTGATTTCTACCTTCATCCTTGCCTTTCCGGTTTGTTTGTTAGGCACTTCCTGGAATCCTATGAGCCAATAAATTATATTTTTGCTTTAAGCTAGTATGGTTTGAGTTCCATCATGAGCAGCCTAGACTTCTAATACTAAAAGGGAGCTCACTAGAGATAATAATTTACAACAGATAGCCACACACAGGCCCACCGTTGGTTTCTCTGCTACAGGGGTCTCCAACCCCTGAGCTGCGGATGCTATCAGTCTGCAGCCTGTTAAGAACCAGGTCGCACAGCAGGAGGTGAGCAGCAGGCGAGTGAGCATGACCGCCTGAGCTCCGCCTCCTGTCAGATCAGTGGCCACATTAGATTCTCATAGGAGCACAAACCCTATTGTGAACTGCACATGTGAGGGACTAGGTTGTGCGTTCCTTATGAGAATCTAATGCTTGACGATCTGAGGTGGAACAGTTTCATCCTGAAACCATACCCCACCCCATCCATGGAAAAATTGTCTTCCACGAAACTGGTGTCAAAAAGATTGGGGATCACTGCTCTACTAGATCAGCTCTCTGCCTATCTCCTACTTGGCTAAAGACAGCTTGTCTTCATCTCCCTGAATGTTTCTACCTCTCTACACATCATTCTTAATCCAAAGGGATTCCCAGATTCAGAGAAATGAGTGTTTCCTTCCCTCCTGTATAAGGTTTACCTCCCTGGTTTCTCTATATTTTGGGCCTCAGACTGACCTCTTCCTAAAGTGCCTGCCCCCATGAATGTTCATTCCATTCAGAGAGGGTCACATGCCCAACCACAGGGATATCCTCTTGTCCCATGGCATTAACAGAACAAGCGCGCAACAATCTGACATCACTTTCCCCAAAGTTGGATTTTTCAGTGCAAAATGATGCCATATGGGAGATATTCATGTCAAGCCAACCCAGGCTCAATATCATTTCAGTTTTCTCCTCCTCATGAGTTAAAAAACCATGGTGTGCACAGCAATGTGTGCATGGGAGAGAGGGACAGTTGCATTTGGAGGCACAGTTTTCCCATAGAAATATCTTTCCAAATGATGTTTAGGAGCTCAGGCTGGGCACAGAAGCCTATATAGCTACAAACACACCCTGCATAGTGCTAATTGCTCTAAGCTCATAAAGCTGCTGAACACCATCAAGCTCCTCAGAAGCCTGAGGCCACTGAGCTTTGAACCTGAGTCCAGAACCCCAAACTGAAGTCATTGAGCTCTTGTGAATCCTGAGTCTTAGAGCCTTTCTGAGCACCAGGGGTTTTCTCAGTTCTGAAAACACCTGAGACTGGTGGTAGGGGGTGGAAGGATCCATTATAAGCCCCAACAACTGGGCCTCTGCAGCCCTGGATGGATTCTTTTCTTTCTGCTCTTCCACCTCCTAGGAGTTGAATCCATCGTTCCTCCACCTGTAGGTTGAGAACCACTCCAGTTTCTGAGGCATTCTCAACTAAGACGATACATAGGGCAATAACCATTATGACCTATCTCCACTCTTGTCCAGTATGGTTTGAATGAAGGTCACCTTCTTGG
The DNA here is from genome assembly GCF_000001405.40 of Homo sapiens. Lineage (NCBI taxonomy): Eukaryota > Metazoa > Chordata > Mammalia > Primates > Hominidae > Homo > Homo sapiens. The sequence goes on from NC_000018.10 coordinate 24,612,542, forward strand.
TACCTGGTAGCTCAGACAGAACTACTGGGTCCCTTGTGTAAATTACCACCAGCCTCTCCTTCCCCGTTACTCCTGCTGCAATCGAACAACATGATCATGTCAAGAAAAAGGGTTTATGTTGAGCCTGCGAATTTGGAAAGCTGATGACTGTATTTCATGGAGTCTACTATTGCTTATGTGAGTGGTTTTTGATTTGGTGGGAAGACAGAAAGAGGCAGAGCCCACATCTGAAGTTAATGCATTGTGAAAGGGAGGGACATGGGCAGTGGTTACAGGTGGTGTGTTGATCCATAACCTGAAACGAAATTGAAGGAAATTCAGTTTATTAATATGTAATAAAGGTATTATTGGGATTTCCATACTTCTTAAGATCTAGATGCTATGGCCTCAACTCTCATTTCACACTTGTAAAAAGTCTAATGTCTACCTGAGATTCCTGTGGCTTCCTAATCACCTTTGTCTTCAAGCTCCTACTGCCCAAGTCTCTTTGCTGCCAACTAGACTCAGGATTTGGGCTTTAGCAGCAAGCCTGGGACACCCAGTTGCACTAATCTCTGCTGCCCACCCCAGCCCTAGGCCTCAGCTTCCATCCAGTGTCCCGTTCTGTGTCTACTGGATCTTCCTAGGATTTAGGCCCCATCCTGGACCTCTTTCCCTTGACACAGACCTTCATTTTCTATCTAAGCCTGTCCTGGTTTCCTCTTTGAGCTTGGCCCCTGTACTTTGTAATCGCTGGCTGAGAATCTGTAGAATACAGAGAACGTGCCACAAAGAATAGCATCAGCTTTCCAAATTCCCAGGCTCAGCATAAACCAACTTTCTTGACATAATCATGTTGTTGGATCAATTTTCAAAAATACAGTTAAAATAAAGAATCAAAAAATTTAAAACAAAAAGTAAACCCACATGCTTTTGATGTAGGGCTAAGACCTCTTCTTCATGGTTTTGCTCTTTGGAGTTTTTCCACAGTTTTCTATGAATAAATCACACCTATGGTGCAGTGTGTGTCCATTCTAGCTATTTTAGCCTTTTTCTTTTTCTTTCCTTCTTTTGTTAGTGGAAAGATAATTTAAGACTTTCAAAGAAGTTTGGGTTCAGAATGTTTTTGATTTTTATTATTTTTTCATCTTTTACAAGCATGTAAGACTTATTCGACACCAAGTTTTTGGTTATTTGTATTAACACGCCTTTCCATAGAGTTCAATCTAGTCTTTACAGAAACACTAGCGCTACTTATTTTCCCACTTGTAAGTCATGTGCTATACATGTACATGATATAAACACACTGACTCTTGCTAGGTGTTTAGCTACTACAGTGTAGCCTCTTGGCCTTTGGGCTTCAGTATGCCATGGGCATTGTATAGAATGCTTTACAGAGAACAGTCAGCCAGGAGGGGGATGGTTTAAAGAGTTTTGGCTAGGTCTAACCCTAGCCTGGGTTTCCTGTTGCTGTGTTGCTCTCCTGATTTCCAGATGTCTGATGTCAATAACCCTGGAGGCCCCTCCATCTGATTTCCTCCCTTCTTGGCTTCTGCTGAATGGCATCCACAGACCTGGCCTTCACTTCTCCATTTCCAGCTTCCCCTTCTCTGAAGGCTGCTGCTAAACTCAAGGCAGAGCCCTGTCTCTCTGGGCTGAGCACCTGCAGGGCCAGCTGTAGGAGGGTGCTGGTTTGGGGGTGCGACCCTCTTTCTCTTCATCGTAGTCTACTATTGCTTAAACAAGTTGTTTCTGATTTGGTGGAAGGACAGAAAGAAGCAGAGTCAACATCTGAATTGAATGCAGTGTGAAAGGAAGGGATATGGGCAGCAGATACAGACAGTGCATTGATCCATAACCTACACTAATCAGTGAAAGCAGAAGCCTGGAGACAAAGGTGGTTAAGAACCCACAGGAATCCTGGGTAGACTTTGGACTTTTTACAAGTGTGTAATGGGAGTGAGGCCATGGCGTTTAGATCTTAAGAAGTATGGAAATCCTAACATCTGTATTACATATATGATAAACTGAATTGCTTTTCAAAACATACTCTTTTTCCTGGTATTATCACTTTAACTCAGGCCTGGAGACTTTAATCAAAAAATAATGTGAATTATGTTCTATCTCCTCATTTACCCTAAATTGTTATATCTTTTCTTCCCGGTTAACTAAGAATAACAACCCATCCAGAATTAAACTGCAATCAGTGACAAAGCCGTTAGAATCAAATTGTGTTAATGGGTTTCTTTTTCTTTATTAGTTCTTTAGCTTCCACAAAACTGCCCCCATAAGAAAAGCATTCATGTTTGAAGAAGGAACATGAAGTAGGCAAGCTTGCAGTTTGTGACCAGCCTGTGCTCCTGTCTTTGGAAGTGCCCCACAGTCCTGGCTTGAAGAGGGGGCTTCCTGACTTGTGTCTGCCAGATGGCCCAGCTTCTCTAATCTGATTGGACAGAAGGTAGACCCCTGACTCATGCTGAGCCAATCAGATTCTTTTTCTCAAAATACTGAACTGTGAAACTCAAAAGCCTCTCAGTAGTGATGATCCCTAGGATGGAAGGTCTTGGAAGTCCAGGAACCTGGACAGCTGTGATACTTCCCTCATGAGAACGAGAGAGATTATCGGCCTAGAGAGAAAGACAATCATGAAGACAGGCAGTAGAGATCAAGGAATAGCACTAGCAATAAAACAGAGGAGAATCTGTATAGTGGAGAGGGGAGCAGTGTGGAATTTTACAGAAAAGAATATTTTCTTGTCAAAATGAGGGAGGCAATAAAACAAGAGTCAACTAGGTGAGCAATTAGGGTACAAACTAAAAATGTGTCTTTCTTACGAGGCAAGCATGTGGATAAGGGCAGCATTATTACAAAATATTTAATAATACAAGGTAAAAATGTCCTTTGATTATTTTTGAAATTGGATACCACATTAAAAAACATAACAAAACAAACTTTAAACAAAGCCTTGCATGCAAACTATAGAGTCACTCAGTGAATTCTAGAAAGGAGTATCTAGCACAGAGACCCTCCAGTGCTGCAGAGACCAGATCTCACTCGTGCCTATGACCTGTGACCTATAAACTCCTTAGCATGGCTTCATGAACTCCACCACTTGGACCAAACGTTCCCTTCCAGCCTCACTACCTACTCGCGCTTTCTGGGCACTATGCACTCAGCTCATCCTGGCATACTTGCCTTTTTTTTTTTTCTTTAAAAAGACTGAGTCTTACTCTGTTGCTCAGGTTGGAGTGCAGTGGCACGGTCATAGCTCGCTGCATCCTTGAACTCCTGGTCTTAAGAGATTCTCTCACCTCTCACCTGCGTCAAACAATGAGACTACATGGACACAGGGAGGGAAACATCACACACCAGGGCCTGTTGAGGGGTTGGGGGTAAGGGAAGGGAAAGCATTAGGACAAATACCTAGTGCATGTGGGGCTTAAAACCTAGATGAAGGGTTGATAGGTACAGCAAATCACCATGGCACATGTATACCTACATAACAAACCTGCACATTCTGCAAATGTATCCTGAAACTTAAAGCCAAAAAAAAAAAAAAGAGAGAGAGATTCTCCCACTTAGCCTCCTGAGTTGCTGGGACTACAGGTGCACACCACCATGCCTGGCTACTTTTTAAGTTTTTTTCTAGAGAAGGGGTTTCACTGTGTTGTCCAGGCTGGTCTTGAACTCCTGGGTTCAGGTGATCCTCCCATCTCAACCTCCCAAAGTGTTGGGAGCTACCAGGCCCAGTCATTGCCATTACTTGAATATGCCATGCATTTTGTCCTAGAAGATGGTCTTGACATAGATGAAGTTCAAGGCTGTAGTTAAGTGGTAACAGAAAAATACATTCTGAATTGGCCTGAGCCAAAGGCTAAAGGCTGGCTTCTAGGGTGGGCTCGATTGGGAGACAGAAGTGATTAACTGAACAAGGAGATCCAAGTCTCAAGAATGACACCAGGCTAAAAGCACAAGTGTGCCCCATCGAACCTTAAGGTACTTTACTTTAGATAACAGCACATACATTTCTTTGCTTCATTTTTCTGTGTATAATCTGCATAATACTTGGGTGATATGTTTTAAGAAATACAGAAGAATAGTTAATTTCTGGCTGCTGGCCTAATATTTGCTTTGAGCCAAGACCAGAATATCTATGGTCCTCCTGTCTGTTAGTTTTCCTGGGTCATTTTTGTCGCTGTCTGATCCTTTCCACCAGCTTGGCCTTTGCTTCTACCTAGGATGCTGGTGTTAATTACCTTTTCCCCACATCTGTTTACTCACTCTGAGTTCCTAGATGGTTCTAAATAGCTTCTCTTTCAAAGAGCTCCTCCCACACCTGACCTGCTGTGAGATGGACAAGCTGGGCAGCTCCTGTCTTTCTTCTTTTATTCGAGAAGGTCTCAACAGCCATTTAAAAGGGAAGCTGCATATCCAATTTCTAATGTGCTCCGTAAGAGGTATCCTCTCTGGGTGAATGTAACAACCTGAGTTCTCAGCCTTTCAACAAATCAAATGAGAATCTTAAACAGATCTCCCTGCAATGAAGCACTGCTTCCCATTTCTAAGTAACCAGTTATTTGTCAAACACTAACATTTGCAATATTTTGTCCACCAAAAGGAATTTTCTTCCAGAAACATATTTTAAAAATCTACAGATTGTAAGACTGAGACTGATTTGAAAGTGAACACATATTTTCAAAGCGAGACGAGGCTGAAAGAAAATGATTTACCCCAGAATCCATTGAATCCACAGTGAATCATGTAGTACCTTGTGTCAGTTTTCCCATTGTTCTTCCTTTGTTTGTTCAGTACCTACCAAGTGCCTTCTGGGCATTAGGGATTCCTTTTGAAACTACTGGTGTAAAAATAATAATAGCAATATAAAAAGCTAATATTTGTTGGGTTCTTATTATGTGCTAGGCACTGAACTAATCATTTGGGATGCATGATAGCAATTTATCCTCACAACTGTATATTACAGATGAGAAAGCCCCATTACCTGCACAGAAGTTATGTAATGTGATTCCGGGTCACACAGTAAAGACATGGAGGAGCTGGTGTCTGACTCCAGAACTCTTATATTCCGCTAGTGTACACACATGGATAGGACCAATTTAATGCCTGAAACAGGCCCCAAACCCTTCAACACTGAGCCTGGCCCACCTGGCTGGGTCTCAGCCACAGCCTCAGCAGCATGTCACTTCCTCCAGCACCTGTGAAGTACTTAGGGAAGGGTGTATCTCCAGAACAACTCTCCTGCTTGTTCTGAGTTAGAGAGGTCATTAAACTCTGGGTCCTAACCATGATTATGTAGTTAAAAATATATGTTGATGTCTTAGCCAATTTGGATAACTATCACAGAATACCACAGGCATGGTGGCTTACAAGCAACAGAAAAGTATTTCTCACAGTTCTGGAGGCTGGGAAGTCCAAGATCAAGGCACCAGCAGACTTGGTGTATAGTGAGGGATGTTTCCTGGCTCATATATGGCTCATGTCTCATTGTGTCTTCATGTGGTAGCAGGGTGAGGGAGCTCTTTGGGGTTTCTTTTATAAGGGCACTAATCCCATGCATGAAGATTCCACCCTCATGACCTAATCACTTCTCAAAGGCCTCACCTCCAAATACTTTTGCCTTGGGGATTAAGGTTCAACATATGAATTTGATGGGGGGAGGAGGCACAAATGTTCAGTCTCTTGTAGTTGAATTAACTGAAAAGTAGCAGTGACTTTATCCATGTAAAAATTTCCAGGTGAATTTCTTTTTCTGTCAGAGTCTTGCTCTGTGGCCCAGGCTGGAGTACAGTGGCGCAATCTCAACTCACTGCAACCTCCACCTCCCGGGTTCAAGTGATTCCTCTGCCTCAGCCTCCTGAGTAGCTGGCATTACAGGTATGTGCCACCATGCCCAGCTAATTTTTGTATTTTTAGTAGAGATGGGGTTTTGCCATTTTGGCCAGGCTGGTCTTGAACTCCTCAAGTGACCTTAAGTGATCCACTCACTTTGGCCTCCCAAAGTGCCGGGATTACAGGTGTGAGCCACTGCACCCAGCCAAATTCCATTTATTTTCTAAGCCACCTCCCCTTATTCTTATCCTGTGAAATAATACCAGCTCTTATATACTTAGCATCTGAAGACAGAGATTATTAGTACCCTTAAAAAGCAGAAGGCTGCTAGCCATGGAGATGATTTTTTGTTTCTATTAAAATTCTCTCTTTACTCAGTTCATTGAATCTGGAGACAAAGATGAAGTCAGCCTATCAAGGTGATGGGTTGTCATCAAATACTGAAACCATGGTTGATTTTCCATATATTGAGCCAGATTTAGACATTCTTGTGTCTCCTCCTTGAAGTTAATAAGGCATCTCCACCTATTCATTTCTTCCTTAAAAAGCTTTCACACTTAGAAAAAAAGTTAATGAGTCATGAGCAGAGTGCTCATCCCCAAAGAGCGCTTGAGGACTTTGTCTTTTTTTTTTTTTTTTTTTTTTCTGGCCCCAGGTTTTCTTTTCTTTTTCTTTTTTTTTTTTTTTTATTATACTTTAAGTTTTAGGGTACATGTGCACATTGTGCAGGTTAGTTACATATGTATACATGTGCCATGCTGGTGTGCTGCACCCACTAACTCGTCATCTAGCATTAGGTATATCTCCCAATGCTATCCCTCCCCCCTCCCCCCACCCCACCACAGTCCCCAGAGTGTGATATTCCCCTTCCTGTGTCCATGTGATCTCATTGTTCAATTCCCACCTATGAGTGAGAATATGCGGTGTTTGGGTTTTTGTTCTTGCGATAGTTTACTGAGAATGATGGTTTCCAGTTTCATCCATGTCCCTACAAAGGACATGAACTCATCATTTTTTATGGCTGCATAGTATTCCATGGTGTATATGTGCCACATTTTCTTAATCCAGTCTATCATTGTTGGACATTTGGGTTGGTTCCAAGTCTTTGCTATTGTGAATAATGCCGCAATAAACATACGTGTGCATGTGTCTTTATAGCAGCATGATTTATAGTCATTTGGGTATATACCCAGTAATGGGATGGCTGGGTCAAATGGTATTTCTAGTTCTAGATCCCTGAGGAATCGCCACACTGACTTCCACAATGGTTGAACTAGTTTACAGTCCCACCAACAGTGTAAAAGTGTTCCTGTTTCTCCACATCCTCTCCAGCACCTGTTGTTTCCTGACTTTTTAATGATTGCCATTCTAACTGGTGTGAGATGATATCTCATAGTGGTTTTGATTTGCATTTTTCTGATGGCCAGTGATGATGAGCATTTTTTCATGTGTTTTTTGGCTGCATAAATGTCTTCTTTTGAGAAGTGTCTGTTCATGTCCTTTGCCCACTTTTTGATGGGGTTGTTTGTTTTTTTCTTGTAAATTTGTTTGAGTTCATTGTAGATTCTGGATATTAGCCCTTTGTCAGATGAGTAGGTTGCGAAAATTTTCTCCCATGTTGTAGGTTGCCTGTTCACTCTGATGGTAGTTTCTTTTGCTGTGCAGAAGCTCTTTAGTTTAATTAGATCCCATTTGTCAATTTTGTCTTTTGTTGCCATTGCTTTTGGTGTTTTGGACATGAAGTCCTTGCCCACGCCTATGTCCTGAATGGTAATGCCTAGGTTTTCTTCTAGGGTTTTTATGGTTTTAGGTCTAACATTTAAATCTTTAATCCATCTTGAATTGATTTTTGTATAAGGTGTAAGGAAGGGATCCAGTTTCAGCTTTCTACATATGGCTAGCCAGTTTTCCCAGCACCATTTATTAAATAGGGAATCCTTTCCCCATTGCTTGTTTTTCTCAGGTTTGTCAAAGATCAGATAGTTGTAGGTATGCGGCGTTATTTCTGAGGGCTCTGTTCTGTTCCAATGATCTATATCTCTGTTTTGGTACCAGTACCATGCTGTTTTGGTTGCTGTAGCCTTGTAGTATAGTTTGAAGTCAGGTAGTGTGATGCCTCCAGCTTTGTTCTTTTGGCTTAGGATTGACTTGGCGATGCGGGCTCTTTTTTGGTTCCATATGAACTTTAAAGTAGTTTTTTCCAATTCTGTGAAGAAAGTCATTGGTAGCTTGATGGGGATGGCATTGAATCTGTAAATTACCTTGGGCAGTATGGCCATTTTCACGATATTGATTCTTCCTACCCATGAGCATGGAATGTTCTTCCATTTGTTTGTATCCTCTTTTATTTCATTGAGCAGTGGTTTGTAGTTCTCCTTGAAGAGGTCCTTCACATCCCTTGTAAGTTGGATTCCTAGGTATTTTATTCTCTTTGAAGCAATTGTGAATGGGAGTTCACTCATGATTTGGCTCTCTGTTTGTCTGTTGTTGGTGTATAAGAATGCTTGTGATTTTTGTACATTGATTTTGTATCCTGAGACTTTGCTGGAGTTGCTTATCAGCTTAAGGAGATTTTGGGCTGAGACGATGGGGTTTTCTAGATAAACAATCATGTCATCTGCAAACAGGGACAATTTGACTTCCTCTTTTCCTAATTGAATACCTTTTATTTCCTTCTCCTGCCTGATTGCCCTGGCCAGAACTTCCAACACTATGTTGAATAGGAGCGGTGAGAGAGGGCATCCCTGTCTTGTGCCAGTTTTCAAAGGGAATGCTTCCAGTTTTTGCCCAGTCAGTATGATATTGGCTGTGGGTTTGTCATAGATAGCTCTTATTATTTTGAAATACGTCCCATCAATACCTAATTTTTTGGGAGTTTTTAGCATGAAGGGTTGTTGAATTTTGTCAAAGGCTTTTTCTGCATCTATTGAGATAATCATGTGGTTTTTGTCTTTGGCTCTGTTTATATGCTGGATTACATTTATTGATTTGCGTATATTGAACCAGACTTGCATCCCAGGGATGAAGCCCATTTGATCATGGTGGATAAGCTTTTTGATGTGCTGCTGGATTCGGTTTGCCAGTATTTTATTGAGGATTTTTGCATCAATGTTCATCAAGGATATTGGTCTAAAATTCTCTTTTTTGGTTGTGTCTCTGCCCGGCTTTGGTATCAGAATGATGCTGGCCTCATAAAATGAGTTAGGGAGGATTCCTTCTTTTTCTATTGATTGGAATAGTTTCAGAAGGAATGGTACCAGTTCCTCCTTGTACCTCTGGTAGAATTCGGCTGTGAATCCATCTGGTCCTGGACTCTTTTTGGTTGGTAAACTATTGATTATTGCTACAATTTCAGCTCCTGTTATTGGTCTATTCAGAGATTCAACTTCTTCCTGGTTTAGTCTTGGGAGAGTGTATGTGTCGAGGAATGTATCCATTTCTTCTAGATTTTCTAGTTTATTTGCGTAGAGGTGTTTGTAGTATTCTCTGATGGTAGTTTGTATTTCTGTGGGATCGGTGGTGATATCCCCTTTATCATTTTTTATTGTGTCTATTTGATTCTTCTCTCTTTTTTTCTTTATTAGTCTTGCTAGTGGTCTATCAATTTTGTTGATCCTTTCAGAAAACCAGCTCCTAGATTCATTGATTTTTTGAAGGGTTTTTTGTGTCTCTATTTCCTTCAGTTCTGCTCTGATTTTAGTTATTTCTTGCCTTCTGCTAGCTTTTGAATGTGTTTGCTCTTGCTTTTCTAGTTCTTGTAATTGTGATGTTAGGGTGTCAATTTTGGATCTTTCCTGCTTTCTCTTGTGGGCATTTAGTGCTATAAATTTCCCTCTACACACTGCTTTGAATGCGTCCCAGAGATTCTGGTATGTTGTGTCTTTGTTCTCGTTGGTTTCAAAGAACATCTTTATTTCTGCCTTCATTTCGTTATGTACCCAGTAGTCATTCAGGAGCAGGTTGTTCAGTTTCCATGTAGTTGAGCAGCTTTGAGTGAGATTATTAATCCTGAGTTTTAGTTTGATTGCACTGTGGTCTGAGAGATAGTTTGTTCTAATTTCTGTTCTTTTACATTTGCTGAGGAGAGTTTTACTTCCAAGTATGTGGTCAATTTTGGAATAGGTGTGGTGTGGTGCTGAAAAAAATGTATATTCTGTTGATTTGGGGTGGAGAGTTCTGTAGATGTCTATTAGGTCCGCTTGGTGCAGAGCTGAGTTCAATTCCTGGGTATCCTTGTTGACTTTCTGTCTCATTGATCTGTCTAATGTTGACAGTGGGGTGTTAAAGTCTCCCATTATTAATGTGTGGGAGTCTAAGTCTCTTTGTAGGTCACTCAGGACTTGCTTTATGAATCTGGGTGCTCCTGTATTGGGTGCATATATATTTAGGATAGTTAGCTCCTCTTGTTGAATTGATCCCTTTACCATTATGTAATGGCCTTCTTTGTGTCTTTTGATCTTTGTTGGTTTAAAGTCTGTTTTATCAGAGGCTAGGATTGCAACCCCTGCCTTTTTTTGTTTTCCATTTGCTTGGTAGATCTTCCTCCATCCTTTTATTTTGAGCCTATGTGTGTCTCTGCACGTGAGATGGGTTTCCTGAATACAGCACACTGATGGGTCTTGACTCTTTATCCAACTTGCCAGTCTGTGTCTTTTAATTGGAGAATTTAGTCCATTTACATTTAAAGTTAATATTGTTATGTGTGACTTTGATCCTGTCATTATGATGTTAGCTGGTTATTTTGCTCGTTAGTTGATGCAGTTTCTTCCTAGTCTCGATGGTCTTTACATTTTGGCATGATTTTGCAGCGGCTGGTACCGGTTGTTCCTTTCCATGTTTAGCGCTTCCTTCAGGAGCTCTTTTAGGGCAGGCCTGGTGGTGACAAAATCTCTCAGCATTTGCTTGTCTGTAAAGTATTTTATTTCTCCTTCACTTATGAAGTTTAGTTTGGCTGGATATGAAATTCTGGGTTGAAAATTCTTTTCTTTAAGAATGTTGAATATTGGCCCCCACTCTCTTCTGGCTTGTAGGGTTTCTGCCGAGAGATCTGCTGTTAGTCTGATGGGCTTCCCTTTGGGGGTAACCCGACCTTTCTCTCTGGCTGCCCTTAACATTTTTTCTTTCATTTCAACTTTGGTGAATCTGACAATTATGTGTCTTGGAGTTGCTCTTCTCGAGGAGTATCTTTGTGGCGTTCTCTGTATTTCCTGAATCTGAACGTTGGCCTGCCTTGCTAGATTGGGGAAGTTCTCCTGGATAATATCCTGCAGAGTGTTTTCCAACTTGGTTCCATTCTCCCCATCACTTTCAGGTACACCAATCAGACGTAGATTTGGTCTTTTCACATAGTCCCATATTTCTTGGAGGCTTTGCTCATTTCTTTTTATTCTTTTTTCTCTAAACTTCCCTTCTCGCTTCATTTCATTCATTTCATCTTCCATCGCTGATACCCTTTCTTCCAGTTGATCGCATCGGCTCCTGAGGCTTCTGCATTCTTCACGTAGTTCTCGAGCCTTGGTTTTCAGCTCCATCAGCTCCTTTAAGCACTTCTCTGTATTGGTTATTCTAGTTATACATTCTTCTAAATTTTTTTCAAAGTTTTCAACTTCTTTGCCTTTGGTTTGAATGTCCTCCCGTAGCTCAGAGTAATTTGATCGTCTGAAGCCTTCTTCTCTCAGCTTGTCAAAGTCATTCTCCATCCAGCTTTGTTCCGTTGCTGGTGAGGAACTGTGTTCCTTTGGAGGAGGAGAGGCGCTCTGCTTTTTAGAGTTTCCAGTTTTTCTGTTCTGTTTTTTCCCCATCTTTGTGGTTTTATCTACTTTTGGTCTTTGATGATGGTGATGTACAGATGGGTTTTTGGTGTGGATGTCCTTTCTGTATGTTAGTTTTCCTTCTAACAGACAGGACCCTCAGCTGCAGGTCTGTTGGAATACCCTGCCGTATGAGGTGTCAGTGTGCCCCTGCTGGGGGGTGCCTCCCAGTTAGGCTGCTCAGGGGTCAGGGGTCAGAGACCCACTTGAGGAGGCAGTCTGCCCGTTCTCAGATCTCCAGCTGTGTGCTGGGAGAACCACTGCTCTCTTCAAAGCTGTCAGACAGGGACATTTAAGTCTGCAGAGGTTACTGCTATCTTTTTGTTTGTCTGTGCCCTGTCCTCAGAGGTGGAGCCTACAGAGGCAGGCAGGCCTCCTTGAGCTGTGGTGGGCTCCACCCAGTTCGAGCTTCCCGCTGCTTTGTTTACCTAAGCAAGCCTGGGCAATGGCGGGCGCCCCTCCCGCAGCCTGGCTGCTGCCTTGCAGTTTGATCTCAGACTGCTGTGCTAGCAATCAGCGAGACTCCGTGGGCGTAGGACCCTCCGAGCCAGGTGTGGGATATAGTCTCGTGGTGCGCCGTTTTTTAAGCCGGTCTGAAAAGCGCAATATTCGGGTGGGAGTGACCCGATTTTCCAGGTGCGTCCGTCACCCCTTTCTTTGACTCGGAAAGGGAACTCCCTGACCCCTTGCGCTTCCCAGGTGAGGCAATGCCTCGCCCTGCTTCGGCTCGCGCACGGTGCGCGCACCCACTGGCCTGCGCCCACTGTCTGGCACTCCCTAGTGAGATGAACCCGGTACCTCAGATGGAAATGCAGAAATCACCGGTCTTCTGCGTCGCTCAGGCTGGGAGCTGTAGACCGGAGCTGTTCCTATTCGGCCATCTTGGCTCCTCCCCTCCGAGGACTATGTCTTGATAGAGAACGTGCATTGACTTGGCGAGGGAGATACTTTGAGAGGACTGAATCTATTTCCAGTAAATCATAAATGAAATACCAGGTGACAGTTTGAGGATCATATTAATTTATTTAGAAAAGCAAAGCAAATTCTGGATCTAAATTTGGAAATGAAGCAATTAAACATATAGGATCATAAGGAAAAATTCTGACGAATTATCCAAAGAAAGCTGTAAAGGCTGGTAGGGAGGTTTCCTCAACTTTCTGTGCCTGGGATTGTTTAAGGGAGCTCACTTTTCTCATACAAAGACTCTCACTGTGGCAAGAACATTACTGCAGTCTTAGGCATCACATTCTTGTTCAGGTCAGAAGCAAGCGCTCCAGTGATGCCTGTCTCTTTATTAGGACAGCAAAATCCACATTGCCTTCCAGTTATGTCTTATTGATCAGAAATCCCATGTCCCCCTGAGCTCCAAGGGATGCTTGGAAATGAGCGTGTAGCTTTTCAGTCACTCTAATGGAGTTAGGGAGAAGAGGGTTGGGAATGGAGTTTCTGTATGCCATGAAGAGTGCCTGCCACATTTTCTTCCTTCATTCACTCTGCCTACTCATGCTAATCTCAATGCTCAGCACAAGTCTCACCTCTTCCAGGAAGCCAAGCTCTACTTTTGCTCCAGCCTGACGAGTTTTCTTCAAACCCTGAACTCAGCTCTTGTTTTCCTGTGTCTAGGTCTTCTCTCCTCAACCAACAAAAGTATCCTGAAAGCAGAATCTGCTTATATGTCTTTGCATATCTTGCAGTGTTCACTACAGAGCTTTGCACATAGTATTAATAGGTATTCAGCAAAAATTGTATTAGAATGATAGAGTGTGTCTTTTCTCACTGTAAAATATGAAGCAAAATTTAAAAAGCATTAAAAATGTAAACCAATTCCCCATCAAACCCTCACCCATACTCTAAAACCCACCTGAAATACCACTTAGTCCATGAAGCCATCTTTAATCCCCTTGACAGTCCTGAATTGTCTCTCCTTTGAATTTTTATGCTATGTAAACAAAAGATGGTCTAATGCTCTACTTATTTCCTTTCCCTTCTTGAAGAATTTACTCTAGAGTGGGCAGTTATATGTAACTTTGCCTCCTTGACCCCTGCTGAGTTGACTACAATGGACACTGGACCCATATTAGAGCCAATCATATAGTTTTTCCTGGGATATGTAATTGAAAACAGAGACCGGGTCATTAAGATGGTGCTGGGTTACTGGTACTAATAAGACCATGTACAGTTGCATTCAGAGTGGGTGCCATGACAACCCATACTTCTCACAAATATTGATTGACTGAAGGCCTAATAAGTGCCCATCATTGTATGGGGCAATAGGGGAAAAAATCAGCTCAAACACCTGCTCTCATGGATCCTCTATTCTAGTTGCAGGGCTTCATTTTAGCTATAGTCAGGCAAAATTACAGAAGAGCAGAAACTAGGAAGCTAAGAGCAAGACAATCTGCAGCAAAGAGAATTGAGCGGGTTGACAAGAGACTCTGCAGCCTCTGAAAGACAGACTTGGAGATTTGGAGATTTGAGCTCACATAGTTCCCATGGGGCCCAACTATGCTTCTACCACTACCTCTATTGCTATTGTTGCTGCTATTACTGGCTAACATCTATTAAGTACTTACTATGTTCCAAGCACTAGGCAAATTTCTTGATGTGCATCTAATAGTTTCAATACCCTTATGATCCAGACACTTTTGTTATTTCCATTTTATAAGCGAAGGCTCTGAGATGGTAGTGAGTTACTTGAGAATGCCAGCCAGTAAATGACGTAACAGGAACTTGAATTACAGGCCATACTGTTTGCAAATTGGTCTCATCTTATTACTCTGTATTCCTAAAATACCCTTGTAATAAACTAGCTTTACTGGGTGTCTGCCCCTTCCAATCAACAGGTACCTTAGATAGCTTGCTATGTTTAGCTTAGACTGCAGGCAGGTAGACAGAGTAGTTCTCTATTTTTCTATCATTCTACAAATAGAATTGTAGCAAAAATAAACCCCATTTTGAAAATGTTCAAAGTTAGACATTTGTATCAGTGTTTTGGTTTGAATATTCATTTCTTCAGTTGTATGACTAAAATTAGTGGTTTCGTCCTTTGTGGGCACCTGAGCCCTGGCCAGAGGGGTAGGGTTGGGAGGGGGCTGGCAAGAGAGTTTAGACAAGGAGGGTGTAAATACATAGGCATATCAATAAATGTTTGTAAACCAAGTAAATAATATATCTTGCACACATGTGAACCATGTGTTCTAAATGGAGAAGTAGTTAATATCTATAAAACAAGGATTCCTGTAAAATAATTACTGAACCCATACTAGCTTTTTGTCAGATATTTTCTATATCAACAGACACTATAATTGAGGGATATATGAGTCTGCCCTTTTTCTAAAATTAAGAGTAAATCCTCATAATTAGAAGTTGAGAATCACTATAGTAAATTCTATTAAAAGGATATCAAGCCTTTATAATGTGAAAGGCAGATATGCTGCTGTCATTCACAAATCCCATCTAAATAGCAGGCAGCTCTCACTGATAAGGACACGCTTTCTGACAGGTTCCAATACAACCTCACACTCTCATTATGATGCTCAAGCAGCCTCTACCAATGGATTGGAGTTAGCCTGTGAGATGCTGCCTTTCTTGTTTAGAAAATGAAGAACTCATGTTGTTCAATGACCATCCCGTGATTTTTCCTAGGGTCCAGATAGAGCATTGAGAATCAGCCAGTTAGTTTTACCAGACACGTCTTGCTTATTTGGCTTTGTGTCAGTGTTCTTGAGTCACCAAATCTGGTGCCTTTCTCATTTCAGTTTGTCAACTGGGTAAAACAAAACTTACCTCTGTATATGGTATTAATAAACAAATGTTGTTGAGCTTCTGTAGAGAGCAGTAGTTGTGGAGTAAATGTTATGGCATAATTGAAATTATGTCTTTTAACTCCCTAAGCAACAGACCTCCCTCCCCACCTGCTTAAAAGTTGGAGTTATTATTCACATCCTGTTTAAAAATAGCACAAAATCTGCAGCAGGATGGGCGTGGAAGTTGTCTGTAGCTTTAATCACTAATGACCTCATCTTCAAATGGTCAGTGATAATAAACAAGAAGGAGGGATTTCCAAGGGAGCAGAGCATTAATAAGGTAAGATTTTAAAATTAATTTTTCAAGTTAATTAAAATGTCCAAAAGCACAATAAAACTACAGAAAATCTGGCAAGGGAATGGCAGCAGGACTGATTAATGCAAGTCAATTGTCTTCTGAGGGTAATAGTAATAATGATGAGATTATGGATATGGAAGAACCTGCTAAAAAGAAATGTGATGCATGTGGAATACAAACTGCGTCCCAGTTACTATTTTATGGTGCACAATGGATCTTATTAAGGAGGAATAGCAGCAAGAATTACCACTGAATTGCTCAATAAAAGTATTGTGTAATTAACAGTGTTGGAGCAGCAGCTGGAGTGATGCCTCCCATTGATGTTCCATATTCTCCATTTACAGTTTGCTAAGGGGTGTAGGTTCTAACTAAGACTGTTTGTTTATTTGACCATGAAACAGTAAACATTTGTCAAGCAGGGCACTAAGCTAAGAGACATGAGCCTGTAAGGATGAGTAAGGCACTGCTTTGGCCCTCAGGGGGCTTATGTTCAAATAGGGGAGATGAGATAGGAATGTAATTAACTCTAATACAATGCAGATTGTGTTGAAACCTTCCATAGAGGTCAAAAGAGAGAGAAATTACTTTTAACAAAAGGGATTTAGCAGAAGCACCTGGGAATCTATGGCATTTGAGAAGGGCTCTGGCTTTGATGTTGGCAAGATTTTTGACAGGTAGAGATAATAATAATTCTCTACTTGTGAGTTCTTCAATTTTTGAAAAAGCCATATGGTATACAAATAATGTCATCAAGCCAAATAGGAAACGATAGAAGTATATTTGTGGTGAAGGGGAGGTCAAAGGGGAGATACGTCTTTCAACAATATGTTGAGAGCACTATGTTGGCACATGAAATGGTAATATTTAATACCATGCAAATATATGTTGCACAAAGGGGACTTTGAACATTTTCGAATCAAGCAATTATGGTTGAGCCAGACATGCTTGGCCTTACCCTTGCTTTAGGTAGCTACTCTGATTGCATAGTGGACTTGGGGGACAAGAAGCAGGTCATACAAACAATTTTGGGATGCCGCAGCAATAGAACATGATGCAAATGATGGGAGCCTAAATTTACAAGATGTGCTCTGTGAAAACAGAAAGGAGAAAACACTTGTCAGTAACATTGTGGATACAGAACTAACAAAACTTGAATGAAGAAGAGGGAGAGGTCAAAGATGACCACCAGCTTTTGAGTCTGGGCCACCAGAAGGATGGCCGGGTGAATGCCAACAATTTGGTGGATGAAAGGGCTTTGGGCTAATAATGAAGATGCGTTGGTACAATAATGACTGATGCACCAGGACAGGTACTTCTCCTGCCTCATCCAGCTGAGGTCAGCCTCCATCTTTTCAGTATGAAGCTGAACTTGAGATAATGCTTCTTAGATTCTATGGTGATATTGAGTTTAGGCGCCATCAGAATGTGCTTGTGAGATGCTGGCATGGAAAGAGATGTTCTTCGAGCATGGTCAGAGGATTATTTAAACATCATCCACTTATGCACTGATGTATTTCAGGGTCATTTAGAATGACAGCTGAGCTTTTCAGTCTCCAAAGTGGAGACAGGGTTGCTGTGAAGCTCAGTTCTGAGGTCCTGGAAGGAGTCTGGACCCCAGATCATGGGATACAACTGACTTTTAGTTTGGTTTTTATAAGGTTATCTTTAGGCCTCCTTTTGATTTTCTTTTAGCTCCAAAGAATTCATTCCACACTTCCTTTCTCGTTGGGTTTCTATTATTTCTGGCTATATTTTCTTTACCCAGCTGCCTTTGTTTCTGGCATTGGCGCTGATGAGCACAGAAGGTGTTGAAGCATAGAAGCCAGCTGACCCAGAGTATAATGAAGCACTAAGATGGAGTGGAAGAATTGCCAAGAAATTCAAGCTGGGGTAGGTTATAGTCTAAAGGCTCATTCTATACCAGGCTCATAAATCTAGTTCATTTTCAACTCCCTTGTTTCCTTAGTCCCTTGTAACAATTTACCAGTAGGACATAAAGTTTCTAGCTTTGTTACGTCTCAGATCCATCCCTACCTCTCTAGCTCCAAGGTCACAGTCATAGTTTTGCTGTCAGTCTTCTTTCATGAGGGCTAGTATAATCTCACTGGTGCTCTGAACTCTATCTGGTCGTCTTCCAGCTATTCTGTGCACTGCAGTGCACAATATCTTCATTTTCAGGATTCTCCAAAGCCTCTATGGCTCTCCGTTGTTCCTGAAATCAGATTTAAAACCCTGATCCTGGACGTTCAGTCTCTCCCTTGGTCATGGCCCTCCTGAGACGTCCTTGCCACCTGCTGCCACCTACCCGTGTTTTGCTCCTGTCGGTAAACAGCCTTGCTGTACACCACACACCATTTTATGGCAGCCACTTCGGAAAAGCTGTCGGCACCACGGCCTCCTAAAGTGCCATTTTTCTCTGCTTCCCCCACATCTGTCTCAAATTTCCTTTAGAGGTCTTTCTTTTTAGGATCAGGCAAGCTACTTCTTGGCATGAGTCGGTGTGTCTCTGTCACCCTAAATGCAGGTGGACAGAATGCAGGTTACCAAACCCTTTCTTTTTTTAGCAGGCTGTGAGGCCAATCTTATCCTTTCTGGTAAGTCTGCCGGTTGATAACTTTTCCTTTCTGCATTGAGCATCATCTTATTAGCTCTATTCTTCAGTTGTCTGAAAAAATTACTGCACTGTTAAGTCTCCTGCTAAACATAGACTGTAGAAATATGGCTTACAGAAGATCACAGTACTTTCCAAAGTGTACTTGGATTAAAAAAAATGGGTTCTAGTTTCACGCAAGTATGAGAAATCCTGGATTAAGCAGAGCTAAACAGGTTTCTTTCTGGGGGACTACTTAGAGATTTTAATGATGTATATTTTAGATCTCCAAGAAGGGGTATTTCATGATCCATCAAAATTAGGGGTAACTCTCCTCTCTGGGGGCAGGCTCTCTTTTGATTTCTTTTTTCTTATTGCAATGAAATGTAAATTTCAAGACATCCAGAGATATAAACGAACTGAAAGAGACTGGATTTTTTTGTTTCCAACATGATGCAGCGCTAAATACCACCAGGGTATTATTGCCTCTGGCTGAAGGTGAATAAAGCCTTTGGCTCTCAGAAGTGTTCAGGGCCCAGAACTGGCACAGTTCACTGTCTTTAGGGAAGAATGACAGAGAGATGCCTTCTGCCTGCAGCCACGTCCCTGCCAGCACAAAAGGGCAACCGTTCTAAAAAGGGAAACGTGGTCTCAATGCTTCTCACTGCTTTCCTGAGGAAAGAAATTGCAGACCACAAGGGTGACAGCAAAACTCAACATTCTTACCTCATTTAGGACGCTTAGGAGTAGGTCCCCTCTCCCTTTATTCTTAAGGCATTCAAAAGAAAACCTTACTTTTAAACGTCTCACGGGGAAACGGCACACTTTTCATGCTTTGCTTCTTTGTTGCTAATGCATAAGCTCTGCTCTGGTTAGTCCATGCTGGCTACATCCCAGCTCCTGCACGTCCCACGCCCACGTCTTCCCTCCCAGCTCTGTACCCAGTAGGTTCGCTGCTGTAGAGGGCGCCATGTGCACCGTGCACCCTTTTCTTCAATACCCACCTCCCTCCCTCTTTGGTCCTGCTCCGGAGCCCGGTCCTGCTCCGAAGCCCGGTCCTGCTCCGACCCCACCTCCCATGGGCAGCCCCTACCCATGGCTCCAGACCTCAGTGTCCTGCAACGGGGAGGGGGAGGGGGAAGCTCTCTCCTCCCCCTGCCCTTGACCTGGGGTGGCCAAGGCTTCCCACGGCTGCTAATTTCCAGGTGCCTCAACCTCTCTTTGGGCGTTCCCTTCACTCTGCCTACAGCTCTGCAAATAGTCCCGTCAGTGGCTAAAGCCTCTGGAACCTTCCGAGTTGGGTCCTCTTTCTTGCTGGACCCTGAGTGAGACAGTATATTTTCAGGAAACGTACGCAGGTCCCTCACATGAAAATACCGGAGAGCCGTCACAGTGTGTCATTGCCACCTCCTTCCCCTGACAGACAAGGAGCGCAGCTGGGCCGCAGGTGGGGAGTCTCCCTTGGGATCAGAGCAGGGGGCCCAGCAGGCCGTTTGCCCAGCCTCATGTAGCCAAGAAGCCCTTTTTGGTGGAGGGAATCTCAGGGGATTAGTATTACAAAGGACCCATTTTGAAAAGCCCTAGAGCAGAGTATAGCTCAGGAGGGATGGAGCACATTTAGTGGTTTGCTGATAGCAGGTATTTAGGAGGCTGATCTGGGCCATGCTGGAACCACCTGGCCTGGCAGATGGCTGCAGTATATTTTAGAGAAGTCCCTAAGTGTGCCTCAGTACACACTGCTCTTCACCTCTGTTCTCTTCAACAATGCGTAAGCAAATCTTGGCTTGATTTGGCTGGGTGGGGGGCGGGATGCTATTGTAGCTTTTGAAATATATCCCAGGGGATCCTTTTCCTATGCTAGGAACTCTGACCTGTTGCTTTCTGATATTCCCAGGGAATTGCACTGTCCACTCAGAAGTGAGGGGACGTCATTGTCCTCTCTGATCACAGGAAGTGAGGGGACGTCATTGTCCTCTCTGATCACAGGAAGATGAGTCTCAGAGGTAGGCATAGAAATGCCAGAGCTCTCTTTCGAGAAATAGCGAACTTACCGTAATTTTGGTGTTAGTATGGTAGGCATGCTGGGATGAGAAGGGACTTGGCAAAAAGGCTTGAACATTACTGAATTTGTTTGTCCTTTAGAAACAGAAAAGATAGGAGCGCACTTTACTCTTTCAGTAACCCTGTGGTCAGAGTGCAATGGTCAGAGGCCGAGTGGCCTCTTCAAGATGTCCGGGATGCAAGTCCCTGTCCGTATCATGCATCAGTAGCAGCCCTGGGTGAATACGGTGTCATGGAGCCCTGGGAACGCAGCAGGAGCCCTCATACCTTGTGGCCAGCTGTCTCTCTCTCCCTGCTTTCTGTAGAGCTGGCTACTTTGTAACTCTCCTGGAGTCCCCCATGAGGCCCCTGTCCTGTGACTCACTGTCCACTCAGACTCTGCTCAGATCACCTACTGAACTGGTCACCACCAGCTGGTGCTTAATTGCCTCCCTGGCTTTTACTTGGCCTTGAATCACTCCTGGTGCTTACATCAATCTGTTGTCTTCTCCAGAGGCACAGAGTGGAGGAACTTGCTTTGTCTTTATTTCTCTGCAAATAGAGGACCCCTCCATGGGCAAGGATGAATGGGTTACTCAGAGTTGGATTGTAGTGTCTTGTGGGGCTTTTCCAGGAAACTCCCCCAGATTGCAGGAAAGAGGGCCTCAATATCCTGCAGGACCTGAAGGGCATCCTACCTAACTCATAACAGGGACAGCTGCCGTCCATGCAGTTGTGCAGCATGGGGGCCTTACACCCGATATTCTCCAAGAGGACCAGCAGGCCCATCCATCACAGACAATGCCTGGCTCAGCATTTTTTTTTTTTTTTTTTTGAGACGGAATCTTGCTCTGTCGCCAGGCTGGAGTGCGGTGGCATGATCTTGGCTCACTGCAACCTCCGCCTCCTGGGTTCAAGTGATGCTCCTGCCTCAGCTTCCTGAGTAGCTAGGACTACAGGCACGTGCCACCATGCCCAGCTAATTTTTGTATTTTTAGTAGAGACAGGGTTTCTCCATGTTGGCCAGGATGGTCTCGATCTCTTGACCTCATGATCCGCCTGCCTTGGCCTCCCAAAGTGTTGGGATTATAGGCGTGAGCCACCGCGCCCGGCCCAGCTTCTTTATAGGAAGCAGGATTGGAGGCCTCTATCAAGGATAAAATCCATTTTCATCCCATTTCCGAAAGGGCTTTGGTAACCCCAAAAGCGGAAAATGACCTGCTGTAAACCCGATTCTGTTCTCCAACACAATCCTTTGCCCTCCCAACAAAGACCTGGGCAAGGATGAAACCATGGGGCAGGACTTCTGTCTCCTACAAATATGCCCAGTTATCTTTGAGAACCCCACTTACGATGAACCTGAGCTTGGAAGCTGTCCCAGTCCTCACTCTGGGGTGATCATTTTGTCCTGGTTTGGGCAGGACTTCCTGGTTTTAGCACTGAAAGTAAGTCCCATGTCCCTTCAGTCTCAGGTAAAATGAGATAGCTGGTCACTCTCCCTCACACCCTCTTCCCTTCTGGGCCTGTCATTGCACACTTCACATTGTGTATTCACTGCACCTTTCTGTGAGGCTGTGGGCTCCATGAAGAGAGGGGCCCTATCTTGTTCCTCTTCATCTCGCCTCATACCTAGTATTAGAAAGTGCCCCATGACAATTTGTTGAGCAGGAATTGCTACTCAAGGCTTAGATGCTGCATAAACAGCTCTACTCTGATTTTAAAATTTATTTTTTAAATGTTTACTTTATTTGACAAATAGTTATTGTGTATATTTACAAGGTTCAATGTGATGTTTTGATAGATGTATACACTGTGGAATGATTATATCAAGCTAATTAACATATCCATCACTTCACATACTTATTTTGTTTGTAGTGAGAACATTTGAAATCTACTCTTTGAGAGACTTTGAAATAAGCAGTACATTATTATTAACTATGGTCACTATGCTATGCAGTAGGTCACTAAAACTTAGTCTTCCCATCTAACTAAAACTTTCTACCTTTTGATCCATATCTCTCCATTCCCCATCCCGCCAACCCTCATTCTACTCTCTGCTTCAATGAGTTCAGTATTTTCAGATTCAACATATAAATTAGATCATGCAGTATTTTTCTTTCTGTCCCTGGTTTATAGAATATGTGGAGAGGATCGCTCAGGGCTCTGTATTTATTATGGGGCCCCTGCTTTATACCTGAAAAATAAAACTGGGATCCCTAAACTTTGCAACGATTATGGGGGCCTCATTATCTGGGACTATTACCTGTAGCAGCTATAACATTCATTATTTAAAAACTTTTGAGTTTTTAAAAAACCATTTATTGTAGATAACTGGAAAACACAAAAGAACATATAATGATGCACAATTTTATTGCTAAAGAAAAATCACTGTCATTTACTATATCCCCTTTATAAAATACAAATTAAATAATCATTTTGTAGTCTGTTTTTTCCATCCTCTAATATAAAGTGAGTATTTCCCCTTGTCAGTAGCATTTTTCTACAACGTAACTAAAAATGGATGTTAAGAATCTTTGTAAAAACCAAAAGGGGATTCATCAGTTTTTATTTGTATATTTTAAGTATGCTGAGTAATCTAGTCATAAAAATGAATGTATGCTAATTAAAAAAAGGCCATTTCAAAAAGGAGAGAAGAAAAGTCACCCTAAAATCTCACCCCACCTCAGAGATAATCTTTTGATAATCTTGTTAACATTTTAGTGTCTATCTTTCCAGACATTTTCCTGTGGATCGATAAACATGGCCATGTAGACTTAAACACATATTACTACCCAGGCCAAACATCTCTTTATATACTTACTGCACATTTTAATTTTTTTCACTTCTAAAGTGTTTATGTAATTTACATTTTTTTCTGGTTGGGTTTCAATATTTTCATATAGACTTATATGATCATTTTAGCATATTAGGGCTATTAAACATTTTGTTTTAAAATTTTAGCAGTATCTCCCTCAGAATTTAATTTCTTTTAGCCATTTTGTTTCCTCTTCAGAACTTTAAATTTCAATGGTGTGTAATATGCCAATGTTATCTATTTAGTTTCTGCCTTTGGTTCAACATAATACAAGGTCTTGACCACCCCTAAAATATATAAAGAAAAAAATCTATGGCTAAGTATGAATTCCCTTCTTTATATTTTAATTTTTAATCCATCTGGAATTCATCTAGCTTAAAGAATTATGCAGTAAAGGAAACAAATTTACTTATTTTCTCCCAGAAGGCCAGCTAATTGTTCCAACATCTTTTCCTCTTTAATTAGAAATGCCAGCTTTAGCATACATATGTAATGTTCCCATTATTGTTATTCTCTTAAATATTCTACAAGTGTAGTTTTGCTTTTTTCCCTTTACCAGTGAAATTTGGATGGCTTAATCTCTCAGGAGTGGGTCTCATTCCTCGTTTCTTTCTATAACATTAATCTATTTGTATCTTTTTTTTTTCTGTTGTGGTCAGTGAATATGGTCTGAATAACACTTATTGGTTGGAATTTATTGAGGTTTTCTCTGTAGTATAATATGGTTCAATTTTTGTAAACGTCACAAGAAGATATTAATACAATGTCTATATAGTATATACCTCTGTCTTCTCTCTCTCATCTGTAATTTCTATTACTGCTAAGTGTGGGTTGGAACCTTTTTAAAAGAGGGATTTGAAGTTTGGAACTTGGTTTGTTGGGGAGGAGACCCCTTTGACTTTTAGATTAAGTAATTGCTTGATTAACTGCACGGGGATATGGGGTCAAATTTTCAGAAAATAATCACAGCGTCTTTGCTCTTTTTATAATTATTCTTTCCCTTTCAAGCATCCTGAGTCATTTTATTTTAGGTGTTTTTCTTTTATACAGAATTCAGTTGAGTTTCAGTTTTTGATTCAGTATGAGGGGTTTTGTTTTGTTTTTGCAATGATGCTTTATTCTTTATGTATGATTGTTATGTTGGTTATGTTTGTTTTTATTTAATTTGCAATGGTGATAGATTGCATTATTGTTCTCAATTATTTATCCACTTCCCCACTTAGCTGTATTTTATAGGAGGCAGAGTGTACTTTCCTTTCCTGCCCTATTGACTTTGGGCTTTGCCATGGGGTTGTTTTGACCAATGCAGTGTAGATGGAAGGAACAGTGGCCAGTTTTGATCAGAGGTTTAAGAAACACCATGAGTTTGTCTTGTCCCTGGAGCTTCTGTCCCCTGGCACAAGAACCCCCTCACGGTGGCTGCCCCTTCAGCTTGGGACATGGAATGAGAAGACACAAGGAGCCCATCAGAGCTCAGCTGAGCCCAGCAGAAGTACAGCTCACCTGGAGACCTGCAAGCAAGAGTAAATATTTGTTGGGGGAAGTTGTTGAGATTTGGGGTTGCTTGCTGCTGCAGTTACCATGTTTCCCTTGCTTTACCCTACTCATTCTTTAAAACTACTTTCTTTCTTCCTTCTCCTCATCCATGCATCATTGAAAACCATTAGCAGGCCAGAATGAAGTAGGCAAGCCAAGCAGGGATCAAGGCCTGTGGACAAGGAGGGGATGGGGCTGTGCTAAGCGATTTGCTATGTCCTGGAGGACTGAGAAATGCATTGAGGATAATGGGAGTCAGGTCTCTTACTGTTGGGAATATGGAAATGGAGACAGCTAGAATCGGGTTGCCAAATTTAGCAAATAAAAATACAGGACACTACTTGGGACAGATTTATACTTTTAGTTATCTGAAATTCTAATTTAACTGGGCATCCTGTATTTTATCTGGTAATCTTGGATAAAATAAACCATGTAGTGTTGGATTGAAATTGGAGGTACCAGCATGAATTTACAGATTTACACACACACACACACACACACACACAAACACACACACAGACACACACACGTAAATAAAGACATGTGACGTATACATATGTAGGGGCCAAGAAACTTTCTCCTTGGCCCTCTGAAGTTTTGCTGAAAAATCAACTTGCACAAGGTAGACTAATTGGAGAAAAGGCATACAAATCTATTTAACATGTATACATGGGAGCCTCCACAATGAAAACCGCTAGATACAGGGGAAATTTTCCATTTTTATGCTTAGGTGAAAGTATGGACAGCTTTGTGGAAATATAATTGGAAAAAAAAGAGTATGATCTAATGCTAATGGACTGAGTGGGGGAACCCAGCAAGATCTATCTGTCTAGATTATTCCTGGCCTTTCTGAGCTGCTTTTTTTTTTTTTTTTTTTATGGGTATGGGGCAGGGCCCTCTGAAATGGAAGTATTGTGACCTACAGTCAAACAAGGTAGGTCAGTTAATTTTTTATGGTCAGTTTTTATACAGAAAGGCAAAGGGAAAGTTAGATTAATATTTTTAGGTTTTATGGTTGGTTTTTGGGAAGGGGTTCTGGTTTCTGTGACCTGCCTTGGAGAAGAGGGATTCTAGTTTCTATGGATAGCCTTGTGGGAGAATGGTTCTGAGAGACAGGAAGGTAGGAGGTCAGTAAAAAGCTTTTGCTTCTGAGGCTGCTTCTGAGGCCTTCGTTTCAGGATATTGTTTTCTGAGCCCCTACATTCCCCAGTCTGAAACTTCCCCAGGAAGTTTCACAGTCCAGATATCGGGTTGGTGGATTGTTTTATAATCCATTGAACAAGGTTCTCAGTCCTGAGGATAAGGTAGTCCAATTACACAGTTGATAGTTGTGTCTCACTGCAGGCAGCAGTGGTGCAGGTGGGCTTCCACCACCGTCAGGCCTCTCTATGATTTGAGCAGTCAGTTATTTAATAAGAAGCATTCCTATGAGAACAAAAGAAAAACAAAGGCTAATGGTTAGAACAAACTATAAACTTAGTTTCTGAGTCCAGAGGGAAGCCATTTGAGAAGATTTTTAGATATTGGGCTTGAAGCATCTTCTGATGAAGTGAGAGCAGACAGTGGCAATCTGACAGATTTTTTTTCGGTTTGCAGTTTGCATCAGGTGTTCCAGTGAACTTTCTGAGTAGTCTGTACACCAGCAGGCACAAAGGCTATTCATACATGAAGTTGCTGTAATGATTTTTCAAAGCTTTTTTTTTTTTTTATCAAGTTGTCTAGTTTTAGCTTATAAGGCTTTAGGAAAAAGCAGTTTTAGTTTTAGTGATTTTAAGTAAAAAAATTGTAAACATTAGTTTGGAGCCAGTAAAAAGTTCAGTATTTGGTCCAAATTGTATGCAAATAATAAAAACTCAAAAACAATGGACAAGGCTAGAATCTAGAATCTAATAACAGACCTAATAACAGATATATTAAAGTTTTCTTCTGAAACATAATTTTCCTCCAGTCCTCTGTTTCTACCAATGACAAATCTTAGTATAATTTATTTGAAAAGTAAGTCCTAGTCTTATTTTACTTGGCCTGATTGTTTGCATAAAGTGTGGCAAAAATAGTGATTGGCCACATACGGTCTTTTTAAATTGGGTTTTCTGGAACTTTTTATAAGGAATTTCAGATAAGACTTTCGAAAGCCTTCTGAGGCTAACAAAGCCAAAGATTTGTCTTTAAACTGTTCCTGTAATACTTGTATGAATTGGGTGAATTCCTCTTTGAGGTCCCAGAATTACTTGAGGTTTCTGATCCTATCATTCTTTACTTACCGCAGGCCAGAAACCTTGTAAAGAAACCATGTAGACAGGTTCCAGCCCATTTTTTCCAAGGGGTTTTTTATCAGTTCTATAAAGTCAACTTCAATTTATTTTTTAAAATTTTCTTGTTTTAAATTTTACTCTAAGGTCTGAGATACATATGCAGAACATGCAGGTTTGTTACATAGCTATATGTGTGCCATGGTGGTTTGCTACACCTATCAACCCATCATCTAGGTTTTAAGCCCAACATGCATTAGCTATTTGTCTTGATGCTCTCCCTTCCCTTGACCCTCACCCCCTGACAGGCCCCAGTGTGTGTTGTTCTACTCCCTGTGTCCATGTGTTCTCATTGTTCAGCTCTCACTTATGAGTGAGAACATGTGGTGTTTGATTTTCTGTTCCTGTGTTAGTTTGCTGAGGATGGCTTCCAGCTTCATCCATGTTCCTGCAAAGGATATGTTCTCATTCCTTTTTATGGCTGCATAGTATTCCATGGTGTATATATACCACATTTTCTTTATCCAGTCTATCATTGATGGAAATTTGGGTTGAATCCATGTCTTTGCTGTTGTAAATAGTGCTGCAATAAACATATGTGTGCATGTGTCTTTGTAGTAGAATGATTTATATTCCTTTGGGTATATACCCAGTAATGAGGTTGTTGGTGAGGCTATGGAGAAATAGGAATGATTTTACATTGTTGGTGGGAATGTAAATTAGTTCAACCATTGTGGAAGACAGTGTGGTGATTCCTCAAGGACCAATTTCTTAAAGCAGTCTGTTTACATCTGAAAATATGCCATTCCAGTCAAAACCCTGGTAAAATAATCAGTGTCTTTAATTGTGTCCTGTTACAAAAGAAAAGAGGTTCTTACTGAACTTATGCAAATAACTATATTGTCATAAATTAAGAATACTCACAAATTGTTTCTAAATTCTGGAGAAATCAGGTGGAGAGAAAGGCAATTGTTTAAATTTTATTCACAAAAGTATACTTTACTCAACTTGTTGTAAGCTATAAATAGCTCAAAGAAGAAGAAAAACATTTTCTTGATTCTAGAAAACAAAGCCTAAGAAGAATCAGCAATGTTTCAAACAAAAAGTCATGAAAAATTATGTTAGTCTTCTATCAGTTAGTCCTATGTAATTAACTTTTTTTTTTTTTTTTTTTTTGCTTAATGTTGGGTGAGCAATTCCCATAAATGTATCAGTTTTTTCATTAGAGTTCTGAAAGTTTTTTTTTTGTCCAATGGTACAATCTCCAAAGTTATCAGAAACCAGAAACCTGTATTCAGGAGTATTTGTAAGAGTTTTTGTATGAATTTATTTAAAGAAGAAGCAAATTTTGGACTGCTGCTGATTATAAACCACTTTCTGAGAATAATCAAGGTAAAACAATAATTGTCTGTGGATGACAAAAGTGTTTGAATAGCCATGGCTAAAGACACAATTAACAAGGAAATTTGGTTATTTTGTGGCATAAAACAATTTAACATAATAATCATAATTATTACTGATAACATGTAATAAGACATATTAGAATTTTAGGAATCACATACAAATTTGGAAGATATGTTAATATCACCTTTATACAAATATAACCTAAAGTAAATTAAACTCCATTTTATATTTGACAGTGTTTTCCGTATGACTTCAACATACCAAATAAACCTAATATGTCTCTCTTGAACTTCCATGGGCCCTAATATCCAAAAACTTAGTTTGAGGTTCAAGAGACTGAATTTAGAATTTGAAATTTTGATTTTGGAAAGTTTGTCAAATATCAAAGGTTTAAAACACTTGCTCGGAATAGAATCACATGTCACTGTAAAATGGTAGTTGTTCATTTAGTTAAAGTAATAATTTCAAGATTTCAAAAACCAAAAACCTTTACTTTTTGATAAAGGAAGAGTCTCCTAAACAATCATAAGACCTGAGAAAGACATCATGAAGCAAACTGTATCTGTCTCTCCCTCTCTCCCCACTTTTTTTGTTTGCAGTTTACTTAAAAGGTAAACAAAAATCTTTTACTACCTCGTTAATATTACACAAACATCTTGTTTAAAAGGGAAAACCAAATATTACCTTTGCATTAGTGTATTATTAATGCTAAAGCTAATTATAACAAGACCTTATAAACAAATCCAGTCAATCTTATTCTGTTTTAACATACAAAATAAGATTTCCATAAACCTTTTATAACCTCTTACAGTTTTTTTTAATTCTTTTTCTTTTTCTTCTTTTTTTTTTTTTGAGACAGAGCCTCACTGTCACCCAGGCTGGAGTGCAGTGGCGTGATCTCATCTCACTGCAACCTCAGCCTCCCAGGCTCAAGTGATTCTCCTGCCTCAGCCTCCCAAGTAGCCGGGACTACACGTGTGTGCCACCACTCCTGACTAATTTTGTATTTTTGATAGAGACGGGGTTTCACCATGTTGGCCAGGCTGGTCTCAGACTCCTGACCTCAGGTGATCTGTCCACCTTGGCCTCCCTAAGTATGGGATTACAGGTGTGAGCCACTGTGCCTGGCCTCATTCTTTTTCTTAACTTTTTGTATAACTTTAGTTTTATTTGTCATTTTTCCCTTCAATTTACAACTTATAAAATCCTCTAAATTAGACAAAATTACTTTCTTTTTAACAAAAAATCACATTTATTGGGGGAAACTGCCCCCAATATTTCAATGTAGGTTCTTTCTATTTTCCATAAGTGTTGGCTGGCTGAGAAATAAAGAGAAAGAGTACAAAGAGAGAAATTTTACAGCTGGGCTGCCAGGGGTGACATCACATATCAGTAGGACCATGATGCCCACCTGAGCCTCAAATCAGCAAGTTTTTTATTAAGGGTTTCAAAAGGGGAGGGGGTGTAAGAACAGGGAGTAGATCACATGCTTCAAAGGGCAAAAAGGAGAACTACTGATAAGGGTCCAACAAAGATCACAAGGCAAAGGGCAAAAGCAGAACTACTGATAAGGGTCTATGTTCAGCGGTGCATGTATTGTCTTGATAAACATCTTAAACAACAGAAAACAGGGTTCAAGAGCAGAGAACCAGTTTGACCACAAATTTACCAGGGCGGGGTTTTTCCCATCCTAATAAGCCTGAGGGTACTGCAGGAGACCAGGGCATATCTCAGTCCTAATCTCAACTGCATAAGACAGACGTTCCCAGAGCAGCCGTTTATAGATCTCCCCCCAGGAATGCATTCCTTTCCCAGGGTATTAATATTAATATTCCTTGCTAGGAAAAGAATTTAGTGGTATCTTCCCTACTTGCATGTCCGTTTATAGGCTGTCTGCAAGAAGAAAAATATGGCTCTTTTTGCCTGACCCTGCAGGCAGTCAGACCTTATGGTTGTCTTCCCTTGTTCCCTAAAAATCGCAGTTGTTCTGTTCTTTTTCAAGGTGCACTGATTTCATATTGTTCAAACCACATGTTTTACAATCAATTTGTACAGTCAACACAATTATCCCAGTGGTCCTGAGGTGATGTACATCCTCAGCTTATGAAGATAACAGGATTAAGAGATTAAAGTAAGACAGGCATAAGAAATTATAAAAGTATTATTTGGGGACTGATAAATGTCCATGAAATCTTCACAATTTATGTTGCTCTGCTGCGGCTCCAGCCGGTCCCTTGGTTTGGGGTCCCTGACTTCCCGCGACACACATTTTTTATGCCTTCTTGTAACTTTTTAAAAACCAAAAACATATTCTACTTTTTCTATACACTTTGTATACAGAATTATTTCTCCTGTATCCAGTAGTTTTAATTATATACAATGTTTGTATATAATTTTTTAATGTTTACTCTTGGTAACCCTTATTTTCAGTAAAAATAAAGGAGGTAGGCAATTTTAATTATGTGTCAGATGCAGAGCTCAGGACAATTCCTGGAGGATCTAATATCTTCCAGTATGGACAAAAGGCACAGCCAGTCCAAGGAGGATGAGGCCCAGGTGTTGTTCTCAGGCCCCACCATGGTCACTTGTCTAGACCCCAGAATTAGATGCTTCACGATAAAGACAAGCTCATAGTAATATATGTGTAGGGGTTTGGAGGAGACCAGTAGTCAGCTGTTACAGCTTTAACTCACAAAGTAAGCAAGTATCAAAGGTACTACAGGAACAACAGTTTTTTGACCTTAAAACATCTAGCAGAAACAGCCTAACCCTGTCTAACAAGTAGACTCATGCAGAATGTCTAAGAGTTGTAACAGTCTCATTTGCTGTGAGATGATGATAATGATGGTGGTGATAATTTTTGCCAATGTAGAGTGAGCCCTCTAAGGTCTAGGTAGAAACCTTCCTTCTGTCAACCTAAAGAAATAAACAGGCAAAATTAACATAGAGAGTTTATTTGGGCCAAGGTTAAGGACTACAGCCTGGGACATACCTCCAAGTTGCCTTGGAGAATGCTCCTTTCAGCTTTTGTTATAAGCAAGTTTTTTTTGAGACAAGGTCTTGCTCTGTTGCCCAGGCTGGAGTGCAGAGGGATATCAGTTCACTGGAACCTCTGCCTTCCAGGTTTAAGTGATCCTCCTGCCTTAGCCTCCTGAGTAGCTGGGATTACAGGCATGTGCCACCATGCGGGGCTAATTTTTGTATTTTAGTAGAGACAGGGTTTCACCATGTTGGCCAGGTTGGTCTCAAATTCCTGACCTCAGTGATCCACCCACCTTGGCCTCCCAAAGTGCTGGGATTACAGGCATGAGGCACCCAGCCAGTTATAAGCAAGTTTTTAAAGGCAAAAGAGAACAAGGAGTGGGCTGATGCAGTTTTTTGACAGAAATTCTCACTGGTTTTCAGAAATAACAATGGTTAGTGCTAAATTATAGCATAGAATTTAAGGCAGTCTTAGAAGCAGAATTAAATCTATAGAATTATGATAATGGCGTAGAGCATAGTTTTGCAGAAATCACCCAGAACAGTTAGGAAAAGTTTGAGGCTGCAGTGGGCTATGATCGTGCTACTGCACTCCAGCCTGTATGACAGAATGAGACCCCATCTCCCCAACCCCCCTCAAAAAAAGGAATGGAAAATAGTAATTAATTAAGAACTGTTTAGATACCCGGAGTGTACAAATGAAGGGAGGGTGGTATGAGAAGCTGCAGCAGGAAACTGGTCTTTTCAATAACTAAATCTTTTTTTTTGCTCAGCAGTAATGTTTTTGTTTTTTTTTAATAGTGTCTAAGCAAGAAAGAAAAACAATTTGAGTATTTATTTTTAACTTATACATTGTTTAACTATAGGATATGAGTTACGGTGCCCAGTTTATGGCATTTTATGGCTACCTGGTGTCAGTTAGTCCAGAGCCCACATAGCAAGAGGCTTCAAGAGGTACTTATTTATTTCAAGAGGTAATTAATTACTTTAATTCTTTTCCTCATTGTTCTGGGTGATTTCTGCAAACCTATGCTCTATGCCATCATCATAATTCTATGGATTTAATTCTGCTTCTAAGACTGCCTTAAATTCTATGCTATAATTTCTGTCAAATATTTTTCACTTAACTCTTCTAATTCCCTTTTCATCCCAGTATATTTAATTCTACCATCTTTCATTTTATTTCTTTGATTACCTTTGGAATGCAAAGTAGCTGTCAACTAAAAGCTTCTTTGGTTTTCTAGACTTAAGAATTATCTAAACAGTTCTTAATTCATTACCATTTTCCATTCCTTTTTTTGGGGGGATGGGGGAGATGGGGTCTCATTCTGTCATGCAGCCTGGAGTGCAGTAGCATGATCATAGCCCACTGCAGCCTCAAACTTCTTGGCTCAAGTGATCCTCCTGTCTCAGCCTCCCGAGTAGCTGGGACTAAAGGCATGTGTTACCATGCCCAGCTAAACATTCCTTCTTTTTTTTTTTTTTTTTTTTTTACAGAATTATTGTTTAGGTATCATGTTGTTCATCTTTGAGTAGGGACATTTCTGTCCTGGATGGCTATTTGTTCTGAATACTAGTTTCTGTAGCATTTTGCTCTACTCTTTATCATTTTAGCAATTGTTTGGATCCTCCATGTCCATCTTGATCTGAAGGCCTGGATGATCAGTGTTAATGTTCTGGCTTAGCTGCTGGGATCCCTGAGGAGGGTACAAATGAAGGGAGGGTGGTATGAGAAGCTGCAGCAGGAAACTAGTCTTTTCAATAACTAAATGTTTTTATTCCTCAGCAGTAAATTTTTTGTTTTTTGTAGTAGTGTCTAAGCAAGAAAGAAAAACAATTTGAGTATTTCTTTTTAACTTTCATTTTAAGTTCAGGGATCTATATATAGGTTTGTTATATAGGTAAACTTGTGTCATGGGGATTTGTTGTACAGATTATTTCAGCAGCCAGGTATTAAGCTTGGTATTCATTAGTTATTTTTCCTGATCCTCTCCCTCCTCCCATCCTCCACCCTCTGATAAGCCCCAGTGTGTGTTGTTCCCCTCTATGTGTCCATATGTTCTCATCATTTAGCTCCTACTTATAAGTGAGAACATATGGTATTTGGTTTTCTGTTCCCATGTTAGTTTGCTAAGGATAATGGCCTCCAGCCCCATCCATGTTGCTGCAAAGGACATGACCTTGTTATTTTTATGGCTGCATAGTATTCTATGGTGTATATGTACCACATTTTCTTTGTGATTTTTTAGGTTGATTCTATGTCTTTGCTATTGTGAATAGTGCTGCAATGAACACATGTGTGCCTGTGTCTTTATGATAGAACTATTTATATTCTTTTTGGTATATGGATCAAATGATAGTTCTGTTTTTAGGTTTTTGAGGAATCACCACACTGTTTTCCACAATGGTTGAACAAACTTACACTCCCACCAACAGTGTAAGTGTTCCTTTTTCTCCGCAACCTTACCAGCATCTGTTGTTTCTTGACTTTTTAATAATCACTATTCTGACTGGCATGAGATGGTATCTCATTGTGGTTTTGACTTGCATTTCTCTAATGATCAGAGATGCTGAGCTTTTTCTCATATGCATATTGGATGCATGTTTGTGATCTTTTGAGAAGTGTCTGTTCATGTCCTTTGCCCACATTTTAATGGCATTATTATTATTATTATTTATCAATTTGAGTATGTTCAACAGAGAGAATTTAATGCTATTAATTGGTTATATGAGTGGGAAATGAGCTGAGAAGGCCAACAGGGGACAGTGTGGAAACCCGGAGAGGAGCAGCAATGGGAAATCCCCACACCTTAGGCTGGAGGGGCAGGGAGGAGACAGTGTTATTGGTGCCAGTGGCTGGCATCAGCTGGATGCTTGAAGCACTTTTTATGTGGCAGCTGGAGCCATGGAGAAAATAGTCTCTATTGAGATGCTACCTGAGGCACAGAAGAGGGGGCAAAATACGTGAATTTCTTCCTTCTCCTAGAAGAAATCCTGGGTTTCTTCCTAGAAGGAAGAAATCTCCCAGAAGTACCTCCCATTGACCAAATCCTGACAGATACAGGGGCTGGAAAAATGTAGCCTGGAGTTGTCAGCCCTTTATATTAAGACCAGACCAGAGGAAGAGTGAGGAATGAATCTGAGGTCAAGACTGGCAAAGGTTTTTCCTCCCATAGAGATTCTGCAGGTATGTAGAGTCTTTTGCAAGGTTATTTCCCAAACCATATTACCCACCCTGCCCCTCCCCCAACATGCACATACACACTCATTTAGTGTAAGATCTACTTTTTTATATTCCATCTTAAATGCTATGAACTTTTATCCATTTATTTTGTAATAGTCATCTTTTTGGATTTTCAGAGTCCCAAGCGCTTTCAGTATTTTAGTTGATTCCTTTTGATCACAAGTAGGACTGATTTTCCTTTCTTTGTGATTTCTATAGCCAGTCCTGTGAGCCTTCCTGCTCCTGGGAACTCTTTAAGTGACCACAGTCTCAGAATAATTCTATGTTTGGTGTCCCAGCTGTCTCTGAATTCTAGAACAACCTGTTCACTGCCCTTGGGGTCAAGGTGGCATGTGCCCACCAATCTAATAGTCATTTGGGTTAAATACTTGCAGTGTCATCTCTTTTATGGGGATAACTCTTTTGCCTTGCTTCTAACCCAGAAGTTCTGCTCCCAGTAAGACAGCCTATTCTTCTCCTCAGAATACTCAATTCTGTAGCAGTTATGTGGTTTACACCAGTAATCTCCTCTGCTCATACCCATTCCTAGTACTTCATCTTATATAATTTCTACAATGGTTCTGCAAATATATGTCACATAGGCAACCAGTATTTCTTACATCCTACTCAGGGCTGACATCATTAATTGATTAGGTTGATTTATTTAGTTCATTATTTAATTAATTGATTGATTTAGTTGATTAAATAATTATGATTAATTGATTATGCTCATTTTCTGATGAAAAAGACCTTAGAACACTTTTTAAAATTATGCTGGAAGTCACTCCCAGTAGCATGTGAAAAGAACATGTATTTGACATACTGGACTTGGTAGAAAGGCCTAAACTTCAGTTCAAGTTTTTAGCAGACAATGGTTTGTTACGAGGCAATGAAAATGAGGAGTCCCTTCAAGTTCACTAAGACATTGACTGATTTTGCTTTGCAATTTTTTCCCTTCAGAAGAAATCTTACCAGGTAATGGTGATGCTGATAACAAGAAACAAAGAGAAAGAAACAAATAAAGAGAGAGTGAGATTGAGTTCCATTGTATGCTGTTTTAGGTTGGGTTCCTTGGAAACAGACTCTGGGATGGAGAGTTGCATGCAGATTGTTTACTGGGGGATACTCCGGAGAGGCATCTATACAGAAGTGAGGAAGACAGCATTGGGTAGAGGGGGAGGCTGATCTGCGAAGCATTTCCAACTGAGGGCCGAGCTGATTATCCACAGATCTCTGCAGGGGAATTTCTGGGGTGGGGATGGAGGGTCTTGAGAACTGTCCCAAATTGAAGCAAAGGTTAAGCCTTTATGCCCATACATCAGCAACATTGGTTTGGGGTGTCCTCTTGTCGAGGGGAGAGCAGCCTTGGACAAGGCAGTGCCAGTTTCCAGTGGGATATTGTGTCACCAACTTTGCAGGGTGTTCTTTTTTTTTTTTTTTTTTTTTTTTCCTGTCACAGATGCTGTGATGGATCTTTGGTCCATGTCGCAGTGCTGGGGTTGTACCTGCATAATGCTACTTTTTAAATCTAATGATTTGTCTTTGTTTTGGAAGGGATGATCTAACATGCTCTAGTCAGCTTGGTCCCTACAAACTCTTCATTAATATAAGGGATTCCTAAATCTTCATAGGGCTTTTCTTCTTTGGAGCTCATATCTCTTACCGAGATACTACAAAGCACTTGTCATTTTTTACAAATCAAGTCCAATTAGCATAATGTCATTGATATTGTGGACCAATATGGTGTTTA
This sequence comes from Homo sapiens, assembly GCF_000001405.40. NCBI lineage: Eukaryota > Metazoa > Chordata > Mammalia > Primates > Hominidae > Homo > Homo sapiens. The sequence continues at coordinate 24,648,871 of NC_000018.10, forward strand.
GTGAAATGTCCAAGTCCCTTTGGACCATCTTATGACAGCGGCTGTGAGGGCAGTTAACAGAGAGTTAACTCCGTTAATGAAGCCCTGTGGGAAGACCATAATAGTGTATTGTTAACCATCCCATATGAATGTGAACTGCTTTCTGATTCTTCTTTCAGATGGAAAAGGAAACAAAAAGTTAGCCAACTACATAGTTATGGCTATGATGATGAAACTTGTCTTAGTCTGTTTTGTGCTAGACAAAATACCATAGATTAGGTAATTTATAAAGAATACAAATTTATTTTCTTACAGTACTGGAGGCTCAGAAGTCCAAAGTCAAGGTGCTGTCAGGTTCAGTTGTCTGATAAAGGCGGTTCTCTACTTCCAAGGTGGTGCCTTATTGCTGCATCCTCTGGAGGGAGGAATGCTGTGTCCTCACAATGCAGACAGGCAAACTGGCCAAACACTGTGCCTCTTTTATTAGTGCCCTGATCCTATTCATGAAGGAGGAGCCCTCATGGCCTAATTACCACTTAAAGTCTCCACCTCTTAATATAATATCTGAATTTTGGAGGAGACACATTCAAACCATTTGTTCTAGTAAAGATACCACATTGGCATAGCAGCTGCCATTGAGACTTCTCTTTGGTTAAGGCTGTGACAGTTTTGGTGCTAAAGCAGGCCCACACTAACCTGTAAGAGCCAAGTGTTCAATTTTTAGGAGCCTTGTGAGCTGGTTGTTAAACCTATAGTGGGAACATTATACTCTGGAAATTGGCAAATGCTATATAGCGATCGTCCCTTGACCCCTGGAGAGGCCGTTGTGAAATGTTTACCAGCACGTCATTGGTGGTAGTCTACTGTCATTTATCATGTATCATGATTCTGCTCCATGTGCTTTTCCCTTTGCTGATTTTGCTTTGTTTTGCTGCAATAAATCACAGCTGTGAGTGTGACTGTATTCTGAGTCTTGTGAGTCCTCCTAGTGAATAATCAATAGAGTTTTTTTTAGGGGCTAGAGTGGTGAATAAAATGAGGCTATCATGGCCATCACCAGTTTTGCATTCTTCAAAATTTTGAAGATGGCACTAAATTTTCCCATTTCCCCTGGGATATGATGTTGTCTTTATTTATTGCCTTGGATAGGGGACAGTGGGGACATTTCAGTGGCTTTGTTTGGCTTTCCACACTTCAATAGCTTTTGCACCACAGATCAAGAATTTGATGTAAGAGTTCTGTCATTTATCATGTATATCCATTTCAATTACACATTTGGGTACAGGGAAATGATCACTGGATGGATCCAGGAACCCACTGGACCCATCGGGAGGTTGGAGCTGGGTCATCGTTAGCCTTCACCTCACCCTATTATGATGGGAAGCACAATGGAGCTTTGTGTCCCTGGATATCACAGTCAATTCAGACCCTGGGTCCAATAATTCTTGTAAGTTTTGAGCACAGTACAGGGAAATGATCACTGGCTGGATTCATGGACCCAGTGTGGCCTTAGTGAACTGGACGTGGGTCATGACTGGTCCCCATATTTCTCTATTCAAATGGAGGGGTGTAATGGTGCTTTGGGTCCCTGGAAATCTAAGTCAACTTACACTTAGATCCTTGTAAGTTTTGGGTGTTCCCATTTTTCCGCTGGACAGTTATCTAAGGAAATGGCTGTTGATCTCTTTGGGAAAGAACTTGGAGAATTACTACTAAATACACTTCTGTGGTATTGCACGTTTTTTTTGTCATGGGGACCTGGCTTCTTCTTCAGCCATTCCTGAACTGAGAACTGGCTCAAGTTCAGAAGCTTGTTAAACAATCATGACTTCTTATTCAGGCAGATGTTTGCAGGCTCTTGATCATCTGTTCTAGATTTCTTTTAGTTGGATAATTCCTGCAACACCTTTGATTGTCATGAATGTATTTCTTACTCCTTTTGTAAAAGATTGTCCTTGGGGCGCTCCTCTGGCACATTTCTGGCTGGTTGGGGGCTCTCTAGACTTACCTGGTATATCCTCTTTAGCATACCCACTTCTCTGAGCTTTAAATGCCCCTTTCAGACCATTTGTCATGTGAGTTTTGGTATTTTTAATTCATTGGGCCAAACAGATGGATGGGCCATGATATTTTTCAAGCTTTTGAGAGCCATCCTTGCAGCGTATTAGTACTCTCTCTGGAGTATTTGCCCAGACTTGAGTATCATGGGAGAATGTTCCCACGCTGATTAATGCTCCTTTGTCTAACTTTGTGTCCTACAGCCCCACATGTCAGCATCTATTCTCACGCACACTTTCCCAACTTCTGCTGGCACATATTAGCCAGAGTTTACAGCTTCTTTGGTATATAGTCCCTGGCCTCTTAGCAAGCCCAGTACATCTCTGGTTAGGGTGTGCTGAAACTTAACCTTGCTATTTTTCTGTTGCTTAAGAGGAGCTGCAGGAGTAGGGGGAGGCAAACATTATTTTTTAAGGCATGGCATCAATCAGGGTCCAATCAGGAGACAGAAATCACACCAGTAATTTGAACAGAGAAAATTTAACCTAAGAAGTATTAAGTAGTAAAATATATTTAACTACAAAAAGGCATAAAAGAGGGGTCTAAGGAAGATAAAAATAGCACACGTGGAAAGCAGCTACCACTGCCAGAGCTGAGGGAGAGACCAGGAACTTAGAAAAGATATCTTCTCCATCTTCCTCCATTGAGGCTGAGGTCCAAACTCCCTTGGAGAGGGTGTGGTTGCCATGGGAACACACAGTGTGTTGGTGAAGAAGAAACTTCGTAGAAGGCACAGATGGAGCTGGTCTGCAGGAAACAGCCCACTGGGTGGTGGAGAAAATTGCTGGAGGGTGCAGGGAGGCTGGAATTGGTCCACAAGAGCTGGTAAGGTGAGCATTACCAGGCCTCCTGCATGCTGATCTGCTGGCAGCCAGGACAAAGAAAAATGGCTCTATGGAACCAGTAAGAGAATCTCCTTCCTCTGGCTGTGACCTTGCAGTGTCACCCCAGTGCCCTTTGTTGATAAAGATATTATACCATGGGAAAAGAAAGGAATGATTACAAGCTCTAGCTCTAGGATCACAAAGCAGAGCAAAGGAGGCTGGATTGGAACTGAGAGGCAATAAATTGATGACTGGCACAAGCACTGTGATAATTTGGAAAATGCGGCACCAAAGTCCACTTGTACCTCTTTGCCACGTCCCCATCAAGAGGTAGTCTATCTCTCTGCCTTGTTGAACCTGGGCTGATCATGTAACTTGCTTTGACTGACAGAGGAGACTGGGAAGTGATATTGTGATACTTACAAACTGATGCCTCAAAAAGCCATGCAACTTTTATTGTCTTCTTCATGGAGCCCAGTGGCCATGCTGTGAACTTTGCCATGTAGAGGGGCCACATGTAGGAAAACTTAGTGGTCCTGCATTACAGCCCACCAACCCACTGCCAGATGCGTGAGGAGATTTGTGGGGACAGTTCAATCCTAGTCAGATGACTGACTGACTGCAAGCTCAGGAGAGAATCCCACAACAGCACACAAGGCACAGACAAACCATTTCAGTTCATCCCAGCCACAAAGGCTAACCCACAGAACTGGGAGCAAATAGATGTTTGTTGTTTCAAGCCACTAAGTCCTGGGGGTGACTTGTTACATAAAATTTATAAGGCCGAGTAGGGTGGCTCATGCTTGTAATCCCAGCTCTTTGGGAGGCCAAGGTGAGAGGATCACTTGAAGGTAGGAGTTTGAGACCAACCTGGGTAATATAGATCCCATCTCAACAACAACAAAAAAACAAATAAAAATAAAAATTAGCCAGGTGTGGTGGCAAACACCTCCCACAGTTACTCAGGAGGCTGAGGTGGGAGGACACCTCGAGCCCAGGAGTTTGGGTTACAGTAAGCTATGACTGCGCCACTGCATTCCAGCCTGGTCAACAGAGCAAGATCCTGTCTCCAAAAAAAATAATAAAATAAAATAAAATAAAATTTAAAAATTATAACTGATAATGTAGAAAAGAGTTAACATAGCAGGTCTGGCTGTTATTCTTTGAAAGGCCTGCTGATAAGGTTAGCCTTTGACTAGTATTTGTAACTTGGGTTTTGGGAGGGTTCCTACCATTCCTGGAATGAGTAAGAGTGGCTCTCTGTGCCTAAATTGTCTGTGCAAACAACATGGTTTATACTAAAACAATGTGGTTTATCTCTGGGAGTCTGGAATATTGGTACTTGCCAGGTAGAGACTGCCTACATGATCAGCCCCCAGTTAAAACTTTGGGTGCTGAGTCTCTAGTGAGCTTCTCTGATTGGCAACATTTTCCACGTGTTGTCACAACTCATTGCTGAGAGAATTTGGTGCGTCCTGTGTGACTCCTCTGGGAGAGAGCTCTTGGAAGCTTATGCCTGGTTTCCCTGGGATTTCACTCCATGTGCCTTTTCCCTTTGCTGATTTTGCTTTGTATCTTTTGCTGCAATAAATCACAGCTGTGAGTATGACTGTATTCTGAGACTTGTGAGTCCTTCTAGCGAATAATCAAACTTGGAGTGGTCTTGGAGACTCTACACGCTAATATAGACACTTGCTTCAAAGCAAATTGCAGGGCACTATTTCTACCAAAGTGGGGTGGGCCTCTTCTGCAGACCCAGAGGCCTCAGGAGAATCTGGGAGCTGAAATTCTCAATGGCGTTACTCAGATATCCCCATTCCAAGTCTCAGGGTCCTGTGGTTTCCCTATTAGAGCTTGATCTCAGCATAGGAAACCTTCTAGGATGAGAATTCAGCTTTCTCTGAAGCTGTGCTACCTGTGAGCCTGATCATTCTCTCTGTACATCCACTGGCTACCTGAGATCAGCATTTCCTTAAATGTTGGCCAGAAGGCCCTCTGGCTTTCATAAGTTTGCTTGAATTGTTGAATGACTGTCCTGATTATAATCTCTCTTCAATCAATCAATTGTCTGGAGGAATTCCTTTTATTTTACATATCCCACATTCTTCTCAAGGGCCAGAGATATCTCACCAGTGGTTGCATCCACTTCCACCAGGGAAAATGTGAACAGTGGCAGCACTGCAGCATGCCAGGGCCTACCTCTTCTCTACCTTCCACCAGGGTGGGTCTCCATTCTCATGCAATCGGTGAGTGATCCAGCTCCAAGACCCTTATCACTTACTCCTATTACTACTACAACTTAATTGTACATGTGTAACACATTAGAGCTTAGTATATGATTCCACATAAAGGAACTCCTTTATTTCTGGAATTGCCTTGAAGGGAGGCATCGGAGTTGCTGTTCTCTCTGTTGTCAAGTGAGGGAATTAAGCCTCAGTGGAATGATAGCCCAAAGTCAGGATTCTACTAAGTTGCAGAGTCAAAGTCAACCTAGATTTTTGACTCCATCATTCTTTCCTACCACATCGGGCTGCTTCTCCAAAGAACTGGTGAGGAAATTTCTCGATCTGCATTTGCTTATTCAAATTCTTATGATCACCTTAGTATTGATGTGGGTGGTAGCAATCTACACCAGATATATTTGACCTAAAAGAATCAAGGGCACAGAAGAGGGTAAGAAGCTTGTCAACCTTTAATGTGCAAACAAGTCACCTGGGGATCGGAAATGTTAAAATGTAGATTCTGATTCTGGGAGTCTGTATTTCTGACAAGTCCCTCAGTCGATGCTGATGCTACTGCTCCTCAGCCTCACAGAAGAGCTGGGTTCTTAATAGCAAGGTTCTTGAAGAATCAAAGTAAGAAAAATTTAGGAATATTGATTTTTTATTTTCCAACTTTTCAATGTGTTAAAACGCAAAACATTTTTCTGCATTAATTCAATCCATAAACACTCCTTAAAAACACACTAAAAAAGGGGGCAAAAATGAAGCTGCAGGATTTTTCAGATTTTAACCAGCCATAAGATAAAAATAGCAATTTCTAAGAGCTTCATTCAGGCATTTGATTGACGAAGCTCATAAACAGTGAGTCAGTTAGGTACCCATCCTATGCCAGAATTCCCTTCCAGTTTTATAAGGACAAGGTAAAAAGACACAGCCAAATTTTGATCAATTCGTGGAGACCACACTAAATCATTCTGGGGATGACAAAGATTCTCTTGTGGACTAAACTCTAATCAACTAGGCCCTGAATCCAACTAGGCCCTGACCTTTGGACTTTCGTATTCACTGAATTCCATGCATTGTCCAGTTTTAGCAGGAACCCTGTTAAGTCAGTTTAGACAGACTGTCCTACCTATGATATCTGATCACCCTTGATATCTGATGGGGTTCTTCATCCTCCACCCACCAGCTCCTCAGGTGATGTCTGGCCACCCTGGCCTGCTGTCAGCAAGAATCCTATTAGGTCAGTTTAGGCAGAATCCCCCTTACCCCTGAGGTTTCCCCCTTTTATTATTTTTTTTTTTGAGACAGGGTCTCACTCTGTTGCCCCAGCTGGAGTGCAGTGGCGATGTGACCTCTGCCACTGCAACCTCCACCTCCCGGGTTTAAGCAATTGTCCTGCCTCAGCCTCCTGACTCCTCTTTGGAGGTCTGGAGGCACGTGCTTGTAGTGGCACTGCCATGTAGCCATGCCTGGCTAATTTTTGTATTTTTAGTAGAGACGAGGTTTTGCCATGCTGGCCAGGCTTGTCTCGAACTCCTGACCTCAAGTGATCCGCCTGCCCTGGCCTCCCAAAGTGCTGGGATTACAAGTGTGAGCCACCACATCCAACCCTGAGGTTTCCTCTTAGTAATTTCCCATGGACTGCTCCCCAGCCTGCCCCTTGACCTCCTTGCCTGTAAATTCCCACTTTTCCTTGTATTCTGAGTTGAGCCCAATTTCTCTTCCCTACTAAAAAAACCCACTGGAGTAGCCCCTTTGAATAGAGTTTGCCTTGCCATTCTTTAACAAGTATCATGAATAACTTTTTCCTTCACGGGGATCGTAGTTGTGTTGGGTTATCCAGGATCCAGCTTCAAATTATAAGAATTTTCTCAGTAGACCTCAGAGAAGTTTCTGGCTGTCTGTGATAAACTTTGGAAACCTCTCAAAATGACACCCATTCCCAGACCTTCACCTGGTTTTTGGTTTCTGTATTGTCAAGGTCAGCCACATTGTGGCTGACCTGCAACGTGTCTCCTCTCTAAACTTGTCCTTCCTTCTTGCCAGTGCCCAGCTTTTGGCTCCTGCTCCCACCATCTCTAGCTTTTCTTCAGGGACTGGAGTAGGGCATGGCCACATAGAGGGTCATTTCAGGGTTAAAAATTGAGGCAAACGTTACAAAAAATTAAAGTGGTGACGACCTTGGAAACTGGGATTGGCTTCTTAATCCTGGGACATCTGGTGGCCTTAGCTCAAGCTCCACAAAGCCTCCCTGTGGCTTTTCCTGGAAAAAAAGAAAAAAAAATCCAGCAGGCAATTAAATTCAATCCCCCACCCCTTCTCGTGTTCCGTACCAAACCACATTGCCAGCCTGTCATAGAGTTCTTTTCTTGACTGCCTTGTGACTCAAATGACAAAATATTTCCACTCAAAGTTTTGGGAGCTTCACCTCCCTCCTATTTTTTTTTCCTATAAATGGAACCCCAAAAGTTTGGGCTAGATATATTTTTTTCCCTTTTTTAAAATGGACTTTTTCCTTCCAGAAGCAATGATTCAGGGCAGACAATTCAACTTATTTGTCTACCCATCCATCCCTTTATTTATTTATTTGTTGTATAAGGTAATAGCTTATGGTACTTACCCAGAGCCAGCTGTTTGCAGGATGCCGAGAGCAGGTGGTCTTGGAGGCCTCTGATGAATTGCAAAAGACACTCACCAGCTGCCGACACTGTGTGTAATGAGCAAACCTGCAAAAATCTTTATTTTCAATTGGATTGTACCTTTAAGTAAGCAAGGGAGACAGCCAGTATAACTACAGACCATGACCAACAACCCACATAAACAGTGTGCAAACACAAGTGATTAATGTACCACTATTTCAAAACATCTAAAGCTAATGAGTCAGATTTACTAGGGTGCACAAGAGAGGGGGAGAGGGATGTGGAGGAGGAGAGAACAACTTAATGGGCCTTAATAGCCTTTAGTTGAAGCCTAAGAATTCTCCTGCCTGTGGTCCACAGTGCCATCTGAGCTGGTAAACAAACACCCTGCTGGCCCACAAAGGCCATTTTCTTTCTGGCCATTCAGGGAGAGGGGTGTTCCAGTTTCAGGAATAGAATTAGGGGAGCAAGCTGGTGTTCACCGCACCCTCCAGTGATCTCTGATGATATGCGGGGATAATGGGTTACAAAGACAGACATTAATAAGGTAAGATAAGAGGGGGGAGGTTTATTAATTTTTCAAGTAAGTTAGGATGCCCCAGGGCATGGTAAAAGTGTAAAGAATCTGGTGAGCGATGAGGGGCTCGCCTGATTAATGCAAGTCAGCTGTCCTCTGAGGGCCATAGCAATAATGATGAGATTATGGAAGAACCTACTGAAGACAAATGAGATGCATGTGGAATAAAAACGAAGTGTCCTAGTTACTCTTTTGGAGTGCATGGTGGATTTTTATTAAGGAAGAACAGAGGTACAAATGACAGCCTGAGGAAGTGGGACTCTGCTTGTTCTGCTCAAGTGCTTTCTGCCTGGGCCTTCCAGGAATTCTGGGCCTGCCCTGGAGAAGTGCTGAAAAGGCAGTGCATCCAGCAACAAACACCTTCCACGTAGGCAGATCGGACGGAGAAGGGCTTGGTGCCTCCACCAGGCCCCCATGGCCTGTGGCTTTGCCTCCAAGCACTGCCGTGCACGGCCCTCCCCTTCCTGCTGTTGTTTCCTCCAGGATGTGCTGGGAGCTGGGCTGCCTTGTGGTTCAGACGTCCTCCATCTGTTTCTGTTCTGCCACTGCTGACCAATTAATTTGGAGCTGGAGACAAGGGAGCTTGCATTCTTTTTCTTTTCCTTCTCAGGATGCTCACTAGGTATTATGTCCTGTCTCCGTGTGGTCCTCATCTTGCTTGTGTACTTCTCTTCCCTGGCTTGCCATTCAGTCTGTATCTTCCCATGGAGGCAGAGGCAGCGTCCCCACTCAGCCCCTGCCTTTGACGTCCACGTGCAGACGGTGGCAGCAGGGACCCTTGAACTTCAACATGCAGAGTTATTTGAGGAGCTGGCTAAAAAGGCAGCTTTAGGTCTTAGCCTCCAAAGAGTTCAGCCTAGATACCAGGAATCTGCCTTTTTAGTAAGCACTTCACAGGTGGTTCTGATACTAGTGTGCTCAGTTGACAGTTTGGGAAACACTTTGAAAGAGTATGAGATGGACCATGGGTTGCCTCTGATAGATTATTCTGAATGTCAAAGTGCCTAAAATTTCACTGTGGGTGATTCGCCTTTTTACATCAACTCACAAGACTTAAGGAGTTCAGAGTAAGATGTCAGTCTGCCACCCCCACCTCCCACCATGCAGTGGTAACCCCTCAAATCATTTTTAGAAACGACTCCCTTAGTGTGAGTCTGTTTATCACACTAGAGCAGACAGCTTAGAGCATGATGGCCAGACTTCTATGGAAAGATTCATGGGTCAAGTTGGAAAGGAGGAGGCAAGGGAGCAGAGGACAGCCTGGAAGAGCAAGGACAGTTGGTGGGGAGGCAGGATATAGGCAATGGGTCCCCTGGGGCCAAAAGCAGAAGTGGGGGAGATGGAGAGGAGGAGGGGGCTGGGGGACAGTGGTGAAGCCAGCAGTTCTCAACTTTTTTTTTTTTTTTTTTGGTGGCAAAGCATTTCTTTTCAAATGAAATCTAAGTGGAAATACCAGTTGATAAAGCCAATTAAATAATGTATTAATATACATTTTATTTCAAATGTATAACAATTATCTTTATAATGATAAATTATATAGATGAAGCTGTTGGAATGAACACAAAAATTAGAAATTGGTGGCTACAGATAACAGTTCAGCCTTAGATCATCTGGAATCAGCAAATTTGCTCAGATAAATGCTGTAAATGACAAGTTTGTTGGCAGCTGGCTTTGCAATTTTAGGAGATTCCCTTAGACAAAGTGAACTGGACTCTTGGATGAGGAGTAACAGGAACTTTATATTTTAAGGTTGGATCACTCACGATATTTAGTAAATGTTCAAATTCCTCTCATTGAAAGGTCACTGCAGAAAGCAACCAGGACATTGAAACAGGAGTTTAAATAGTCTCTGACATGGTACAACCTAGCTTACTATTACACGAATGCAATTACCCTACAGGAAAAGAAAGCCCCAAGGAGAGGCAGGAACCCTTGCTGGCATTGGATCAAGCCCTTCACTCATGTGCTGTAAGATGTGCTTTTAGGCAATTTTACTTGAACCGCCAGGCACAGGCCAGAATTTATGCAAATATCAGTGCAGCCCTACCACATTCCTAGTCAAGGAGACAGTTCTTGGACACTATAAGAACCTTTATTCCCAGATATGTACAAAATGATTTACTTGATAGGCACAAGTTCACAATGTGCTAAAGGTTGTAAGTTTTAAAAAGATACAATTTATATTGAATTTATATTAAAAACAGAATGCACTTCCACATGTGTTAAATTTATGTACGTATGCAGTTCATGCGTTGACATTTAAATATAATGTACATTTAATTTACCTAAAAATGTGTAATTTTCTTTTCAGGTGGGGGGTTAGAGAATAGGAGATAGGTGTCATACTTTTGAAATACATATTTAAATAATGAAATTAAAACAAAATATGTATAGAGCCCTTAGATGCTTTCTGAGGAATGCAGGATTTGGAAAATCAGAGGCTTGGGCCAAGACTGCGCCTAAGACAGACCCCATCACTAAGGATAAGGTGGGCAGCAGGGACTGGACATTAAGGAATGTCTCAGAGCATCTTTGGTAACACTAGATTTTTCTTTCATCCAGCTACTTGTGCAAGAAGCTACAATGAGAAAAAAAATAGCAAGAAATAGATGAGGGAAGGAGGTTCTGTAGAGGGAAAAACAAAGAGAGAAAAGGAGAATGAATTGTGCTGAGAAAGAGATGCCTGGATGAAGAAGCTGGCCCTAGCACCCATAAAGCTGGAAAGAAAGTGGGGCCTTGGAAACTTCTGGAAGGATGCGAGGAAAGAAAAATGCAAGGAAATGAGATGGAGAGGAGAAAGAGAAACCAGGAAGCACTTCGGAAGCATGTAAATTACAAGGAAATGAGGAACAGCCTTTATTGAAACAGTCTGTGAAGTCTGTGCTAGCGCTGAGAGCTTCATTTTACTGTCCTGGCAAGGAGGTAGGTGCTCAAAGAACTTTGTCTTGGAAGCCCACTGTGGCTCCCCCGGGCCTGGCACTTTAAGCCCCGTACTTTTGCTCTCACTGTTCCTCTCTGCCTGCTCCCTGTGGTCTCTTCTCGGCTGTCTCCCACTTAGCCCACCTTGGCCTGGCCATCCGAGTAGAATAGACTTTCATTTTCCTTAGGTGTGCGCCGCGCATACCGACTAACCCACTTCCTGCACAGGTGTGGCCCCTCTCCAGTGCCCAGCACCTCATCGCTGTGGTAACAGAAGACACGCTTATCTTCCGGATTTTGCCTCAGAGACTTGGGCTGTACAAGCTGCTTTCCTGGGGTGGCTTGTCCTTTTGCAGTTAACCGAGATGCCTGGGGAGAAGAGCTTCCCCCAACAGGATGGCAGGCGATGCTTCCAGATGCGGTCACTTGGCACGTCTGAGCCGAATGTCTCCATAAAAATATGATGTAATTAACAGAGCCGCAGCAGCTGGAACAATTCAGCACCTCACATTGATTTTCCATGTCTCCTATTTACTTTCAGTTTTTAAACTGTCTGCAGTGACAGGAAATCAAAGAATTATAATGGTGTGTGTGAGGGCCCAATGCTGGGTCGGCATTTCCTTGTGAAATCCTGAGATTAATCAGTTTCCTATCACTCAATCATCCCTTTTCACTTCTAAAGGAAAACTGTCCTCCCAAATGCTACGAAATAGCAGTCTATTTTTGGATATTAAAAAAATCAATTGTATTATTTTAAAATTTGAGAGGAGTGTTTTTAAAAAAAGTCAGCCCGAAGCAATATTCACTTATCTGTTTTCCCATTCAAGTTTAATAGGAGTTGGCAAAGGCATTTGGGTGCAGTGAGACACAAGTACTATATTCACCCTTCCCAAGTTTTGAGAGCTTGGAAAAGTTACTTGGTGGAACCAAAGAGAGGAACTGCATTCCAAGTTTTTTTGATCACTGAAATGAAGGAAAATAAGTTTCCCCATATGTGGTTATTCATGAGCCTTCATCTGAAGCTGGTGGTTTTCTCATAGTTGGTCACTGTATTTCCAGCTCTGTCAGGTGAAAGTCAGAATCTTGGGTTAATTTCACTTTGGGTTCCTTAAAAT